>NC_000021.9:27375265-28005187 GCF_000001405.40 Homo sapiens | reverse complement strand
TGAATGAAATACCTGTAGAATGCTTAATACGGTGCCTGACATATAGTAGTGATTCAACGCTCATTAGCTCATTAGTTATCTATGTCCTTGAAATATCTACACTTCACTTCTTTTTTTTTCTTCCTTCTATTGTCGATCCTTCATTTGTATTTCAGGAAAATAAATAAATAAATGAATTCCTTCTTATCCTTGTTTACCACCCTTCATTATTTTCTTAGGTGAAGGCAAAGACAAGAACAACAATGAGTGTTCCCTTGCCTAATGGGAGCATGATAATCTTTAAAAAATCCTCAGATTTCATGACATGTATTCCCCTAAAATTCAGATCCTACAAAGAATTATTTCTGTAATGAATTATTGCAGGTAAAATAATTAGATCAGTGGCCATAGTAGTGCTCATTTAATGTCATCTATTACTATTTGCTATCATTACTATATATTTTTGCTATTATTACTGACATTATTATTCTTTAGAGGATGATATGCTTTGGTTGTGTTCCCACCAAAATTTCATCTTGACTTGTAACCCCCACAATTCCCACATGTCCTGGAAGGAACCCGGTGGGAGGTGATTGACTTATGGGGGCGGGTCTTTCCTGCACTGTTCTCCTGATAGTGAATGAGTCTCACAAAATCTGATGGTTTTTAAAAATGGGAGTTTCCTTGCACAAGCTCTCTCTCTTTTTTGCTTGCTGCCATCCACGTAAGATGTGACTTGATCCTCCTTGCCTTCCACCATGATTGTGAGGCTTCCCCAGTCACGTGGAACTGTAAGTCCAATTAAACCTTTTTCTTTTGTAAGTTGCCTAGTCTCAGGTATATCTTTATCAGCAGCATGAAAATGGACGAATACAGGGGACATTACTTTACAACTGTTGAAACTGCAGTGAGCAGTTCAATTTTAAATTTTGCTTAGTACATATTGGATTCTCTTGAAGTAATTCGTAGCTCTTGAGTGTATGTAGCTCCAGACACTCTGCTTCTTCTGTATGTGTAAGGGTCCCTTATCATCTCTGTTAACTTATGTTCTCACCCCCGAGGGTGCATGATGATAGGTTGCTAAAAATAATAGCAATACCAATAACTTCTCAATGTACAGACACTGTCCCCCTTATGCTGAGAAGAGATAATGGTAGGGGAAACTTTTCAGCAGCACACTCGATATATAATTAAGCCTAGATTGGGAAAAATAATTTTTACCCTTGATGAATTGTGTAATATGCTGAGCTATATGATACATCAGGGATATGAGGTGGTGGGCCGTATAACTAAATCCATAATTACACTATAATGGTGCCTCAAAACAGGGTTTTACTGTATTATTGTTATTCTATTTTTTAACATAATAAAATGAGATGAAAACTGTGTGTCAAAGAATTACTCAGTTAGCAAGCGAGCTTTTTCTAATCAATTGTCCATTGTTTAATTGTGATCAATTGTCCATTGTTTAATAATTGTCCATTGTGTTTGTTTCTTCTTTTATTGTTAAAAAGAAAACAGTCACAGAGGCTAGCCATTTATGTCTACTAAAAGCAGACATGCTCATACAGAAGATGACTTTTTGAGTATTCAGGGTAAAGATTTCATTAAAAGGTAGTGTGATAGAAATGTACTGTATTGGAGTGAAATTCCAGGATAGTAGAAAACACTAGTTGTCTGGAAAGATCTGTTTAACTTATTTTTGTGAGCCTTGCATTGGACAGAATTCAAGCAAGGAATTTTATTAGGAGGTAGCATAGGGTGGAGAAAAGCAAAAGAGGAGGAGTGACAAAAAAGAAGGAGAAGCCAAGAAAGATTTTGTTGGGCAGTATGGAGTTCATGAGTTCTTCCCTGGGGGTTGTTATCAGTCTTGCTAAAGCTTTCTGGATGAGCCAAATAAATTATCATTGCCTTATATATAGCAATAGAATGAGTAATGGTGATTAGGCTTTCCTGACATTCATGCATTCATCTAACAAGTACTCACTGAGTATCCTTTTTTGTTTTTTGGAGACGAAGTCTCGCTCTGTCACCAGGCTGGAGCACAGTGGCATGACTCGGCTCACTGCAACCTCAGACTCCCAGGTTCAAGCGATTCTCCTGCCTCAGCCTCCTGAGTAGCTGAGACTACAGGTGCGTGCCACCACGCCCAGCTAATTTTTGTATTTTTAGTAGAGACGGGGTTTCACCATGTTGACCAGGATGGTCTCGATCTCTTGACCTTGTGATCCACCCACCTCAGCCTCTCAAAGTGCAAGGATTACAGGTGTGAGCCACTGCACCCAGCCTCATTGAGTGTCTCTTACGTGTTAGGCATTGTTCTAGGTTCTGGAGGTATAGTAGTAAACAAAATTCACAAACATACCTGTCTTCCTGTAGTTTTCTTTCTGTCATGGGCTAGGGGAGATGTATATTAAAATCCACTAGATGGTTGTAAGTGCTATAGAAAAAAATAAAGCAGGAAAAGAAGATAAGGAATGCTAGAAAATGGGAAAACTTAAGTAGTAAGTCAAATAAGTCTTCTCTAAGCAGGTGACATTTGAGTCCAGTCCTGAAAGAAACGAGGAAATGAGCCATGGAAATAATTATGGGAAGAATGGTTCCAGGCAAAAGAAAACAGCAAGTTCAAAAGCCTGGGTTGGAAGCAAAACTGGCATGGTTAAGAAGTGGTTCACAAGCCAGTGTTTCTAGAAGAATGAGCAAAGGGAGGAGTAGTAAGAGGTAGGCTGAGCAGAAGAAAAAGGAAATCCAAGTTAACAGAATACAATTTTCTCATTGTATTTCAGTCAAAATCTAATTATATTGAGAGCAGTTGAGTTACAGAGTATCCTGCCTCTTTTCATTTCTCTCATCTTAACTTTGCTTGATGGATATTTGATAATGTTACTTAGTCATCTAGCTCAAGAGTAAATCATCTATGGCATTGAAGGCCATTGTAAGGCAGCCAATGGAGGCTTAGAAGAGAGGAAAGCCATGATCTGAATTAGGTTTTTTGAGGATCACACTGGGTGGCTATGCCAAAAGTAGATGGCACAGGATGGAAGTAAAGGCCAGCCAAGAAGCTATGGAAATAATCTAAGTGAGAGGTGATGGAGACTTGGATCACAATGGTAACAACAGTGCAGGTGGTGAGAAGGAACTGGTTCCATAAATATCTATTTTGAAGGTAGAACCTGAGAAACAGAGAGGATAGAGATGTTGATGATTGAAATGGGAAAGTCTGCAGGAGGATAATATTATGGTTGGGAAAAAAACGGAAATCAGTTTTGGACATGTGAAATTTGAAATACCTATTATTAGTCTACCAGCATTTATGAAAGTGAATATGCTGTTGATTGATGTGTAATTACAACATTGCAACTGATTTGTACCACTCAGTTACTCATTCAACAGATATTTGTTAAAAATTTATTACGTGAGTGACACCATGGTTGGCATGGGGTATGTCTCAAGAGCAATACAGATACTTTTATGCCCTCTCTAGTTCCATTCGTCAAAATCAGTATCAAAGACATAATTAGAGGAGCAATGAAAATATATTCACAGTGTCATTCGTTGTAGCTTGATGTTTAGTAGGTTTGAATGACATACATTATTCAAGTTGATTAACATATATTGCAGTAGCTGAATAACATGTAGAAAGGGGTCACCATCTGCTCCTAGACCTGTTTCTGATATCTTGCATTTACATATATCTTGCTCAGTTTGCAGGCTCTTCTGCATCTAGAATGGGAATTTCTTTGCCTCCTATAACCTTTGACCACAATGATTCTCTAACACAAGCAAGTTGTGTATAGCTTTTTCAAAATAAATTCCTACTGAAGACATAAGAAAAAAGAAAACAAACCTGAATTAATGCAGTACAATGTTCTTATTACAGTTTAACCAAAATCTAATTATATTGAGAGCTGATGAGTTATAAGCATGTTTGTCTTCATATCTCTCATCCTAAGTGTACCTGATGGATGTTTGATAATGTCATTCCAGTAGGTTGCTTAAGAGTGATTTAAAATTTATTTACTTGGGCCAGGCACGGTGGCTCATGCCTGTAATCCCGGCACTTTGGGAGGTGAAGGCAGGCAGATCACCTGAGGTCAGGAGTTTGAGACCAGCTTGGCCAACAGTGAGAAACCCAGTCTCTACTAAAAATACAAAAATTAGCTGGGTGGTATGGCAGGCTCCCATAATCCCAGCTACTCAGGAGGCTGAGGCAGGAGAATCACTTGAACCCAGGAGGCAGAGGTTGCAGTGTGCTGAGACCATGCCATTGCACTCCAGCCTGGGTAACAGAGCGAAACTCTGTCCCCTCCCAAAAAAAAAAAAAAAAAATTTCAATAAAATTCACTTATTTGGACTTTAGAGAGATTTCTGTTTCTGCCACGTTCTGATTCTGTCTTCTCTCTAGATACAGACTAGCTCTTAGGAAAAGCGTCTATTTGTACCCATTTAAAAAAATTTGGAATATTCTTTTTCATTTGTCAAGAACACATTCAATAGCCATATTTAAATGGAATCATTAACTTTGGCGAAACTTGGCTTTGACATCTAATCTTCTATGCTGATTTATATGCTTATTTTCATTTTGGGGGCCATTTATGAAGGCTGAGGCCATCTTGTTCTGGAATAAAGCTGTATTGCTCAAGCCTTTGTCAACAGCTATGTCAGAAACTTGTGGTTTAGATGCTCTCCTTTTCCACCTTGATAGGATACCCTATCAATAACCTGTTTTCTAACTGAAGAACACTTGTGATACTCAGGTCATTTGCAGGTAGACGTGATTCAGCTTTTCCTGGTTCATGTTAGTACCTCTACTTGCTTTCCCATTTTCTCTCCCCATTTTCCTCCAAGCAATAGTTTCACTTAGCTCAATATCTCTTCTAGAAATCTAATATTTTAAATATGAAACATGCTCAACAGACTACATTAAAAGATAAATGCTATTTTAAGAAATAATAAATATTGTTGTTCTTAAAAATAATAAGCATTTTTTATTTTTAGAAATAAACCAATGATTATGGTTGTATTAATCTAAAATTATAAAGTAGATGCACTATTTTATACAACTTATGAATTAATAGATTTAAAAAGTGTATTTTGGCAGGTATTGCTGTGTTTTGATAAGTTGTTTCTGATGGTAAAATAATTCAATGAAATGTAAAAAATTTGGTAATGATCATGAACAATGACCTACTTTATTGCCACTGACAAGAGTCACTTTACTGAAGTATATTTTAGATTACTATTTGAAGGAATTTCCCAGTGGCCATCCAGGGCTCTATAAATGCTAGGAACAACAAAAATCTTATTAATTTGTTAACAGCAATATATAATTCTTATACATTCCTTAAAGGGAAACTACTATACTACTACATAAGCAAGTAGTCTAGTTAGAGTGATATTTTACATAAATGTTATAAAAACATGTGAGCTCATGGTAAAACTGGAAAAGTTTTGGGTGCTTTTACCCAAAGAGAAAGAATTAGGAAGTAATCCTACAAAAATGCATTTTGAAATCTTTCAATTTAAGATTAAAAGTAGCTATAGTAATAATATAATAATAATAGTTTTGATATTAAAATTGTATTTCTTGTATATTAAATACATAGTTCAACATGGGCACACAAAAATAATCATTCACTTATATATTTATGCATCTAACAGACTTGTTTCCTCTTCTATCCAGGTCACTAGGATCACAAAGGATAGTGAATAAGTCACTCTACTGGCACTTAGATATTTATGATACACTGAAAACCAAATAATAATATTAGGGATATTGTAGAGATATCTATCGCTTCCATGGGATTAAATAGAAAGATTATATAATTAGTATTAAGAAAGATGGGCCCAGGAAGTCTTTATCACAATAGTTGTTTTGACTGAGGGACAGTGGGACAATTGGAAGGTTGAAGGGTACAAGAAACGGCAGAGAGATTCAGTGAGTTCCACAGAGCAGAGAAACTCATGTAAAAAACATTTCAGAGACCTGGAAATGAGAGTGCACACATCAAGGAGCTATGAATGTTTCCTGGAATTAGAACTCTGGTTCAGAGTTTAGGGTAATGGTGAGAAAATAATAAGACTAAACCAAAATCAAAGACAAATTTTAAGGACTATGTAAAATATTTTAAAGAATTTAGTCCCTTTTCTAAAGAATGTGTGTGTGTGTGCGTGCGTGCGCATGTGTGTATGTGTTATACATGATGTGTGAAGGGGAGGGTTACAAAGCAGATTAGTGTTAATAGTTATATTTCAGGAAAGACTCCTGGATGCAATGTAGAGAGTGGCCTGGGTGAATTTAGGATAAACAGATGTGATCTAGTAATTATCTATTTCAGAACTGATGTAGAGATAGTGAGAACAGAAAATGATGTTTGTAGAAGGAAGAAGTAATCCTAAAATAAATAACCAAGTAGGAATGACCAGTCACAACTAAAAATGGATGAAATTAGATACATTTAAAATTATACTTTCTAATAGGGTTTATTTGGAAAAAGCAGTGAGAAGCAGTCCATGGGGAGCTTTGGGTCTCTGTTAAACTGCTCAGTTGGTAGGAAATGCCATAGGTGGAGAATGTACATATATGTATGTATATATATACATACATACACAGAGAGAGAGAGAGGGAGGGATTTAAAATAGAGGGCATAAAAGACAAGTTTTACCTGCTTCAAAATTCGGCTTTGTGATGGCTCCAACTATATTACTACATAGGAAAGATCTGATAAGGAAACTCTCCAAAAATTTTCATAATTTCAAACTGACATCATCAATAATAATGGAAGATGTTCCGGTTAGCCATTGCTGAGTAACACTTCTCCCCTGAGAAATAAAACCTTAATGGATTAAAATAACAACAATCATTGATTTTGCTTATGAATCTACAATTTGGGCAGAGCTCAGTAAAGATAACACGTACCTGATCCCAAAGTTTGGAACCTCAGCTAGGATGACTCAAATCCTTAGGGCCTGAAACAGCTGAGGCTTGTTGGACGGCTGTGTCTTTCTCTCGCTTCAGGTCATCTCAGGGTCTTCCTGTAGTTTCTTAGGATAGCCTAACTTCTTACATGGCATCTCAATGATCTGAGAACCAACATTCTAATAAATCTAGTGGAAGCTATGAGACTTCTTCTGAGCTAGCCTGAGAAGTCTAAGAATGTTATCCCTCATGCCTTCTATTGGACAAATCATTAAGGCCAGCACAAATTCAAGGAGAGGGGAATTAGACTTCACCTCTCAATATAAAACATAGGAAAATATTTGTGGCCATCTTTAATTTACCACAGAGGGCCACATTTCACTATGGCAGGGTGCTCGAAGTTTCTGTTTCTAATGGTTGTTTACCATTGCCGACCCTGGAAAATAGTGTCTATTATAACACAACTACAAATTATTTATTTTAATCCCTGAACCGGTAACTGACCTGGCTGATTTTACTAAGGGAATGGGCAGATTTCTTTACAAATAATGACCAACTCTTTTCTTTTAAAAAGCTAAATATTTGGCCAGGTGTGGTGGCTCATGCCTGTAATCCTAGCACTTTGGGAGGCTGAAGTGGAAGAATAGCTTGAGGCCAGGAGGTCTAGATTGCAGTAATCTATGATCATGCCACTGCTCTCCAGCTTGTGTGACAAGTGAGACGGTGCTTCTAAAAAGAAATAAGATAAAATAAAATTAATTAATTAAAAACAACAACAAAAACCCAGAAACAAAAAAACAAAATGCCCATTAATAGTTGCTATCCATAAGCTATCATTTACGTTGAAGAAATTTAAACATTCTGTTAGTCACTTTAACGTGATTGGTAGAAATAGCCATCCTAGGCAGAGAGAGAAACACGCAGAAAGGTTAAAGACCCATGAGAGGTAGGGCAAGAGTGGTGTCCATCTGGCATGAGCCTCTGACAAAAAGAGGAGCTAAAAGGACACAGGGTCCCTGTTTTGAACGAATGGTGGTGATAAGGCAAGGACCTCAGTGACTGATTATCTGGAGTCAGGGTTGTTCTTTAGCAGTGGAATGCAGTTAGTTAGGACTATGTTGTTTTAAAGAGCATAGCAGAAGCCAAAAGCACATAAAGTTTTTGGGAGTCCTGGTCCAAGTAATTGGCGGGGAGTTTAGACAATTGTGCAACCTGGATGTCTTTGCCATGCATGTGTCAGGGTTGAACACTTCCTGCATTAAAGAAGTAAGAATTTTCCCAGTCGTAAGCAGTGTTCCGTGGTGGAATGTTCTACAACAGGACTTTAAATAAAATAAATGTTAAGTGTCAGTTATTATCCTGTTTGGAAACTAGAATGAGAGACACTTTATTTTTGTTCTAGGGTTTTGATTACAGAATACAATAGAGACATATCAAGGAATAAATATTCTTAAATCATAATTTTAATTTACAGAAATAAAAGCATATTTAGATTTTACCATGTTGGTTTTGAAACTTCTAAGTTTCTTCACACAAAGAAAATGCTTTCAAGATGTTCGTTGAAGAGAAAATCAATTGCTCTAAACTAATTGTTATATGATTTTCGAAGACCCTTGTAATTGGATTCACATATCTTATTTAGGGAATATTAATGATATGTAGTGTTTCTTTTTTTAACATTTTCAAGAAAGTAAAGTGTAATGGAGTCTTTCCACTCTCACTGCTGGAGTAAAAATAATAATGATTTTTTTCTGTAAGGCAATTTTATTAAACCTATTATCAAGAGTGTTCTATACAAAAGGTCTTTAGAAAATTATAAAAATTATGTTGGATATTAAAATACTTGTTGCAAATATTCTGCAATATGGTAGGTACAGATTTAGAGAATTGTTTCAGCTCCTGTGTTAAATTACTTCAATAGATAGAAAGTTTAACTGCCTTGAGGTCATATCAAATCAGTTCACTAATTCAACATTTTATAAATCCTTGTTTGTTCTTCACCTGATTCTTAGAGATTAAGCAAAGAACATACATCAGGCCTAGGCTTAATGACAACATTAAAAAGTTGCAGGAAGATTGTACTGGAAAATAAAAGGAAATATTTAGAAGTAAGAGAGGTAACAGTATAATGGAAGGGAAGGATGTCAAGAAAGAAAGCAAAATCCAAAATGGAAACATTACATAAAACTTACATTTCCTTACCTGTCACTTCGGTGCAGATATATTAACTACTCATTAAGCTCCAGCGAACCTGTGAGAATGTCCTTTTGTGAATTTTAAAGTGTAAATATTCATGCGATGGCTCCAGCTTGAAAGAAAAGCAAAGACCAAACTCTTTACCAAGGCATCATAAATTAATGCAAACGTATTCTTTTGAGTTGCTATATGTTGATAATTTAAGGAGTAGCACATGGATTAAATAAAAAGTAAATTTAAGCCAACCTAAGTCTAAATTGGCTTCACAAGAACAAATCCAGTTTTCTCTCATTCATAGAATGACTGGGTGTAACTTCGTTTGAAGAACCTACATAGTAAAAAATATATTTTTATATAAATTTATAGCTATGCCATTATATTCAGTCAGTTTCCTCATTATGATTAATTTCCTCATTGATTGAATACTTTTGCAATGAGAACAGAAAGGAAATATACAATTGGAAGTATTTTCAGTTCACCAATTTAAAAAAAAGTATCTTGTTGAATGATAGAAATCAAGTGCAGACAACGTCTAGTGCACAGAATTCCCAGCCCATGGAACATTTTAATCATCAAGGGGAAACACAGCCTGTGTCTTCTTACTTAGCTAGACTGCAAGGGACTTGAGGCTAGAAACTGAGTCTTATGTGGAAAGATTTGTATCCCCACATAACTATCTGACACAGAGCAGATGCTGATTACTGTGTATTAAATTGAATGAAATCTTGATAGAAAGTTTGGTTTTATGAGAGCAACATCATGTCATTAAATTCATAACCCAGAAGAAGATTTGCTTCTGAAGGAAAATACGTGAAGTAGTATTTGTAAAATAGTAATCTTGCACTATCAGACACTAGCATTCAAGTACAGAAAATAAAATGATACAGACATTTGGAAGGGATTGCTCTGGGTCTTCAAACAGCATGTTCAAGCTTCAGGATTGGTTTAAAAAGATATAGAGAACCTCAAAATTGATTGATTTTTCAAATGTTATTTGAATCAACCAAGTTTTATTAAAAAGAAGTATTATATGATGGAGGTTTTTTTGCTAGATTCTATGGAATAGAAGAGAAGGGGTGGGGTTGTAAATATGTTCTCTTTCCATGAATCTTCCAAAACCTGGCTAAAGAAAAATTTGTCTACCCAACTTCCTTTTATTTCTGGCAAAAACTTGTTTTTCACTAATTATCCCCAGCTGTACCAGATTCTGTAGTTTTTATTTTTAACTTTTCTCTACATGGCCTTACATCTGTGTACCCTTTGTATTGGAATATTGGGTCTTAAAGTGGGAAATTCTTTAGGAGAGGTACGTACAATGTGATTGTCCAAAGAGAAAAAAAACATTTTAAACATTACTTGAAAGCTATTGTATTGGTATCTGCCTATAAGAAAAGTGGAGTGTACTTAATCAGATATCAGGAATTATGATGGAATTTAATATTTAAAAACTCATATTTTCCTCCCTCTTCGTTTACTTTTAAAGGAAGTCAGTGTGTCACCCTATAATTTTAAATGTACCTACTGCCCTCATTATGCATATTTTGTCTGATGTATACAAGGCTGTTCAGAAGATTCTTCACTTTTCCTGGTGAAAATGGCCCATAAATTTTAATAAATAAGATCTGGGCTTATTATTTTAAACTGCTTATTTGATGGTGATAATAAAACTCAAAAACAGGTACACAGGGAAATTAGTGTTAAACTGGGTAGAGACTCTTCTAGGAAAAAGCAAACATTTTCATTATAGGTATTGAAACAAAGTAAACCGTGGAGGGTTTTAACATATTATATACCTGCTCATTTTGTGTTTGCCCTGGTTGACATTATCCTTTTCTTGCTTTTGCAATGACTTCATCATTGATACTGAAGTAAAAATAGTGGAGATAAAACTAACAATAATCCCTTTGACTTTTAGCTGGTGCATTTCCTAGTAATTTCCAAAACTTGAAAGTCACAGTTTGGGTAAATGTTAAAACAATATGTATTTCCATAAGCCGTAATACAATTCTTTGTAAATGGCAAAAGCACATTTGCCTTTTAATCAGAAAACAACTTGCTGAATCCAGACAACATGGCCTTCTCCAAGATGCTTGACATGAACAACAATAATAAAATTCAGTGCTATTTGATATTTTGCAGATGTTCTTAGATTGAAAATGGTAGCTTTTCACATATTTGCACATGATCATTATAAAGCTATATTGGTCAATGTGGAAGAATAGAATATATTTAATGGGTTTTTAGGTTGATTTATAACTTTTAAGAATTTAGACATATGGTATGCAGGCTTACATTTGATTTCCTGTCCTGAGCCCCACAAATGTTAGGGGCATGAATTTCTGAATAAACTATTACGGTAGTTACAGACAAATGTGGTTCGTCTTGTTAAAGGGAACATTTTGCAAGCGTCTAGATTTCTTACATCAGGGTAAAGAAATGGATGAAAGAGACATTTGATTGATGCCACTGTCACCCAGGTGTTTCAGATCTCACCAGGCCCCTTTTGCTTATTTAAAAGAAACAACCATTGCAGCCAATAAGGGAATTTTAAAAGCTAGTCATGTTTTATAAATTGTGTGTATCTTGGTTTGGATGCTCATCAAAGATAATAAATTTTGTTTACACTCATCATGAATGACTCCCCAAAGTTTACAAATCCACCTGTAAGTCTTATTCTTATCAGAACACATCAATGAACTGTTCCCTACCTTTGATTTGAACGTAGATGTGAAGGATATGTTGATCATATTTGACAGTTCATAGAATAGAATTGGTTTCTGCAAAGGATAACTCTTGTTAATTCTATTCATATTTTTTCACTTATTTTTAGTTGACACATAATAATTGTATTATGTTGGTGCAAACGTAATTGCGGCTTTTTCACTGTTGGAATTTGCCATTTGATATTGGAATACATTCTTTAATGTGGTTATGTTACATAGTGTTTTAATGGGCATTTTTTGCTTTCTGTTTTCTTGCTAATGACTTATTACTTGCTGTTTGTTCGATATTTATTTTAGACTGTGGAAATGATGTTAGACAAAAAGCAAATTCCAGTAGTTTTCTTATTTGAGTTCAAAGTGGGTCATAAAGCAGCAGAGACAACTTGCAAACTCAGCAATGCATTTGGCCCAGAAACTGCTAACGAACATACAGTGCAGTGGTGGTTCAAGACATTTTGCAAAGGAGACAAGAGCCTTGATGAAGATCACAGTGGCTGGCCACCGGAAGTTGACAATGACCAATTGAGAGCAATCATTGAAGTTGATCCTTTTACAACTACATGAGAAGTTGCCAAGGAACTCAATGTAGACCATTCTATGGTGGTTTGGTATTTGAAGCAAATAGGAAAGGCAAAAAAGCTCTGTAAGCGGGTGCCTCATGAGCTGAGTGAAACTCCAAAAATTTGACTTTTTGTAGTGTCGTCTTCTCTCATTCTATGCAACAACAACAAACCATTTCTCGATCAGATTGTGATGTCCAATGAAAAGTGGATTTTATACGACAACTGGTGATGACCAGCTCAGTGGTTGGACTGAGAAGTTCCAAAGCCCTTCCCGTAGCCAAATTTGCACCAAAAAAAAAGGTCATGTTCAGTTTGGTGGGTCTGCTGCTGGTCTAATTTACCACAACTGTCTGAATCCTGGTGAAACCATTATACCTGAGAAGTATGCACAGCAAATCAATGAGATACACCAAAAACTGCAAAGCCTGCAGTCGGCACTGGTCAACATAAAGGGCCTGGTTCTTCTCCACAACAATGCCTGACCACATGTTACACAACCAATGCTTCAAAAGTTGAACGAATTGGGCTACAAAGCTTTGCCTTTTCCGCCATATTCACCTTACCTCCCTCCAACCAACTACCACTTCTTCAAGCATCTCGACAACTTTTTGCAGGGAAAATGCTTCCACAACCAGCAGGATGCAGAAAATGCTTTCCAAGAGTTTGTCGAATCCCGAAGCACATATTTTTATGCTACAGGAATAAGCAAACTTATTTCTTGTTGGCAAAAATGTGTTGATTATAATGACTCCTATTTTGATTAATAAAGATGTGTTTGAGCCTAGTTATAATGATTTAAAATTCACAGCCCAAAACCACAATTACTTTTGCACCAGCCTAAATCATATTTATGGCATCTAGTGATATTTCAATACATGGGAACAATGTGTAATGATCCAATTAAGGTAATCAAGATAAATAAAGATAATTAGCATACTCATAACAGTTTGGGGAACATTCGAAATTCTGTCTTCTAGCTTTTCAAAAATATATAATAAACTACTTTTAACTATATTCTCCCTACAGTGCTATAGAGCACTAGAACTTATTCCTCATATCTAGCTGTAATTTTGTATGACTTAGCCAACTTCTCCCTACCCACCCATACCACCTATACTTCCAAGCCTCTAATAACCACAATTCTCTCCACTTCTATGTGTTCAACTTCTTTCAGTTCTTACATACGAGTGAGAACATTCAGTATAAATCTTTCTGTGCCTGAGTTACTTTACTCAACATAATGTCCTTTAGGCTTATCCCTGTTGCCACAAATGAAAGTATTTCATTCTTTTTATGGCTGAATAGTATTCCATTGTGTATATATATACCACATTTTCTTCATTCATTCATCTGTTGATAGACATTTAGGTTGATTCTCTATCTTGGTCATTGTGAATAGCACTTCAATAAACATGGGAGTTCAGATATATCTTTGATAAGCTGATTTTCTTTTCTTCAGATAAATATTCAACAGTAAGATTGCTGGATAATATGGAAATTTTATACATAGTGTTTTGAAAAAACGCTACTGTTTTCCATTATGGCTGTATGAATTTATATCCCATTAGCAGTATATAAGAATTCCCTTTTCTCTGCACAAATTTTTCGGGGGTTCTTTTTGATAGTAGCCATTCTAACTGGGGTGAGATGTTATCTCATGGTGGCTTTAATCTGCATTTCCCTGATGATTTGTGGCGGATTTTTTATATACTTGTTGATCATTTGTATGTCTTTTTTATTTGAGAAATGTCTACTCAGAAATGCCTGTGTTTTAATGGATTGTTTTTGCTGTTGTTGTTGTTGTTGTTGTTGAGTTGTTTGAGTTCCTCATATATTCTGGGTATTAGTCCTTTGTCAGATGCATAGTTTGCGAATATTTTCTCCTAATCTACAGATAGTTTCCTCACGCTGTTGTTTCCTTTGTTATTTATGCAGGGAGTTTTAGTCTGATATATTCTTGTTTGTCTGTTTTAACTTTTATTGCCTGTGCATTTGAGGTCTCATCAATGAAATCTTTTCCTAGACCAATGTCCTGATGAATTTTCCCTAACTTGTTTTCTATTGCTTTTATAGTTTTGCATCTTACATTTAAGTCCTTAATAATTTTAAGTTAAATTTTGTTTAAAGGGCCTCGTTTAGCTATTCTGCATATTGATATCCAAATATTCCGGCACCATTTATTGAAGATGCTGTCTTTTCCTCAATGTATGTTCTTGATGTCTTTGTCAAAAATCAATTGGCTCTAAATCCATGGATTTATTTCTGGATTATCTTTTCTGTTCCATTGATCTACATGTCTGGTTTTTATACCAATGCCATTTTATTTTGGTTACTATGGCTTTGCAGTATATTTTGAAATCAGGTGGCATGATGTCTGCAGCTTTTTGTTTGTTTGTTTGTCTGTTTTGCTCAAAATTTCTTTGACTACTTGGGCCCTTTTGTAGTTCCACACAGATTTTATGATTTTTAAAATATTTCTTTGAGGAATGTCATTTGTGTTTTGACAGGGATTGCATCAAATGTGTAGATTCTTTTGGGTAGAGTGGACAATACTCACCTTACATTTCTTTGAAAGAAAAGAGTAACCTGAAAGAAAATGTAGTGGTTATAATGAGGTGCTGTTTATGTCATCCTTCAGGATGGGGGCCCTTATTTTCTTACCTACTGGCAGTGTTGCCTGCATCCCTTGTCAGAAATTGTTCTCAACCTAAGGGAACTATCCCATCTCTTTCCCTGTGTCCAGTGATTGGTGTCCAATAATTGGTCATTGCAGCATTCAAAGGCCTGGCTCCCTGGTCTCAATTAGTGATATCTCTAAAGGGCTCTAGAATTCCTTATGGGATTGGCTGACATTACTGTGGCAACTGCAATGCTGTTCATTTAATCTTTATACCTACCTCAGCTTTTCTTGCTCTTTTCTAGATACTGTATCAGAGAAGACCCCATGCATACAAATATCAAAAGTTTTTCCTCCCTGGGACCAGACTGAGAGAGGAGAATATCTTCTTAGCTTCCCCCCTTCCACCCCATTATCTTTGAGATTGAAAGGATAATGGCATGGAAAGGAAAACTCACAGAAGGAAAACTTGTTATTCTGGTGTGGTTGGTATCAGCTCCTTACTACATTAATACATTAATGTTATTATGCTGTCCTGGTTTTACTCAGTATCATTGAGTAACCTGGCCTCTTGTTTCGGATTTCCATAATGAATGGAAGGGCAATTATCCTCTTAAGTTAGTATCAAAAGACAGGAATAGAGCTCCAAAGCTTTCCTCCAAACTTTCCTTCAATTGATATGACTAGAAGTCCCTTTCCACAGATGCTGATACGCCTCCCCTACTTCTAACTCCTGTCACTCCACACTTATCCACACACATATACATCAGCTTTTGATTTCCCAGATTGAATTACTTCTTTTTTGTTAGTTTGTTTTAACTCCAGGAATTTATACATTACTTTCACACACAAACACAAAGGTTATTATATTTTTTAGGAAAGGTGGAATTCAGGTATAAATCCATATGGAGATTATTCAGATATAAGCCCATATCTTCTATTAGCAACTTTCAGTGAATAATGAGGTTTTTTGTTTTGTTTTGATTTGTTTTAACTGCTCAACCAAGAAAGACTATTAGAATTTCAAAAATGCACACTAATTAATGTGAGGTCTCTATGTTCCCTGGTAATGGAGGCCAGCCTCCAACAAACTATTTTCAGCTTCATTCAACCTCTGGATTGAGGTTGAGGGTTTGCAATTACTCTCAGCACATTGTTACTCTAGATAATGTGTTCATCCACCCTACACAATAAGTATTTTCAACTTAATGATCCTCAGAGTCTACACCTGAAGTTCTTTGCCTCCACTGACTCCATGCAAATGACTTCAGTTCTTATCTCTGTTAGTAGAAAGCAGGAGAGCATTCTAATAACAGTGACTTTTTCGTCAACATCTGTAGCATCAGAACATCCTGTCTGATCTCCAGCTTGATACTCAATTACCTTCACACATTCACTTCCATTTCCAAAAGACTGGTTCAACTGAACCTAACCAATATTATAATCATGATTTTCACCCTTAAACCTGATTCTCCTGTATCCCTCAATGATCCCTCCTGTTACGTGGCACCACCACCTATCTAGCTGTTTAGACCAGAATTCTGGCTGTCCGTAAATTGTCCTCATTTGCATTCATCAATATATTCTGAGACACTTATCTGCCAATTCCTCTTGAATCTATTTGTCTCCTTCTCTGATGTCAGCATCCTAGTGCAAGCTAGACTTATCGTCTCACTTGTACTGACATGACAACCTATTAATTAGCCTCCCCACTAACCTCTACTCTCTACAATTCCTTCTCTGTACTTCAGCTAGATAGACTAGTCTTTATGCTTGACACATTCTTTAGATGTTTAGAACGATAATTTAGATGGAAATATTCTTTCAAATAAAACTTGTAATTCTTAATATGATCCAGTAAACTACATTTTTTAGCCTCTGCTGACATTCAGCTCCTTTGAAGTAAGCATTAATGTGGTCTCGATTTTTATGAATGAAGACCAAGAATTATAGAAGTGAAAATCTTGCCTATAGCTTGTTTTGGATGTTATGATTTCTAGATCTTCTAAGTCCTATAATCTTCACTCAAATATGACACTATATTTATTCAACACTCAGAAATGAAATAACTGTATTCCTACCACTCAGCTAAAACATGGGTCCACAAATATGAATACTGGAAAGCCTTTCCCATTGAACTTACCAAATTCTAGGTGGATGGTTACAGGGATATATGTGTTCCAAGACAGTGTTTTTTTCTTTTTTCAATTGCCTTTTATATAATTTTCAAAAACTAGGAACTCACTTGTAAATGTTTTAGGTTGACATTTAAATGTTTTCATTGTAATAGT
Source organism: Homo sapiens (assembly GCF_000001405.40). Classification (NCBI taxonomy): domain Eukaryota; kingdom Metazoa; phylum Chordata; class Mammalia; order Primates; family Hominidae; genus Homo; species Homo sapiens. The sequence goes on along the minus strand of NC_000021.9, from coordinate 27,987,899 downwards.
TGTAAATGGTGTATAATCTTTGGTACATTATAAACAGAAATATTTTGAAATAAAATCTATCAATTTTAACAACATATTCGATGAAATTGAAAATATAATGGCAATTTGATCCCTGCCATCATCCATATAGAATTATTCATGAACATGTTCATTCGTAGCATCTGGAAATCTTTGACTGTTCTTTTTTTTCTTTGAACGCATAGTTCTATTTCACTTCCACAAAAAATTTATTCTACTGCATAGAATTATTTTATTGAACGCTTTATCATTTTCTGCAACAAATATAGACGTATGAGTAGGCCAGGCGCTGTGGCTCATGCCTGCAATCCCAGCATTTTGGGAGACCAAGGCAGATGGATCACCTGGAGCCGGGAGTTCGAGACCAGCCTGACCAACATGGAGAAACCCCATCTCTACTAAAACTACAAAATTAGCTGGGTGTGGTGGCGCATGCCTGTAATCCCAGCTACTCGGGAGACTGAGGCAGGAGAATCACTTGAACTCGTGAGGCAGAGGTTGCAGTGAGCCGAGGTCACGCCATTACACTCCAGCCTGGGCAGTAAGAGTGAAAAAAAAAAAAAAGAAGTATAGGAAGAATTAATTAAATTAATTCATTAATTATTATTATAGGCGGAGTTTCGCTCTTGTTGCCCAGAGCAAAACATATATACACAGACACACACACACGTATACACATGTATGAAACACTTCATTAAATCAAAACCATCCGAATTATTAATCAGTAAATGTTTAGTATTAATTAATAATAAATTCTATATGTACAAGTATTCTTTCATAAAATAAATATTAACTCATTTTAGCATCACTATGCCATAAACTACATGAGTAAACTATTTTCTTTTCATGTATATTTGCATTACCAAGTTGATATATTTTGAAATATATTTAATGCAAGGTTAACTTTGAATGAAGCCATTTACTACAATCAGAAATTTTGGAGGAAAAAGGAGAAGGGCAGTGTCACCATTCCCTTCTCCCTTAAGGTGTCCCTGGTTCTCACACAAATGCTTGAAAAGAGGTGGAACATGGAAAACACAGAAAGACCGTATTTGGCTTTAATACCTTCACTCATAAGTCACTGGGAAGCAGTCAGGAGGAGGGATTTCTCTTTCCCTCAGTCTTCTCTCTCTAGGACTCCCAGGACTATCAGCTAGAAAACTGGAATTAGACTATATTGGACATTATGTTACACTGAATATTTTTTGCTATCTGTCATTCTATTTATTCAACTGAATGTATAATATATTCCTAAGAAAGGTAGTTAATTAAATTATCAACCAACAAAAGGGAGATCTAATTCTTTCTTCTCTGTTCCTTCTCTTCCTCTTCCTACCTGTGCTCCCTCTCTCTCTCTGTCTCTCCCTCTCCCTTCTTTTTTCCTTCACATATATACTCATTCACTCTTAAAAACAAAGTTGTCACCATTTTGGGTTTCTTTCCTTATTGTACTTTTCTTCCACAACATAATTGCAGGATATATCTATTACAAAATATTTATTATATATTTTTATTCTTCAAAATTATTTTAATAAGTATTTTATGCATTTAAAATATTATTAAAGATAATTTCTGGTGTTAGTGTGGGCATGGTAAAATGTGTACAATTATACATTGCTGATGGGGATCATTCCAAAAGATTCTTAGATGGTCATAGAGGTTGAAGCCGCCCTGTGAGACTCAGATTCCCTGCTTCAGCAGGTCCTAGTCTGTGCCCACTTTGGCTTTAGAGTTATAAATACCATGTGCCAATGTATGAAAATGTGTTGGTGGATACACAACTTTATTTTTTAAAATTGATATGTCATAAAAGAATACCAGAATACCAAAGAGATTATTTTCATAAAAGCACAATAGGAAAAGAGAGGTATACTTACATATTTTGCAGCCTAAGGAAATGTAATGAGATGGTTGACATTCCTCAGTTAAGGAATGTTAAGGGCTTAGTTTTAGGCTGAAGTAAAAATGTATTTCTTATGCTTATACAGCTTTCTTTTAGTTCTTTGCTAACACATTTTCCCCAACTGTTGATATCTCAAAACAGTATTTTTAGTAAAATAAAAAACAATTTTATTTTATAAAAATGAGTAAATTTCTAATAGCATAACGTAAACAAAAAAGTACATGTAACTCCATTTGGATAATATAATCTAAAATATTTTGTGTATTTCTTGTCTTTTTATAAATACATATATAATTTGGATATAAATTCCTTAAATATACTTTTAAACTAACAATTTGTAGATGTGATTATTTATAATAATTTTTAGTTTTACTCTACACCTGTGTCATTAAATATTCTTCTATTGCATGACTTTTCATGGCTGCACACATTTTATTTCTTGAATATTCCATGAATTGTTTCACCATTCCCCTACTACTAACAATTAAAATGATTGGAATGTTTTGTTATTATAAATAAAATGGCAATAAACAGTATAGTAATAAATACTCATATTCGCTCTAATGATATCTTTAATATAAATTAGTAAGAATTGAAATAATGTGTAAAATGATATGAATTTTAAGGCTTTTGAAACATGCTGTCCAAGTTTCTTCTATTACAATTAAGATACTATTTTCTGTTCTTATAGCACACGTATATACATCCATTCACACACACACATCTTTTTAACATAGATAAATTGTTCCCAGTACCTGATTTTATACATAATTCTAACTCTGGACCAGAAGTAGACATCTGGCTCAGACATGCCCAGGCAGGCCAGCTGTTTCAGATGGTTGCCTTGGCTCCCACCTTGACCCCTTCTTCAAATACTTCTCAAGGTCTAGTCATCCTCTGGTCATGAACTCCATGGAAGATTATTGCAAAATTGTACAACTGAAAAATAATTCAGGTTAATTAGCTTTCATTTTCATTTTGCCCACTGTGTGATGCTTTAAAAGGTTTGCTGCTTTAATTTAAAATCCCTTACAAAAGCAACTGGGCATTTGCCATTTTTTTTTTATATCCTCCAACATTCTGATCCTTTAAACTCTGTCCAACAGCTTTACATAGCACATGATTCTCATTAAAAGCCTCCACGGATGCTTGATGCCATTACTTTCACCACTGATTATATCAAAATAAATTGGTTGCTTCATACACTTAAAAATATATTAAAACTTTAAAACATTGGCTTTTTTGCCTCTCCATATCTTTTCACCAGCATGAGTTACCTTTAAAAGTAACTATGTGATTTATTCACATATACCTTATAAACACTTAATAATGACAATACTTTATTATCAAAGAAAGTAATGTTTCCAACATCAATTTAGCCTCTGACAGTAAAGGGAAATAATTCTACACTATTTCAGACATTTATCATTTCTTACTAGGATAATTTCAAATGCCAAAATACCTCTACCTTCCTTGTTGTTGGATATGTGTGTGTGTGTGTATGTGTGTCTGTGTGATTGTAGCTTTTAGCTATTTTAAATGCTCAAATGACTTGTTACTTTTGTCTAAAAATTTATTTTCTTAACATACAGTGCATCGTTTTGGAAAAAACAAAGCTTAGATAGGTAAATTTCCCGTTCTCTGACTTGTCAGTTACATAATCCTGGGAAAATTATCTTGACCATCTAAACTTAGTTTCTTCATTTATCAATAAGGGTGATGATTACCTTCTATAACTGCGGTACTTACCACTCTCGGAAGTTTCATACTATTGAAGTTAATTTTTCATTCTATTCCTCAATGTCTCTCTTTATTTTCATGTGAATAGGATGCATCTCCTACTCGTATAATCCTACTCTCAGTCTTAAACTAAATTTGATACTCCAAGACATAGTGCCTTGGAGTGCCATTTGAAATCTGTATGTCAACCATTATTATTAATTATTATTTTATTTCATTCAAGATTTTTGAAGTCTGGCCCTCACTTTCAAAGCCTAGCCTTTGCTTTTCTTGTCTCACATCCCATTTACAGTTTATGTGTCAGCTACGTGAGAATGTTCCAACACTCTCACCACCGTTTAGCCCTTCTATACTACTGTCCCTGCAGCCCTCCGCGTGGCACACTGCCTTTCACCACCGTGGGAAAATTCCTCCTCTATGAAAGTTCTACTCTGTCCTCGAATATTTTGGATAAACATATATAATAACATTTATGTAAAAGTTTATCCTTTAAAATTCAAATACCCTTGTGGAATAAAATACATCAGGTCAGTTTTTTACATCTCAGCATAAATTAAAATCTTAGCTCCCGCAAGATACTGAAGTTCATATCTTTAACTCCTTTAGTCCTGTTTTTAGTCTCCGTAGGGTAATTTGGTATTGGTATTTCCACCTACTGTGGGCTCTGAGTCGCAAAGAAAAAAATAACTGAGAGGATCTGACATTTATCAAGTGTGCTTACCACATGAGATTCACACACTAAGGCAATCATATTCTTTTATATTCATCCTTTAACTCTTTATGAAGTCACAGATAAATATTATTAATTATCAACCAAAATTTATAGACATTAGCTTTAACTCTCAGAAAGATGAATTTATTTATTTATTTATTTTATTTTACTTTTTATTTTGAAATGGAGTCTCGCTCTGTTTCCCAGGCTGGAGTGCAGTGGCATGATCTGAGCTCACTGCAATCTCTGCCTCCCATGTTCAAGTGATCCTCCTGCCTCAGCCTCCCAAGTAGCTGGGATTACAGGCACGTGCCACTGCACCCAGCTGATTTTTGCATTTTTAATTGAGACAGGGTTTCGCCATGTTGACCAGGTTGGTCTTGAATTCCTGACCTCAGGGGATCCACCCACCTGGGCTTCCTAAAGTGCTGGGATTACAGGCATGAGCCACCACACCCAGCCTGAATTCAAATTTTCAGGGTCACATAAAGATTAGAATAAAAAAATACTGAATATCATAAAGTTAAAGTTACTCTGTTCTTCTGCTTGTAATTAAAGTATGTACTCTGATCGTTCTTCCTTAAAGCCAGTTTCGGTAGAATATAAAAAAAGTGGTTAGGTGGCTGCCCATGAAGTTTTCCCAGGACTTCTCGTATTTCAATTATAATCTATTCTTAATAACTCTAGAATACTAATAAAGATAAATAGAGAAGAATAATAGCAGGCAAAGGTACCATACCGGATAGTTTTTCTCACTGGATCTAGCAACAATTAAACTTCTAAGATTTTCATTTATTCCGTCGAGCTAAATCAAGCTGTAAGTATTCCCAAATCGATTTTGAAGAGGACACTATTCTTAAATGAAATATTGTAGCATATGAGTTAATATATCTCATGTAATTATGTAATACATTCAGAGAAAGAATAAGCATGTAAAATTTATCAAATTATAAATTGTATAGATACGCTTTGTATATTAAATATCAGAAATTTGAATGTTTGTGCTTTGATTTCACAAACATATTGATTATGTTTGATATGGCTTTGAAAACTCTGTGGTTAGTATTCTGCTCATATTGCCTGGAAAAATATAGGAGATGAAAACAGACATACAAATGTTTTCAATAGTTAGTTTAGTATTCTTCTAAATTATAAAAAGTTTTTCTGCACAAGACTATTATTAAGAAAATCAAAAACACATATTATGTAAGTATTTTACTAAGATGGCTATTTACATTACTTAAACATAATCTGCTGTTTCCTCCCTATAGTTTTTGCTGGAAGTAGTAGTGATAATGTATAGTAACTTCAGTGAGCAACACAACATAATTTGAACGTTTTCAATAGGAGCCAAATATCTTGATTATATGTGACAATTATGATATTTATTAGCAGCTATGGGATGTGTTCTCTTTCACCAGAATGAATTGATATATGTAAAGTACTTATAAATATAGCTGGCACATTGTAGGCTCTTTATAAAGGCCAATAGCTTGACAGCTATTATTATATTAATAAAAATGCATTTGCTAACACAGAAGACCCAATTGACAATTATTTAGTTTTTTTATTTGCTTAATAAAAATCCAGCTCTGCGGAGATTACAGTGGCCCAGAAGTCTCACCCAAACCTTTGTGGCTTTCCATGATTTACTTTGCTATCTGTAGACTGTATATTTTGTTGCCACTTATGATGGCAACATGACCTTAGTAATTTCTGTCAATGCATGCAGGCATGATGATGTTGTCATGAAGAATATTTTCTTCTGTGCATTTTTTTTTTATTAGGGTGGAAAATGTGGATACATTTTCCTTGAAAAATCAAGAAGATTAAGTTTCTTGCTAACTTTAAACTAACCACTGTGAAGGAAAATGCCACTTATATGGCTGGGTAAAACCAATAATCATTCTAATAGTTAAAAGTGCATCGTGTAAAGGTAAACACTTTAATAATATCAGGCTAAATCAGCAAAGGGTAAGAGAGCTACAGGTGGTGGTGTCAGTGATGGTGGTGGTCGTAGCAGTGGTGAATGGTTCTGGGGTAGGCGGCTGGTGGTATCTGCAACAATATTATGAGCAATTCTTAGAATTGCTAATTAAAATTCAATATGCTTCCTAGAGTAGACAATGTTGGTGCCTCATGTAAAAACCGTGGATCCCCCATAGGAACTGTGTGACCGCTCCTTAGGCTCTCTGTGCTTTGCTGGTAAAGACTGGCATGGAAAGTTTCGAGGACAGATTATCTTTTTAGAGCTGAGTTGTCTGTGGACAGCTTATGGCCCATAGCTAATGAATGCTTAGTGGAATACAACAGCACAGCACACTTGATTCCCCATAGGACCAACTATAAAGTGCAATTTACCCTCCAGAGCTCCCCATCCAGTCAGACTGAGGCTGGTGCCTCACCTGAAATCATAGCCTTGCTTGACTTGTTTTTTCCAGTTGTATTTCCTACACTTTCTGAGTGGTTTCTTTTGGCAGAACTTCTTTATTGCATCACTCGCTCTCAAATCTTGTGTTCAGATTCTACTTCTGAGGGGCCATGAAATAAGATGGCTTCAGAAAGGTTTATTAACACATTCAATATCTGTCATTTTAAAATAGTAACCAATTATATGAGAATCATGTTTAGAACAGTTCTGATTTAATATCAGCACAAAGAAAGCTGATACAATTTTTAAAAAAATTATCATTTCCTCAGTTTCTTAATTTAAACTTTCACAACTGTTATTTTTCATGACTAGAATATCTTTTTTTTTTTTTTTTGAAATGGAGTTTTGCCCTTGTCGTCCAGGCTGGAGTGCATTGGCGCGATCTCAGCTCACTGCAACCTCCACCTCCCGGGTTCAAGCAATTCTCCTGTCTCAGCCTCCTGAGTAGCTGGGATTACAGGCCCTACCACCATGCCTGGCTAATTTTTGTATTTTTAGTAGAGATGGAGTTTCACCATGTTGGTCAGGCTGGTCTCGAACTCCTGACCTCAGGTGATCCAACCACCTCGGCCTCCCCAAGTGCCGGTATTATAGGTGTGAGCCACTGAGCCACCGTGACCAGCCATGACTAGAATATCATACATCTCATCATTTATTTATATATTTATCTTTTTTGCTGTTCTGTATGACATAAATATAATTCACTAAATTCTCATCTTAAGTCTTGCACACCATAAATCAGATACAAATTATTTTAAAAAGTAAAATAATATAATAGAAATTTTAACACTGTAGCTACTTATATATGAGCAACATAAATTATTTTCTAAAACTTTCATATAAATTGCAAACATATATAGATTTATAGAAAATAATTGCCCTTTGAATAAGGTGAAACCATGTAGTCAAAAGGACATATTTTATTTGAGAAAAGTTTATACTTTTTTCAGCTCAACATTTCTTCTGTTTTTTTTAATAGTATAAGTTCCTAAATCAGATGTAGCCTTATCAATAAATGACAATCCTCAGTAGCTAAAGTATTATTTCAAGATGTAGGCAATGTAAAATGTATTGAAATGTTAGAATTTATATGGAGTCCAGCTTTTTACTTTCCGAACACACACAAGTGCTTTGAAATTCATTGAGAAGTTATTTCTTTGGCAAAAAACTCTTGCTTACTCTTTCCCTTCAAGAGAACAGGATCTAACAAGGTCTATACTCTGAAATTGTTTAAGATCTTTAAAGTCTGCTCTTACTCTTGAAGTAAGACATTTCCTTTGGTGATGACCTCATTGGAAAGGTCAAGGAGTGAATAGGAAATTCTTAGAGATTGAGATGGCATTGCCAATAGAGGGGAGGAAATTACTTACTTCATTATTTTCAAAGGACTTTTTTGTTTGAAGGTCAGATTAGGGCTTTCCAGCCTCTGTTTTTTCCTCCCATTAAGTCTTTCACAAGAACAAAATGTGTTTCTTGCTTGCATCCCCTGTAATAGGGAGGAGAGATTCCTATGCTTCAAGTGCATTTTCTTCAGATAAATGAGATAAAGAGTAATGATAACTGGTATCATTTTCTTAAAGTTATCCTGGCTTAATATATGTATATGTGATATCAAATGTGCTATTTTTAAAAAATATAATTTTATTTGATAACATGCACATAAAATATCCATGTCATTGACTGTTTCTAATTCTCTTATGCAGCTGTGAGTCAGGACAGAAAAAAAATTCCAATGAATATTTCATTGTAGGATGATTTTACAAGCCATTCATTCATGATTTACAAGCAATTCAGTTCCATTAGCATAAATTTTGAAGGTAATATGCATATCACAATGATTATAAGAGGGCAGCCTTGGTGGTTCACACCTGTAATCCCAGCACTTTGGGAGGCTGAGGCAGGCGGATCACCTGAGGTCAGGAGTTCGAGACCAGCCTAGCCTAAATGGCAAAACCCCATCTCTCTGTCTCTACTAAAATATATATATCAGGCCAGGAATGGTGGCATGCTCCATAGTCCCCACTACTCGGGAGGCTGAGGGTAAGACAATCGCTTGAACCCAGGAGGTGGAGGTAGCAGTGAGCCGAGATCTTACCACTGCACTCCAGCCTGGGCGGCAGAGTTAGACCCTGTCTCGGAAAAAAAAAATAATTATATTGATGTCAATCAGAAATGTAAATATCTTCAATCCGAGGAAAGAAACACACAAAGACAGTTGATGGAAAAAGGGAGTAACTGATGGAATCAGGAAGATCTTGAAATTGGTGTGTCATTTGATCCAGAAGACAGTTTTCCTAGAGAATGCCGTCCCATCTTCTAATCTTGAGAGTCTCATATATTCAATGAGGTGGGCTTAAAAACTGATTAATAATAATAATGATCCAGTTAATCTATAGGCTATAGATATGTGGTAAAATTGAGGGTTTTTTCCCAGAGAGTGGTATGTCTTAAATGCCAACCTGCTGTGTGAGCTTAATTCAGAAAGTGGGAAAAGTGGGGATTTTTGGGAAAAGGGATTGCAGTTTCAAAGCCAAACCAAACCAAATGCCCATCAATGATAGACTGGATAAAGAAATGTGGCACATAAACACCATGGAATACTATGCAATCATAAAAAAGAATAAGTTCATGTCCTTTGCCAGGGCAGGAATGAAGCTGGAAACCGTCATTCTCAGCAAACTAACACAAGAACAGAAAACCAAACACCGCATGTTCTCATTCATTAGTGGGAGGTGAACAGTGAGAACACATGGACACAGGGAGGGGAACATCACACACTGAGGCCTGTCAGGGGTTGTGGGGCAAGAGGAGGGAGAGCATTAGGACAAATATCTAATACATGCAGGGCTTAAAACCTAGATGATGGGGAGATGGGTGCAGCAAACTACCATGGCACATTATACCTATGTAACAAACCTGCACATTCTGGACATGTATCCCAGAACTTAAAGTATATATAAAAAAAAAAATCACCTGAGATCAGGAGTTCAAAACCAGCCTGGCCAACACGGTGAAACCCCATCTCTACAAAATTACAAATATTAGCTGGGCACGATGGCGGGCCCCTGTAATCCCAGCTACTCGGGAGGCTGAGGCGGGAGAATTGCTTGAACCCGAGAGGTGGAGGTTGCAGTGAGCTGAGATTACACCACCGCACTCCAGCCTGGGTGACAGAGCCAGGCTCCATCTAAAAAAAAAAAAAAAAAAAAACAATGACAAAAGACAGTATAAATTTGTGCATCTATTTGTGCATAGTGATATATATTAAACACATTTCTGTGGAATCTTTTTAAAACAGGTATTTCCTATTTTCTACAAATATGATGGTAGTAGGAAACATCCAGAAAAGTTACGATTCTTAAATTACCATGAGTGATTATCTCAGTTTTCAGTGGAAACTCCTAGGTTCTAGTTGTAAACTGTAGCAATGAATCAGATACGTAATTCCAAATGTGTTCTTATTGTACGAAAGCTTTAACAGTGCATTTCTATTTGGAAGATACACCAAGAAGGAATTTTTCAAGACCTCAACTTTAGAGAGACCTTTAGGTGAGGATTAAATACTTAATCAGGGAGAAGTGCAGCTCAAAAAGAATTTTTGATTTGGGATATGACCACTCCTCTTATTTGACAATTTCAAATCATAATGGAGGAAAAATGTTTTTAATAAGGAATATGTAGTTTTCATTCCTTGAACAAATATTGTAAATGGGAGAAGCTATCAGGAGATGACTTTATTCTGAATTTGTGTGTGTGTGTGTGTGTGTGTAAATTTAAATACATTCTTTTTATTGCCAATAAACTTTCTTGCAAGTACCAGTTTTTTCCCAAATGAGATGCAGATATATAAGTTTCATATAGTAATTTGGTTATAAATGAAGATTAAATGCAAAGAAATGCTGTGTTCCTATCTGTGGAAATAATTTTATATGCATGAGGAAAATATAGAGCACAGAAAGCCTTGAGTCAATAGAAAGTTAGGGAAATAATCACTGCTAAGTAGACACAGCAGGTATAAGCTCTGCCGGGAGAATCTTTTTACTTCTACCACTCAGATAAATTGTTTTCAATTAAAATTAATTTTCCAAGTAATAATTCTATATAATGAAGCTATTACTATAGTAGGCAATTTGTCATTGCCAATCTTATTGCAGATAATCTTTATTAGTACCATACCTAAGTGTAAACCTCTGCTCAGAAAATCTATTTCTTGGGTGACTCCCAAGAAAATCCTATTTCATTGGAGCTTTCAATGTAATTTCTACTAGAATTGGTTCATATTGCTTTGACCAATGGATAATAATGTAATTAAAGGAAGAAGAGACAGAAAATGGATTTGTTTATATTTACTTCAGAAAAATCTGAGACGGTGAAAACCATTTTCTAAGGTCTGGGATATGTACTTCTGGCTACATTAGACTATCTCTAATTCTTTTCTTACTTTCTGAATGTTTATTTCTTTCACTACCTTCTCTTTCTTCTCCTCCCACTGGATTGGAGTAATTCCTCAAGCATTAGTTTTTAGTTTTGTTTTTCTCTACATTTATTCTGCACAAATTTAATCTGAATGAATGGTTTCAATGTCCCCTTTATTTGCTGGTATTTTCTCCTGACTGTCCTCAATTTTTTTTTTACAAGGAATTTCCAGACTTAATTCTTAAAAGTCCCTTTAAACAATTTCCTCAGATTTCTCACTATCATTAAGAATACATACTTGGCTCTAAACCCTTCTCCAACTCCATCAGTGACATAGCAGTTCTCACACCAAAGTGATCCAAAGAAAATTTTAGGGTCACAAACTGCATGTTTCTCACTGACTCCCACATAATCACCTCAAAACAAAGTCAATTTCCTCCTTTGTTTCAATCTTTATTAATTGTTTCTGTACAACTTTTGGTGTGTTAAAAATATCTCAGACATTGACAGTTTGTATTTCCTTTGTACTTGTACCAAAACTATTTCATACTCAAAGCTTTTGTATTTGCCCCCCTTGATATGAGTTTTAATTCACTAAAATTCACAGCTGACAGCATTAAATCAGTTATTATAAAGTGACAGTAAAAATTACCTCTCCATCGTATATAAACTGAGTATGATAGTCACAGTTCTCCAGTAAGACACAACTAATAGGGTGTGTGTTGGAGGGGAAAGAGGTTGGGTCACACACATGCAAAGAGATTTATAGTAAGGAATTGGCTCATGTCGTATGAAGGCTAGTAAGTCCAAAATCTGCAAGGTGAGCTGACAGAGGAGACTCAGGAAAGCCAGTGGTACAGTTCTAATCTGAAGGCAGTCTGCTTTAGAGTTCTCTCTTGCTTTGAAGAAACTAGTGATTTTGTTCCCTTCAGCCCTTCAACTGATTGAATGAGGCCCACCTACATTAACAAGGACAATCTACTTAACTCAAAGTCTACCAAATTAAATATTTAACTTATTTAAAAACTCCCCCACACAAATGCTCCGAATAATATTTGACCAAATTTCTGGGCACCCCATGGCCCAGTAAAATTGACACAAAAATTAATCATTGCAATAAGCTATGTAGATAGCTTCAGACAAACACTTCCTAAAAGGTTTCTCATCAAGCATAAGTTTCTGGTTATAGACTTAATGAAACAAATCATTGTATATATCAGGAATTTATGAATGAGAAAAAGGGAGAGAGGAGATAGTTCAAGACTCTAATACTATAGATATTTCAATGCCCAGTGTAAAGAACATGTGTTACATCTTCTTATAAAAGAATACTGAGGTGCATAAAGTTACCTTTAAATTAAAAACCAGTTTACAAATGAGGTTTTGATATAATAAAACTTTTTATTTTACCAGCAAAAGACCTCTCATTAATCTTATTGCAAAGAAGTTTATAAAATATGTGCTTTTGTCATTCATTATTGTATTAGTCCATTTTCATGCTACTATGAAGTAATACCTGAGACTGGGCAATCTATAAAGAAAAGAGATTTAATGGACTCATGGTTGCACATGGCTGAGGAGGCCTCCCAGTCATGGTGGAAGGTGAAGGAGGAGCAAGGCACATCTTACATGGTGGCATGCAAGAGAGCATGTGTAGGGGAACTGCCCTTTATAAAACCATCAGATCTCGTGAGACTTATTCACTACCAAGAGAACAGCATGAGAAAAACCTGCCGTCCTGATTAAATTACCTTTCACTCGTTCCCTCCCATGGCATGTGGGATTTATGGGAGCTGCAATTCAAGATGAGTTTTGGGTGTGGACCCAGCCAAACCATATCAATTATATATAGGATACATAAGTTCCTTTAAATAAATAAATCATGTGCTATTTCTATTTTAAGCAGAAAGAAGGATACTAATGTAACGTGAATCTGCAATCTTTCTTGTAGTGATAGCCATAATAACTTGCTGGGAAAAATTATGTATGTAATCACATTAGATTTTATGATTTCTCTCTCTCTCTCTCTCTGTCTCACTCTCTCTCCCCCCCCACCTTTGTAGTAATCTGTGAAGAAAAAATGTAGGTGACAAGATCTTTATAAGGTTCCATCCAAACCTTAGGTTATGTAAGTCTAGCTAAGTTCATTTAATAAATGGTTACATTTAGTATTTGAAACATCAGATGGCTCATTCAAGTATATAGAAGTGCAAAGCAACAGTGTCACCAACTGTCATCAACTCATCTACTCTAATTCAACTTGCTCATTTGTCATCAGAAATGTAGAAATCACCAATGCAAAATCCAGCCAATTTACGACTAATTCAAAAGTAAACACCAAGTTCTCCTTGAACAGTGGTGCTCAAGGAAATCAGAGAGAACACAAACAAATGGAAAAACATTCCATGCTCATGAATAGGCAGAATCAATATCATAAAAATGGTTATTCTGCCCAAAGTAACTGACAGATTCAATGTTATTTCCATTAAACTACTGTTGACATTCTTCACAGAATTAGATAAAAATTATTTTAAAATTCATATGGAACCAAAAATAGCATGTATAGCCAAGACAATCCTAAGGAAAAAGAACAAAGCTGGAGGCATCACTCTACCTGACTTCAAACTATACTACAAGGCTACAGTAACCAAAACAGCATAGTACAAAAACAGACACATAGACCAATGGAACAGAATAAAGAACTCAGAAATAAAACCGGATATTTACAACCATCTGATCTCCAAAAAACCTGACAAAAGCAAGCAATGGGGAAAAGATTCCCTATTTAATAGATGGTGCTGGGAGAACTGGCTAGCCATATGCAGAAAATTGAAACTGGACCCCTTGTTACACCATATACAAAAATGAATTCAAGATGGGTTAAATACTTAAATGTAAAACCCAAAACTGCAAAAACCCTAGAAGAAAACCTAGGCAATGGCATTCAGGACATATACATGGGCAGATTTCATGATGAGAAAATCAAAAGCAATTGCAACAAAAGCAAAAGTTGACAAATGGTATCTGATTAAACTGAAGAGCTTCTGCACAGCAAAAGAAACTATCCTCAGAGTGAACAGACAACCTACAGAATGGGAGAACATTTTTGAAATCTATTCATCTGACAAAGGTCTAATATCCAAAGTCTACAAGGAACTTAAATTTACAAGAAAAAAAATAGCATTAAAAAGTGGGCAAAGGAGGCTGGGTTTGGTGGCTCACGCCTGTAATCCCAGCACTTTGGGAGGCCGAGGCAGGTGGATCACAAGGTCAGGAGTTTGAGACTAGCCCGGCCAAGATAGTGAAACCCCGTCTCTACTAAAAATACAAAAATTAGCTGGGCAAGGTGGCAGGCGCCTGTAATCCCAGCTACTTGGGAGACTGAGGCAGGGAATTGCTTGAACCCAGGAGTCAGAGGTAGCAGTGAGCTGAGGTGGCGCCACTGCACTCCAGCCTGGGCAACAGAGTGAGACTCTGTCTCAAAAAAAAAAAAAATTGGGCAAAGGACATAAACAGACATGTCTCAAAAGAAGACATTTATGTGGCCAACAAACATGTAAAAAAACCCCTCAACATCACTGATCATTAGAGAAGTACAAATCAGAACCACAGTGAGATACCATCTCACACCAGTCAGAATGACGACTATTAAAAAGTTATGAAACAACAGATGCTGGCGGAGCTGCAGAGAGATACAAAAAATTTTATACTGTTGGTGGGAAAGTAAATTAGTTCAACCATTGTGGAAGACAGTGTGGTGATTCCTCAAAGACCTAGAACCAGAAATACCATTTGACCCAGCAATCCTATTAGTGGGTATATATCCAAAGGAATATAAATCATTTCTATTATAAAGATGAATGCACACATATGTTCATTGCAGCACTATTCACAATAGCAAAGACATGGACTTAAATGAAATGCCCATCAATGACAGACTGGATAAAGAAAATGTGGTACATATACACCATGGAATACTATGCAGCCCTAAAAAGGAATGAGATAATCTCCTTTACAAGGACATGGATGGAGCTGGAAGCCATTATCCTCAACAAACTAACACAGGAACAGAAAATCAAATATCACATGTTCTCAATTACAAGTGGAGCTGAACAATGTGAACGCAAGGACACAGGGAGGGGAACAACACACAATGGGGCCTAGAGGCAGGTGGCGGTGGGGGATTGGAGAGCACCAGGAAAAATAACTAATGCATGTTGGGCTTAATACTTAGGTGATAGGTTGATAGGTGCAGCAAATCACCATGGCAGACGTTTACCTATGTAACAAACCTGCACATCCTGCACATGTACCCTGGATCTTAAAAAAAAAAAAAAAAAGTGTGCACCAAAATGATACAGTCCTCAAAAAAGAAATATATATTTTCATAAAATTTTATGTCAAAGTTTCCCCTTTAGTTCGACTTTTTAAATTTTCTTAAGTATTTATTTAAAATGGGAAACTTCGTTTTTGTTTCATCTAGAGCTTCTATGGACTGACAATATATATTTAAAATTAAAACAAAAGCCAGTATAGCAAATATACAGCTCTCAGACCTCCCACCTTATCTGGGTTTGTTCCAGACACTTCCTTATGGTATGGCACTCTGGGGAGCACATATCCATTGCTAATTAATCACCATTGATATTCAAGCTAAGACTAACTTGTCTTCCCTGATGTATAATAATCCAGCCAGTTTTATAAATATTTTATTAAAATAAAATGCTTTATTTCCTCAGGAAAAACATTAAAAGAGATCTTTAGACTCATTTTGAAATCTAGACATGCCCCAAAGGATAATATCTTCTTGTATATGTTTAGTTCCTATAAATTGATGGGGGTATACAAATCAGTAGCCTAAATAATTAATTATCTTTTAATAGGTTTATGTCATTATTCATGTTATTTTTACTATATGTTGTACTTAAATATGTTAATAAATATACTTAATATTATATTTTAGTTGGAAAAACAATCAAAGTACTGATATTTTAATGATATATTTTCTAATGGAGCTGCATATGGATGTGTTTGTGTATATACCGAGAGTTATTCCTTAGGCCTAAACTGTGCACCGTCAGTAATCAGACATCTCTCAGCAAGTATAGGATAGGAGCTTGTCAGCTTGGTAGGATAGAAAATCCCTTTGGTAAGCTGTGACCACCGTTAAATTTCTTTCCCAGATCTCACCATTTGGGTAGGTATTGTACAAACTAGGATAAATAGCCTATATTCATTAGTATTTACCATGTGCTAAATAATTAACATGTATTATGTAATTTAATATCTTCAACAACTCTATAAGTACATATTACAGAAAGACCCATATCACGGATGAGAAAATTTCAACTTGGAGCTGTTAAGTAGCTTGTCCAAGGTCAATGATCATGTTTTAATAGGGTAAAATTATATAAGGTATACAAGTTTGATATGGGTATTCAGCATAGTTGGACTAGCATCAGTATGTATCCTCATATCTGTGCCCTCTGATTTTCAAGTATGAAATTGAGAGAACACGAGACAATATTATTTTTTATGCAAAAACAGGGGACAACACAAGTGAGAATTAATATGTTCTTCCTAATTTATTTCAACATGAGTATAAGAGATGGCAGTTAGACTTTCAAAAGAAATCTACCTTTTGGCCGGGCACGGTGGCTCACGCCTGTAATCCCAGCACTTCGGGAGGCCGAGGAGGGTGGATCACGAGGTCAGGAGATCGAGGCCATCCTGGCTAACATCCTGAAACCCCGTCTCTACTTAAATACAAAAAAATTAGCCTGGCGTGGTGGCGGGCGCCTATAGTCCCAGCTACTCGGGAGGCTGAGGCAGGAGAATGGCGTGAACCCGGGAGGCGGAGTTTGCAGTGAGCTGAGATCGCGCCACTGCACTCCAGCCGGGGCGACAGAGTGAGACTCCATCTCGAAAAAAAAAAAAAAAAATCTACCTTTTAAATTAGATAGAAGACTTTTCCATGCATTTAGAGTTCCAATGATCAACCTTCTATCAGCAAGTTAGAAAAAAATGTATTTTATTCTTTTGTTTCATTTTTGTCACATATTTTTCTAGACTGGTGGATAGGGAATGCCAGAGACAGGTAATAATTATGAATAAAATATTGATATTGTTTATTGAAACCTATAATATTATTTGTTCTTACCTTGCCATTTGTTCCTTCATGTTTAAAGGGAGGGAGATGACCTAAATAAAGTACCTTTCATAGCACCTGGAATGTATTAAGTGCTCAATAGATGATAGCTCCCTTTTCCTTTTTGCTTTCTCTTCATTGAAGCAGAACTGCTAACTCAGATACCTGCATGTCATGGGACCACTTTCTTTCAAGATTGTGGGTTTTTGGAAAGTTTAGGCATATGTTATTATAGTTGCATGCTAATCGAATGGTAACTTGAGTCCCAGATGAAGGGGTTTTAGTATTGAATTTAGTGCTTAGTTTTAGTTTATTTTATGCATTTTCTGAGGCATTGTGTGGCCTTCTAACTTTCCACAAAGCCAGGTGTTCTGTCTGTAGAAAGGGCACTTATGTTTATTTTATCTGGTGCATGTGTGTTCTTTGCACACACATCTGCATCTTGTGATTATGTCCCCATTGAAAAAGCAAGTTGTTCAGGTATTTCATATTATCTTATCCTCATTTTCATCTGAAGGGCCTAGGACTTTTCATACTGCCCTTTTTTCCGCTGTGATATCTACATTTTATTTTTTTAATTTATTATTTATTTATTTATTTATTTATTTATTTATTTATTTATTTATTTATTTTGAGACGGAGTCTTGCTCTGTCGCCCAGGCTGGAGTGCAGTGGCGCGATCTCGGTTCACTGCAAGCTCCGTCTCTGGGGTTCACGCCATTCTCCTGCCTCAGCCTCCCGAGTAGCTGGGACTACAGGCGCCCGCCACCATGCCCGACTAACTTTTTGTGTTTTTAGTAGAGATGGGGTTTCATCGTGTTAGCCAGGATGGTCTCAATCTCCTGACCTCGTGATCCGCCCACCTCAGCCTCCCAAAGTGCTGGGATTACAGGCGTGAGCCACTGCGCCTGGCCGATATCTACATTTTAAAAGAAAGAACACTTAAATTTGTCTTCAAGGTTATTTTATGAAGTGATATCTCATTGCATTGACTCATTCAAAAGGGAGAAGTAACGTCTCTTGTTTGGGAATCGTGAAGAGTGGAATATATAGAATGAATAGAAAAAAAATACCATTCACAGAAGGACCCACCAGCACACTTGCTCATTTATTTACCGAGTGTTAGAAGAGCCTTAGTTTCATGCCAGACCCTGTGATTGATGAAATTGAGCTTGAAATAAATGAGATCTGATTTTTCTTTTCACAGAATTTATAGAAGTCCAGTGTGTAAAGTTGACCTCCAGGCTTTTTCCAAGTAAGCCAATAGCTACTTGTTCAATGTTTAATTAACAGCAGCAAACAGATGTTGCTGAATAAATGACTAGAAAAAGTAAAGGGCCAGTATGGACAGAAACATTTTCGTTTTCTCTGAAATGTCAGGATTGCAGTGACCGTTGGAGTTGGTCATAAATGGCTGAGTACAAAACTGTTGAAACATCTTGCCTTCCACTTGCTTGTAACTTTACGTATAGTGCTTTGCTTTGAATTCCAGAATATTTTTATGAAACATCTCATAAAAATTACATTTATGGAAGAAGCAAATAAAGGCAACAACTATATTATATATTTAACAATTTTGCAATCTTCAATTTTAAAAAATAACTGTTTTGTAGATTTTCTTCAATAAATGAAGCACTTTGCTTTCTTGAAATAAGCTAAAAGCAATTAATAAATACAAGATGCTAAATCAAGGCTTAGGATTTTAATGATTCAACTATTAATACTATGATAAATTCATAATAAGAGAGAATCAGAACATTGACACATCGATCATACATTTCCTAAAATTAAACTACATCAGATGGAGACTGTGGTATCATGCAGATCCCTTATTCTGGTGATCACATATTTCAGATTTCCCAATGTATTAGAAAAGATATGCCTGTCTCTCCCCCAACTGTATCTAATAAATGAAGTTTCATTATATTTGACCAGTATATTCATATTGTAGATATTGAAAGGTAAAAGAAATGAAACAGATTCTGACTCTCCTGCTATTTTTGGAAGAGTTGGAGCTAAGTTTGAATCCCAGCTGTGCCATTTGCATGCCTCATGGCCTAGTTTGAATGTCTCATTCTTCTCTCTGTTGCAATCCTCATTTGTACAATGTGAATAATACTAATGATGCATTCCAGTATGTGTGATGGAGGTTTTACTTATATAAGGTACATAAAAGTAATAAGTATCTGATGCATAATGTATTCTCTATATATTAGTTCTTTCTCTTTGTTCTCTGCAAATGGTTCCTAAACCCACAAGCATCTTTGCATAAGCATCTGGATTACAAGTAGCATCAAGTAAATTTAGGCAGGAGGGGACAATCTTGTGTAGGCACCTGTTCCTGATGTTTATACTACAATTCTCCCTTGAAGATATGTGATGTTTGTCCTAGCCCAAATATCTGCAAATTCAGAAAAGATCCTGAGGAAAAGTAAGAGATAAGTCCCTCCTTTCTATGTCTTTCAAGGCAGTAGCTTCCAAATGTGGCTCTACAAATTAATGATTCCTGAGCCCCAACACAGCAGATTCTGATTCAGTATCTGGCTGAACCTGGACTGATGCTCAGGAATCTGTATATTTAACGTTTCTCTCAAGTGATTTTAATATGAACAGCATTTGATCATTACCACATTGTGACACTGTGTTCAGTCTAAAGTCTGTAATTCCTGTTTGTAGAGAAGGTAGATAGCCCTCACTTTTGAAAATTAGCAATAATTAGAAAAAGAGATTCCTGCTATGGTTTGAATGTCTCTCCCATAATTCATGTGTTAGAAACTTAACCCCTAATGCAACAGGGTTGGAAAGTAGGGTCTAGTAGGAAGTGATTAGGTCATGACGGCAGAGACCTCATCAATGGATTAGTGTTGGTCTCACAGGAATGGGTTAATTATTGCAAGAGTGGGCTTGTTATGAAAGCAAGCTTGGCCCTCTTGTGCATTTTCACTCTTACATCCTTTCTTTCCCTTCTGCCTTCTTCCATGGGATGATGCGCAAGAAGGCCCTCACCAGATATGAGCCCCTGGAACTTCGACTTTTTTTTTTAGAACTCTAAGAAATAAATTTCTCTTCTTTTTAAACTACCCAGTCTCAGGTATCCTGCTATAGCAACAGCAAAGCAGACTAAAACAATTCCTCATTTTAAAGAAGACCTTGAATCCATTTTGCTGTCTTGAAGTGAACTGACCTTAAAATGTGTTTTGGTCATAAGCACCCATTTTCTAACTTCTCTCTCCAATGCTATGTTCATAAAATAACAAGAACAGCAACAGCAACAACAACAGTAATTTACTGGATGAACCTGGCAAATATAATCTGATTCATTAGCAGTTACAAATTATAAACTTCATGCTAGAAAAAAACCCTTTAATATAGGTAGTACCTGCTGAGAGAATTAAGACTGTTTCCCTGGGAACTTTCCTGAAGATGTTATGGTTTATTACTCTGAGATATATTTTTGCTGCTTCTGGCAGAACATTCAGTTTCATTTGGTTGTTTACATTTAATTTAATTTATTATCATTAACCTTCCAGTTAAGACCATTTTGGTCAAACTTGTTCTTATATGACAGTATCCATCTGCCTCTTTTACTTTGTGTTAGGAAATAAGGGAATTGAAATATGCTTTTGGCTTTAAATTAAGTCCATCTATTGCAACAAGTACAACCAAGTTCATATTTGATATAAAATATTTCATTCCTTTTTAAATTCTGTACAACTGTAGGACTGCTATTGTCCTCACAGCCTCTGGGTCAGCATGTGTGACAGTCATTTCAATAATATAAACCTGTTATTAAAAATATACACATTAGTTTCTCTATGAAGGAATAGTTCTGACTGCAATAGAAAGATGTTTAAGCAAAACTCTGGCCATCTGTGCGTGTGTGTGTGTGTGTGTGTGTGTGTGGAAATATTTGCTAACGTTGTTCCCAATTGGTTAACTAGTCTTATACAGGATTCTAGAAGGTTTTAGAAGCAAAATGAGTATAACATATCAGAACACTGCATAAAACTGATTTATTGAGATTCAACTTTTAAGACATTCTATATTCCCAAGGAAACAAATAAAATATATGGATCTACCTCTGTTAATTTAGTAATACACGTTTGTCCTCTGTTTTGCGGGGTGAATTGGATACCCTTTTCTTGTGGATTTTGTGTTTTGTGAACTACTTTGGGACAATTTGCTCATAGTTCCTGTTTTACTGACTCCAGAACATATGTGCCAGACATGTTTTTTCTCAAAATTTTCACATATGTGTCAAAGAAAATTTAATCCTTATTATTTTTTTATTTACATTTACACTTAAACTCATCAAAACATTATTATGCAAAAGCTTTTGAATTCCAAGAGACATTACAGGGCCTAAAAGTCCCAAGATAACACTCTTCTAAAATTAAAATATTTTATCATTAGAATGTTCATTTAAAATTTTTAACATATATTTGAAGAAACCAAAATAACGAACAGATTATGTTCCCCTTTTTTGACTGCCATTCTCTATAATTCAAAACTAGCAAATTGTGTATAAATATTGTGTACAGGTTACTAACATTTATTAAGTCCTTTCCTTTTAAGGAGTGCAAAACGATGTGAATTGAGATTTGTCAATTTTGGATCCCATTATCTTGGCTCCAGTATTCTCATGGTTGTAATTCAGAAAATGCATACATAAAACCTATTGCACAGGACAATTAGCTATACACACACAATCATCACAGAGCCCTGTGAAATAAAATGCAGATGAGAAGAGAAATAAGAAATACCATCAATGTATGAAGGATTTTAAAAACATTCTGGAGGTGGATGATGAGACCATGAGCATAAATGAAGCTGAGCAGAAATGACTGAAGACTGAAGGAATATAGGAGGAAATTTCCAAGCAGCTGGTACCAGTCTTCTGCAAAGCATATTTTAACGGCTCAAAAAGAATGTTTTTTTTTAAAGGGTCTAAAACTTGAAGATTAATTGAAGGACTTATAACATTCCTAAGCAACGAAAGCAAAAATAGACAAATAGGATCACATCAAATAGAAAGCTATTGCACAGCCAAAGAAACAATCAGCAGAGTGAAGAGAAAACCTATGGAATGGCAGAAAATATTTGCAAACCACCTATCTGATAAGGAGCCACTATCCAAAATACATAAGGGACTCAAGCAACTCAATAGTAAACAAACAATTAAAAATGGGCAAAAGGCCGCGCACAGTAGCTCACCCCTGTAATCCCAGCACTTTGGGAGGCCGAGGTGGGTGGATCACCTGAGGTCGGGAGTTCAAAACCATCCTGGTCAACATGACAAAACCCCGTCTCTACTAAAAATACAAAATTAGCTGGGCATGGTGGCACATGCCTACAATCCCAGCTACTTGGGAGGTTGAGGAAAGAGAATCGCTTGAACCTGGAAGGAGGAGGTTGCACTGAGCCGAAATCACGCTATTGCACTCCAGCCTGGGTAACAAGAGTGAAACTCCATCTCAAAATGAATGAATAAATAAATAAATAAATAAAATAAATAAATGGGTAAAATATCTGGACAGACTTCACTCAAAAGGAGATATACAAATGGTTAACAGGTATGTAAGTAAGTGTGCAACATCACTAATCATCAGATAAATGCAAATTTCCAAGTCTGAGATATTAGGAAAAAATTCCTGATGAGAAATTGCACCTGCTAAAATGGCTATTATCAAGATGAATGATAACAATAGGTGCAGCTGTGGAGAAAAGGTAGTCTTTGCACATTGTTGGTAGGAATGTAAATTAGTGCACCCACTATGAAAAGCAATATAGAGGATCCTCAAAAAATTAAAAATAGAATTACTATATGTTGCAGCTATTTACTTACTAAGTGTATATCTAAAGGAAGTGAAATCAACATATCAGAAAGAGATCTTCACGTCATTGTTCATTGCAGCATTATTCACAACAGCCAAGATAAGAAACCAATCTAAGTAAGTGTCCATCAACAGATGAATGGATAAAGAAATTGTGGTGTATATACACAAGGGAATACTATTTTCCCATAAAAGGAAAGGGAAATCTTACATTTGCAACAATATAGATGAAACCGGACTACATCAGGCTAAGTGAAATAAGCCAAAGAAAGAAAGACAAATACTGCATAGTCTTATTTACGCGTCAAATTTTAAAAAGTTGAACTCATAAAAGTAGAGACTAGAATGACGGCTATCAGGGGCTTGTGGAAAAGGGGTTGGGGAGATATTAGTCAAAGGATACAAAATTTCAGTTACATATGAGGAATTCATTCAAGAGATCTATTGTACAACATGGTGACTATAGTTAATAAGAATGTGTTGTATTGAAAAAAACTTTTTACGTTAAAAACAACAACAAAATTGTTCCTAAGATTCATCTGTTTGACAACATATAATGCCTTCAGTGGATTTTCACTGTTATGTAGTGTTTCATTTTGTGAGCTATGAGATTTTTTTCACAGATGGACATTTAAGTTGTTCTCATGTTATTGTTATGAGCAAGACTGTCATGAACATTCTGTGGCTTAAAAATATCTGTAAATTCTGGCTGGGCGTGGTGGCTCACACCTGTAATCCCAGCACTTTGGGAGGCCAAGGCAGGTGGATCATGAGGTCAGGAGATCGAGACCATCCTGACTAACATGGTGAAACCCTGTCTCTACTAAAAATACAAACAATTGGCCGGGCGTGGTGGCAGGCACCTGTAGTCCCAGCTACTTGGGAGGCTGAGGCAGGAGAATGGCATGAACCTGGGAGGCGGAGCTTGCAATGAGCTGAGATTGCACCACTGCACTCCAGCCTGGATGATAGAGCGAGACTCTGTCTCAAAAAAAAAAAAAAAAATCTGTAAATTCCTTCATAATCTTCCAGTACAAGATTTGAACTATTTCCTCTTCTTGAACTAGACTGACCTGTGATGCCTTTCATCAGCTGAATGTAGAGAAAATGAAGTTATGCCAGTTTCAGATCTAGCTTCAAAGAGGATTTGCAGTTTCTGCTTTGATATATAGAAGACCTAAGCTGCAATGTAGTCTCTATACACTCAAAGGGTAGTCTGACTTCTCTGCTAAGGGACTTTATGGAAAGGCTGTAAGACTACATTTAGAGAGACAGAAGCCCATTCATCAGAGGCCAGCCTTCAACTGCCCCATTAAGAGACCAGGCATGTGAGTGAAGTCTTAACAAAAAGTCCTGATAAAGGACACATACACCCTCCCAAGACTGAACCAGAAAGAAACTAAATTCCTGAACACACCTGCAATGATCTCTAAAACTGAATCAGTAATAAATAGCTTACCAACCAAATAAAAGCCCAGGACCAGACAGATTCATAGACAAATTCTACCAGCTGTACAAAGAAGAGCTGGTAACGTTTCTACTGAAACTATTTGAAAAAAATGAGAAGGAAGGACTCCTCCCCAACTTATTCTTTGAGGCCAGCATCATCCTGATATTAAAGTCTGACAGAAACACAACAGTAAAAGAAAACTTCAGGCCAATATCTTTGATGGACATTGATGAAAAAATCTTCAACAAAAAAACACTAGCGAAACACATCCAGCAGCACAACAAAAAGTTAGTCCATCATGATCAAGTTAGCTTTATCCCTGAGATGCAAAGGTGGTTTAACATATGCAAATTAATAAACGTGATTTGGCAGAGTGCGGTGGCTCACGCCTGTAATCCCAACACTTTGGGAGGCTGAGGTGGGCAGATCACAAGGTCAGGAGATAGAGACCATCTTGTCCAACATGGTGAAACCCCATCTCTACTAAAATACAAAAAATTAGCCGGGTGTGTTGGTGCGTGCCTGAAGTCCAAGCTACTTGGGAGGCTGAGGCAGCAGAATTGCTTGAACCTGGGAGGTGGAGGTTGCAGTGAGCTGAGATTGCGCCACTGTACTCCAGAATGGTGACAGAGCAAGACTCTGTCTCAAAACATATAAATAAATAAAAACAAAAATAAATGTGATTCATCACATAAACAGAACTAAATACAAAAACTACATGATTATCTCAATAGATGCAGAGAAAGCTTCTGATAAAACTCAACATTCATTCATGTTAAAAACTCTCAAGAAACTAGCTATTGAAGGAACAGACTTAAAATAGTAAGATCCATCTATGACAAATCCATAGCCGACATCTTACTGAATGGGCGAAAGCTTGAAACATTTCTCTGGAAAACCGGCACAAGACAAAAATACCCTCTCCATCACTCCTATTCATCGAAGTATTGGAAGTCCAGGCCAGCGTAATCAGGCAAGAGAAAGAAATAAACGACACCCAAATAGGAAGAAAGGAAGTCAAACTATCCCTATTTGCAGACGATATGATTCTATATCTAGAAAACCCCATAGTCACAGCCCAAAAGCTCCTTCAGCTGATAAACAACTTCAGCAAAGTTTCAGGATACATCAATGTACAAAAATCACTAGCATTCCAGCCAGGTGTAGTGTCTCATGCCTGTAATCCCAGCACTTTGGGAGGCTGAGGTGGGTGGATTGCTTGAACCCAGGAGCCCAAGACCACCCTGAAAAACATGGTGATACCTTGTCTCTACAAAACATAAAAAATTAGGTGGATGTGGTGGCATGCACCTGTGTTACCACCTACTGGGTTAGCTGAGATGGGAGGATTGCTTGAACTTGGGAGGCAGAGGCTGTAGTGAGCCACGATCTTGCCACTGTACTCCAGCCTGGGAAACAGAGCAAGATCTTGTCTCAAAAAAAAAAAAAAAAAAAAAAAAAAAAAAAAAAAATTACTAGCATTCCTATACACCAAAAACAGCCAAGCTGAGGGCAAAGTCAAAAATACAATTCAATTCACAATACTCACAAAAATAATAAAGTTCTTAGGAACAGCTAACCAGGGAGTTGAAAGATCAGTACAATGAGAATTACCAGACATTGCTTAAAAAATCAGAGATGAAACAAACAAATGGAAAAACATTTCATGCTCATGGATAGGAAGAAATTAATATGGTTAAAATGGTCATACTGTCCAAAGCAATTTACAAAATCAATACTATTCCTATCCAACTACCAATGATATTATTTACAGAACTAGAAAAAAACTATTTTAAAATTTATATGGAACCAGAAAAGAACTTGAATATCCAAGGCAATCCTAAACAAAATCAACAAAGCAGGAGGCATCACGTTCCTCGACTTCAAACTATACTACAGGGCTGTAGTAACTAAAACAGCTTGGTCCTGTTGGTACAACGTGGACCTGTTGGTACAACATGGACCTCATGGTACAAAAGCAGACACATAGATCAATGGAACAGACTAGAGAGCCCAGAAATAAGCCATACACCTATAACTACGTATCTGATTTTCAAAAAAGTTGACAAAAATGAGCAGTGGGGAATGAACTTCGTATTTAATAAACGGTACTAGGGTATCGGGGGAACCCAACCCCAATATTTCAATGTAGGTTCTTTCTATTTTCCATAAGTGTCAGCTGGCTGAGAAATAAAGAGAAAGAGTACAAAGAGAGGAATTTTACAGCTGGGCCGCTGGGGGTGACATCACATGTCGGTAGGACCATGATGCTCACCTGAGGCTCAAACCAGAAAGTTTTTTATTAAGGGTTTCAAAAGGGGAAGGGGTGTAAAACAGGGAGTAGGTACAAAGATCACATGCTTCAAAGGGCAAAAAGCAGAGCAAAGATCACATGCTTCTGAGGGAACAGGACAAAGACAAAGCAGAACAACTGATAAAGGTCTATGTTCAGCTGTGCACGTATTGTCTTGATAAACATCTTAAACAACAGAAAACAGGGTTCAAGAACAGAGAACCGTTCTGACCACAAATTTACCAGGGCAGAGTTTCTTCCCCACCCTAATAAGCCTGAGGGTACTGCAGGAGACCAGGGCGTATCTCAGTCTTTATCTCAACTGTATAAGACAGACACTCTCAGAGTGGTCGTTTATAGACCTCCCCCCAGGAATGCATTCCTTTCCCAGGGTATTAATATTAATATTCCTTGCTAGGAAAAGAATTTAGCAATATCTCTCCTACTAGCATGTCTGTTTATAGGCTCTCTGCAAGAAGAAAAATATGGCTCTTTTTGCCCGATCCCACAGGCAGTCAGACCTTATGGTTGTTTTCCCTTGTTCCCTAAATATTGCTGTTATACTGTTCTTTTTCAAGGTGCACTGATTTCTTATTGTTCAAACACATATGTTTTACAATCAATGTGTACAGTTAACACAATTATCACAGTGGTCCTGAGGTGACATATATCCTCAGCTTACGAAGATAACAGGATTAAGAGATTAAAGTAAAGAACAGGCATAAAAAATTATAAAAGTGTTATTTGGGTACTGATAAATGTCCATGAAATTTTCACAATTCATATTTCTCTGCCACGGCTCCAGCCGGTCCCTCCGTTTGGGGTCCCTGAACTTTCTGCAACACTAAGGTAACTGGCTAACCATATGTAGAAGATTAATACTGGACCCCTTACTTGTCCAATATACAAAAATCAACTCAAGATGGAATGAACACTTAAATGTAGTTCTCAAAACTATAAAAACCTTGGAAGACAACCTAGGAAATACCATTCTGGACACAGGAATTGGCTAAAATTTCACAACGAAGATGCCAAAAACAACTGCAACAGAAACAAAACTTGACAAATAGAATCTAATTAAATTAAAGAGTTTCTACACAGCAAAAGAAGTTATCAATGAGTAAACAGACAACTTACAGAATGGGATAAAATATTTGCAAACTATGCATCTGACAATGGTCTAATATCCAGCTTTTTAATTTTTTTAATTTGTTTAAGGAAAGTAAATAAATTTATAAGGAAGAAACAAACAGCCCCATTTAAAAGTGGGCAAATGATGTGAACAGACACTTTTCAAAAGAAGATATACATGAAGCCAACAAGCATATGAAAAAAAAAGCTGAAATCATTTGTCATCAGAAAAATGCAAATAAAAACCACAATGAGATGTTATCTCATACCAGTCAGAATGGCTATTATCAAAAAGTAAAAAAATAGTAGGGGCTGGAGAGGTTGCAGAGAAAAGGGAACACTTATATACTGTTGGTGGGAGTGTAAATTAGTTCAATCATTGCAGAAAGCAGTATGATGATTCTTCAAAGAGCTAAAACCAGAACTACCATTAGACTCAGGAATCCCATTACTGGGTATATACCAAGAAATGTAAATAATTCTACCATTAAGACACATGGGCATGTATGTTCATTGCAGCACTATTCACTACAGCAAAGACATGGAATCAATATAAGTGCCCATCAATGGTAGACTGAATAAAGAAAATGTGGTACACATAAGCACATATGCACCATAGAATACTATGCATCCATAAAAAAAGAATGAGGTCATGTCCTTTGTATGAACATGGATGGAGCTGGAGGCCATTATCCTTAGAAAACTAACATAGGAACAGAAAACCAAATATAGCATATCCTCACTTATAAATGGGAGCTAAATGATGAAAACACAAGAAGGGAACAACAGACACTAGAGCCTACTTGGGGGTGGAGGGTGGAAAGAGGGAGAGGATCAGAAAAAGTAACAATTGAGTACTAAGTTTACATGATGAAATAATCTGTACAAAAAACCCAGTGACACGAGTTTTTTCTATATAACAACCCTGCACATGTACCCCTGAACCTAAAATAAACTTTATAAAAAATTTCAGATGAAACCAGTCACCAGTGAAACACTACTGAGTGACCCAATGATGCTGTTAGAAGAATAGAAGAATCAATACTCATGTTACGCTGTGAGCAGAAGTTTTGCCAGGACATTTATTTAATAGTGTACTTGCTAGGTCATAGATGATGTATATTTTCAAATTTACAAGATAATGCAAAAGTGCGTCTTCAAAATGGTTATGCCATATTATATCCTCACCAGCAGCATAAGACGTTGATCAACTTATCCTACAATTTTTCACATTTTATGCTTCCTCTTCAGCACGCTGCTGATTTCTCCTTATTTTTGCTCATTTTGGGGGTTGCATAGCTTATTTGTTATTGATTTGTAGGAGTTAGTTACAGATTTTGAAAACATATTCTTTCTTGATTCTGTGTGTGTGTTTACTTTTTCTTCAGGATGCTTTGATACACAGAAGTTTTTAATTTTAATGTCAAATTTATAAACTTTTTTATGCTTTGCACTTACTGCACCTTGTTTAAGACATTTTTCTTTACATTCAGATCAAATACATTGCTTATGTTTTCTTGTAAGACGTTAGTTTTTATCTTTTATGTCTATAATCTGCCGGGAATCTAATCTGTGTGTTCTGAGGATTTTGCGTGTGTGTGTGTGTGTGTGTGTGTGTGTGTGTGTGTAGGCAAGTTATGCAGAGATCAAATTTTATTTATTTTATTGTGAATGATTAATCGTTCCTGCAGCATTTGTTGAGTCTTTCTTCCCAGGCAAGTCATATATTAAGTATAAATATATGCAGGGATCCATCATTGGCTTCTATATTCTATTCACCTTATCTACTTGTCTATCTCGGCACCAATACTATACTGTCACTGCTGTATTTTAAACATCAATAAGTATGCCTAGCAAATAACAGATATTCAATAATTAATTGTTATATGCATGAATTAATACTGTTTTGTAATAAGTCCTGAAATATGATAAGATAGGTCCTCTCATGTCTTTCTTCTTCAGGAGTGCCTTGTCTAATTCCAGGGTTTTGATCAATCATGCACATTTTAGGTTCAGCTTATTAACTTACATGAAATACAATGTTGGTTTTTTTAGTTTATGGAAATCCCATAATTCATCTTCAACAATAATCAATATTTTGAAATCTTGTTTCGTAATACTACTTTTTTTTAGAATGCTTTAAAACACATTCCAGACATCATTCAATTTTGTTAATACATAATTTGGTATCATCACGAAGAAAACAGGAATTTACATAATTTTCATGCTGTTCCTAAGATCAAAATAAAAATTTAAAAAAAAATAGTGACTAGTCTAGTTTTCCCAATTATTTTAGAGATATTTTCTTACCATTGATTAGTTTAATAAGTTCTCAAAAAAGGGCTACTCATTACTTTGGCTATTTGGTTTCTCATGAGTTTCTCTCCTCCAACCTCACCTTTTCTGTTTATAGCAGGTTCTTTCTAAACTTAAAAATAATTTTCAAGACTATTTTTAAAATTTTGCTTTTCAGTTAAAGTATTGGGTACCTAGAATGCATAAGAAAGAACGATAATGAAGTTTCATCCAATAAGTAAGTTAATATCAATGAAGGGAACCTAAGAACTGAATTGGGTATTACTAATAGTAGTGATAAATTCCAGGGATCATCTCAAATAAACTTCCAGGTC
Source organism: Homo sapiens (assembly GCF_000001405.40). NCBI lineage: Eukaryota > Metazoa > Chordata > Mammalia > Primates > Hominidae > Homo > Homo sapiens. Next base: position 27,957,193 of record NC_000021.9, on the reverse strand, counting down.
TATAGTTCTAAAGATTAATTTAATAACTTTAATAGTGGAGGTAAATAGAAATGATTGACATTTTGTCACATGGCATTATATTTTGATTTCTCATAATTCATACCACGCACTATTCTTCCCCTTTTCATTTCCTCACTTCCCATTCTTCCCCTTCATCTTTTATCTATCTAAGAAATTCTGTCTCCAGGCTGCCAGAGCCATAAAAGTATCACCAACAAACAATAATGGCAATAACAGCAAAAGCAGTTGGAATTACTTCTGCTCATTTACAGGCATATGCCACAACCACAACCAAGACCCAAAATATATGCTTATTTTTGCAGGTGCACTTCTATTATTCTAAGACTTTATGATAAACATTTTAAAACATAATTTAGGAATTACCCATCAAACTCCTTTTCTTCAGTGAAGCAGAGGGAACATATTGCTCTTTAAAGGAATGAATTCTTCCGGAGCATGCTGGTATTTGTGATGGTTTTGTTTATTTCAAAGACTAATTCCCACTTCAAATAGAATTTTCAGGTAAAGAACTAATTTCTCTTCTAACATCCTTGGAAACTGGGAACTGGAAATTGATTGACATAAGCTTGCATAATGAGATTGAACCTAAATGCACATGCTTCTGAGAATATGTGATGGGTTTGACATTACTTTTAGGAACCAAGCTCTTGACCCAAAAAGCCACTTGCTTGTTAATAACACTCTTATGAAATACACAGAAGTTCATTATCCCTTGGGACTTCAAATCACCCTGCAAATACCTAGTCAGTCATTCTGTGTTGAAGTCATTTATTTCTCCTTAGTTTGAATAGCTAGAATCAGATCTAAATGTTCTCTCTAAAGAATTGTTTTTAATTGAAGAAAATAAACATTCTTTTAAAATGTTCTGGTGCATTCTTTTAAATACACCAGATTCTAATTTACTTTGCATGAACAAAGCGCAAATATCAGAAATACTAAAATCTATTTTGAAAGTTTGCACATAGTAAGCTAGTCCAGAATCTGACCAGAAATACCTATTTTTTACCTTTATTATTTGATAATGCTGGCAGCATATTAAAACAGTCCAATATCTGATGAGTGGTTCAAAACTAGCAAAGTATACAATTATCTAATCTGAAAAACCACTTTTTATTGATTGATTTGCGTGGTTTTTCATTCTTTGAAAGTAGAGATCTTGACTAAGACATTCAATCTGCGTAGCAGTCATAAAATTTAGTATCCCCTTTGTGACATGCTGTGTGTGGAAGGGTTGGGGAGGAGCTATTGATAATTTCTTAGGACATCGAGCACAAACCAGGACCATCCTGAGCAAAGTATATGGTCAGTATATACTTAAAGACAGTTTATAGAAGTGATGATAAATAATCCAAAGATGGTTCTATTGTCATAAACTTGAGCAATTTCCCCCCCAACACTCACTTAATTGGTTCTCTCCAATAAATATTCTTTCTTTAAAAGTTTCAACAAAGTTTTAAAGGTCTAACTTTTACTTTTGACTTATTCGTTTTGCCTGGAAGCACTAAGGCTTACAGTCTGTGGTGACTGGCAGTAAGAATCAACATGGTTTTCCTTTTTCTTTTTCTCCAGTGAAAACTATTTCCACTTTAAGTCTTCTGCACACGGCAATTAATGAGAGGAAATAATACTCCCTGACCAAATCACAAACATTCTGTATAATCATATAAGTTACTTTTCCAAGCTGCACAAATGATATGTTTCACATGCTGAGAATTGTTAACAAGTACAGTACTCAATACGCAATGTTAGAACTTACTTTGTTTAAAGCAAATAGACTGAGATAAAATATCTATCCCCTAACCCCAAGATGCTTACAATCTTCCTAGAGTTCAAGGCTTGCTTATAAAAACAACAACAACATCAACAACAAAGCAATAAGAGGCAATGAATGGCAATACAGATAATAAACACCAGAAAGAAGTTCGCTGTAAGTTGGTGTAGTTATGGAAATGATGATCTGTAGTTCGTCTGAGAGAGTTGCAAGATTCTAAACAGAGAGCTTTTTCAAAAAAAAAAAAAAAAAAGCATGGTTAAAGGTTAACAGCATCAAAACCACATTTTAAAGTGTTTGTAAAATGTGGTCTTAAAAGTCCCCAGGCATGGTTTTTGAAATCTTCTGGGTTGAGCTCTCGTTCAATAGGGAACTTGCCTTGCAGCAAAGCAGATGCACTTGAATCCTGCCCTGGGAAGAGACCTCCTCCAAGGGTTGAGGAAGAGTTTAGATTCTCTCAGCTGCATTCCATTTCTCTCTAGTCTCTGAAGACTGACAACTGGGGATTTGTAAAGTGGGCATTTATCCACCTCTGAGAACAGTTCTGGAACGATCTGTTCAATTTGGGCAAGCTACGGAGTAACCATCTGTGGGTGACTATTTTTGCATGTAATTTTGAATAAATTTAAAATAATGTCCTAGAGGCAAAATTCTCTTCTTTCTCAGTCACAAGTGATCCTGAGACAAATGGGCCCCCAGCTAGAACTGACTCACTCAAAATGTACAAACATCTCCAATGTCACCTCAACAACCTCTTTCTGAATATGAATTACTTTCCTCTACCTTGTAAAAAATAATTTATATTAGATACTGTCTCATCTTCCTGACATACTAGGGGTTCCTTTGAGGCTAATCATTTTTTTTTTTCTTTAAGAGATAGTCTCACTCTGGTGCCTGGGCTAGAGTTTATTCGTGTGATTATACCTCACCGTAACCTTGAACGCCTGGGCTGAACCCATCCTCCTGCCTCAGCATCCCTAGTAGCTGAGATTACAGGCCTGGCTAGTTTTTTTATTTTTTGTAGGGATAGAGTCTTGCTATGTTGCCCAGGCTGGTCTTGAACTCTTGGGCGCAAGCAATCCTCCCACGTTAGCCTCCCAAAGCGCTGCACCTAGCCCAGTGTTAGTTCTTAATATTGCTTCTTGAGTTTTATGTGGGATCAAAGTAAAATGGTGAGGTCTGGATTAAGTAAACAGAGCAGACATTATAAACAAAGGATGTTCCTATACAAAACAGGGTACCCGCCTTCCAGTTGTCTGCCCATCACCCAAGAATTTTGACTGTTGCAGGAAAAAAGTTTGCAATTAAAGATTGATTCCGCAATGCGACTCATCACAGTGTGAGACCAGCACTTTTTATATGATTGTTTGAAATATAAATTTATATAATTTTATTAGAGCAATTTGACAATATATGTTCAGAGATTTAAAAACATGTACACCATTGACTGTAACTCTTAACTCTGTAAAAAATGCTTATTCACATAAATAAAAATATCTTCAAAAAATATTTTTAAAATTAAAATAGTTATTTTAATTTTAATTTTATTTTCATTTTAGATTTAATTTTAAATTTAATTTTAATTTTAAAATTAGAATTCAGAGTGATTGCACAAAATGTCAAATGCATTGTTTATAGCTTGTATTTAAGGGGTCTACAAATAGAGCTCTTCCTCCCCACTTTTATTCTCACTATTCTGTGGCATATCTAAAAAGTTTTTGTGTCATGTGGGCATACACATGAATACACATACAAAATCATACGCCTTCTAAAAGAAGACAATGACCTTCTAACAAAACTATCTCAAGCACTTCCCCTTTGAATAGAGAAGTGGTTTTCAAGAAGTTATGCCGCAACTAAATCCTTGGGCCGTAACTCTCAGCCTTGTTTAATAGTCTTTGATCTTTTCTTCCCTCCTGTTATAAGGCAAATATTCAGTGTTTAATGTGAATCACTGAGAGGATGGGGTAGCGGTATTGCATTTATTGTGAGCAAACACAGTCTTTATTATTTCCATGCTCATAAAATTATGTCCTATTTTTTCATCTCCAACTACTCTTAATTTTATATTGTTAGATATTAGGGAAAGGACATGTACCTATTAATGCAACTGTACCTCACTGCTGAAATGCCAACCATGGGAATATTTATTCATAGCAAATGTTACATTGTATTTATATTATAATCTAGCTTTATATTATAGAAAATATTATATTCAATAATATTTATTAAATACTATTTTGTTATATTAGCAAAACATTTTAATATTTTAATACTATTTTATTATATAACAAGTACCATTTTATTTCTATTAATTTTAATAAAATGATATTTTGCTTTATCTTTAGAGGAGGGGATCAGTGTCACTCTGCATAGAGGTGTCTACAATATTATTCAGCTAAGGTTCTGGTGTTTGTTCTTAACTTATTCAATGTGCTTGAGTTAGAAAACAACACACTCAAAATAAGATTTTTTTTTAAAGTTTGTGGAAAAAATATATTAAACAAAAATATAGACTAAGTATAGAGGAACCTTGAAAGAATATGGGCTAGCATCAGTGAAACTGTTACCAAACCTAAATTCAAAGTCAGGAGTAGAGAGAGAAGTTGCCAGAACCAGGAGGGAGAAGGGGATGCAGAGAATTAGCTGCTTTGCGAAGAGCAGTGGCCAATGCCTGCAGGAAACCTCATAGGAAGGCACCCTAGGGCTTTAACACCCTACCTTCACCCTCATTCTTTTGTCTGGTGGTCAACTAGGATGCCCCAGGAGTTTACTTGTTCACAAACTCAATGCCAGGAAATTAGGTGATGGGGTGCCAGCAAAGCTATGCCAACTTAGGCTTCATTATTAGAAAAACAGCAATCAGAACAAGGAGGGTGCTGGTGCATAGTCTCTGCATTGGTCATTAGCATATTTTTGCTAATTTCTTGGAAATTCATTTTAAGAAAAGCAGAAAAAAATGCATCATTTGGAAAAAAAGAACAATGTATGGTAAAGAGTCTGAAATAGGCTTAACACTGAAGATGGACAAAGCGTTGTTACAGAGGGAAAATAAAAGAAAAACTATGATATAGACAAAGTATATTCACAAGTCATTAATTGCTAATGAAGCAACTGAATACCACTCAGATTATCTTAAGCAAAAAGGGGAGATCATTGCTTATTTAGCCATGAAGGCCGAGAATGGTTTTGCTTTGTTCTTGTGCCAGCCCCTGGAATCATGACTATACAAGGGACAGAGTGTTAACTTCTGGTCACTCCAATCACAGGCCACCAAGAGAGTCTCACCAAGGCTGCAAGGAGTGAAGGAAGGAAAAACAGCTCAAGAAGGGAATGTGGACAGAGAAGAACAACATATTCACTATAGATCATGAACACGGTCCTTAAAAGATTCTCACAACAAAGGAGAGTTAGAATTTGTTTATGAAGGTCCATAAGACTTAAACTGGGCAATTATAGAGATTTAGACATTGACTAAATTATTTAAATATATAAATAAAATTGGAGGTTCTACGCCTATCACTAGAAATGTTTCAGCAAAGATTAAAATAATTGTCTAAATATTTTGTAGAAACTTCTGCATCTATTGCAATGGTTGGGAGGCTAGAAATCTATTTCTAAAAGTGTAGGTGTGATCTATTAGAAAACAGGGCTTGGAAACAGAGTATTTTTTATTTTATTTTATTGAACATTAAAAATTCCTTTTGGCTGGGCATGGTGGCTCATGCCTGTAATCCCAGCACTTTGGGAGGCCAAGGTGGGCGGATCACGAGGTCAGGACATGGAGACCATCCTGGCTAACATGGTGAAATCCTGTATCTACTAAAAATACAAAAAATTAGCCAGGCGTGGTGGCGGACGCCTGTAGTCCCAGCTACTCGGGAGGCTGAGGCAGGAGAATGGTGTGAACCTGGGAGGCAGAGCTTGCAGTGAGCTGAGATCTTGCCAGTGCACTCCAGCCTGGGGGACAGAGTAACACTCCGTCTCAAAAAAAAAAAAAAAAAATTCCTTTTTTTCTCTCTACCACTATCCCCTAGTGTCTCTTCTTTCAGATATAATGATATTGCAATGAGCCAGTGTGTGATTCAATAGTAAGTACAAAATATACATAAACTCAATGTCTGAGTAGGCTATAGGCATAGAAAACAAAGAAAGAAATATTTTCTCTTTCATGAAGCTCCACGTTCTCTATAGGGCTATTTAAATATTTAAAACATTGGCTCTTGACAACTACCTTTAAAATGATACATTATAATCCCTATCCTATAGATGAGGAAAGAGACTCACGGATCCAGGTCACACATTTGACTAAGTAAACTTAGAATTTTAACCAAATTCTTCTTTATTATAGAAGCTGAAGCCCTCCCTATGACATCAGGAAATATCTCTGTAAAACTCTCTAGTAAGGTATTTGGTGTAACATTCAATGCATTATTTTGCTTTATCTTTAGAGGAAGGGAACAGTGTCACTTTCCAGAAAGATGTCTATTATTTAGCTGAAGGGCTGGTATTTGTTCGTAACTTATTCAATGTACTTGAGTTAGAAAACAACCAACACATTCAAAATTAAGATTATTTCTTAAAAGTTTATTGAAAGAATATTAAACAAAGTTACAGACTAAGTATAGAGGAACTCATCACTCTGTTTTTGGCTAAAAGAAATCTAAAGGATTAAAGCAGTTATTAGCACCGCATAACATTAAAGCAGTTCTTTGGTAAAACATTAAAAAGGATTACTTCTCATCTCAACACTACTTTTGAATAAGCATTGTAGCTGTCCAAAAGATATTGTGTTCTGTTCCATTTAAAAACAAAACAAAATAAAAACCGGCAAAGATATCAGTTTGGTACTCAGAAAAGAATTTCAACTGGATTTTAAAAGAGCAGGACAGTTTTAATGGACAATCAAATGTTTGTTCATAAGGCACTTTATCTGAAAATAAAGTTAAGGATACAGTTGAAAGAAGAAAGATGCGGGCTAGGTATTTTCTAAGATGAAGTTTATTAAAGATTAAGGAGAGAGTTAATCCCTGATAAGTGTGCACAATTACACGATAGTATTTCCTGTACAATGATTATTTTATTGATTGTTTCTTATCTTTAACTGTTAGCTAATCTCCAGCAGTATAAATGCACTGTATGCTCTTGGGATTTTTAAAGAGTTATAAAAATGACTTAGATGGTTTATTACATGCATTTGTAAATTAATTCAAATGTAAATGTCTGAACAAATAGAATTATGTTGTTTTCTACCAAAATATCCTGTGGTAAGATACTTAACTACTCGTGTACTTTGTCATGTGGTGAAGATAAAACATTTTCCTACTTCATAGGGATCTTGGAGGAATAACTTAAGTTACACAGATGAAAATTCAGTGACGTTCTCAGAAGAAATTTTCATAAATATTTCTAATTCTTGTTATTATAAATCCATTACTGACTGCATTTCTTTGGGAATAGGATGTTCTAGTTAATCTAATTTTATGTTAAACTAAACATTAGTGGATAATGTCATTTTATTCCTGTACACATTGCTTAAATGGTTTATAAAATTTCTCAAGACATTTTTTCTTGCCTAAACATAGTCCAGTGAGCATAAACAACCCTCTATATGAACATTTGCAACTTGATGATATTATGTTTCGAGTATCTATGAGGTGTGGAAAGTTGAACTAAGCCTCTATTGACACGAGTTGAGATGATTTATTGATTGGCTATCCATGAAAAAGATTGTAAATGTCCCCTCTCTTTGTACATTAGTTTAAGATTATAGTTGTTTGGATTCTAGTTTGATTGTTATATATTACCTTAAAAGTAGTTGTAATAGAAGTGTTAGGGGTTCAGTCAGGATGGCAGAAGAAATGATAGGAATAGAAAAAAGCAAACCTTCTTGGAAAGCCAGGAAGTTTTGCATAGCGTCAGGTAGTTTGGCTGAAGGCAGCCAGAGTCTGTTTTCAGGAGCCAGAGAGCTTAGGGTGCGGATACAAAAGAATGTAGAATAGTTTATCTAAATAGCTTGTTTACTCATGTGGTCCTAAGACTAACCTTTAATCATTGGCAGGCAAGATGGCCCTCTCCAGAGTGGGTGTGACCAGGTTAATTACCCACAGGTGTGTTGACTCAAAGCCTTTGTCATTTAATGTGTGCTGAATAAATGCCAGCCAGGCCAGCTAGTCAAGGCTGTGGCTGCCAACTCTTTACAGCACCTTCCTTGGTGTCTGTGAGGGGCGCAGATCCTTAGCTAGACTGACAAGCAGAATATCTGTTTCAGTGTACGTTATTCATCTATCATTGGGTCAGGGTCTGCGGGAAAGACCCCCGCACAGAAGCTCATGGTAAAGTTTCAGAGAGTACTGTAAAACTTGAAGAAATTCAATGGTACATGAAGAAAAACGTTTCTTTTTTTTTTTTTTTGAGACGGAGTCTCGCTCTGTCGCGCAGGCTGGAGTGCACTGGCGTGATCTCGGCTCACTGCAAACTCCACCTCCCGGGTTCACGCCATTCTCCTCCCTCAGCCTCCAGAGTAGCTGGGGCTACGGGCGTCCGCCACCACAGCCGGCTAATTTTTTGTATTTTTAGTAGAGACGGGATTTCACCGTGTTAGCCAGGATGGTCTCGATCTCCTGACGTCATGATCTGCCTGCCTCAGCCTCCCAAAGTGCTGGGATTACAGGCGTGAGCCACAGCGCCAGGCAGAAAAACGTTTCTAATAAAAATCTCACAATACAAAAAAAAAAAAAAAAAAAAGAATGTGTGTTGTGTGAGGGAGGAGGGATTTACCTTTATGGTTTATTATGATAAAAGCTGTCTATTCCCCTGAAGCTTTTATCTTGATAGACAAATGTATGAGAGCTTGGATCTATTTTCTGACGTTAATTGTTGTTGTTAACTATTTACTACTTATCTGATTATATTGGATGTGTATATTCGAAATTTGATTGTTCCCAATATCTGACTTTTCCAAAATTATTTAACTTCTTCAAGTTAAGGCATTATCAGCAGAAAGCTGGTAAAAGCCAATTAATTTTCCTAGTGCACTGTGGCTACATACTATTAAATTATCTTGATATCATATAGGTGGAGCCATACCAAAGGAAAGAGATTTCTGTTTCTGGCTAAGATGTAGAAAGCTGAAAAGAACATTGTTCCCATTCTAACAATGAGATAAAGACAAAAAAAAAAAAACCCATAAAATTATAACTTTTTTGAGCACATTAGATACCTGAGGTTGCAGTCCAACCAAATTACTTAAATTCCAAAGAGGAACATACCTCTATAATAAGAGATAAAACAGAAGAATAGTCTTATCTGAGTCAAAGAATTAGGGAAATAAGGGGCTACTCAACAGCTTCCATGAAAGAAAATTTAAAAATCAGCTGAAATTTTATAAAATTATTAAATGCCAAGGGTGAGCTAGCTTTCAGGTACGGCTGAAATAATTGAGGGCCCAGATACTCTCTTGCAAGCTCTTTTAAAAGTACCTCCTGCAGTAATTTATGAGATAGTCTGGAACAGAACAGACCAAAAAGAGCTGTTCTTGCTGACGCAAGACTGTAGAAAATGATCTGTAGCTACTGGGGCCTGGGAGATACAAATTCCTACAATTATATTTAGTCTTTTCTCCTATGAATCAAAGACCTACAGCACTTGGAGGAGGGACAACAACCCACACTTTAAGGACACTGACAAAGACCCATTTTCACTGTGGAAAAAGCAGAAGAAAAATTCCTGTAAAAACTATCCTGGGCCCAGAATCTATTATCTATCACCAATTCGAGGTCTGCTATCATGGGGTAGGATCAGAGAATACCTTGTAAGAACCAACCACAGAACAAGGACATAGCTGGCTGACATGAGGTGAAGGAGTAAGAATGCTGAGATAGTTCCCTCCTCCCCAGGAGGCCTGGCACACAAGGTCTGTCTAAGCTGAGGCTGAACGTGGACAAGAGTGAATCCTTGCCAGACACCACCACTAGCCCAGAATCCAAAAGGTAAGAGCAGGCTACCAGTATGGGAGGAGGACAGTACTATGGAGTGAGACCCCTGCTGCAGTGCAGTTTGCAGAGATTATGAAAGTTGAAGGTATATCACAAACACTAAGAAAAAAAACAAAAAAACAAAGAGCAGAAAACCAAAAATCTCTGGCACTTCAGCCACCCCTTTGAGCACAAGGCAACGGTCCTGTAAAACAATACGAAGCCTGCAGTAAATAAAAGAAGTAGCAGCAGCAAAACTCAAACTTGGTTAAACTGAAAATGTTCAAATAACAAAAGAAGGCAGGGAAGGGGAAACAGAAAAATAAAGCAAAGGGAAGAAAAAGTAAACATACATGATAGAGTGGTAGGCATAATTCAAAATCCCAATATTTACATTAAATGTAAATGGCTACACAAACCAAGTAAAATACAGACATTGTCGGCCGGGCGCGGTGGCTCACGCCTGTAATCCCAGCACTTTGGGAGGCAGAGGCAGGCGGATCACGAGGTCAGGAGATCGAGACCATCCTGGCTAACACAGTGAAACTCTCTGTGCTAAAAATACAAAAAATTACCCGGGCATGGTGGTGGGCACCTGTAGTCCCAGCTACTCGGGAGGCTGAGGCAGGAGAATGGCGTGAACCCGGGAGGTGTATCTTGCAGTGAGCCGAGATTGTGCCACTGCACTCCAGCCTGGGTGACAGAGCGAGACTCCGTCTCAAAAAAAAAAAAAAAAAAATGCAGACATTATCAGAATGGACCAAATAAAAAAATCAAATATATCCTTTCCATAAAATGTTACTTTATGTAATGATATAAATAAGTTAAAAATAAAAGGATAGGGAAAAGGATACCATGGAAACACTAATGAAGAGAAAGCTGAAGTGACTAAATGATTATCAAAGCATATTTCAGAGCAGAGAAATTTAAAAGGAACAATGAGAGATATTACATAAAAATCAAAGGGTCAAGTTGCCAAGAAGAGATAAAAACCCTAATTGTATATGTATCTAATAGTAGAGCTTCAAAATACTATTTTGAAGCCAATACTAAAGCCAGTTGTATATTCTTTGGAGAAATGTATATTTATTCTCTTGCCCATTTTTAAATAGACTTGTTTGTTTTTGTTGTTGTTGAGTTTTAGGAGGTCTGTGTGTATTTTGGTTATTAATCTCTTATCAGATATTTCATTCGCAAATATTTTCTCCTATTCTGTGGATTGCCTTTTGTCTGTGATTTTGATAAATAATTTTAAAAAAATTTTTATGGTGGCTGAGTGCAGTGGCTCATGCTTGTAATCCCAACACTTCAAGAGGCTGAGGCGGGTGGATTACTTGAGATCAGGAGTTTGAGACCAGCCTGGCTAACATAGTGAGACCCCCTGTTTCTACTAAAAATATGAAAATTAGCTGGGCATGGTGTCACATGCCTGTAATCCCAGCTACTTGGGAGGCTGAGGGATGAGAATCACTGGAATCCAGGCGGCGGAGGTTGCAGTGAGCCAAGGTTGTACCACTGCACTCCAGCCTGGGTGACAGGGCAAGACGCTGTCTCAAAAAAAAAAAAAAGACTAGGAGCAGTGGCTCACACTTGTAATCCCAGCACTTTGGGAGGCTGAGGCAGGCGGATCATGATGTCAAGAGATCGAGACTTATCCTGGTCAACATGGTGAAACCCTATCTCTACTAAAAATACAAAAATTAGCCACGCATGGTGGTGCATGCCTGTAATCACAGCTACTCAGGAGGTCAGGAGGCTGAGGCAGGAGAATCTCTTGAACCTGGGAGGCGGAGGTTGCAGTGAGCCGAGATCATGCCACTGTACTCCAGCCTGGACGACAAGACTCTGTCACAAAAAAAAAAAAAAAAAATTATGATGCCCAATTTTTCTTTGTATTTTTTGTTGTGTTGCCTGTGCCTTTGGTTATATCCCAGAAGTTACTGCCAAATCTAACGTTGGGAAGCTTTTGCCCTGTGTTCCCTTCTAAGAGTTTTATAATTTTAAGTCTTATATTTAGGTCTTTAACCCATTTTGGGTTAATTTTTGTATATGGAGTTAGGTAAAGGTCCAATTTCTTTATTTTGCTTGTGGATATAGTTTTCAGTATCATTTATTGAAAAGATTGTTCTTTTCTCATTTAATAATCACAGCACCCTTGTCAAAAAACATTTGACCATACATGTGAGGATTTGCTTATGAGCTCTCTATTCTATTCTGTGTTCATTAATCATCAGAGAACTTCAAATCAAAACAAGAAAATAGCACTCAATACCCATTAGGATGACTCCTATTAAAAAACAAAAAACAGAAAATAACAAATGTTAGCAAGCATGTGGAGAAATTAGAACCCTTGTGTAGTATTGATAGGAGTATAAGATTGTACAGCTGGAAGAAAGTATGGTGGTGCCTCAAAAAATTAAAAATACAGTTACCATATAATACAGCATTTACGTTTCTGGGTATATATCCAAAATAACTAAAATCAGGGTCTTGAAGAGATATTTACCAAATTTATTTCAGCATTACTCATGATAGCAAAATGTGGAAGAAACCCGTTTCCATCAACAGATAAATGGATAAGCAAAGTGTGGTATATACATACAATAGAATATTATTTAGCCTTAAAAGGAAAGAAAATTATGATAAATGCTACAACATGGATGAACCTTAAGGACATTATGCTAAGTGAAATAAGCCAGTCGTAAAAAGGCAAATATGGTATGAGTCTACTTACATGAGGTAATTAGAATAGTCAAAAATCATAGAGATAAGAAATAGAATGGTTGGTGCCAGGAGCTGGAGAGAGGGAGGAATGGGGAGTTCAGTTTTACAAGACAAAAAAGTGTTATGGTGGTGATGGGTGCATGACATTCTGGATGTATTTAATACTATTGAATGTTACACTTAAAATAGTTAGAATGATAAATTTTATATTATGTGTATTTTACTACAATAACAAACACAAACAAACCAAATACATAAAGCCAAAACTGAATAAACTGAAAGGAAAATTAAAACAAACTCAGTCATAAAAAGGAATGAATGAATGGCATTTGCAGCAAGTTGGATGGAACTGGAGATTGTTATTCTGAGAGAAGTAACTCAGGAATGGAAAAACCAAACATCGTACATTCTCACTCATAAGTGGGAGCTAAGCTATGAGGATGCAAAGGCATAAGAATGATAGGAGGGACTTTGGGGACTAGGGGAAAGGGTGGGAGGGGAGTGAGGGATAAAAGACTACAAATTGCATTCAGTGTATACTGCTTGGATGTTGGGTGCACCAAAATCTCACAAATCACCACGAAAGAACTTACTCATGTAACCAAAATACCACCTGTTCCCCAAAGCCTATGGAAATAAAACATTTAAAAATAAATAAATAAAACAAACACATAGATCCACTATTACAGTTGAAGACTTTGACATTTCTTTCTCAGTAATCAACAGAACACATGGAAAGAAAATCAGGCAGGGATGTGCTTTTTAGAGAATGATTTAAAAACACTGACGCTAATCACCATACTAGGTAAGAAACATCAGAAATGAGGCATTGGTTAGCTTATGTTTCCACACTATCTTCCTGTAGAATTAGCAAAATATCATTAGTAATTCCTCTGCTGAATTAGGCAATAAAATCAATGATATATACATGCATAATCTGTCTTAAGAATAATTTTGGTTACTGTACTTTTCTCTGTTTGATTAGAGTTTAAATGAGTCCCAGGGTCATAGGTAAAAATTACTCAGTTCCTGCTCATAATCTGACCTTTTTCCTTCTCACCATGTGGCAACTTCCTGTCCTACAAGACCTAGAAAGTAGCTGAGGTGGGAGAATTACTTGAACCCGGGCGGCAGAGGTTGCAGTGAGCCAAGATTGTGCCACTGCACTCCAGCCTGGTTGACAGAGCAAGACTCTGTCTCAAAAACAAACAAACAAATAAATAAATAACAATCTAGAAAGTGTATGTGTCAGCTGGGTGTGGCGGCTCACACCTATAACCCCAGCACTTTGGGAGGCTGAGATGGGCAGATAACCTGAGGTCAGAAGTTCAAGACCAGTCTGGCCAACATGGTGAAAACCTGTCTCCAAAAAAACACAAAAATTAGCTGGGCATGATGGTAGGTGCCTGTAGTCCCAGCTACTCAGGAGGCTGAGGTGGGAGAATCACTTGAACCCAGGAGGTGGAGGTTGCAGTGAGCTGAAAGATCAACCAGCTGCACTCCAGCCTGGGCAACAGAGCGAGACTCCGTCAAAAATAATAATAATAATAATCATCATCATCATCATCATCTGGAAAGTGCATGTGTCTCACTTCTTGAGAGGCTTCCTCCATGCTCTCCCACCTAACCCTGCCATTAAGGGGGCTCCAGGAGAGACATAAGTCTCTGAAAACCACATTCCTCTTATTTTCTGAGAACTGTTGCAAGAATGGGGTGAGGTCTAATAGATGTGATCAGTTGAATGGTGTGTTTGAAGCACTCTTGTAACAGAAGCAGCAAGAGCTCAATTGTGCTGTTAACTCCGTAGGGCATCTATGGATGACCTTTTACACTAATACCTTCATTGTGGTTCTCAAGAAAACAAAATAGATATTTTATTAACTGTGGCCCTGAGACATATTCTTATAAACTTGATTTTACAAAAGATAAATACAATTGTCCCTGTTTTTTCTCTACTCTCTCAGGAATCTTATTATCCTTGACCATTTGCTTAGTTGAACTAATTCCTCTGCTTAAAATTGAAAGGAGAGCATCCCAAATTTTGTTGTTGTTCATGTAGGGTCACACAAAAATATGTGGGGGCACTTTGTAATAATCACACCACTTTTGGTGGTGTGTCAGCTGGCTGAGTTTTGGTTGTTGGTGGCAATTTTATAGCAACTTTATAGAAAAGATTCTAATTCACAGCCAGTTCTGCTGAAAAATAAGAAAATGCTGAGACTAACAAAATCACAAGAGCTTAGAAACTAAACGTTTATTAAAAGGTGCTGCATTAGAGAATAAGTACATTACCGTCCAGAGGAAATACAAAGAGGAGAACACAACTGCCCCTCACTCCACCACCATAACTATAAGCTAGCAGAAAACATACCTCTTCATCATTTATGGATTATTAACTATATTTTTAAAATCAGTTTCTCTATCCAAAGTTGTAAATTTGGCTCATTTACATAATATCTTCTTGTAGAATTTCATGGTGTGTACAGTGTTCGGATGACTTAAACATGCTGATACCAGGGCTAGAGAGAGGCAGTGATTGAGATGACCAAAATCTCTATTCTAAACTTTAAAAACAGTGTTGCCAAAAAAGGGAGAAATTCCGCCATCTGTCAGTTACATTTAGAATTAAAATTATATAACTTTTCTAAATATTAGAAATTATTTGCATATTTTTATAATATAGATAAGAAAAGTTTAAGCTCCAGAGTTGTTTACACAGGAAGTTAGGAACAGAGCAGTGAGTGTAACCCAAATGAGCCAGTTCCTTGACGATCATCTCCGTAATGACTCCAAGCTGCAGGTAATTGTCCAGATAGTCCCTAGAGCAAGAGCCACTAGTTCAACATTGTAGAGAAAGTGATCACAGCTGAGGAGAAATATCATGGGGCATCTGTCCCTGTTGCATTTTGCAGTGTATAATAAATGGATGTGTTAAATTTCCACTCTATTTCTTCTTTACCACTGGCTCATTTTGGAACCTGAATTTTAATACCGTTCAGCCAGGGTTCTGTTCAGGAAAATAGGATCATTGTACATGAAAAAAGTCTTGTTTTCTCACTTATGCATAATTCATAAGGAAGTGAAGAAGAAACACTAACCAAAAAGAGGAAATGATATTAACAAAAATGCACTTCTATATAGTTACATGAAAACATTATAGATTTGTGTTGTGTAAGGGTACCAAATTCTAAAACCTGTATTCACCCTTTTGAAGCTACTGGTACAGCTTATGAAATCTTGCATTTTGAATAAATTGTCTCAGTAATGTGCTGTTTAATAAAAACAAGAGCTGCTATGTCTAATTTATAGCAGTCCTACTGAAGAGAATGATAAGGAGAAATAAAAGTTCTGGTTCCATAAAAGATGGTTTAAAGTATACACTTTGATTCCAACCAAAGAACAAAAGGTATCAGTCTTTGCCACACAGGTTTTATACAGTTTTTGATGAAAGCGTATGCTTAACTCAGCAAGTTGATTGAAGGATTATAGTCAAGAATCTCCTGTGGAAAATGCCAGTACCTTACAGTACCAATTGGGAACAGAGGCAGGGTTGGAAGAATTATTGGACGGTAGAAGAGAAGTAACAAAAAATAAAGAGGAAAGGGTGTGCTGTAACTTAAACTAGAGTGAAGCAAAACCTTACTCTTTTTCCCTAAGAAAATAGGGCCAAACGTTATTTCATATTGCCTTGCTTTCCACCCTGGGATCCAACTCCCTCTGCCACGGCAGGACTGTGTGTCCTTTGCCTTGAGTTGACAGAGAACTGTTCTTTTGCTTCTAATTAAAACAGTCAGGGGTATTACTGATTAAAGGTGGGGAAGCAGAGAACTGTTTTCATTTTATTCCAAATTAGTTTGAGCTTACCCAAGATCAAAGAAAATCCAGACCTGAGAAAACAAACAGACCACAAGCAAGTAATTTGTTGACCTGATGCTATTTCCTGGAATTAAAGTTATTGTGGCCCTTTGAAAGGCTAGCTCAGCAATCATGAATCCATCAAAAGAGCGTCTAGCCAGGGAACATCTCAGGGTTCCCTGTTTCTGAAAGCACACTTTGAAATCTAGATTTTAGTAACACGAAGTCCAGTCCGAATATTATCAAAGGCTCAAACACAAGTGGATTTCAGTTGAAACATATATGCAAGCATACACAAACACACACACACACACACACACACACACACACACACACACAGCCCTGTGTGCAACAGTTTGCTTGTCTGGGGCTTTTGGTTGTATGTTTGTCATTAGGATAGCCTTCTGCTGCTAACAGCTCAGCCACTCCATAGGATGTGCTAGTGAAATGACCTCCTTCGGAGTTGACAATTACATCTATTTTCTTACTGTATTAGAAATATCAGCTTTTTTTTTCTAGAACCCATTGTTTTCATGACATTTCCTTTTTAATTTTTTTTTTCAGGGCAGTAATAAAAATCTACTCACTTAAAGTCCTAAAACTTTCGACTAATTTTCTTTTCATCCCAGATACTTGGATGCAAAGTAGAATTGAGATAGAGGATTGAAGAGAACATACAAGTGAATATTTTGGGCCTTATTGTGAAAATTTGGACAAAACAAAAATGGTCAAAAGCAAACATGTACGCTGTAATATAAATACATTTATCACCCATGCTAAATAAAGCACAAATCTTACATCATACAGTTCTATTTCTCATGATGTACACAACACTTTCTAAACTGAATGCTTAGTGGATATGTGAATTTTTAAAGTGCAACTGATATTTATATTTAAATGTTAAATTTAAGGGTAAAGATGAAGTCAAAACATTCTCACCAGTTATTTAATAGGTATAAGTGAGCTGAACCATAATAAGGAAAGAAAAATCTTTACATTCTACTCTAATGAGGAAGGAAAAATCCATACATTCAAATGAGTTTGGGTATCAGAACTCCAGGGTCAGACTTTTGGAAAATAATGAGACCGATAGATATGCAAAGAGATACTTAAAATTAAGTATTACATGAGATATTTAAATTGCTTGCTGGTCCTTTGAGTCATCTCTCTTTGGTGGTGCTTTGAAAATTGTCTTTATCAGAGAATTTTTGAATGGATATTTGAAGAGCTCAATAAATATTTTATGCTATCTATTTTGTGACTTCTGTACTTAGGATAGATGAAAAAAGAAAATGAAAGAGAAAATGAAGAATGAGAGAAAGGCAAAGACACTTTGTCCAAAATTTAACAGAGCTATTTTAAAGAAAATTGTCTTAGCCTAAATGTGACTTTAAAAAAATCTTTCATATGTTACTCAAGAAATGAAATATATAGTAACATTACATTTATACCTCTTTTTACTTAATGTATATTTTATTTTCATTTATTTTCTGTTTTTTAAGGAAATCATAAAAAGTACTAAAATTTATACAATTTTCTACTGACTTGCCTCCTCTGTTCCAAATCTCTGTGCTAAATAATGGATAGATAATTGTGTAGTGTGGCGCTTAATCACTTGTGACTTTAATACTAGAACCCTTGAACCAATAGACCTGAATAAACTCAAACACTAGAGACTTGTAAAAACATATTTTTTAAAACATTCATACGTCTTCTTACAATGCAGTATAGGATTCCTCATTGATAACTACATTAGGATGCTTAGCAAGTTCTAAATGAATTCAGAGAAAGAAGCATTGTTATGGTGTTTATTAGCTTGCTTGCTTTCTTTCTGTCTCTCTCTCTTTCTTTTTTTCTTTCTTCCTCTTTCTTTTTTTTGAGATGGAGTTTTGCTCTTGTCACTCAGGCTGTAGTACAATGGCGTGACCTCGGCTCCCTGCAACCTCCACCTCCCAGGTTCATGCCAATCTCCTGCCTCAGCCTCCTGAGTAGCTGGGATTACAGGCATCCACCACCATGCCCAGCTAATTTTTGTATTTTTAGCAGAGATGGCGTTTCACCATGTTGGCTAGGCTGGTCTCAAACTCCTGACCTCAGGCGATCCGCCCATTTCGGCCTCCCAAAGTGCTGGGATTACAGGCGTGAGCTACCGTGACAGGCCTGTTTATTAGGTTTCTATTGTGCAATAACAAATTACAGTCAATTTAATGACTTGAACAACACAAATGTATTATCCAAAATCCAGCAAAGGTTTCAAGCAGGCTGTATCCTTCTCAGGAGGCTCTAGAAAAAGCCTGTTACCTCATTTAGGCTGTTGGGTGAGTACATATCCTTAGTGGTGTAGGGTGGAGGCTCCCATCTTTTGGCTGTCTCAAGTGAGGGCCATTTCCAGCTCCTGGAACCACCTATATTCCTCACCTTTCACCCTATTCTTCCATCTGCAAAGCTAGCAACATTAAAGCTTGTCCCTCTCACTCTTTGAAACTCTTTCCTTTTTCCTGTCTCATCTTGCTCTCTGGCCCAGCTAGGAAAGATTTCCTGCTCTAAAGAGATTATATCATTAGATTGTTATCTATCTAGATAATCCAGAATAATTGTCCATCTCAAGAATTTAATAGCACCCACAAAGTCCTGCTTTCCATGTAAGGTAACAGATGAATAGATTCTGGTGACTAAGTCATAGGCATTTTTGGGAGGCTATTATTCTCTCTAACACAAGTTGTTAAATGATGCAAAGTTTCTAAGGGAAGAGGTAGACTAGTTTTTTTTGTTTTGTTTTGTTTTGTTTTGAGACGGAGTCTTGCTCTGTCGCCCAGGCTGGAGTGCAGTGGTGCGATCTCAGCTCACTGCAAGCTCTGCCTCCCGGGTTCAGGCCATTCTCCTGCCTCAGCCTCCCAAGTAGCTGGGACTACAGGCGCCCCCCACCACGCCCAGTTAATGTTTTGTATTTTTAGTAGAAACGGGGTTTCATAGTGTTAGCCAGGATGGTCTCGATCTCCTGACATTGTGATCCGCCTGCCCTTGGCTTCCCAAAGTGCTGGGATTACAGGCGTGAGCCACCACGCCCAGCCTAGGTAGACTAGTTTTAAGAGAACATAGAACTAAAAAAATGTGGAAAAATACTGTGGCTTGAAGCTGTCATTATAATTAAGCACTATTGATGCATCGATGTCTCACACGGGCAAACATTTTTTTTTTTAGGCAATGAGCAACTATGTACAAATTATTTATGTAGAATGGTGGGTATCAGACGGTATTGAGAGAAGAAGTAATTTGTGCAATCTTCAGCTTAAAACAAGGTTTCTTTCATTGAATTTCTTTTTAAATTTTGGCTGCATCTAATAATTATCTACTCTAGACTGTATCTACGTAGAAAAACAATGTCTGACAATAAATAGATGCCATGAGAGCCAAAAGTGTAATTACAAGTAAAATAGCAGAGCCTCTGTCCTCATGGAATTGTTTATTTATTCGATTCGGATTTGCACATATTCGTAATGAACTAAGTAATTGGATAATTAAATTCACAAGATTTTTTAAACTTTGTTTTAATTTACTTCTCCATAGCACCAAGTAGATATGAAAGAAATACTGTTGCCAAATAAATGGGTGAATTGCTTCCCAAGTACAAAGCACATGCTTGAAAATTTAGGGCCACCAAAATGTTTTATAAGCAAAAAAAAATCTCTTTCAAATTCCATCAATTTGTTGGTAAGTTGTATCCTGAGAATATAAAGCATAACATGCACTTTGCTGACTGCTAAAGATAGAATTATAAACAAGGTAAAAGCAAGTATGTATTTTGTGTGAATTTTTCCATTCCTTATTCAAAAAAGATTAAGAAAGCTTATGACTTGAGCATTTTAGAGTATGGTGAGGAACACATATAAATATAATGTGAGTTCTACTAAGATTTACAGCTTGGGAATTTATAGATAACATTAAATAATGGGAAAATTATAATAGAATACACATAAAACAGATAGATATAATCACATATCTTTGGATATCCATCAGAGAGCAATGAATCTACCTGAAAGACTCATGCAAGCCTTTCCCAAAGTTTTGCATTTTAGCCATTTAATCACCTCAGAGAGATAAGAGAAGATAATGCATCCATAAAACAAGAAGAGGATGATACAAACACCAGAGAATAGAAAAGGTCTCAGAAATGGCATCTATAATACAAAGGAAACAGTCAATAAAAAGATTAGAAGATAAACAACATACAGTATAAACTGGAAGGATTTAAAAATCAAAGGTAAAGAATTATAATGTTAGAATCAATCAAACCAGTAGATTCAATATCCAAGTAATTTGATAGAGAAAAATGAAGAGAGGAAATCATTCAGTCAATTGATGAAAGTTCCTGAGAACTGGACAGGTAGAAATGAAACAATTAATACAAAGATTGGAAGGTAAACTTGAGAAAACCTCATACAACATACAGTACAAACTGGAAGGATTTAAAAATCAAAGGTAAAGAATTGTAATGTTGGAATGAATCAGTGTAGTAGATTCAATATCCAAATAATTTGATAGAGAAAAATGAAGAGAGAAAATCATCCAGTCAATTGAAGAAACTTTCTGAGAATTGGGCACATAAAACTGTTCAGATTAAAAGGGTCCATTTTAACCAGTACAATGGTTAAAAATAAATGAACACTAAGACAAAGGTTTTTAAGGCCTTGGAACACTGGAGCAAATAGCAGAGCCCATAGCTTCCAGAGAAAAAGAACAAACACATACAAGGTTAATGATGACTGCCATGGGCATTTTTACTTAAATGCTAAAACTAGAATACAATAAAGCAAGTACTTCTATCATAGGGAAATTTACTTTCAATCTGTATTTCCAAACCCTGCCAAGCTCTCACCAAAAGTAAGAGTACAGTGAAGATATTAAAAAACAATAGATCAATAACTTCAAAATTCTAAGGGAATATGATTTCCAACCTAGAATCCTATACCTAGATAAAGAATTATTCAAGTTTAAATATAGAATAAAAGCATTTTGATACATTTAATGTTTTAAAACACAAAAACAAAATTAAAAACCATGTATACACTCTTTCTTTTAAAGCTTTTGGGGGTTGTGTTCGGCCCACAAAGGGAATAAAACAAGAAAGAGGAAGACATAGGCTAAATGAACAAGATAGTCAAATAAAAGAGAGAAGTAAAAGACAAAAAAAGTTAGGATTCATTCATCAGTTCAAAAATTATTTATTAAATATCTTTCTTGTACCTATCTTTACTGCTGGGAATGCTTGAGATACATCAGTGAACAAACACAAAAAGATCCTACCTTGTTTAAACTTACCTTAAAATAATGCTAGAATCATGCTTACAGAAAATCCCAAAATGAGAACTGAATAGAGAGTTGAGAGATAAATCTTCACTTTCCAAAATGGGAGGAAACATACGATGCTAAGTGTATGTTGTTTGACTTCTGAAGGTAAATATCAAAATAATTAGTTAACATGGTTGAAAGTGGAGGAAAAAAGAGATTGAATTGGTATAATCCTGTTTTATGGAAAAAATCTAAATCTATTTAACTCAAAACTATGTACATATTTTGATGAAAATAAAAGTTAAATGTAAGAATGAAAAGAGTGGTGTGTGTGTGTGTGTGTGTGTGAGAGAGAGAGAGAGAAAGATCTTTGACATAGAGAGAGAGAGAGATCTTTGACATAAACACTAAAAGACAAGAATTTCAAAGAATGCAAAATGGTGAGAAGTGTAAAATCAGGGTTGAAATCGAGAAGGATCCAGATACTCCAGGGACCTGACCCCAGGGACACTAGCTGGAGGACCACCGTATATTCAGTTTTACTCTTTACTTTGTCAACTGTCATCAATGGGATGTAGGGGTGGAAAGATGTGATACCTTTCTTCATTCATCATAAGGGTTCATGGCCCTGGTTCTGCACTAAGTCTGCGTCAAGTTTTATTATTAATTATTACCAATGGATATCTTAATGATATTTCTGATGAACAAACTATTGAATTAAGATTAGTGGGATATTTTTACAATGTATTTCAGCACCAGACACATTTCATAAGTATTAAATTTTATAGAGAAGCCTGATATTAATTGATTAATGTATATATTCACTTGATCACAATTTTTTTATACTTACTATAGACCAGTGACTATGAGACACTCTATAACAGGCATAGCTCAAATGGAGGTGCTGTGGTTATTGTTAGGTGACTGAGTTTGCTCTTCTTTGTCCTTCGGCATTTTGTCCCTCTCAAGACTCTTCCACTGGCAATCTAGTTTTCTGCAGGGATTGAACAGTAGTGCTGAGTCAAATTTTTCAATGTTTTCCACAAAATATTAAAAACTAGTTTTGTTGCATGTGCATTTTTACTCTGACATTCACTGTATCTTCCAGATATTAATTCATGTGATAGCCTCAATAACCCATTTATTGTCATTTTGCAGGTGAAGAAACATAAACAGTAACAATTTACATACTTTTTTCAATACTGTACAACTAAGGACTGGTGGAAACGTGATTTACACCTAGGTAGCCTAGGTTAAATTATTTTTCACATTCTTAAAAAAATGGAAGAAATGATGTATTAATAGTTATATAATTTTAGTTTAGAAAGGACTTCAAAATAATTTCATTATTTTTACAATTTTTGATAACTTTATTAAAAGCCTTTTAAAGGGGTTATTCTGCCTCTTTCGAACACTTCCAGTGATGAGGATTTACACATCAGAGCCGTCCACGTGATGCTTCTCATGTTTAGGTTTCTCTGATTTTTAAATTTCTGTTCATAACTTCAGTACATATGTCCTAGATCAGCAGGAACCCCTGGGGCTACAGAGATCACATGTAATATCTTTTTACATGACACCTCTTCATATGTTTGGAGATATTTGGCCTTCACCCAATAGAATTTTACTTAGTGTAAGATGTTCAGTTCTTTGAAATACGTTTTACACCTGGCATCAAATTTCCTTTAACCCCTCTGATATCTTCCTTCTGAGCATGACTTCGAAGGCCTACACCTCTTCTGGGATGTCATACCCAGAAGAAATATTTTTAACATCCTAGGTGGAGAAATGAGTGGACCACTAATTTCCATTAGATTTTATTAGGTTTTTTTCCCTAAAAGTCCAACCACATTTTTCATATTATATTAAAATTGCTGTCAACTATAACTTCTGAGTTTTTTCATCTATCAACTATTTATTTATATCACCCCCCTCTCATACCTTTGAAATTGGTTTAGGAGACTCAGGTGCCTCTATGTAATTTCCTCTTGTCAAAGTCATTCTATTGCTTTAGCCTGCCATGATGTAGTTGCATCCCCATTTCATCATCTAATTGATAAACATTCCCTTATGATTTGGGGTACCTATACAACTGATAAAAATGTTCAGGAGGTTTTCATCTAAGTCATTGAAGTTATGAGCAATGTAAGGCTGAATCTTTTGAGATATCTTTCTGTATACTTGAAGTGCTCTCATTCATAGATTAAATAAATACTGTTCATTCAATGACTCTGAGTTGAGCACAGTGCCAGTCATATAGCTTATACCTTAGCAAGATGAATATGTTGTCTTCTGACAGGACGTTTACAGCTTAGATTATATGCCCTGCAATAAATATTATTCCAGATTCAAATAAGGTAATTTATAATTAATATTTTAATATTATATTTAAAATGGGTAAAAATTTACCTAATTGCACTACAATTCAATCTCAAGCCTCCATCCTGAAAATGAAAATATGAGACAAGTGAAGTAATTTACTGAAGTTCGCAAACAAGGTATCTTCTACAATGGCCTTACCTGAAGACCTCGTGAAAAAGAAAATCAGTTTGGTCTTATATGCCTTAACCTTAAGGCACTCATTCTGAATCTGCATTTTACTAAGCCACCTTCTATTTCAGTTTTGTTGCCAGGTAATATTTCACCAACCAGCTCAAGCAACTACAGTAACTCATCACCTCTTGGCCTGAAACATGACTCAAAAGTCTGTTGTTCGGTTGTAACATTTTTGTTTGTTTGTTCCTTGTTTTTTGTAAGACCCCTTTGTTGGGGTCAGGTTTTTTTTTTTTTTTTTTTTTTTTGTGACAGACTCTCACTCAGTCACCCAGGCTGGAGTGCAGTGATGTGATCTCAGCTCACTGCAAGCTCCGCCTCCCGTGTTCACGCCATTCTCCTGCCTCAGCCTCCTGAGTAGCTGGGACTACAGGCGCCCACCACCACTCCCGGGTAATTTTTTGTATTTTTAGTAGAGACGGGGTTTCACCGTGTTAGCCAGGATGGTCTCGATCTCCTGACCTCATGATCCGCCCGCCTCGGCCTCCCAAAGTGCTGGGATTACAGGCGTGAGCCACCGTGCCCGGCCTGGGTTCAGTTTTTTAACTTTCTTGACATTTACAGGTTCATGCACATCCATGAAACACTCTAATTGACTTTGGTGGAACATGAGGGCTACTTCTGTATTTACAGTGATTTCTTTGCAACACCTCTTAAAATTGAGATGTAAAAAGAAAGAATGTAAAAAACTTAAACTGCAGATGGTGTACCATAAAATTTTAATTCATGTTACCTAACATCAAGACAACCTTTTCAGGCTATTAAATTTCAAGGTAAAGGTATCATTCATCAGGCATCTAGAGCAGAGAAAGAAAATACAAACAGAGAAGACAAATCAGATGAGTCCCATATTTTCTCCACAGCCATCAGTATGTTGTGGCTAGAGACAACGAAGCAACTTCTAAAAGTTCAAAAGGTAAAGAAATGTGACCCAATCATTGTATAGCCAGCTAAGTTAGAGTTCAAGTATCAACAAGGCATGGAGACATTTGAAAACATGAAAGACCCTAATAATTTATGGAATGTAAGACTCAAAGAATTCAAGTAAAGACAGTCTTATAACACCTACACAAATAAAAATCTATTCCCCTTGAAAATAGAACTAAACATTTTTGCAGAATGTAACAATATAAAAAGTAAACCCGAATAATGTAAATAGAATAATATATTTTACAAACGTTGGGATATAAGCAGAAGATGGATGGAAATATGCTACATTCTAATATCTTCCTTGTTTGTAGCAGAAAGTTAATAGATTTTTTAAATGGAAAACTATGATTACATTACCGATGCGTATCTTTTAATCTGAGTAAAATATTTTCTAAACTTTAGGTTGTGTTAAAATATAAAACAGCACTGTGGTAAGGAAACATTTATTTGAACTCCTTTATTTCAGATATTTTATTCTTATAAATTAAAGTAAAATAAATTCATTGATTTTACTGTAATTGCTTTATATAGTATAGTCTCATGTTTATTAACAAAAAGTTTATCTTTGTCTTTCTGTTTTTCCATATGTGTATATCCATAGAAAAATATCTGAAATGAGGTTCACTCATAGTTAATGATTACATTAGTCAGGGTTCTCTAAAGAAACGGAACTAATAGGATAGATGAATATATGAAGGGGAGTTTTTAAGGGAAATTGACCCACACAATCACAAGGTGAGGTCCCCTAATAGGCCATCTGCAAGTTGAGGAGCCAGGAAGCAAGTCAAAGTCCCAAAACCTCAAAAGTAGAGAAGCCGACAGTGCAGCCTTCAGTCTGTGGCTGAAGGCCTGAGAACCCCTGGCAAATCACTGATGTATGTTCACGAGTCCAAAAGCTGAATAACTTGGAGTCTGATGTTCAAGGCCAGGAAGCATCCAGCACAGGAGAAAGATGGAGCCCAGATAACTTAGCCAGACCAGTCCTTTCACGTTCTGTGCCTGCTTTTATCCTAGCTGTTCTGGCAGCTGGTTAGACGGTGCCCACCCAGATTAAGGGTGGGTCTGTCTCTCCTAGTCCATTGACTCAAGTGTTAATCTCCTTTGGTAACCCCCTCACAGACACACCCAGGAATAATACTTCGTATCCTTTAATCCAATCAAGTTGACACTCAATATTAACCATCACAGTGATGCTTACTTTCATGTGTAAATATTTGGAATGATTGTTTCTTCCTATTTGTGATTTTATGCATTTTTTTTACATCTTTGAAAATCCATATGCCATGGTATATGCAGAAATTTACCATGCATATCCAAATAGAGTGATATTTATTTTTTGTTAAGTAGCTGTAGGCAAAATTTACCAGCTATTAATTCTCTGTGGTCAAGTCTTTGTGTTGGGAATATGGATGTGTTGGGTTTCTTATTTTGCCTTCTGACCTCAATCAAGTCTTTGTCTTTTCATGTTCTTTTTTCTGTTCTGAGAGGCTGACTCCCTTGGATTGTGTTACTGACTTTCTTTCCATTTGGCTTCAGATTGCTGGGTTCAGGAAATGGGGAGCAATGGCATGCCAATCACAAGGCAAGAGGGAAGGTTGGGGTATTTGTTCCCCACTCCCTATCATATTTGGCAGCATTGTCTGTCAGTGGTCGATACCTTCAATGACTGCAGTTCCAATGAGGAAGACCACTACCTTAAGGCTCTATTACTCTTCAGATCCTGTAGTGCTATTACCTCCTTTGCTCTTCAGCTTAGAGCTGGCAATGACTTCCCACAGCTGCTAATCTCTAGATGTCTCAACATTTGTTCATTCATACTCTTATTTGGAAAATTTCTCAAATTATCTGAGCAGGATTCTGTTTACTGCAGATCTGAAATAATGAATAATAAATAAAATTTTGTTTTGTATTTTCTGATATTCTTAATTTGAAAAAGAAAAAACCCTACATACTACATACATGATTTGTATAAATTCACATGATAGGCTGTAGGATTTTACTTCAACATTGAAGTTGTGTAAATATGAATCAGTCCTAGGGTAAAAGTTTGAGTTAATAGTAAAATATTTTAGAGCAGATAAATATCATAACATTTTACAAAACTTTTTATTTAAGTATTTTATACAAATGGACAAGGAATATTCATTGATCAAATTTATTTTAAAGCGCTCTTGCTATTTACTATTTTTTAATTATGGTATAGCTTTAAGTAGAATAGAATTTTTTTGGCCAATTAGGCATTCTCTATGTATAAAATTGAATTGCTTAATCTACAAAGAGCTTTACATGGATGTTTCTCCTAAAAGAATAAAGGTTCAGACAGTGGGCCCTTTCTCCAACACTATAATAGATTTATGTATGTTGAAATACTGCAGATAAAAGTGGAGGAAGATAACACTGTCAGATAACATATTAGCTCTAAAGGATTTCTCCCCAGCCCATCCCCACTCTGCCATTGAGCCTTTTCCCTTTTACCTCTTAGTCTTTGAAATCAGCTGGGATTTTAGGTAACTGCTGGGAAGTATTAAAACTCATTACTTGATTGACCAGAATAGTTGCCCTCTCTTATTTTCCAATAATGCTCTCTGAATGGTTTCCTTAATACTTTTAAAAGATGTGTGGCACTACAGCAGAGTGTAATGTAGGACAGGAATTATAGTTATCGTTTCGGATGAGGTGTGTTGAAAGGGGTCAGGATGACGCAGTTGGCAGCTCTCAGAACTGGCCTCTCTATTATTACCATCTGTGTCAACTTGGAGCCTTCATCACAGAGAAGACGAGAAAAATGAAGCTGTAGCTGTTTTGGGGGAGGGTTTTTTTTTCATTATGATTGATCCTAGTTTGCACACTAGGTGAATGAAACTGAAAAATTATTCATGTTTTTGCTAGATATCAGTTGGAACTTTCTGTATACATAATTAATGTTTTAAAACTTTCTCCCTCTACACAATTTTCATGCATATATTTATTTAGAGAAATAGCAGTGGTGATGATAAGGTTCTTTATGGAACCTAGTGAAATTGGCAATATAACCTTTATAGCAAATATATTATTATTGGCCGAAAAATGTGGTTCATTTTTATAACAAAATATATTGGCAGTAGAAATGAGCAAAGAACAAGTGTTGAGCAGCAGGCTATATAGAGGGCTTGGAATCCTAAACTATTTGGAAGGAAGCTGACTCATTTCAGGGAAATTATGTAGGCCACAATCAACCACAAAATGAGGAAGGCCAAGAAAATGCTCAGAGTCAACTTTTAGGTTTCTTTTGTTGAATTCATAGAAAATTACATAATTTAAAGACATTGTTGTAGGGCTACACTGAGAAATATCAAGTGCATAAATGAGTCACAGGGATAAGGAAACTAAAGTGGATTGGTTTATTCTTCTTAACAATACGCACTAAAGCATTTTTATGCAGTAAGAATGATAAAAGACTTTTTTTTATCTTTAGTACTAGACTATAGGAAGTACCATTTCATAATTTCACGTATAAAAAAGTTTTTTGGAAATTAATACCAGAAACATGTTGCAATATCTGTTCTTTTATATATACTTAAACTTAGTTTAAATATTCAATAAAAGGGTACAATTCTTATGGAATGTAAGCCCAGCCAGCCCAGCCATCCTCAATTAACATTCTCATTGCTAATAAAAATTCCTGAAGAAAACATGTTAAATATTAACTATTTGAATGAGGTTCATCTAAATAAGAATGATTGTCAAGATTCAAATGAGTAAATATACGGATTTTAATTAGTGTCATTCCTGGCATTGAGTATCATTTCATAAATCAAAAAACTTAACAGAAACTCCCCATTGCATATATGAGAGAACTAACAGAGGGATAAGGATGCAACAGGATCTCTTTCAGAAGTGGGTCCCACTATCACTTCACTTTTTTTTTCCTTTTTTTTTTTTTTTTTTTTTGAGACAGGGTCTCCATCTGTCTCCTAGGCTGGAGTGCAGTGGCACAATCTCGACTCACTGTATCCTCTGCCTCCCGGGTTCAAGATATCATCCAGCTTCAGCCTTGCTAGTAGCTGGGACTACAAGCATGCGCCACCATGCCTGGTTAATTTTTCTATTTTTAGTAGAGATAGGGCTTCACCATGTTGGGGAGGCTGGTCTTGAACTCCTGACCTCAGGTGATCCGCCCATCTTGGCCTCCCAAAGAACTGGGATTACAAGCGTGAGCCACTGCACCCAGCCCCGTACTATTACTTCTATCTGAAAAATGTAAAATATTTTATGGCTCTCAATGTGATCACAAATTCCAATAAAAATGCCTGAAAATTCACTCACAAACATCATCATAATAAAAAGGTAATAATCATCCATTATTTTGCAAGTAGAATGTGAAACCTACAAAAACAGAATTAAATATTGCTGAAAACACTGATTGAGTATGAGCTCAGGTTCAAATAAACTAATATCAAGATGTTAACATATTTATCTATTAATTTTCTTTAATGGAGACTTTTAGCCCATGAAAGGTAAAAATCTTATCCAAAATTAAGGTTCTTTCTAACATACACTGATCTGCTTGATAGAAATAAAGGAATGTGGCTAGGCATGGTGGCTCACGCCTGTAATCCCAGCACTTTGGGAGGCCCAGGCGGGTGGATCACGAGGTCAGGAGATTGAAACCATCCTGGCCAAGATGGTGAAACCCCATCTCTACTAAAAATACAAAAAATTAAGCGTAGTGGTGGGTGCCTGTAGTCCCAGCTACTCAGGAGGCTGAGACAGGAGAATGGCGTGAACCGGGAGGTAGAACTTGCAGTGAGCCAAAATTGCACCACTGCACTCCAGCCTGGGCAACAGAGTGAGACACCGTCTCAAAAAATTAAACTAAAATAAAAAATAAATAAATAAAGGAATGCATTCAACAGAAAGCATGGAAGGTAAAAAAAAGTTAGAAATTTCCTAAGGAAAAAAAAATGAGGAAGGAGTCTGTAAATAAACACATAAGGAAAAATCTTACATCTAAGAAGGAAACAATGGTTTGAGGCTACAAATAGTGACTCTCTGTACTTGAGTCCACTTTCAGCTATATGCCCCTAAAAACCCACGTGATCTCTGTGAAACACAACCTATAGTAGGTGGGTACACCAGATATTACAGACTGTATCAGTACAAAGAAAATTCCTCAAAGAATATTTGGGGTTCCAGATGCTTCTGCAATCTTAACACTCCAAGTGTTAAGTTGGACAAGAAAGTCAACAAGTTGGTAGATAAGTACAGTAAACTTTAGTATAATGGGAACTGGGTGAGAACTGCAAAAGTCTCTGTTCAACCCAGCACACCAAAACTTGATCACACTCTAGCCATGGTGATCCTGGACCATGTCCCTAGGGTTACCTCAACCCCTTTAAAATACCAGCCTTAGAAATCTCAGCTACTGATATGGACAGGAGACAGGGAAATACTGGGTAGAAGAGGGCGGTTCCCTGGCAAAGACCCTGCCCTCAAGCCTGGAAACCTGTGGCCCCAAATGGGAACAGACATTCCTGTTTTGGCACCCAAAAGTTGTCTTTTGGCCTGCCACAACCCCCTATTCTGTACCCATATAAGTCCCAGACCCAAGGCTCCAGAAGCAGACAAGCAGACGAGAGGACTAACAGAAGAGCAGAAGGATGGCAGGAAAATGGGGCAAAGAGAAGAAAAGGAGCACCTGAACGCCAATAGGAATCGGCTGGGGGCAGTCAGAGAGGTGATCAGCTGCTGGATTGTCAACTCCAGGGGAATATCAGCTTCCCACTCCATCCCTTTTTCAGTTCCCCATTCATCCTGCTGAGAGCCACCTCCACCACTTAATAAAACCCCTGCATTCCTGCATTCATCCTTCAAGTCCTTGTGTGACCTGATTCTTCCTGGATGTCAGACAAGGACCTGGATACCAAGAGGACATTGAGCTGGTTAACACTTAAGCCATCCATAGATGGTAAATCTAAGAGAGTGCACTGTAACACTCACCCCATTGTGATTTCGGAGCTGCAGGCACCCACTCCTGGACGCTGCTGTGGGGCTAGAGACCAGGAGCACTCATTCTGTCTCCTGCACCTGTCCGTCTGCATGCTCCCCTTCCCTTAAGGGAAGACTACCTTTTAAAGGATCAGAGAAATAATTGACAATTGTAAGCTGTCAAAAATAAATAAAGGAGGTCAGCGCCCTATAGTTAGGTATTGACTGGAACGAACAGTAAATTCTTTTGATAGTGAAATGGGAGAGTTCCCCCACCTCCCTTGCAGGACATGTGACAGGCGTGTGGCTTGTCTGTTTGGCCACCACAGATGCTCAAACCCTTAAGGGAAGGGAAGCATGCCGGGCGTGGTGGTGGGCACCTGTAGTCCCAGCTACTCGGGAGGCTGAGGCAGGAGAATGGCGTGAACCCGGGACGCAGAGCTTGCAGTGAGCCGAGATCATGCCACTGCACGCCAGCCTGGGTGACAGAGCGAGACTCCATCTCAAAAAAAAAAAAAAGAATGCTAAAAGACCTTGTCCAACAGGAAAATATCACAATCCTAAACCTATGCACCTAACACTGGAGCTCTGAAATTAATAAAACAATTACTAATAGACCTAAGAAATGGAATGAGATAGACAGCAACACAACAATAGTAGGGGATGTCAATACTCCACTGACAGCACTAGATAGGTCATCAAGACAGAAAGTCAACAAAGAAACAATGGGTTTAAACTATACCTTGGAACAAATGGACTTAACAGATATACACCGAACATTTCATCCAACAACCACAGAATACACATTCTATTAAACAGCGTGTGGAACTTTCTCCTGTATTGACTATATTATAGGCCATAAAACGAGCCTCATTACATTTAAGAAAAGTGATATTATATTAAGCACTCTGTCAGACCACAGTGGAATAAAACTGGAAATCAACTCCAAAAGGAACCTTCAAAACCATGCAAATAAATGAAAATTAAATAACCTGCTCCTGAATGAGCATCGGGTCAAAAACAAAATCAGGATGGAAATTAAAAAATTCTTCCAACTGAATGACAAGAATGACACAACTTATCAAAACCTCTGGGATACAGCAAAGGTAATGCTAAGAAGAAAGCTCATAGCCGTAAACACCTACATCAAAAATTTGAAAGAGCCCAAACAGACAATCTAAGGTCACATCTCAAAGAACTAGAGAAACAAGAACAAACCAAACCCAAA
Source organism: Homo sapiens (assembly GCF_000001405.40). NCBI lineage: Eukaryota > Metazoa > Chordata > Mammalia > Primates > Hominidae > Homo > Homo sapiens. Next base: position 27,924,879 of record NC_000021.9, on the reverse strand, counting down.
CCAAGCAGAAGAAAGGAAATAACCAAGATCAGAGCACAACTAAATGAAACTGAAACAAAAAATATACAAAAGATAAACAAAATAAAAAGCTGGTTCTTTGAAAAGATAAATAAAATTGACAGACTGTTAGCAAGATTAACCAAGAAAAGAAGAGAGAAAATCCAAAAAACCTCACTAAGAAATGAAACAGGAGATATCAGAACTGACACCACTGAAATAGAAAAGATAAGTCAGGGCTACTATTAACACCTTTATGCATGTAAACTAGAAAACCTAGAAGAGATGGATAAATTCCTGGAAAAATACAAGCCTCCTAGCTTAAATCAGGAAGAATTAGATACCCTGAACTGACCAATAACAAGCAGCAATATTGAAATGGTAATCTAGAAATTGCTAACAAAAAATGTCCAGGACCAGACAGATTCACAGCAGAATTCTACCAGATCTTCAAAGAAGAATTGGTACCAATCCTTTTGACACTATTCCACAAGATAGAGAAAGAAGGAACCCTCCCTAATTCATTCTATGAAGCCAGCATCACCCTGATACCAAAACCAGGAAAAGACATAACCAGAAAAGAAAACTACAGACCAATATCCTTGATGAACATAGATGCTAGATGCTAAAATCCTTAACAAAATACTAGCTAACTGAATCCAACAACATATCAAAAAAGTAATCCATGATCAAGTGAGTTTCATACCAGGGATTCAGGGATGGTTTAACATATGATACACCACATAAACAGAATTTAAAACAAAAATCACTATGATCATCTCAATAGACACAGAAAAAGCCTTCGACAAAATCCAGCATCAGTTTATGATTAAAACTCTCAGCAAAATCGGCATACAAGGGACATACCTTAATGTAATAAAAGCCATCTATGACAAACCCACAGCCAGTATAATACTGAATGGGGAAAAGTTGAAAGCATTCCCTCTGAGAAATGGAACAAGACAAGGATGACCACTGTTACCACTCTCTTCAACAAAGTACTGGAAGTCCTAGCCACAGCAGTCAGGCAAGAGAAAGAAATAAAGTTCACCCAAATCAGTAAAGAGGAAGTCAAACTGTCACTGATGATATGATTTGCTGATGATATGATTGTTTACCTTGAAAACCCTAAGGACTCCTCCAGAAAGCTCCTAGAACTGATGAAAGAATTCAGCAAAGTTTCTGGATAAAAGATTAATGTACACACATCAGTAGCTCTTCTGTATACCAACAGTGACCAAGTGGAGGTTGAAATCAAGAACTCAACCCCTTTCACAATAGCTGCAAAAAACAAACAAACAAAAAGCTTAGGAATATACATAACCAGGTGCCAAAAGACCTCTACAAGGAAAACTATAAAACACGGCTGAAAGAAGTCATAGATGACACGAACAAATGGAAACACATCTCATGCTCATGGATAGGTAGAATCAATATTGTGAAAATGACCCTACTGCCAAAAGCTATCTACAAATTCAATGCAGTCCCCATCAAAATACCACCATTGTTCTTCACAGAATTTGAAAAAACGATTCTACAATCATATGGAGCCAAAAAAGATCCACATAGCCAAAGCAAGACTAAGCAAAAAGAGCAAATCTGGAGGCATGCACTACCTGATTTCAAACTATACTATAAGGCCATAGTCACCAAAACAACATGGTACTGGTTGAAAAACAGGCATATAGACCAATGGAACAGAACAGAGAAGCCAGAAATAAACCCCAAAACTTACAGCCAACTGATCTTCAACAAAGCAAACAAAAACATAAAGTGGGGAAAGGACATCACTTTCAGCAAATGTTGCTGGTATAATTGGCAAGCCACATGTGGGAGAATGAAACTGGATCCTCATCTCTCACCTTATACAAAAATCAACGCCAAACGAATTAAGGACTTAAACCTAAGAACTAAACTATAAAAATTCTAGAAGATAATGTTGGAAAAATCCTTCTAGACATTGGGTTAGGCAAAGATTTCATGACAAAGAACCCAAAAGCAAATGCAATAAAAATAAAGATAAATAGCTGGGGCCTAATTAAACTAAAACTCTTTTGCATGGTAAAAGGAACAGTCAGCAGAGTAAACAGACAACCCGCAGAGTGGGAGAAAATCTTCATGATGTATACATCTGATGAAGGAGTAATATCCAGAATCTGCAATGAACTCAAACAAATCAGTAAGTAAAAAACAATCCCATCAAAAAGTGGACTAAGGATATCAATAAACAATTCTGAGAAGAAGGTATACAAATGGCCAACAAACATATGAAAAAATGCTCAACATCACTAATGATCAGAGAAATGCAAATCAAAACCACAATGTGATATCACCTTACTCCTGCAAGAATGGCCATAAACAAAAAATCAAAAAACAGTAGATGTTGACGTGGATGCAGTGAACAGGGAACACTTCTACACTGCTAGTGGGAATGTAAAGTAGTACAGCCACTGTGGAAAACAGTGTAGAGATTCCTTGAAGAATTAAAAGTAGAACTACCATTTAATCCAGCAATCCCACTATTGGGTATCTCTCCAGAGGAAAATAAGTCATTATTCAAAAAAGATACTTGTACACGCATGATTATAGCAGCACAATTCACACTTGCAAAATCATGGAATCAACTGCCCATCAATCAATGAGTGAATAAACATACTGTGGTATATATACTATGAAATACGACGCAGCCATAAAAAGGAATAAATTAACAGCATTTGCAGTGACCTGGATGTGTTTGGAGACTATTTAATTCTAAGTGAAGTAACTCTGGAATGGAAAAACAAACATTACAAGGCATAAGAATGATACAATGGACTTTTGGGACTTGAGGGGAAAAGTGGGAGAGGGGCGAGGGATAAAAGACCGAGTATGGTGCAGTGTATACTCCTTGGGTAATGGGTGCACCAAAATCACACAAATCGCCACTAAAGAACTTATATAACCAAATACCTCCTGTACCCCAATAACTTATGGAAAAATAAAAGTAATAATAATAAATAAAGAGAATTGCAAAGGTAGTAAGTACCAAATTTTCAAGCAAAGCTATAAATTTTATCTAAGTTCATAAACAAATTTCTTCAAAAAAAAAGAGAAGAAAAAGAAAAAGTTGTCCTTAGGCACAAATGGAAATAGTGAGTGTAGAAAAATTCTCAATGTTTTTCTGAAGAAGTGTAAAAATGGCAACATGCATATAGAGAACAAAAATGAAAACAACACTAATTGTAGTTTGGTAGACTAAATCGGGAGATCAGCAAACTATTTTCTTAAAGATTCATGTAGTAAATATTTTAGGCTTTGTGGTCCAGGAGACAAAATTGAGGATATGATGTAAGCATTTATAATACATTAAAATGCAATCACTTAAAAATAAAGAAACTATGCTTGGCTTGCTGGCCATATAAAAACACATGGTGAGCCCAATTTTGGCTTATAGACTATAGTTTCTGACTTCTGGAAATTAATACAAGGGGGTGTTCGTCTGAAATCAGGCAATATTTCTATTCCTCTCGTTGAGATTCTGATCCCTAATTTTAAGCAACACGATGAGAGGACTGTATTTATCACATGATTTAATTGTTAAATTGAAGTTTTGTATTAATTCGTTTTCACACTGTTATAAAGAACTGCCTGAGACTGTGTAATTTATAAAGGAAAGATGTTTAATTGACTCACTGTTCTGCATGGCTGGGAAGGCCTCAGGGAACTTACAATTATGGTGGAAGGTGAAGGAGAACCAAGTACCTTCTTTACAAGGTGGCAGGAGAGAGAGTGTGTGTGTGCACAGGGGAAACTGCTACTTTAAAAACATCAGATCTCATGAGAACTCATTCACCATAACAAGAACAGCACAGGGGAAATGGCTCCCACGATACAATCACCTCCCACCAGGTTCCTCTCTCAACAGTTGGGGATTACAATTCTAGACGAGATTTGGGTGGCGACAGAGGGCCAAACCATAGCACATCTCTGATTTCTGTTTTAATCTACTGGTCTTGGTCTACCTTGATTTCCACTAGGGAAAAGGGGAATGTGTCCCCTAGATCTATGTTTCTTTTTTTTTTTTTTTTTTTTTTTGAGACGGAGTCTCGCTCTGTCGCCCAGGCTGGAGTGCAGTGGCGGGATCTCCGCTCACTGCAAGCTCCACCTCCCGGGTTCACGCCATTCTCCTGCCTCAGCCTCCCGAGTAGCTGGGACTACAGGCGCCCGCCACTACGCCCGGCTAATTTTTTGTATTTTTAGTAGAGACGGGGTTTCACCGTTTTAGCCGGGATGGTCTCGATCTCCTGACCTCGTGATCCGCCCGCCTCGGCCTCCCAAAGTGCTGGGATTACAGGCGTGAGCCACCGCGCCCGGCCCTAGATCTATGTTTCTGTCACATGGTAAATTCTTGAAAAAGATTAGCTATTTTTATTATTATTAGTCACTATACTAATTAACGTTCTTCTATGGAAACCGCTGTGAGAGATCTATACTTCATTGGCCGTCCCTGACTTTTGCTCCTTTTCCTCTGTCAATAAATTTGTAAGCATCTACTTACTTTAATGAATTCTTTCTTGCTTAAAATATTCAAAGTGTTTTCTGTTTCTTCATTAAACTCTCAACAAATCAAGGGTATAGGAAAAATTTAAAGAGCTGTTTTATTTTTTAAATATCTACAAGATATTGGGGCATGAGTAGACACTATGGACAACCATATATCGTAACAAAGTGAAACAGACCAATAACAATACATCCCTTTTTCATTGCAACACAAATGAAGGATTGAGGTATACAAGAGTGATTCACCATTAAAAAATTCAATAAATGTAATCCACCATATCAACATGTTAAAGAAAAAAGTATATGATTATATGGGTTGATATCAAAAATGCATTTGACAAAACTCAACACTCATTTATGATAATGAATCTCAGAAAACCTAGGGTAAAAGGGGAATTTTCTCACCTCAATAAGATACATTTACACAAAACCTACAATTAACATCATACTTAACTTACAACACTGAACACTTTTCTCCTAAGATTCAGAAGAAGGCAAAGATGTTTTCCCATGCTATTAAACAACATACTGAAAGTCCTAGTTTGTGCAATATGACATTAAAATAAATTCTATTTATAAACTATGAAAAGGAAAGAAATAAAACCGTCTTTCATTACAAATGATGTAACTGTCTATGTAAGTAACCTCAAAGAATCCACCAAAAAACTCCTGTCACTAATAAGTAGTATAGCACATTGCATGGTACATTTTAAATGTACAAAGTCAATTGCTTTCCTAAATACCAATAATAATTAAATTTGAAATTAAATAAAAAATATACATATATTTATATTTGATGTTAATTCTTGCCAATTTGATCTATAGATTCAATGCAAACTCAGTCAAAACCCAGAAAACTATTTTGTAGATATAATAGTTTTCTGAAGTTCATATGGAAAAGCAAAGGCTCTAGAATATCCCACACAGTACTGAAAAAGAATAACAAAGTTGGAGGACTCATACTACCCAATTTTTAAATTTACTATAAGGCAACTATAATTGAGACAGTGTAGTTTGCCAAAGGAAAAACAAAACAAAACAAAACATGTGAATCAATAGAATAAAGCATACTAGACCCACACAAATATTGTCAATTGATTTTTGACAAAGGCAAAAATTCAGTTCAATGGAGTAAAGATAGACTTATTTGGATGGTCATATGATAAAATAATCCTAAACACAGACTTTACACTTTACTGAAAAATTAAGTTAAAATGCGTCATAGACCTAAATGTAAAATGACAAACTATAAAAGCTCTAGAAGAAAACGTGGGCAAAATCTACATGCCCTTGAATTTGATGACAAGTTTTTAGATAAAACAACAAAAGGATGATTAATGAAATAAAATATTGATCTTCTATTTCATTAAAAATGAAATATTTTGTGAAAGTGACTGTTGATAGAATAAAAAGTGAAGCCATGCACGTGGAGAAAGCATTTGCAAAATATATCTGATAAATGAGTAGTATCCAAAGCATGCTAGGAACACTAAAAGTCAGCAATATTAAACCAAAAGACCCAATTAAAAATGAGCAAAATATATAAACCGTTACATTACTAAATGTAACAGATGGCACCTAAGAAAATGATACATCATTTGCTTGAAAATTTGCTTCAAATGAAAACAATGATGATATACCACTACACAACTGTTGGACTGCGGCTAAGAGCTCCCTCCTGTCTCCCAAATAAACCTGATAACATCAATCACAGGGAAGGAGGCTGAGCAACCATTCTTGCTAGTGGAACTGCAAATGATACAGCCACCCTGGAAAACAGTTTGACAATTTCTTAACAAAGCTATGTTTATTGTATTTTTATTCATAATCACCAAAAACTGTAAGCAACCAGAGTGTCCTTCAATAAGTAAATAGATAAGCATAATACAAAAAATCCATTCAATGAAATACTATTAAATAATAAAAAAGGATGAAGTGTCAAGCCATGCAAAGATATGGGTGAATCTTAAATGCATATTGCTAAGGAAAACTATCCAGCTGGAAAATGCTACTTACCATATGATTATATTCATATGCTATTTTTTAAAAAGGCTAAACTATAGATATGCTTAACATACCAGTGGTTGCCAGGCATTCAGTGGGGGTTTGTGGGATGGGTGACAGTAGTGAAGAGATGGAACACAGAGGTTTTTTAGGGAGCTGAGATTATTCTGTGTGATGCTGAAATATTGAGTACATACACTATCAGTCTGTTGCAATCCACAGAACTTTACAAAACAAAAAGTAAACCTAACCTTACACAGATTTTTTAAAAAGTCATTTAGAGGTCAGGAGACTCCAAGATGGAATTCAGGCTGAGACAAAAAATATCTAACTGTATTACAAATGTATGAAATATCTTATCTGAAGGGAGTGGAGGATAACAGTGGTGACATAAGTAACTTTGAAAATAAATGGAGATGAGTCTGTAATAGTAAAGGCAAAAGAAACTACATAAGCACCATATTCTAGTTGAAAAGGGTGTTTACACAGGGGTACAGATTAACAATCCTCATACCACTATACAAACATAATGGAGTTGAACAACTATATAAATGATTGTCTGACAGTGGCTGACAGGCAGTTTTCTTACTTTTGGAACGAGAGATTGCAGTGACCAAGGAGATACGGCTGGAATTATCCATGTGTTATTACAGTAGACTTCAATACACCAGTATGAACTTACATTTTGCTTAATATAGATATTTCTGGCTATAGAAATATAGATATATTTATTAATATGTGTATATACATGGGTTAATATACTCACACATTTTTTTTTCTCTGTCAGTTGAGATAGTCTGGAAGCATCAACACTGAAGTAGCAATAAGCCCACTTAGCACTTAGATCTTGGTTCCTAATACTATTCTCTGTTAAAAGGAACCATGAATCTTTGGAGAAATGGCTGGTTCTAGGATTGAGTCAAGAAATATAGGAGATGTGCTTGGAATACCTTGTAGGGGTAGAAGGCAAGCAAGTGCAAAAAACCAAAACAAACAAACAGAAATACTCACAATGATAGAATTGTGTCAAAGACACACAAAAGACACAGGAGCCAACTAAAATAGCTCCCAATGGCCAAAGCTAGAACACCTTGAAAAACAAAATAGTGTTAAATACTGAATATAAACCCCAGCTTAAAAAATATATTTGTGAGTCCATACAAATATGTTGCAATATAAATAAATGAATAAACAAATAGGAGAGAAGAGACAAATCTCTGATGCAGAAAATTTCGAAGTAATTTACATAAAGAGTAAAAGTAACATAGATGAGTATCTACATTACACTCTGCCCTCAAGGAGGTAGAGAATAAGCCCTCATTCTTTAAATGTAGGCTGTGCAGTGACTTCCTCCCAAAGACTACAGTGTAGAAAGGGGGAAAAAAGTAAGTTTATGGTCAAGGAAAATGACAAACTCTATCAGCTACGTGATCAAGATTAACATCAACAGTAATACATTTTAGGTGCTCTTACCTCACACGCAAAAACAATGTAAAGTGATAGATACATTAATTTGCTTGATTATGCTAATTATTTCACTATGTATATCAAGACATGTTGTACAGTTTAAACATACACAATAAAATCAGTGGTAGATTATACTTACAGTATCTACTTTTAATGTAATGTGATGAGAATTACACTTTACCTTGTGGTCTTCCTTTTAAAAACCAATAACCTATGTCTTATGATGAGAAAAGCATTAGAAAAAACCTGATTGAGCATTCTGCGAAGTACATGATGAGTACCCCCTCAAAACTCTCAGGTCATTGCATCAGTCTGTTTACTCACTGCTGATAAAGACATACCCAAGACTGGGAAGCAAAAGAGGTTTAACTGAACTTACAGTTCCACATGGCTGGGGAGGCCTCAGAATCATGGCGGGAGGCAAAAGGCACTTCTTACATGGCAGCAGCAAGGGAAAATGAGGAGCAAGCAAAGGGGAAACCCCTGATAAAACCACTGGATAGTGTGAGACTTATTCACTATCATGAGAATAGCATGGAAATGACTGTTCTCCCATGATTCAATTACCTCCCCCTGAGTGCCCCCTACAACATGTGGGAATTCTGAGAGATACAATTCAAGTTGTGATTTGGATGGGGACACAGCCAAACCATATCATTCCACCCTGACCCCTCGAAATCTCGTGTCCTCACATTTCAGAACCAATCATGCCTTCCCAACAGTCCTTCAAAGTCTCAACTCATTCCACCATTAACTCAAAAGTGCACAGTCCAAAGTCTCATCTGAGACAAGGCAAGTCCCTTCCACCTATGAGCCTGTAAAATCAAAATCAAACTAGTTACTTCTTAGATACAATGGGGGTACAGGTATTGGGTAAATACAGCTGTTTTAAATAGGAGAAATTGGCCAAAACAAAGGGGTTACAGGCCCCTTGCAAGTCCAAAATCCAGTGGGGAAGTCAAATCTTAAAGCTTCAAAATGATCTCCTTTGACTTTAGTTCTCACATCCAGGTTATGCTGATGCAAGAGGTGGGTTCTCATGGTCTTGGGCAGTTCCACCTTTGTGACTTTGCAGGGTACAGCCTCCCTCCCAGCCACTTTCATGGGCTGGCACTGAGTGTCTGTGGCTTTTCCAGGTGCATGGTGCAAGCTGTCGGTAGATCTACCATTCTGGGGTCTGGAGGACGGTGGCCCTCTTCTCACAGCTCCACTAGGCAGTGCCCAAGTAGGGACTCTGTGTGGGGGCTCCAACCCCACATTTCCCTTCCACAGTGCCTTAGTAGAGGTTCTCCCTGAGGGCCCCACCCCTGCAGCAAACTCGCCTGGGCATCCAGGAGTTTCCATACATCTTCTGAAATCTAGATGGAGGTTCCCAAACCTCAATTCTTGACTTCTGTGCACCAACAGGCTCAACACCATGTGCAAACTGCAAAGGCTTAGGGCTTCCACCCTCTGAAGTCACAGCCCAAGCTCTACATTGGCCCTTTGGAGCCACGTCTGAAGCAGCTGGGACACAAGGTACCAAGTCCACAGCATGTGGACCCTGGGCCTGGCCCACAAAACCACTTTTTCCTCCTCGGCCTCTGGGCTTATGATGGGAGGGGCTTCCCTGAAGGTCTCTGACATGGCCTGGAGACATCTTCTCCATGGTCTTGGGGATTAGCATTAGCCTCCTTGCTACTTATGCAAATTTCTGCAGCTGGCTTGAATTTCTCCACAAAAAAATGGGTTTTTCTTTTCTACTGCATTGTCAGGCTGCAAACTTTCTGAACTTTTATGCTGTTTCCCTTCCCAAACAAAATGCTTTTAACAGCACCGAGTCACCTTTTGAATGCTTTGCTGCTTAGAAATTTCTTCTGCCAGGTATCTTAAATAATCTCAAGTTCAATATTCCACAGATCTCTAGGGCAGGGACAAGTGCTACTAGTCTCTTTGCTAAAACATAACAAGAATCACCTTTGCTCCAGTTCCCTATAAGTTCTTCATCTCCATCTTAGACCACCTCACCCTGGACCTTATTGTTCATATCACTATCAGCATTTTATCAAAGCCATTCAACAAGTGATTGGATGGGGACACAGCCAAACCATATCATTTCACCTCAACCCCTCGAAATCTCGTGTCCTCACATTTCAGAACCAATCATGCTTTCCAAAATTTCCCCCATTTTCCTGTCTTCTTCTGAGCCCTCCAAACTGTTCCAACCTCTGCCTGTTATGCAGTTCCAAAGTTGCTTACATATTTTGGGTATCTTTTCAGCAACTCTCCACTCTACTGATATAATTCAAGTTGAGATTTGGGTGGGGACACAGTCAAACCATATCAGTCATCAAAAACAGAAAACCTCTAAGAAATTGTCATGGCCCACAGTAGCCTAAGGAGACATGACAGAAAAATGTAATTTTATTCTTGATGGGATCCTGGGACAGAAATCTAAAGCCAAGGAAACCTGAATAAAGTGTAGACTACTGTTAAAATAATATACTTGTATTTGTTTATTAATTGTAAAAAAAGTTACCATACTAATGTATAATGTTTGCAACAATAAAAACTCAGTGTGGTGCACATGAAAACTCTGTCGCCCTCACAGTTCTTCTGTAAGCCTAAAACTATACTAATTTCTTACAAAGTTTAGGATTCATATATATTTTTTCATATATGTACTCATATACATATAGATACTCTTTATCCATTTATCTGTTGATGGACACTTAGGTTGATTCCATAGCTTCACTATTGTGAATATTGCTGCAATGAATATGGGAGTGCAGATATGTCTTTAATATACTGATTTCCCCTCTTTGGATATATAGCCAGTAATGGGATTGATGGATTACATCGTAGTTCTTTTTTTTTTTTTTTTTTTTTTTTTTTTTTTGAGACAGAGTCTTGCTCTGCCACTCAGGCTGGAGTGCATTGGCATGATTTCGGCTCACTATAACCACCACCTCCTGGGTTCAAGCAATTCTCCTGCCTCAGCTTTCCAAGTAGCTGGGATTACAGGCATGCACTACCGCGCCAAGCTAATTTTTGTAATTTTAGTAGAGATAGTGTTTCCCCATGTTGACCAGGCTGGTCGAACTCCTAACCTCAAGCGATCTGCCGGCCTTCACCTCCCAAACTGCTGGGATTACAGGCTTTTTTTGTTTTGTTTTATTTTGTTTTGTTTTTGAGTAATTTCTATACTGTCTTCCATATGGCTGTACTACTTTACATTCCCGTAACAGTGTATGAGCGTTCCCCTTTCTTTGCATCCTAGCTAACATATTTTATTTATTTCTATTTAATAATAGCCATTCCAACTGGGATGAGTTGATATCTCATTGTGGTTTTGATTTGCATTTCCCTGATGATTGGTAATAGTGAGCACTGTTTTTGTATTCTTGCTGGCCACTATTTAGCCATAAAAAAATGAAATCTTGTCATTTGCAGCAACATAAACAGAACTGGAGGTCATTATGTTAAGTGAAATAACCCAGGCACAGAAAGACAAACATTCCATGTTCTCACTCATATGGGGGAGCAAAGAAAGTGGATTTCCTTGAGATAGAGAGTAGAATGGTGGTTATCAAAGTGTGAGAGGGGTAGGGAGGATGAAAAAGAATTAGTTAATAGTAAATAACACAGTTGGACAGAAATAATAAGTTCTAATTTATTGTTAATATTTTATTGTATATTTCAAAATAGCTAGAAAAGAACTATAGTGTTTCCAATACAAGGAAAAAATAGATTACCCAGTAACCCTGATTTGATCATTTCACATTACATACATGTATCAAACTATCCCATGTACCCCTAAAATATATACGACTCTGATATATATCAATAAAAAGAATAAAAACAACAGTAATACTAAAAAGTTTAGTAAATACACTTTTGAACATTTTTGCGTTTTTAGAAATTACATTTGCCGAGTTTTTGTGGAGTTCAGAACATTCGTATTTTCTGATCTTAACAATAAACTCATCATATATGGTTATCTTCAGGATTTTCAACTTCATATTATATCCACATATGTAACTTGTGTATATTGAGATAAAATATCTGTATAAAATTTAGCATGTATGTTTCAGTTAAGGCTCTAAGGAAAACATATACATTAGATATGATACTATTGAAGATATTTGCTTGTCTGTGTGTATGTATCTCTGTGTGTATTTTTTCCTAAGTAGCCAAGATAATTAAATTCTACCTTGTGCTAAAACTGGTCAATATACCTCTCACTCAAATCAACAAACTTGAAAGCCCAAACTTCTTCTAATATTCTACCAAATGATATTTTACACAACTAAAGAAATCGTTTAAACAATATAAAACTTGCCAACGTAAAAAAGATAAGGAATAATTCTTGTATGTTTCCTCAATGCCAATTACAAAAAGTGCCAAAGGAAAATAAATCTGCTATGGAATTACTCTACAGCTGCAACACATTTTCAGGAAGTATTGTTGTCACAGACTGCCAATGACCAGAATGAGAAGAAATGTGGTGAGGAGAAAATTCTGGAGTAAAATATGTTGACTTAGACCCTCATTTGCCCACTTGGCACATGTCCCATTTGCTACTCTCTTTCACAACACTTTTCTATTTCATTTCTCGAACTGCTGTGTAAGAATTTTGGTTTCCGATAATTTTACTGGATATTCCCCCAACTGTCATGTGAGGATAATTAATTTAAAAGCATATTCTGTGCATTTAGACATTTAAATCTTATGAAGTATTCTATCATCTTTATGATATAACTAGATAATAAAAGAGTTCCCACCTTCTGAATTCATTTATACCAAGAGAATCACAAAGAAACCTAGGCAGGCACTTCGCTTATATGCAGAGATCTGGAAACATGCTTTTCTAGAAATCCTTGTCATTCATTCATTCTCTTTAATTAGTTAGTTGCTGCAATGTGGCTTTATTTCTTAGAAACAATGGTGTGTACAAATATGCAAAGGAAAGTTCAATCATTCATTACATATTCCTTCTAGAACAATGTTAGGTGGATGACAGGTGAAATGGTGAAAAGCATGATGAAAATTTTATCAAGTCTATGGTTTTATGTATGTGTTGTTCAGAGTTCCATACTCTGAGGTGTCTTCCCAAGAAAAAATGCTGTAAAAAGTTTCTCTTTTCATTACCAACCTCAGTATTTCTAGTGTGTCCTATCCAAAAGGAAAGTGAAAAAATAAATCACCCACAGTTTTTTTTTTGTTTTGTTTTTTGTTTTTTTCTTAGATGGAGTCTCACCTTGTTGCCCAGGCTGGAATGCAGTGATGTGGTCTCAGCTCACTGCACCCTCCACCTCCCAGGATCAAGTGATCCTCCTGCCTCAGCCTCCTGAATAGGGGAAACTACAGGTGCACGCTACCATGCCTGGCTAATTTTTATATTTTTAGTAGAGACGGGGTTTTGCCATGTTGGCCAGGATGGTCATAAACTCCTGACCTCAGGTGATCCACCCAACTTGGCCTCCCAAAGCGCTAGGATTACAGGCGTGAGCCACTGTGCCCAGCCACAACCACAGTTTTAATGGGAGTTAACCAATTTAAATATTTTGTTTTAATATTGGTATTTTAGACTCATTCAGCATTCATATATAGTGTAATTTTTTTTACTGATTGTTATAACATTATTTTCAATACTCTCTAGAATATTAAATATTTTTCAACACAGAATGTTTTGGATTGAACATAATGTTTTGTATTGTATATGTAGCCAGCAAATACTGTAAAATTTGAATATATCGTACTGAGATACAGGTGAAACATCCTAGATTTGAAAATTTGTAATTCTGAATGCTCAGTTTAAAACTTTTGAGTATTGAAGTGATGCTCAAACAAAATGCTGAGTAAAATGCTTCAAATATTTCAGATTTGGGATGCTCAAACAGAATAATGCAAATATCTCAAAATCCAAAAAACCCTAAAATCCAAAACACTTCTGTTCCTTAGCATTTCAGATTAAGGATCTGTATTAATCTTATCCTGTATTAATTTTCAAACCGTTTGGCTAATTTCAGATCAATTCGCTAATTATTTGCAATTTAAAACAATGCCAATATTTGTACACAAAACTTACCTATGTAGTGCCTAAGATGAAGAATAAGCCTAACTGGGTTTGAAATCAGGCAAATCTCTTTCAATAGCTGTGCAAACTTGAGCAAATTATCTCTCTGAGTCCAGTTTCTTTACTCATCCACATAATAGGATAATAATGGTACCCACCCATTTGATTGTTGTGAAGATCAACTTAATTTTTATACATCTTTGGTATGTCAATTAGGACCATTCCTGGTGGATAGTACGTTCTCAGTGTGTATGCATGTGTGTGCGTGTGTGTTTATGTGTGTATGCATGTGTGTGAACATTGCTTAGAATTTTAATTTATACGTATATTTACATATATAAAGAATGCTTGTCGAATAGTAAGTCCTTTTTTGACTGAAAAATAGAAATATAAAGCAACTGTTAATAATGGACCCATAAGCCAGGTGTGGTGGCCTACACCTGTAATCCCAGCACTTTGGGAGGATGAGGTGGGTGGATCACCTGAGGTTAGGAGTTTGAGACCAGCCTGGCCAACATAGTGAAACCCAGTCTCTACTAAAACTACAAAAATTTAGCTGGGCGTGGTGGTGGGCACCTGCAATCCCAACTGCTAGGGAGGCTGAGGCAGGAGAATCACTTGAACCCGGGAGGTGGAGGTTGCAGTGAGCCGAGATCACGCCATTGCACTCCAGCCTGGGAAACAAGAGCAAAACTCCATCTTAAATGATGATACTACTACTACTACTAATAACATATCCATAAAAAGGTCACTGCTGAAATTCATATGAAGAAAAATGCATAAACCAAGGCAGTGGTCATCAAAGCAGCATGAAGTACATCAGGAAAGAGACTTATTTTTCTTTTCTGAAATTGGACACCACTTAAGAACCATAAAATCACACGAAGTTATATTCAATGCTTATTCTTCACTTCAGTGAATGAAAACTAGAAAAGAAAATTGAAAAGAGAATGCAGAATGGCACTTACTCAAATAGTTTTGATGATTTCTGCTTCACTGGCTGATTTTGTAGTGGGTGGCTGGAAATTACAGTGGGATCTTTAAATAAGTTTAGAGTCATATCTCTGACTTACCCTGAGTAATTTTTGACCCAGTAAAGCTGTTTTTTTTGGTAGGCTTAAAAATTCCACTGAGATTCTTCAGTCACCCACTCACCCACTTCCAAATGAATCAGAAAAACAGAAATAATCAAAATCAGTAGAATAAATGCTGCTCTAAGTTTTCTTTTCCAGTTCTCATTCACTGAGATGAGAGTAAACATTGAATAAAACTTCATGTTAAAATGTCCATACTATCCAAAACAGGGTATAGATTCAATAACATCCCTATGAAAATCCCAATGGCAAGTTTTTACAAAAATTGAAAACAATTATAAAATTCATATGGAACCAAAAAAGACCCTGAGTAACCAAAGCAATCTTGTGAAAGAAGAACAAAGATGAAGGCATAACACTACCAGGTTTCAAAATACATTACAAAGCTACAATAATTAAAATAGCATAATAGTAGCACAAAGCAGACAGATACACCAATGAAATAGAATAGAGAGTACAGAAATAAATCCCTACATATATTGTTATGTACTGTCACATATACTTGAATTTTGACAAGTGGGACAAAAATACAAAATGGGAAAGGGATAATCTCTTCAACACATGGTATTGGAAAAACTGAATAACCTCATGCAAACAATGAAATTGGATCCTTCTCTTACGCTATACAAAAAACATCAACTCCACATGGAATAAATTTTTAAATGTAAGACGTGAAACGGTAAAACTCCTAGAAAAAATACAGAAAAAATGCTTTATGATATTTGTGTTGGCAATGATTTCTTGAATGTAATAGCAAAAGCACAGGCAACCAAAACAAACATAGACAAGCAGAACTACATTAAACTAAAAAGCTTGTGCAAAGCAAAGGAACCAATCAACAGAGTGACAAGGCAACATATGAACTCGGGGAAAATGTATGTTTTTCCAAACCATGTATCTGTTAGATGTTAATATGTAAAATATATGAACTACAATGCAGTAATTAAAAAAAAGCAGATTAAGCCATAGGCAAAGGACTTGAATAGACATTTAGCCAAAAAAAAAAAAAAAAAAACCATACAAATAGCCAACAGGTATATGAAAAATATTATAATCATCATCACTAATCAGCAGGGCAATGAAAATCAAAACCACAATATTTTCACCTCAAACCTGTTAAGATGGCTATTATTTTTTAAAAAATGCATTGATAAGGATATAGAGAAGTTGGAACTTTTCTGTACTGTTGATGGGAATATAAAATGGTGCAACTGCTATGGAAAACAGTAAGAAGGTCTCTCAAAAAAATAAAAATAGAACTACCATGTGACCCAGCATTCCCAGTTTGGGGTATATATAATTAAAACCAAGATCTTGAGTAAGTATCTGCACTCCCCTGTTCACTGTAGCATTATTCACATGAGCCAAGATAAAAAAACCTCAATCTCCATCAATAGATAAATGGATAAAGAAAATGTGTCTGCCTGTGCAATGGAATATTATACAGACTTACAAAAGAAAGAAATCCTGTTATAGGTGACAAAATGGATTAACCTGAAGGACATTATGCTAAGTGAAACAAGCCAGTCACAGAAGGACAAATGCTGCTTGACTCCATTTATACGAAATATCTAAAATCGTCAAACTCAGAAACAGAGCAGAATAGTGGTTATCAACGACTGTGGAGAATGGAAATGAGAGGTTGCTACTTAATGTGTACAAAGTTTCAATTACGCAAGATAAATAAGACCTAGAGATCTACTGCATAACATCGTGCCTATAGTTAACAATACTATACTATGCATTTGAAAAGTTGACAGTATGTCTTAACACAATATAAACAAAATATTTTCTTTGGCAGATTCACATTTTATTATTTGATTTTAATTGAAATATCTTAATTTCAAATATTTTATCAAGTGCTTTGTTTGTGTCAAAAAACTTTCTTCTTTTTTTTTTATTTTTGAGACGGAGTCTCGCTCTGTCGCCCAGACTGGAGTGCAGTGGCGCGATCTCAGCTCACTGCAAGCTCCGCCTCCCGGGTTCATGCCATTCTCCTGCCTACAGGCGCCCGCCACCACACCCGGCTAACTTTTTTGTATTTTTAGTAGAGACGGGGTTTCACTGTGTTAGCCAGGATGGTTTCGATCTCCTGACCTCATGATCCACCCACCTAGGCCTCCCAAAGTGCTGGGATTACAGGCGTGAGCCACCGCGCCTGGCTAAAACCTTTCTTAACAGAGACAGAAAGATGCTGTGTAACATCCATTGATTATTCCTGATAGACAAATTAATGACTTTTAAAAATGATTTACACTATTTAAGCAGTAAAAATACTGGCCAAAATTTTTATAATTTTGCATACTTTTTTCTTTTTAATTCAATAAGTATTTAAAATTAGCTTCTGCATGTAGAAACAAAACACAATTATTCTTAAAAACAATCATCTAACAAGCAAATCTCCATTTTTAGTTAAGTTGAGCTTTCTTCTTTAATAACAAAAAACAGAGTGCACTGTGGTTGAAAAGCATACAATTCTTTAGCCATATAATGAAACCTTAATAAATGTTCAGGTTTCTTTCCAACAAATCAACAAATACAAGTATAAAGGCATTCAAGAAATATAGCTCATCATGTACATTGACTTCAGTCACTTCATTTTTATTAAGCAAAGTTAACCTAGCTAACTAGTCTTTTACATATCGTGAATACTTAATATTAATTATTCAAAGATATTTCATTTAAATCACTGTTAACAAATTGAGATTAAGTCAGGCTGTCCATTTTAAAAACAGTAACTGCTGTAATAAAATATTAATCTGAGTTGGAGACTCCAAGAGGACAAAGAACATTAGAATATATACAAGTGATTTAAAAGTAACAAGCATGCATTTGTTCCTGAGCATATCTGTACTTTGAAGCTTCTACTCAGTATTGTGTGGAACTAAAACATACTTTCCACTTATAAATGGAATAGGAGACCTGACACAATCCTTATACACATTTTAGCCAGGAAACGTGCTAGTTTCATGTTTTCCATTTCCTCTGACCTTTTCCCTTCCATCAGAACTCTAAATGGTGAACAGTATGCTTATTTGTATTTGTTTTACTGTTTGAGGCTCTTTGATTTTCAAGGAAACTCATTTTGTGCATAACTTTTTAAGGCAAAATTAAGGAATATGTTTTCATGAGACAGGAAGATATAATTAAAGGAAATAAATGAGTTTAATTAAGGGATTTTAGGATTTCAAAATCAAGAAGAGAAGAAAGTAGGAGAAAATAAATATAATAAATAAATCAGCAAATAAAAATTCCCAGACACTTCTTTGAGAGTGTTTACATATTTCAGTGAAAGTAGGTAAAATATAAAAATAGTACTTAGAAAAATCTAATATATTTATGCAAGTAAATAAAGACCAATTTATTTTTAAACATTTCAAAATAAGGAAAGCACAATATACCGAATTTCAAGTTATTTAGAGACAGTAACTGCAATTATTTAGAGACAATAACAATGCAAGTTATTTAGAGACATTTTCAACGCAATAGCAAGACATTACGTTAATACCTGTTTGGGTAGTAGATTTTCAGAAGACTATTAAAATAGTATTACCAGAATTTTGCTATAAATGACAACACTAAATAAGAAAATTAAAAGTAATTTGTGTTAATTAGCTCTATAATATCCATTCAATGAAAATTATAATTTATGTATAATTTCAAATAATAATGAAATAGCATTATACTATAGTGTTATATAAAAACATAAGGTTTTCTAATATATAGCATTCAACTCATTGGGGTGTGGGGAGGTGAGGGGGAGCAAATTTCAGAACAATGTGTGCTAAGTGCAAACATTTGTGTAAAAAGCTTCTGTTACGTGTATAGAGTTTCTCTGGAAGAATTTATAAGTGCATATAACACATATTCAAACCTACAAACACAGAGTTGTTTCTATCGGTTGATTCCTTGGTTGGCTGGAGGAGAAAGGTAAAAGAATTTTGATTTTTACTTTGTGTTCTCTTATGGTCTTTTACTTTTCTTCTCAATGCACATATTACCATTTTTAAAAAATAGATTAAATTTTAATAATGTTGCTACCAACATACTTGTGTTTATTTCACTGTCAAAATTGTGAATAAATTTTCAAAAACTTAGCTTATATTGTATAATTATAGCAAACTACATATTAATAGTTTTACAGAACAAAAATTACAAAAATATATTAATTTCTATAAATTATATCCTCTAATATTAATTAGAAGAGCTATCTGATCAAAACACATCAGGTGATTTGTGGGGAGACAAATATATTTGCAAAATACAGCATCCTCATTAAACTGTGTATTAGGCCATTCTTGCATGCTGTAAAGAAACATCTGAGAATGGGTAGTTTATAAAAAAGGAGGTTGTATTGACTCACAGTTCTGCAGGTTGTACAGGCAGCATATTGGCATCTGCTTCTGGGAAGGCCTCAGGAAGCTTCCAATCATGGCAGAAGGTAAAGGGAGAGCTGGCATGTCACATAGTAAAAGCAGGAGCAAGAAAGAGAGTGAGCAGAGGAGGTGCCACACACTTTTAAAGGACTAGATCCCATGAGAACTCACTATCATGAAGTAAGTACCAAGTCATGAGAGATCTGCCTCCATGATCCAAACACCTCCCACAAGACCTCACCCCAGCATTGGGGATTACAATTCAACATGATATTTGGGGGATATCATTCTGAAAAGTATATCATTCTGCTCTGGCCCTTCGCAAATCTCATGCCCTTTTGACATTTCAAAATGGTATCATGCCTTCCCAACAGTCCCCTAAATTCTTAACTGATTCCAGCATTGACTCAAAAGTCCCAAGTCCTGTCTGAGACAAGGCAAGTCCCTTCCATCTATGATCCTGTAAAATAAAAAACAGGTTATTTACTTCCAAGATGCAATGGAGGTATAGGAATTGGGTAAGCATTCCTGTTCAAAAAGGGAGAAATTGACCAAAAGAAAGAAGATACAGGCCCCAAGCAAGTTGGAATCCCAGCAAGGCAGTCATTAAAACTTAAAGCTCCAAAATAATCTCTTTTGATTTCATGTCTGACATCCAAGGCTTGCTGGTACAAGGAGTGGACTCCCAAGGCCTTGGGCAACGTGATTTCTTAGTTATAGTTAAAAATGGATTATGGATATTTACAAAGCTAGCTCACCTCTCCTTGTCTGACTCACTCTTTCTTCTTTCCTTCCCTCCCTCCCTCTCTCTCTTTCTTTCTCTCTCTCTCTTTCTTTCTCTCTCTTTCTTCTTTCTTTTTCTTTCTTTCTTCTTTCTTTCTTTCTTTTTCTTTCTTTCTTTTTTCTTTCTTTCTTTCTTTCTTTCTTTCTTTCTTTCTTTCTTTCTTTCTTTCTTTCTTTCTCTTCTTTCCTTCCTTCCTTCCTTCCTTGCTTGCTTGCTTTCTCTTTCTTTTCTTTCTTATAATGGCTGATCAATAATTCATTTTTAGAGAAATATGAGTTGATGTATGGATTTTTAAAATTAATTGATTGGTCAATAAGCAAATACTTTGCTGTCAACTGTGACATGCTAAGCATATTAGGTGAATAGTACAAATGTTGAGCAAGATGCCCTTGGTCCCTTCCTTCGAGAGATTACATTCCCATAGGAGGGTGGTAAATTCAGAAATACATCAATATAAATAGAGTATATAGGTAGGAATCTAGATAGTGTGATACATGTTCTCATACTTTACATAAACACAAGAAAAATATCTCTAACCTGGATATAAGTGACAAAGAAAGGAAGACTGCATGCCGAAGGATTCTTGGATACCATTCTAGGCCTGCTTCATGGCTTGTTTCTGTCCACCCTTCACAAGGCCAGGGAAACTTTGTTCACCGTCATGGGATATGGTTGAGGTATCAAGTGCCTCTAAGAAGGACCACATTATCCCCAAATTTTAGAAGGGTCTTCTGTTGAAAAGACTTCTTTCTCCAGTGCATTGTCTGAGCAACCTTTTATATATATATATATATATTTATCTTTGTGCCAATCCTACAATGCCTTGATTAATGTAGTTTTACAGTAAATTTTAAATCAGGAAGTCAGGGTCTTCCAACTTCAATCTTTTTCAAGATGATTTTGG
Source organism: Homo sapiens (assembly GCF_000001405.40). Taxonomy (NCBI): domain Eukaryota; kingdom Metazoa; phylum Chordata; class Mammalia; order Primates; family Hominidae; genus Homo; species Homo sapiens. Next base: position 27,903,656 of record NC_000021.9, on the reverse strand, counting down.
CCATTCTTGGTCCCTTACATTCCTTATGAATTTAAATATCACCTTGTCAATTTTGAAAAAGGAAACTTGGATTTTGGTAGAGAATGTACTGAATCTGTAGATTATTTTGAAAATTTTACCATTTTAATAATATTAATTTTCTTATACGTAACCATCAGGTGGCTTACCTTTTATTTAGTTTCTTTCAACAACAGTTTTTAGTTTTCAGTGTACATGACTTTGATTCTTTTGTTAAATTTATTCCTAAGTGATTTTAAATTTTAGATGTTATTTTAAATGGAGTTGTTTTCTTAATTTTTGAATTTTTCATTGAAAATGTATAGAAATACAGCTGCTTTTGGGGTAGTCATCTTGTATCTGGCAGTCTTACTGAATTCATTTCTTAGATTTAAGAGGTTTTTATGCAGATTCATTAGAATTTTCCATGTCCAAGATTATGTCATCTGCTAATAGAGATAGTTGTACTTTTTCTTTTCCAATCTGGATGACTTTTATTTCTTTTTCTTGCCAAATTGTCCGGGCCAGATCCTTTAGTACAATGTTGCGCAGTCACTGTGAGAATATCCATCTGTCCTGAACTTAGGGGTAAATCATTCAGTCTTCACTATTAAGTATAATGTTGGCTTGGGGCTTTTGTAAATAACCTTTATTTGGTTGAGCTAGTTTCCTTCTATAACTAGCTTCCTGGGTCTTTTTTTTTTTTTTTTTTTTTTTTACTTTTTTGTTTTAAATAGTGTGTGATTTTGTCAAATGCTTTTTCTGTATCTATCATGTATTTTTTTGTCCTTTATTGTATCGAGATGGTATTTTACCCTGACTTGTTTTTGAATGTTAAAACAAGCTTGTATTCCCAGGACAAATCCTTGGTCATGGAAAATAATCAGTTCTTTTCCATATATTGCTGGATGTAGTTTGCTAATATTTTGTTTAGAAATCTTGCATTTATATTCATAAGGTATTTTAGTGTGTAGTTTATTTTCCCATGATGGCTTTGTTTGGTTTTGGCATTAAGGTAATTTTGGCCTCACAGAATAAGTTAGGAAGTGCTTGCTCTACCTTTTAATTTAATTTTATTTTTGAATAGTTTGTGAAGGATTGATATTACCGTTTCATAAACATTTGGTAGAACTCACCAATGAAGCTATCTGGGTTTGGACTACCCTTTGTGAAAATGATTTTATTACAAATACAATTTCTTTAATTGTTATTGGTTTATTTACATTTTGTATTTATTCTTGAGTCATTTAAATTAGATTATGTCTTTGAGGAGTTAATTTCATCTAGGTTATATAATTTGTGGACATATACTATTTTTAGGTATCTGAAAATTCGTTAGTGCTGCTATTCCTCTTCGTTCTGATTTTAGTAATTTGAGTCTTTGTTCTTTGTTTTCCTATTTCATCTATCTAAAGTTTTGTCATTATTTGTTGACCTTCTTAAAGAATTACACATCTTTTATTTCACTGGTTTTCTCTATAACTTTTCTAATCTTTATTTTATTTATTTCCACTCTCATTTTTATTATCTCCTTCCTTCTGCTTTTTTGACTAGAATTTGCTCTTCTTTTTCTAGTTTCTTAAGATAGTCATATTATTGATTTGGATTTTTAAAAATATGGACATTGGCAGCTATACTTTTTCCTCTAAGTACTATTTTATCTTTATCCTGTAAGTTTTGGTATGCTTTGTTTCTATTTTTTTAATCTCACAATATTTTCTCATTTTTCTTTAACTTATTCTTTGATTCATTTGTTATTTAGGGAGTTTATTAATTTTCACATATTTGGGATTTTTCCAAATTTTCTTCTGTAATTGATTTCAAATTTCATCCCATTTGGGCCAAAGAACATACATTGTATGATCTCAGTCATTTACATTTATTGTGCCTTGTTTTGTAAGCCAATGGATAGTCAAAGAATGTTCCAGGTATGGTTGTTCCATGGGTGACTTTTAGTTCTAGTTTGTTTTTAAGATTGATCCTTGTAATCTTCTGCTTAGTTGTTCCATCTACAATTGAGAGTGAGGTACTGAAACCTCCAACTATTGTTGTCAAATTGTTTATTTCTCTATCATTTCTGTGTATTTTTGCTTTATGTTTTTTAATGTTTTTATTTTTTAATTTTTTTTGATACACAATAGAAGTACATTTAGAGTAAACGATAGTCACTCTCCTTATCTCTCAAAGAGTAGATCTTATTTCTTCTACCAAACGAAGTATTTGTACCCACTAATCAACCTCTCTTTGTTACTCGTCACCCTCTATCTTTCCTGGCCTCTGGTAAACCACCAATCTACTCTCTATCTTCATGAGATCCACTTTTTTAGCTCCCATTTATGAGTGCAAACATATGACATTTGTCTCTCTGTGTCTGGCTGATTTCATTTAATGTAATGACCTCCATTTCTGTCCATGTTGCTGCAAAGGGCAGGATTTTATTCTTTTGTAAGATTGAATAATATTTTATTGAGTGTATATACCACATTGTCTTCATTCTTTCAACTTTTTATGGGCGATTAGATTGATTCCATATCTTGACTATTGCAAATAGTACTGCAATAGACATAAGAGCACAGATACTTCTCTGATGTATTGATTTCCTTTATTTTAGACACATAGTCAGCAGTGAAATTGCTGGTTCTTGATCCTAACTTGGATTTAAATAATGAAAAAGAAATCTTATTTTTATCTTATAATTGGCATTTATTATCAAGCGCTGATAAAAATATTTTCGTTTCAGGTGATATTAAATTCTACTCTAATGCAAAAGATAAAGGAATGGTATCAATGAAAATGATGGAGTGAGGGCATCAGCAAATTACTTCCTCCATAAAGGCAATTTTAAAAACTGGCAAAAATAATCAGGATCAACATTTTTAGAACTTGAAAAATTAGCCAAATGCTTTGAGGAATCCACAAAGTGTTTATTCAAAAAACAAACAAAAAAGGTAGAAGTTTGGTAAGAACTGTAAGTGGCTGTACTAATTTATAGTCCCACAAACAGTAAATGAGCATCCTTCTTTATCTACATCCTCAGCAGTATCTCTTATTTTTTCTTTTTGAAAAAAGCCATTTTACTAGGGTTAGAGAATGTCTCACTGTTTTTATCTGCATTTTTCTGATGATCAGTCATGTTAAACCTTTTTCATACACCTATTTGCCATTTGCATGTTTCCTGGAGAGAAATGTCTATTTAATCTTTTGCCCAGTTCTTAATCAGATTTTTTTTCTATTGGACTGTTTAAGCATCTCATATACTCTGGTTACTAATTCCTTGTCAGATTGACAGTTTGCAAATACATTATTCAACTCCATGGCCTGTATCTTCAGTTTGTTGATGGTCTTGTTTGCTAGACAGAAGCTTTTTAGCTTAATGTAATCCCATTTATCTGCTTTTGCTTTTGCCTGTGATTTTGAGGTCTTAAAAAATAATCTTTGCCCAGACCAATGTCCTGGAGTGCTTCCCAAAAGTATACTTCTAGTGTCATAGTTTTACATCTTAGATTTAAGTCTTTAAGTCATTTTGATTTGATTTTTGTATATGGTAAGAAATAAGGGGTTAGTTTCATTCTTCTGCATATGGTTATCTGGTTTCCTAGCACCGTTTATTATAGAGACTGTCCTTTTCCCACTGTGTATTTCTAGCATCCTTGTCAATGGATGCTCATTTGCGTAATGAATTGGCTCATTTGCGTAAATGTTGTAAATGCGTGATTTACATCTGGGTTCTCTATGATGTTTCATTAGTCTATGTTTCTGGTTTTGTTTGTTTGTTTGTTTGTTTTTGAGATGGAGTCTCGCCCTGTCACCCAGGTTGGAGTGCAATGGTGTGATCTCAGCTCACTGCAACCTCCACCTCCCAGGTTCAAGAGATTCTCCTGCCTCAGACTCCCTAGTAGCTGGGATTGCAGGTGTGTGCCACCACACTAATTTTTTTTATCTTTAGTAGAGACAGGGTTTCACCATGTTGGCCAGGCTGGTCTTAAACTCCTGACCTTGTGATCCACCCACTTCAGCCTCCCAAAGTGCTGGGATTACAGGCGTGAGCCACCGCACCCAGCCAATGTTTCTGTTTCTATGCCAGGACCATGTTGATTTGGTTACTATAGCGTTGTAGTAAATTTTGAAGTCATATAGTGTGATGTCTCCAAGCTTTGTTCATTTTGCTCAGGATTGCTTTGGCTACTGGATTTTTTGTGGTTCTATATCAATTTCAGGATTTGTTTTCTATTTATGTGAGAAACTTGAGTATTTTGATAGGGAGTGAAATGGATTTATAAATTGTTTTGGGTAATATTGTCATATGAATCAAATTAATTTTTCTAATTAATGAGTATGGAATAGTTTTCCTTTTTTCTGTCCTCTTCAATTTCTTTCATCAATGTTTTACAGTTTTTCTTGTATACATCTTTTACTTCTTTGGTTAAATTGATTCCTAGGTGTTTCATATTCTCTGTAGCTGTTGTAATTGGTAATTTTTTAATTTCTTTTTCAGATCATTCTCTGTTGGCATATATAAATGCTACTGATTTTTGTATGTTTATTTTCCATCTTGCAACTTTACTGCATTCATTTATCTGTTCAAAGAGTTTTTTCATGGCATCTTCAGGGTCTTTTTCAAGTATAACATTATGTCATCTGCAAACAAGGATAATTCAGCTTCTTCCTTTCCAATTTGGAATACTCTTTAATTCTCTTGCTTAATTGCTCTTGCTAAGACTTTCAGTACTATGTTGAATAAAAGTGGTGAAAGTAGGCATCCTAGTCTTGCTCCAGATCCCAGAGGAAAGGCTTTCCATTTTTCTCCATTGAGTAAGACGCTAGTTGTCGTTTGCCATATATGGCTCTTATTATTCTTAAGTATGCTCATTCTATACCCAGTTTGTGGAGGGATTTTATCTTAAAGAGATGTGGAATTTCATTGAATGGTTTTTTTAGCATTTATTTAAATGATCATATGTTTTTTGCTTTTGCTTACTAATGTAATTATTGATTTATATATGTTGAGCCATCCTTGCATCCCTGGAATGAATCCCAGTTGATTATGGTGTAAGATCTTTTTAATGTGTTGCTGAAATTGGTTTGCTAGTATTTCATTGAAGATTTTTGCGTCTATGTTTATCAGTGATACTGCTCTGTAGTATTCTCTTTTTGTGTGTCCTTGTCTGGTTTGGTTATAAATAATGTTGGCCTGGTAGAAGGAGTTGGGAAGTACTCACTCTACTTCAATTTTTTAAAAGAGTTTGAGAAGAATTGGTATAATCTCTTTTTTAAATATTTGGTAGAATTCAACAATAAAGCCATAAGGTCTTCCTTTGATGGGAAAATTTTTATTATGGCTTCAATCATAATAAAGGCACTCATAATAATATTATTCACTATTGGTTTGTTGAGGTTTTCTATTTCTTCATGGTTCAAACTTGTAGGTTGCATGGGTTCAGGAATTTTTTCATTTTTTCTAAGTTTTCAATTTATTAATTTATAGATGTTTGTAATAGTCTCTAATGATTATTTGTATTTCTGTGGTCTCAGTTTTTATGACTCTTTTGGGTTCTGATTTTATTTAGGTCTTTTTCTTATTCTGGCTAAAGGTTTGTTGAATTTGTTTGTCTTTTCAAAAAACAACTTTTTAAAATTGATCTTCTGTATTATTTTTAGTCTAATTTTTATTCATTTTTGCTAAGATTTTTATCATTTGTTTTCATTTATTCACTTTGGGTTTTGTTTATTCTTGCTTTTCTAGTTCCTTAAGGTACATTGTTAGATTGTTTATTTTGTTTCTGATTTCTTTAGCTAGGCATATATACATTTATAATTGTTATAACTTCCTGATGAATTGAATCACTCATCATTTTATAATGTCTTTGACTTCAGTAACAAATTTTGTCTTAAAATATATGTGTCTGTATTAGTATATCTAGCTCTATTTTGGCTACTCATGGTATATCCCCTTCCTTCACTTTAATTTCAACATATTGTGTCTTTGAATATAAAGTATCTCTTTTAGAGAGCATATAGTTAACCATACTTTTATCCATTCTGCCAATCTCTAAATTTTTAATTTTTGTAACATTTTTATTAAATGTAATTATGATGATATAATTAAAAATAACCAGGATAAATTCAACGGGATAAAATCAAAACTAGTTGGAATGGCATATTGATCAATTAAAATCAATATTCCATACATTCTGTTTTATTTCCTTTTTATTTTTTTTCCTTGGGGTATAATGCACATAAAATAAAATTTGATATCTTAATTATTTTACATATATCATTTAGTGGTGTCGATTACATTTGCAATGCTATGTAACCATCATCATTATTTGCAAAACTTTTTATCATCCCAGGGAGAAATTCTCAACTCAGATAGAAACTCATTAAGCAAGGTGAGTGCTCTTGTTAAAAATCGATTTTCCATAGATGTATAGGTTTATTTCTGAACTCTCAGTTTTATTCCATTGGCCTGTATGTTTATCCATGTGCCAGGATCATACTGATTTGATTACCTGGCTTTGTAGTAATTGGGTAGTGTGTGTTCTTTCAATTTGTTCTTTTATTTTTCAACATTTCCCTTCATTTGCCTTCACCCCAGCCTATGGTAGCCTCTCCTCTATTTTATGTCCCTATAATATATATTTTATATAGGTGGAATCATACAATATTAATACTTTTGTGTCTGGCTCATTTCACTCAGCATAATGTTTTCAAGGTTAATCCATGTTTTAGCATGCATCAGAACTGCATTTCTTTCTATTGCTGAATAATATTTTATTGCAGTTATATAGAATATTTTGTTTATCCATTCATCTGTGGATAGTTACTTGGGTTGCTTTCACCGTTTGACAATTATGAATAATAAATATTGGTATACAAGTACCTGCATGAGACTTTGTTTTCCATTCTTTTGGTCATATATCTAAGAGAGAAGTTGCTGGGTCACATGGGAGTTCTATTATTAACATCTTGGAAAACTGCCAAACTTTTCTACAGCATCTGCACTATTTTACATTCCTATCATCAGTGTCTGAGGGTTACAATATCTCCACATTCTCACCAAGATTTATTATTTTTCTTTATAAAAAAATTAAATTATATAATTATCCTGGTAGATATGAAGTAACAACTCATTGTGGCTTTTATTTGAATTTCCCTAATGGCTAAAAATGTTGGACGTCTTTTTTGTGTGCTTATTGGTCATTTGTATAACTTATTTGAGAAACACCTATTCAGACGGAGTTTCGCTCTTGTCGCCCAGGCTGGAGTGCAATGGTGCGATCTTGGCTCACTGTAACCTCCGCCTTCCAGGTTTAAGCGATTCTCCTGCCTCAGCCTCCCAAGTAGCTGGGATTACAGACACCCACCACTACGCCCGACAAATTTTTGTACTTTTAGTAGAGACGGAGTTTCACCACGTTTGCCAGGCTCGTCTCGATCTCCTGACCTCAAGTGATTCACCCGCCTCGGCCTCTCAAAGTGCTGGGATTCCAGGCTTGAGCCACTGCGCCCAGATGGTTGTGTGCATTTCTGTTGTTGAGTTGTAGGTCTTCCTTGTAGATTCTGATTATTAAACCCCTATTAGATATATAATTTGCAAATATTTTATCCACTTCTATACGTTATTTCACTTTCTTTATAATGTCCTTTGATAAACAATATATTTAAATTTTGATGAATTTCAATTTGTCTAACTTTTCTTTTGTTGCTCATTATTTTAGTTTTACACAAAAAAAGATTAAATGCCAAATTTAAAAATCATGTAGATTTACTCATGTTTTCTTCTAAGCATGCTATAAGTTTAGCTCTTATATTGGGTCAGTGAATCATGTTGAATTAATTTGTTATATGGCATAAAACGCAGACCCAATTTTATTCTTTTAAATGTAGAAATACAGTTGTCCCACACCATTGTTGATAAGACTATTCTTTTCCCCATAGAATACACTTGGTGCTCTTATTAAAAATCAGTGTTCCATAGATGTATGGGTTTATTTCTGGACTCTCTATTGAATTCTATTGGCTTGTCTGTTTATCCATTAGCCAGGGCCATACTGATTTGACCATCTAGCTTTGCAGTAATTGGGAAGTGTGAGTCCTTTCATTTTGTTTTCTTTTTCAGCATTGTTTGGAGTATTCAGATCCCTTTGCAACTCCATATGAGTTTGAGGACTGGCTTTTTCATTTCTGCAAAGAGGCTGTTGGAATTTTGATAAGAATTGCTTTGAACTTGTAGATCACTTTGGGTAGAATTGGAAACATAACAATACTAAGTCTCCCAATATTTTCATTTATGTAGATCTTCTTTAACTTTTTTAGCAGTGTTTTGTAGTTTTCAGTGTACAAGTCTTTCACTTCCTTGTTCAAATTTGTTCCTAGGTATTTTATTCTTTGAGATAATATTATACATTGGAATGCTTTATTAATTACCTTTTTTCTACTTGTATTCATAGGAAATATGGGTCTGTAACTTTCTGTTCTTTGGATTTCTCCATCTGACTTTGGTATAAGGATAATGCTTGTCTCATGTAATGACTTGAGAAATGCTCCTTCTTCTATTTTTTGGAAGAATTTAAGATGAATTGGTGTTTATTCTTTTTTACACGTTTGACAGAATTCACCAGTGAGACATCTGATACTGGGCTTTTGTTGTTGTTGAGGAGGAGTTTTGATTACTGGTCTATTCTCCATTCTTGTTGTAGGCCGTTAAGAATTTCTTCTTCTTCTTGAATCACATTAGGTAATTTATGCGTGGCTAAAAATTTGTCCATTTCATCTAGGTTATCTAATTTTGAGGTGTACAGTCCATTTCACCTAGGCTGTCTAATTTTGTGGTGTTCATAGTATTTCTTTACATTTCTTTCTGTCATTAGAGACAAGTTAATTAATAAATATAAAATATGGTATTCTCCTATTTCCACAATGATCAAGAACAAATTCTTCAATTTTATGTTTTTATTATGTCCTCTCTCCCAAACTTCACTCCTATCATTTTCCTTTCTTGGGAATCTTGGTGAAGGAGTTTTGCAAACAACATCAAATTTCAGAATCTGATTTTGGAAATTGTTGACAAGATTCTGGCTAGTTTCAGACATTTGAAAGCTTTGTTCTGAGTGAAATAATTTATGAATCCTCATCTTTTACACTAGTTCATTGGTATTTAAAACCAATAGGATAAGTGATGCCCCTTTGTTGGTGGCCAAAGATGAAATCTGGAATTAAAGATATTTTTACCTTTCCTCCACCATTCATGGACCAATGAAAATTATAGATAATCTGGGATAAATCTCTCATAACCTTACTATTTGATTATGCATTACAAGCTTCCCCTGCTTTTCTCTCTCTCTGTCTCTCTGACACACACACACACACACACGCTCTTTCCTAACCAGCAATCAGTGTCTTAACACAATAAAAACTGTTCTTCTTTTCACGGTTTTTAGTTCTAATGCAGAAAGGTTTAACACTATGTCTAGAGAGTATTTCTTTCTCGAAAAAAATGTGGCAGCATTTTTTATGATGTTGATATAGTTACTTATTTTAGAAATGTTAAGACCAGTCTTGATATAGATTTGAAATAGTAGTTAAATAATATAGCTAAACATATATATCCATGAATGTATTTCCTCAGGAATGTTAATAATAGAACATTTACCCTGGAACATTGGATAGATAAGTCTGCGATAAAGATCATTAGACATTCAGCTGCAATGATCTTTGCCTACCTAGAGAATTTGTTCAAATGCTTATGTATGCATCTGTAGAAGATCCTGCAATGTTGCTAAACTGTTCAAACCCAAGGTGACCAGAACATTTCCCACTAAGTGAAAAGTACTGAACTGGACGATGACTCAGATTTTCTCTCAATCTTAAGTCTCTGTCATTTAAAATAAGTCTGGGTGTCTAGGGTTATGAGATCAAATTGTGTTTCTTTGTCACTGGAAATCCCCACTTCAAACCTTAAGAACAAGCCATTCAAAAGCTTGCACTGAGGCAACACACTTAATAGGAAAGCATGACTTCATTTTGGCATGATTCGTCTTCAAATCAGGTCAGTGATTTAGATTTGAATGAGTGGATTGTTCATGGGCACCGGATCAAATTAGACTTTCATTTATTTTAAGAAATTCATTAGACCAATTATGACAACCACAGAGGGATGTCTTATGACTGAGAAGTGCAAATTATAAGAACAATAATATCCATTGTTAAGTGTGAGATGAAAATTTCTGTGTAGCTTGCTCATTAAAATCTGCTTCCTTTTACAGAAATGTTTTTTATGTAAAGTAGATGGCAGGTAAAAAACACTGAACCAAAACATAATTACCGAGTTTCTAACATTCTGGTAAATGCAAATTGTTTATAAAATAAAATCAGGTCAGAAAATTTAAAGGAAACTGAAAATACCAAATTTCTCTTTTAGCATTATGTTATATACTGTGGAAATACACTAATTAGGTTTCAAATAAATAGAAACAAGAATCAAACTATTATATAGTTGGCATTTTTATAGCCACACTCTTACATTTTAGATCAAAATATTTACTAAACACTTTATGAAAAAGGGATTGGGATTTGGAGTCTGACTCATTTATATCTGACTCCATCACTGTTTTTCTTTGGGCAGCTTCCATAGATTATGGCCATCTTAATTTAATCATTGGTGAAACAGGGGCAATTGTGCTTATTTTTTTTTAACAATTCAATTAAAAATGATATGTGTGAAGTGTGAAGTATTTTGCATACTATGTATTCTCTTTAAACATTAGTTAACTTAATATCATATAACATAATTAGGCACAATTTTAGAGAAAAATAATTGACATTCTTTTTCATTTTTTTTTTGCAAACCTTTCGAAATACAGCAATGCAAAGGTACACTACTCACAAAACGACTTTTCATTTGTTGTGGTTCACCATTCCCTTGTAACTTAACTCTCTCCCTCTATGAAAAGCAAAGAATACAAAAGGATTTTAACAAACAATATTAGTATTAGCTTCCTTAGAGTTTATATTTTGTTATGACTGAAATGTTCCATTCCCAGTAGAAATATTTAATCATTTTTTTCAGACTGAAAAACAACCTGCTAACAAATCTGCAGCCCTCTCAGAAGTGTTATATAGTTTCAGAAATTTTTTTTTAATTTGGTTTAGCAATTCATGTTTTTTCATGCTTATCACATCCAAGCTACTGAGACAACTAGAAAAAGAAACTTCTGAGTGGCCTCATTATTTTCCCTTAGCTAGTATGTCAGATTATGGAAACGGCTTGATACTTGGCTGGAATTAAACTATCTAATAAAAAATATACATTACTTTACATATTTCTCAATTCTGGTGATGTTAGTGAAAATGTTTGTACAAACAGCTCATGTAGTACAATTATATTGTATATATTTGAGTTGAATAATCTCATAATCTGATTACTAGGTTTGTAAATCTGATTACTATGTTTTGTTTGACCACGAAGAAGAAAAACTAAACAGCCAATAACTATATAAGGTAAAGTTACTGAATGAGGTAGCATTGGTTTCTCACAAATATTATTCTGTGATTGAGATCATATCATTCTGTCAAGACTACATTTATAAAATCATCAAAATTTATATAAATATTTTATTAATATTAATCTAAATGAGGCTTCACAATTAAAGAACAATATGATCTCAATCACAGGTTCAAAGGGATTGAACTGCCATCAGCTTAAATTTTTCTGAAACTAAATAAAATTAGAGCTTTGTTGAGGAGGATGATAATGATTGACGATGATCATGATAGAATTGTTAGACGGGCCACATATAAAAAGAAAAAAAAATTAAACAGAGACTATTTGTGCTCCTTTTACAACTGTAGACGACTGTTCAACTTCCTTTTCCTTAATGTGCTGTTTATGAGTGAGTCAACAACAGCCATCACTGACTTCCGAGTCCTTTACAACTAACAAAGAAGCTGTGGTTTTCACTGATCATACCCTTGGGTAAGCCTGTGAAATTGGAAAGTTGTTTAAAAAAATTCAGTAACACCAAAAACTGCGTAAGTAGCCAAGGCTATAATCAGAAATCACATTTGCATGCAGGTTTCTCTACTGGATTAACTTGTCAAGGCTGTACTAAAAACCAAGCTACACACTCATGGATCTTTTCATAGGAACTGAATAGTATCTTTAAACAAACTAGACTCAGCATCCCTGTTGTACCTTAGAACTTTGTCTAATTACTTGTAGCAAAAGAAGACAAGGTGGGACAGACCAGAGGATCAAGACCCTACACTCAGCTGGGCACTGTGGCTTATGCCTGTAATCTCAGTGCTTTGGAAGGCTGAGGTGGGTTGGATGGCTTGAGGCCGGGAGTTCATGACCAGCCTAGGCAAAATGGGGAAACCTCTACAAAACAGTTCAAAAGTTAGCCAGGCACGATGGTGTGTACCTGTAGTCCCAGCTACTTGGGAGGCTGTTGGGATGATTAGTTTGGGACTAGGAGGTCAAGGCTGCAGTGAGCCATTATCATGCCACTGTGATCCAGCATGGGCAAGGAAGTGAAACCCTGTCTCAAAAAAAAAAAAAAAAAAAAAAAAAAGACCCTACACCCTGTAGAACAGAAAGCATTGCAGAGGCTGACACCACTACTTCAGATAAACAGTTGGAAACTCTAAGACAGAGTAGAGAGTACTCCAGGAAGAAAAAAAAGGGATATTAGCCAAGAATACAAGGCCACAGAGAGACTGTGAGTCTCTTCGTAAATGTTATAAGACAGACCAATTGAGAAAGGAAAGTGGGCACTCCTCATTATAGGATGGGGTGCTCAGCACTTTGCAAAAATAGGACCTCATACATAAGGCTTACAATATAATTCAAGGGCAAATTTAAAAATTCCTATGCTGCCTTCTATGCCATTGCTGATGATAGAGGATTTCATACTTGCTATAATTTAGACAAGGGGTCAGCAAATTTTTTCTATAAAGAGCCAGAGAGTAAATATTTTAGACTTTGTGAGCCGTATTGTCTCTGCCACCGTAGACAGTTTGTAAATGAATGGACTTGGCTGAGTTCTGATAACATTTTAGTTACAAAAACTGGAGAGTGGGCCAGATTTTGGCAGTGGGCTATCCTTTGCAGACTCCTGATTTAGGTGCTAGAACATAAATGTTACTTAGATCAATATTAGTTAGGCTGATGTGGTCAGCATAATTCCGTGCTGGATTTTAGATCCAGTGGAAGTAAGTGCCAGGATTAGGGGGCTACCACACCCTCTTTCTTCTCTGGCCTCATCTCCTACTGCCTAACCTCTTGGTTGCTCCATTCATTCACACTGGTCGTACTGTTTTTCAAAGATCCAGGCAAGGTATGATTTCATTATTAGATCTTGGTGTTAATTCTGTCCAAAACAGCCTCCTCTGAGATATCCTCCCTTAAATATTTGTTGAAATGTCCTTATATTTGTAAGGGATGCATCAGAAAACAGATTTCATCCCAGACGTTCAAATGGATATAATTTAATCCGTAAGATTAGAGAAAGATGTAAAAAATGGCACAAGAGCAGGAAGCAAGGCTTAGAGGTAGAGTCACAGTACTCTGGGATAAGAGACCAAGAGGAGAGTCACAGTAGTTGAGTGCAGATTAAGAGTGGAATAGACAGCGGTGAAGGGGTAGAAAGGTGTGAGATATCTTTCTTCACACATCATAGGTCATGGCTGACACTCCTGTAACAAAAGACAGAGATTAACAAGAGAAAAGGATAGCAATTTATTTAATCAGTTTTTTACATGACACAGGAGCCTTCAGAAATGAAGACCCAATGACCCAGGGGGAACTGTCTATTTTGATGCTTAGGCTCATGAAGAATGGGTATCCACGTAGAAAGCTGACTAGACAAAAGTGTATAATCCATTGGTAATAGACTGAAGGGGGAAGCACAATAATGCCTTTCTATTCAAATATTTATTAGCCTCTTTGTGTAGGGTTTCTTCCTCCTAGGTGTGGGCAGGACCTTCCTAGAATAAGTGTCTGCAAGGGAGAAGGGAAAAAAGTTAGAATGAGCCTTCTAGGTTTTATGGCTTGCTTTGGAAGAGAATTTTTGTTTCCATGACGTGCCTCGGGGAAGAAGAATTTTACTTTCTATGATCCACCTTGGAGAATAGGAATTCTGAGTTCCATGACTGACTTCAGCAAAGAAAGAGAAGAAGGAAACAGGAGGATAAGAAGTCAGAAAGACCTTGCTTCTGAGGTCCTTCCAATCTCCTTTAGTTCAAAGTACTCAGCACACCAGGTACCAAACTTTAGGGTATTGTGTTCAGAGCCCTAACACTGACCTCGATTTGGGAAAAAGTAGTGTAGATGAACACATGGAATCAGGTAGAAAGAAGATGTATTGTTATCTTACATCACGGCCCATCAGAGAACACCCACTGAAGAGCAGACACTAAACAACAAAGTGGATGGGATGTCTTTTATCCAGCAAATGCCAGCTAGTATCTCTCCTTAGCTGCTTATAGTGGAGGCGCTCATAGTGGAGGTAGCCAAGGTGGCTGCTGGCAAGCCAACAGCATAGGCTCCCTCTCATCCAGGTTTCTATTGTGGCTGCAGAATATCCATCCTGTCATCATCAGAAACCATGACCTCAACAGGACACTGTTCTATGGGGAGGCCAACCAGCCACTTGGTTGCAAGTTGAGCATTTAGGATCATTCCAAAAAGGGGAGCAGTTGGTTTTGAGTAAGGCTCATTTAAAATTTGCTTTTCTTGCCAGCAATGGCTAGGACCATACTACTACTTAAGGATAGTATTGTTCACAGATATATTGGCATGGGACCCTGTATTATATACTCACAGGCAAAGAAACCTGTTTTATGGTGAAAGAGGTGTGTTAATGGACACAAGACGGTTGCATACTAAACCCCATATCACCCAAAAGGGTGAGGCCTGAGAAAATTAAAAGTGAAGCTAAGCATAAACTTGGAGATAATATGCGTGGGATTGTAGTGTTGTCCTTTGAGATGCAGAATGTGTGTTGACCTGACGGTCATTTAACCATTAAGATAGACTGTATGAGTCCAAGAACCAAAGAGTAAAAAGTGGAGCGACCTTATTTTCATGACTCTGAGAAGCCCAGTGCTTAAGCTTCCATGAGCCAGCCAGGGACTAGTCCGGAAAATAGATTTTTCTTGGGAATGTGGAAGGTTTGAGCAATCTCATCTATTGGGTTAACCCTCCTTTGCACAGTTATTTAGAAATTTAGAGGTAAATACCAGGTGAACACCAAAAAAAAAAAAAAAAAGAAAGAAAATCTAGAAAATGGAGATGTGTTTGCTTTTATGTGATAAAACTAAGGAAATGCAAAGGGTTCAGCACAGTACTCCTTGTGTAGGTAATAATTCTTATAAATGACAAAGCCAGAAGGCATTAAGTTTTAACCATACATATATGCAGTTATGTGTTTCTCTAATATACATACTCTACATTAGTTTCTCTTGCATATTGTTGATGGAAATTAACATCTTCTTTAAAATGCTCTTCTTTCTTACCATAATTAAATTTAAAAGAGAAAAAACATTTCCCATGCCAAATTATTTTAATATGTTTACCACACTAGCAATTTTCTAGATGTTTTCTCATCGCTTTCTTCATTCTGCTTCCATTTATGCACAATATATTATTTTTATGGAAGGCCAAAACCATACTTCAGCACTTTAGCATGTGTCAAAACTTTTCTGAATATTTTTAAACAAGTAGTCAATGTGTGCTATTTAACTAATCTTCATTAAATATTGGTGTTCTATGCTTTTTAAGCAAAATTGCTTAGATATTTGATATTATCAACACTAAGTTATAAAAACCTTTTTAGAAAATAAGTATGTTGTTAGAAAGTGTGTCAATAGAAAAAAATTCCATTCGAAGTCTTTCTTTTGGCTAAATGCAACCTATAATCTAAGACTCTGCCACACTACTTGTCAGAATGTCAAACATTTGCAACTGAAAAGACACTAGTTATGTAGAAAAATAAAAGTAATGAAAATGTAGCTATGTAAATCATACTGTCAGAAAAAAGCCTTGTGTTGTTTTTTTACTAGCATATCTTTTGCCAGCAAATTTTATTTAGCGTTAGATAATTAAATGTTCATTTGCCACAAAGGAAAGCAGTGCTTTTGATCTCTTCACAGTGAAAAGTTTCTGTTCTGTAATGGAGTAAAGCTCTAACTAGATTCCACAAAGGTATTATGAAAGTTTGTTCATGTCCATTTTAAATTAAAAAAGGAAATAGAGAACCGCTATTATGGCTTGATGATATATTTAAATTTTTTTTATAATTAGCAATTATTCTTTTACAGTCTTTTTCTTGTTTTATAACATTTATTCAGCCTTCTCTAAGAATAAAAAGACTAAAAGGGGCCTTCATCATTTTAATATTTATATTCAAATGTGAAAAAATAAGGCTGAAACTTTTGATGATAACACACAATATTTTAATTCTGCTGCTATGCATTATAGTACAGGTCAAAATAGATTTCTAGAGCCAAATATTTATTGCAGAAAATAGTATTGTCCTAATTCCAAGGACATAAGTTCTAATGATATAGAGACTCATCTAATTGCTATAAAATGCTAAAACTTATACGCATTGAAAAAAACAGGTAGGTTTCTTAAGAGAACAGGATTGCTGGCATGTTGAATAGTTTTGTGTTTTTTTGTTCTTTTATTTTTATTACTTTTTAAATTAATTTTTTCTTTCTCCCAGGTATTCACCTGGTATCTAAGCTAGTGAGTGTAATAAGAATAAATACAAGCTTGAGGCAAAAAACGAACTCTGGGAAACTATAAATGCTGGCGCGCCTTTACTTCTTATGAAAGCCAACCACCTGAATGATTAACTAAACCACCTCAAAGCAAGAAGAGAAATATTTATTGGAATTTCAGATGTAAAATGTTATCACAGAAACAGCAAATGCAATCCTCGTTTAGTTCAATGTACCATATCTTAATTCCAAAAGGTTTCCTTCATGGAAAGAAAAAAATAAGCACTTCAGATATGTTACAGAAATTAAATCTCCAGTAACCAGTGACTTCATAATGCCAAAGTTTGTGAAGAGTGAAATTATTTTCTTGTATTAGTGTATGTTTTAATAAATAAATGATTTTTCTTTTCATTTGGCAAGGCAGGTGAAAGAAGCATAAAATGCAACTCAGGAAAATAGAGCCAAATCAAATTTACATAAATGAACAAAAAAGCCTCCACTGTTGACCCATATTTGTGAAATAGTTTAGTATAATGTCATTCTGTTCTTGTTTCATGACTCTCTTGGAAGAAGAAAATTATCTCACTTTATTTCCAGGAAGAAAATATTCATTTTTATTTCAGGACATTGGATTATTACAAAATGTAGGCAAGCAAACAAGTATTTTCTGGTATTATTGAGTTGGCTTTGGGGTCATGAAAACGACTGACGCAAATTAATATCACTATAAATCATTATAAAAAGCAACTTGACCATGTCACTGTGCATAGTAGTGTTGCAGCAAAATAAATATAGCTTTGCTTAACTCTTATAGATTTTTTGTATCTTTTGACAAATAACTACAGCAGGAAACAAGCAATTCTTTTCTTTTTTTTTTCTTTTTTTTGAGACAGAGTCTCTCACTCTGTCGCCCAGTCTGGAGTGCAGTGGCGGCATCTCGGCTCACTGCAAGCTCCGCCTCCCGGGTTCACGCCATTCTCCTGCCTCTGTCTTTGGAGTAGGTGGGACTACAGGCGCCCGCCACCACGCCCGGCTAATTTTTTGGAGTTTTAGTAGAGACGGGGTTTCACCGTGTTAGCCAGGATGGTCTCTATCTCCTGTCTGGATCCCCTGACCTCATGATCCGCCTGCCTCAGCCTCCGAAAGTGCTGGGATTACAGGCGTGAGCCACCGTGCCTGGCCAGGAAGGAATTCTTAAATAACATTTACCCTTTCTTATTTTACAACATCATGAGAGGTGACAACGTGCTAGCAGCCCTCGCTGGCTCTCGGCGCTTCCTCGGCCTCCGCGTCCGCTCTGGCTGCGCTCCAGGAGCCCTTCAGCCCACCTCTGCACTATGAGGGCCCTTCTCTGGGGCTGGCCGAGACCTGAGCCGGCTCCCTCTGCTCTTGGGGAAGTGTGAAGAGAGAGGTGCCAGCAGGAGCCGGGGCTGCGCCCAGCGCTGGCCGGCCGGCGTGCGGTCTGGGTGGGCGTGATCTCAGCGCCTGCTGGGCTTGATCGGAGGCTGGGTCCCGTGCGTCGACCACCGTTCCCTCTTCGCGGGGTCTTTGGCCACGATGGCGGGTCTCCGTCTCTTTCTTGCTTCCCCTCTTTTCCTCTTGATTGTCTGGGAGGAGCTTTCTCTAGGCTGCCGGAGTGCCCGGGATAAGTGCCGCAAAGTCCCGCAGCCAGTGCCAGTGAGAGGTGAAACCGGCTGGGCTTCTGGGCCGGGTAGGGACTTGGAGAACTTTTCCATCTAGCTAAAGGATTGTAAACGCACCAATCAGCACTCTGTGTCTAGCTAAAGGTTTGTAAACACACCAATAAGCACTCTGTCCAAACGTACCAATCAGCTCTCTGTAAAATGGACCAATCAGCTCTCTGTAAAATGGACCAATCAGCAGGATGTGGGTGGGACCAGATAAGGGAATAAAAGCAGACCACCCGAGCCAGCAGCTGCAACCCTCTCAGGTCACCTTCCATGCTGTGGTGGCTTTGTTCTTTCCCTCTTTGCAATAAATATTGCTGCTGTTCACTCTTTGGGTCTGTGCCGCCTTTATAAGCTGTAACACTCACAGTGCAGGTCTGCGGCTTAACTGCTGAAGCCAGCGAGACCATGAACCATGGGGAGAGTGGAACAACTCTGGATGGGAGGAACCAACAACTCTGGACACCACCTTTATGAACTGTAACACTCATCTGGAAGGTCTGCAGTTTCAGTCCTGAGGCCAGCGAGACCAGGAACCCACCGGAAGGAATGACAACTCCAGATGTGCCACCTTTAAGAGTTGTAACACTCACGGGGAAGGTCTGCAGCTTCACCCCTGAAGTCAGCGCGACCACGAACCCACGAACCCACTAGAGAGAAGAAACTCGGGACGCATCTGAAAATATGAAGGAACAGACTCCAGACACACCATCTTTAAGAATTGTAACACTCGCTGCGAAGGTCCGCGGCATCATTCTTGAAGTCAGACCAAGAACCCACCAATTCCAGACACAATCATAAAATTAAACTTCCTCTAATAGAGAGGGACAGTAAATGTAATCTGTATTTCTGTTCATGCAGTCATTGGTAGTGAATTATTTAAATATATAAAATATTCTCCAATAATTTGTAACAGGACAATTACCTATCTAATTTTTGCTCTTTATAAAATGAAATGTAATCTCCGTCTAATAATTCAAATTGTTTTTAGAAGCTGGTCTAACAGGAATGTTTCTTATTCCATATGTTAACACACTTACTTTGTTTTTAGTTTTGGTCATCTTTATAAAATCACAAATCTCCTCTACATTATGTATTTATGCGAAACATACACTTCTCTTGGATTGTCAAAACGAACTCTCTCCCTTAAAAATCATTGTAATATTTAGCTTTAATAGCCTCTCCCCAGAGTGAAAGAAAACCTTATTATTTCTTACTATAAAAGCAAGAATGTGTCTATGCCAAATTTCTTTAATAACTGGGACCAGTTCTCACTGTCTTTATATGAACCAAGGTCAAGGGTTCATGAGGTTTAATAGCACGTAACATTCTCTTCTAGGGAATAAAACTGTGAAAAGTTATCCTGAGTGGAAAATCCACTTTATGATTACTTTCAAGGTAGTTTTGATAGTATATTATCCTTTTCCCATCAATCAGGGGTAATATAGATGTTTATATTGATTTTACTTACACTGAATTACTCTCAGAAATTCTACTTCATAAAAGAATGTCATAATTCATTTTGTTTTGCTTTTGAAAGCTCACGTGTACATTCCAAAGCATACCTATTATCCAAGGCAGCCACTGAAAGACTTGGGGAATCAAGTAATAAAATGGAAATAATATTTAAATTATTTGTTAATTGAGCATTAAGTTTCTCTCAAACTTTCTCATAATGGTATATGAATTAACTCAAATTAAATATTTCAAACTTGTAGTAGTTACCAGTAGTCTAAAAACCAGTCTTCTGATCGTCGTGATCAGCATAAGAAAATTGAAAGAGACAAAAAAAATCATATATAGATAGATAGATAGACTTAGAGCAAGTGTGAGTCAACTAACAATTGTATTTTGCTGCATTAGCAAAATATATTGCCCGGGATGCTACTACTCCATGAGGGTAATTAATTGTCTACTTTATATTTTGACTAGGAAGAGTTTCCGAAATTTTTGCTTGCTATTTCCAAATATCTATTTCAGACAGAGTTCTCCAGAGAAACAGAATCAATACCTATATAAAAATATATAGAAAGATAATTATTATGAGGGATTGGGTCATGTGATTTTGGAGGCTGAGAAATCCCATCAACTGCTGTTTGCAAGCCAGAGGCCCAGGAAGGCAAGTAGTATAGTGCCAGTCCAAACTTCAAGGTCTGAGAACCAGGGGAATCAATGGCAGAAATTCCATTTTGAGTCCAAAGTTCAGAGAACCAAATAACTGATGTCCAAAGAAAGAAAAAGATGCTGTCCCAGCTCAAGCAGAGACAGCCAGTTCTCCCTTCCTCTGCCTTTTTGTTCTGTTTGGGTCCTCAATGCATTGCATGAGCTCCACCCACATTGGTGAGGGCAATCTTTACTCAGTCTATCAAAATGACGCGTTCACAGACGCAGCCAGAAATAATGTTTTACCCGCTATTTGGGCATCCCTTAGCCCAGCCAAGCTGACCTTAGAAAAATTAACCACCACATTTTCTATGCATGTGCACACTCCAAAGGCTCCAAGTCCTGGAGGAATGAGTTGTCTTTTCTGTAATCACGTCAGATTAATTCAATAGGGAATCTCTCTTTTACTACTAATATGTTTAGTTTAAAGCCCTGGTTAACCTCCACACAATTTTAGGAGTAGAATTAACAAATAATACAGTGAGGATGCAGAAATGGCCAGAGGGAAGTTGTTTGATGGAGTTCTAGATCCACCTTTTCCACAACCACCCCAATCATGGGCTTAGTACTTAAAGAAGATTGCAAACAGTTAGGGGAAAAACATTTTCCTCTCTTCTTCCCAAAGGCTTTTGAGTATGAGAATTGGTGGATTTCAACAGCACGTTAATAGCCATACATCTCTCCCACCAACCCACACTTCCTCCACCACCACTTCTCATATGGGATTCCTTTCACTGACCTATACCTAGATTCTTTCTGCCTATGTGGCTCTCAAGAAGCTTCAGGATTTTTAACAGTTTATGTATCAGGACATTGTGCTGGGCTGCTCTTGGCGATCTTTCAAGTTAGACGAACTCCAAACAAAATTTTATAAATCTTATCTTTCAATGATTTCAGACTCCTCGTTTTGAAGTGGTAACTTTACAATAATAATATTTATGTTATTATTATATGTATATCACACGTATTTAACAAAATAATTGTTGCCATTTATTGAATCTATATGTATAGGAGTAGGTGTGGTGTGTGTATAAATATGTAAGTATATATTAATATATACCAGGTACTATTAAACATAATATAAGCATGCTTTTATTAATACTCAGAGCGGCCAGGCATGGTGGCTCACGCCTGTAATCCTAGCGTTTTGGGAGGCTGAGGCGGGCGGATCACGAGGTCAGGAGATCAAGACCATCCTGGCTAACACGGTGAAACTACATCTCTACTAAATATACAAAAAATTAGCCGGGCATGGTGGCAGAAGCCTGTTGTCCCAGCTACTCGGGAGGCTGAGGCAGGAGAATGGTGTGAACCCGGGAGGCGGAGCTTGCAGTGAGCCAAGATCGTGCCACTGCACTCCAGCCTTGGCGACAGAGTGAGACTCCGTCTCAAAAAAGAAAAAAAAAAAATACTCAGAGCAACTTTGTGAAGAAACTATTGTCCAGAGGCAGTAAGTCAATCATGAGAAATGAAAGCTTACAGCTGTGGTAGAGATGTATGTGGCCCAGTCCTTCTGAAGAACTTCTTTCTCCAGCTACTGGGAGTGCTGCCAGCATAAAACTCTCGGCTGTCAGCTTTCTCCAGAAATTGTCCTCAGCTGAAGAGTGCTATCTTGTTGAAGAGCACTCCCTTTTCTTAGGGCCAGACCTCATATGGTGAGTGGGATGATACAGTGATATCATGGCTCAGAAACTCTTTTCCAAATGGAACAACTCCAAAGTGTCATTCCAGCTTCCAAGGTCCCTGTGGGGTTTGCTGAGACTTTTGTTCTTCCCGTGGCCAATCTTGATTTTTTTTTTTACCCCCTAAGATGTAGATCCAGAGAGTATTCCCCAATTAACTTCCCGCAAGCTGATCTGTGACTTCAGAGTCAGCTTCTTGTAAAACCCAACCTTCAACGGTGACCATCTAATCTATTGTCAAATCCGAGATTTTCTTTTTTTTGTAAGTGAAAGAGTGTGCTAATTGGATGGAATGCAGGTGCAATAGGCACAGACTACAATAGTCCCAGGTGAATTGAGACTTTGTGGTCACTCCAGGTTTCAGGTAATAGAAACATGGGTTCAATACCACCTTACTAGTTGTGGAATGTTGGGCTGATTATTAACCTTGCTAAGTCTCACTCTTCTCATTTGTAAATGCAAGATAATAATACCTGCTCTACTGGAGAATTGGAATATTGGGAAGATAATATGTATAAAACACTGATATATTGCCCAGGACTTACATGGGAGATGTTATCATTATACTCAATTTATCGATGATATGAAGCTCAGAGAGATTAAGTAAGCCCAAAGTTCACACATCTCATTACATGGAGCAGTCAAAATTCAAACTCAGTTTTCTAATTCTAAAAACCATCTTGATAATCTATCAATTTGTTACACTATTTTTCTGGTCATTTTAAGAATTTATTATGTGAAACTTAAAACACCACTCCTTAACTATCTGATGTATTGAGTACTCTTTTGATTATAATTGACAAAAACACATTCAAACAAGCTTAATCAACAAAGAAATTTATTCACTCATGTAGTAGAAAACCTCAGGGGGTGCTCTCTGTACAAGCCTGGCTGCTCTCATGCCCTGCAATGGTAATGTAAGAATTTTGCCTCTCTCATTCCATATTTGATCTATTATTTTCCGTGTTGACTTTGTTTTCAGTCTGACTTTTCTACACATTTGGAAAGATGGCTGTTGGCAGCTCCAGGCCAATATAGCATGCAATTCCAGATCTGAGGAAAGCAAAATTCTTTCTTTTCCACCATTCATACTAATCCCTTAAAAGAGTTTTTGGGTCCTACCTGGGACATGTACCTTTGTGAGGTACACTTTGACCTCTCTTCTTAAACCTCCAAATTTTTCTGCCCTTCCTCTCTCAGCTAATATTCTTGTTTTTCATTTTACAGTGAAAATGATAGCAGCCAAAAGAGAATTTCCTGATGCTCCCACCATCAAATCCATCAGCATACCTGCATCTGAAATCACATTCTTTGCTTTCCTTCCTTTGAGAGTGGCTGGTCTGTCAGTATTTCTACCAAAGACCACACCACATCCTATCCTCTTACCAGAGAACATTTTCCTGAAAATGACAATTTCTGCGTTCCCCCTTATGTTTTCCCCTATACTGAATCGTTCCGATTATCATTTGTTTCAAATGAAGAGTTATAATTCAATATATCTTTTAGTGCAATGAGTGAGAGATAAAGGTTACATTTAACATTAAGATTGGTTCAGAACATAAAAGTTCTTTTTGCACCGTGTTGGAAACTATTGAAGTACTATCTTCACAGCGTAACTCTCCGTACATGCACTTCATTCCTCCTCAATTTTTCTGCCTTTCTCCAATACAGTACCTGATACTGCCCTACTTTCTATTCTCTTATATCCTTATTTTTTCCTAATTGAAAGAGAACAGTGATGATAATTAAACAATTGAGTGAAAACCAATTCCTGCAATAG
This sequence comes from Homo sapiens, assembly GCF_000001405.40. NCBI lineage: Eukaryota > Metazoa > Chordata > Mammalia > Primates > Hominidae > Homo > Homo sapiens. The sequence goes on along the minus strand of NC_000021.9, from coordinate 27,879,621 downwards.
TGCTGGATGCTTAATAGGTAACATCTTCTGCTCGAGTTACTGAGACTTCACCTGCTTTGAAGCTACTGATCTCAAAGAAGCTTAAGGAATAATTATGGAGGAGATAATTTTAGGTAAATTTGAATTTATAAGGAAATGTTGTCCAGGAAAATTATAGGGTTCATTTTTTACCAGGCTTGAGACATATTTGGTACAGAGAATATTAGGGAGTGGTTAGTCAGAATGGCGGCTTTGGAAAATGAATTTAACTGTAAGAAGTCTGTTGAGTACATATAACAGTGGAATAAAATGGTGGTGGAGGGAAAGATCAGTTCATATGATATATTTTGACTTCAAATTTCTAGTCTCTGAGGATTAAGAAGATACCAGTGAAGAAAGGTTTGATTTTCAAACAGAAGCAGCCAATGTCCCATGACACCATTAATAAAAAAAAAAATAGATAACACTTTAGAGTTTGCAAAGTTCATTTATTTTGATTATCTAATTCCAAAGTGACACAACCTTATGAGGTAGCAATTGCTATACTTTAATAAGGAATGGAAACTAAGAGAAATTAAGTAAGATTTACCTTGGATTTCCAACGTAATCCAATAAGTGAGTCAAACCCAGGCTATAGGTAAAGAAATTGGCCACTCAGTTCTACAATATGTATGTTCACCATTGTAGAGTGCTGCTATCTTTTGAAAAATGGCCCTGAGTGAAACATGCTGTCCAGTATTCACTTTTCTGTATAGTTTTTAACCAAAATAAATGAGGGCTTGCCGTATGTAAACAATAGAATGTGGCATGTTTCTTTTTCTCTTGGAATGTGTAGTCTGTGGGAAGCCAACTTTTTGAACATGAAGTTCAAGCACTCTGAGGACTCTAAGTTTGAGGAAGCCAAAGCTAGCCATATGGGGAGTCCACAAAAAGAAAAAGAGCTATAGTGTCTGCTCTTTTAGCAATCCCACCTGAGGTGTCAGACATGTGAATGAAGATACTTTCTTGGTTGTCCAGTCTAGTTGAACTTTCAGATGACTCTAGATTCTGCTACATCTGACCGACACTCCAGGAGATATCTGAAGTGAGAAATAACCAGTTGAGCTCAGTCAACACACATTACCATAAATAATTATTTTGGTTTCCAAGTTTGGGGGTGACTTTTTGTGTAGCATTAGATAAACAAAACCCTGCTTAACTCCAAAGTTGGGGAAGCGGAGAAATAAAAGGATCACATAAGGTAAATAAGGGGCATTGCTTTGCAAACTTTGAAAAATACTATATAGAATGTATGGATGTAGTGAAATACATAGAGACTTAGAAGTCATAAGCCTTGAGTTTGAATCCTCCTTTTGATATTTTCTCACTCTGTGACTCTTGGATAAATCACACTCGATTTCTCCTAGTCTAAATGTGATTATCAATAAAATTATGATCATAAAGCCTTGCTCTGTTTAGAGTCTTAGGTGAGAAAATGTGGTGTGTAAATGATTTTGTAAATTTTATAAAATTATACATATATATTTCATATTGCTATTATTATAGTTAAAAATACAGAGTCAGGATAATTTCATCCTGTGCACAAGAGGCAGATTATGTTTGAATTAATCAAATAGAATTTGAGCACAGGAGTCATTCACCCCTTCATTCAACATGCTATTTAGCACTGAGTATACATCAGAAACTGTGCTCAAATCTTGGTATCTGACACTGAAAAAAACAGATAAAAAAACTGTCTGTGTGGAGCTTACACTCTAACACTTATCAAATAAATGTCCATTTAGTCAGCTTCTATTAACGTTATAGGAATCAAATTATGCTCTGATTATTCTCAGTCATCATAGTGCTGGTGGTGGCAAAGTGACAAATTTTGTGGAGATAATGGCAGAGAATTTTTATTTTGAAACAGTAATAGAATAATTATTAATTCTTGTGAGAATGACTGAAAATTCTATCACACTGTTTGGCAAAGGGAGAGGGGGAAATTCAGCATCATATTGTTCTTGGAAAATGACAATTTCCTAGATTTCTCTAGTTTAAAAATAGTGAAATATGAAATTTGATGTTTCTTGTGGAAATGTAGTGAAACAGACACTCATCTGAAAAGGTTACTTCCCTCCTAGTGTAAGCACTTGAGGACTCAAACATCGACCAGTTTTCCATGAAAATAATTTGCTTTAAATTATTCGAAGTGCCTGAAAGGGAAAAATATATTATTAAATGGGCCTATCACATAGAAAAATACAAAATCCACAAAGTGGACATCTGAGTACTGCCTTTCTAGGTTTACAGCATGAAATGTCAGAAATAATAGCATTGAAAAGATATGAATTTAGAATGGCGTGATGTAGCCAAAGTGAACAGTATCACTTACATGCTTCCCAACAACCTGCAGGTTTGAGATAAGAAGGAATCCTGTTTCAATTCCATGAAAGACGGTGTGCCTACTATACATCATGTAAATGAATTTCTAAAAACTTATATGCTTAGAAGTTATTTCATGATTACTAACCCTCGGAAAGAAGATGACCACAGGAGTCAGATAATTCTAAAATATAAGGGAGTTGAGGGAAAAGACATTTGTTCAATGAAATGGGTAAGGAAAGGAAACGGATCCAATTGTTTACAGCTACATTGTGTTATTTAGGAAGGAACCACTACCTTCTGAATATTAAAAAGCATTTCTGAAAAGGTCAAGTTTAAGGCTGAATCTTGATCTTAAATTGGATTTAAATTATATACGTAATAGATATCTTATTTTTATCTTATTAGCAAGTGATCATGAAAATATTTTTACTTCTAGTGATATTACATTTGACCGTAATATGAAAAAGAAGAGTGATAGCAATACAAATGATGATGTGAGGGCATATGCAAATTATCTCCTCCATATAAACAATTAAAAATGTGCAAAAATAATCAGAATCAGCTCTTTTAAAACTCTGGAAATTAGCCAAATACTTTGAGGAATCTGAAAATAATTTATTTAATAAACAAAAAAACAAAAGAGAAAGGCTAAATTATGGTAAGAGCTGTAAGCTTTGTGGTATTTTAAGCTGCCTATTCTCATCACCCTGTCTCAAGTTCTACAGTTACCCTGAAAACAAATATCCCTCAGTCGCTGACTACTAGCAGCCTGGCAGCCTTCAGCTTAGTTCCCTGAGAATTATTGTTTGACCTGGAACGTGGCTTACTGCAAGATACCACTTATAAAACTGTCTTTATTTGACCTCATTTGTAGCTGGCCCATGAAAGTCTTTTTAACTAGCATACTTATTGAAAATATTGAAAGGCAAATTCTTTAAATCATGGTAGAATGAAGTGGTAGATAACAGTTAGGGCAAATAATACGGTAGCTGGAAAACTTAAAAAGCTAGGAAATGTACATAGGAGTTCCGGAGACTTCTGACATATTACTGGCACTATAAAAGGTCACACACATGTATGATTGTGCACATTCTAAGCACAATGCTTATTCTCAAGAAAAATATGAGAAGGCCCTAAGCTTTCACCTCCAGATGACCATGAAGCTATGGGAAAGCAGAATGTGAAGACTAAGGCAGAGTTGTCAACCAACCAGCTGGGTGTTAAAAGTGTGGCCTAAAATGCACACAGAGCCACTCAGCAGAGACTGGAAGAGTTACGGGTTCCAGGTCTTTAATGAAATTTCTGTCTATTCTTTCACTGACTAGTAAGTTAAGCAAACAGAGACTTCAGTGTTCAAACATGATAAAAAACAAAAACTTTAGACAATTAGTTCAGAAAATTCACTAAAGAAACAAATGACAACAAAAACAAATAGCAAAATCAACAAAATTTGAAGGGAGTAAAATATAATTTTCAGAGTTGTCACATTTTTATTATTTAAAATGTTCAGTTTTCAACAAAAACTTATAAGGCATACAAAAAGTAAGACAATATGGCTCATACACAGGAAAACACGCAATCGATAAAACTGTCCATGAGAAATCTCAGGTGTTTGGCTTAGTAGACAAAGGTTTTTAAATCCACCATGATAAAAATTTGTTTAATAACTAAAATAAGCTATTCCTAAAAATCTAAAGGAACATTTGAGAATAAATGTCTCACCAAATAAATAATACTAATAAGCAATTGTATAAATATATATTAATTATAGAATTAAAATGTATAATAACTGTATAAAAATGTACTGGAGTGACTTAACAGCAGATTTTAGCAAGCAGGGAAAAGAGTTAGCTAACTTAAATATAGGTCAATGAGATTATCTAATGCAAGAAACAGAAAGAAAAAGAAATAAAGACAAATAGACTGACTCAGAGATACCATCAAGCATAGCAAAACATGTATAATGGAAGTCCCAAAAGGAGAGGGAACAGAAGAGAAATGGGGCATAAAAATATATGAAGAACAATACAAAACATACTTAAAAACTTCCAAAATTTGATAAAGAATACTAACTTGCACATCCAAGAAGATCTATGACTCCCAAGTAGGATAAACTCAAAGAGATTCACATTTTTAAAAAATTATAATTAAACAATCAAAAGAAAATGACAAAGAAAGAATCTTGAAAACAACAAGAGAGGAGCAATTCATCATGTGCAAAAGAGTCTGAATAATTTTTCACTGATTTTTCATTAGAAACCATGGAAACCAGAGGCAGTGAGATGACATTTTTAAAGTTTTGGAAGTAAATGACTATCAACGATTAATTTCATAACCAACAAAACTATACTTCAAAAATGAAAAAGAAGTGAAAATATTCTCACTTATTCTCTGAAACCAAAACTGACAGAATCTCCTACTAGCAAAGTTTCCATGCAAGAAATATTAAAAGAGGTATTTCAATATGAAATAAAATTACACTTGACAATATCTAGAGTCCATATAAACAAATGCAGAACAATAGAAAAAGCAAAAATTAGAAATATATGAAAGAGAATGTAAATGTATTCTTTGTAACTATTTTCTTTTCTCCTACCTGATTCAAAAATAAACTGCATAAAGCAATGGTTATAAGTAATGTACCGATTGGCATACAATGAATAAAGATGTAATATGTATAGTAATACAACAAAGGAAGAAGGAGAGAACAATGCTATTTAGAATCAAAATTTTTGTATGCTATTAAAATTAAGTTGATGGTAAATCTAACTAGATTTTTAAAAATTAAGATACTACTTGTAGCCCATCAGGCAACCCTAAGAAAATAACTTATAAAATATAATAAAATCAGTGATAAGGGGATTAATACAGTGCATTAAAAATATCTATTGACTAAAGAAAAGGCAATCTTAGAAAAATAGAGAAATAAAAAAGCAGAAGACATATAGAAAACAACTGGTAAACTGGCAAACATAAATTCTATGTATCAGTAATTACATTAAATGTATATAGATTAAAAACTCCATTTAAAATAGAGTTTGCAGATGGGTTTAGAAAAAACATAATCCAACTATCTGTTTTATTCAGCAGGCACACTTTATATTCAAAGACACAAACAGTTTGAATACAAATGACTGAATAAGATAAATCATTCAAACAGTAATCAAAAGAGACCTGGTCATAATAACACACAAAACAAACTTCAAGAGATAAATTGTGATTAGCGAGAAAGAGCATTTTACAATGATAGAAAGGATTAATACATCAAGAAAACATAACAGTAAGCACATATGCCCCTATCAAGAGAATCCCAAAATACATGAAGGAAGAAATAAAGTAGGCAATATAAAACTTCCCTCCACCAATACACACATAATCCCTAGAATAGATGGCTTTACTGATACATTCTACCAAATGTTTAGAAGAGTTTACACTAATTCTTCACAAACACACTCAAAAAATAGAAAAGGAGGGATTATTTTCCAACTCTTTTTATAAGACTAGTAAAACCAGACAAATACGTCACAAGTAAAACAAATTAAGAATCCCTATTTGTTTTTCCCAAGGTGGCAGATTAGAGGCTTTTATGATGCCTCAGCCACTTGGAAGTAGTAAGTAGTGCATAAAGATCAACTCTGTGAGCTTTAATTCAAGAAGAAAATGGGAAATCATCAGAATTGTGAAGGGCACTCCAGATCCTGTGGAGGAGAAAGAACACTGACAGACAGTCTCCATGATGGTATCTGCCTGGTAAAAGTGATTGAAGCTCCAGGAGGATACGAGAGAGGCAGAGAGCCTCCCTATGTGACTCATTTTTCCATTGGGAACTCAAGCGACCCAGGTCGAGAAACAGCACTGTCTTTCTCCCAAGCCCTAGAGCCAGCATGGGGAGAGGCTTGGAGATGTTGTGAGGGAAAGACACTGGGAAAAGCTGCAGACATTTTCCCAGACCTGGGACCAAGAACAGGATAACATTTTTAATCCAGGCATACAAAGTCAGGCATTCTTTGGCAACTTGGCAGCATGACCACTCAGGAATTTTATTCTTGAACCAGAGATTGGGGGGGGGGGCCTGCTCTAGAGTGGGATAAGGGCCTCCACCACCAGAGCTATGGAAAGCACATCCAGAGTGGACACTGAAATTGTGCTTTCCCTTGTCACAAGCCTGGGGCAGGAGGAGTGCTGCTACAGCTGCAGTTTCTTCTGGGTGGTGAGATTTGCAGCCAAGGCCAGCCTAGTGACCTGGAATTGGTCTGTGTGTGCCATTTCTAGGTGTCTCCATCTGCCCTACCAAGATAATAGTGCAGTGAGGTCCTCTGCTCAAACCCCAGGCAAAAATTCAGGCATTTGGCGCAGCTGCTTTCCTGGACTAGCAGCCTTAGCCACTCAACTCTTCATGAACATAGATTGTGGTGCAGAGCAGCCCCCTACACTTTATGCCAAGGCAGATCTCCAGGCATTAGGAGCATCTGTTCACTGGGTTCAGAGCCTAACCTGCTCCACCCTTCCTGTACAGAGATCCTGGTGCAGTGGGGCTTTCTCTGCTCCATAACCAGGCAGGCCTCCAGACATTTACTCACTTGAATCAGCAGCCTGACTCACCACTATTCTTTCTGTTCAGAGCTACGGTGCAGGGAGGCCTTCTCTGCTTTATGCCTGGGCAGATCTCCAGGCAGTTAAAGCACCTGTTCTTCTGGTTCAGCAGCCTGAGCCACCCAACCTTCCTGGACGTAGATCATGATACAGAATGGCCCTCTCTACTCCACACTCAGGCAGACCTCCAGACATTCAGAGCACCAACTTGCCTGGATCAGCAGCTTGATATGCCCCACCCTTCCTGGCCAGAGGTCTTGGTGCAGGGGCCTTTGCTGCTACATGCTCAGGTAGATCTCCAGGCATTCAAAGCTTCTGCTTGCCTGGTTCAGCAGCCTGAATCACCCCACCTCTTCTGTGCAAAGATCTTGGTGCAGTTGGTTTCCCTACTCCTAATTCAGGAAGGTGGGTGCTCTGAATGCCTGGAGAACTTCCCACAATCCTGTTGTATTAGTCTGTTCTCAGGCTGCTAATAAAGACATACTTGGGATTGGGTAATTTATAAAGGAAAGTTTTAATTGACTCACAAATCCACATGGCTGGGGAGGCCTCACAATCATGGTGGAAAGCAAAGGGGAAGCAAACACGTCTTACATGGCAGCAGGCAAGAAAGAGTGTGTGCAGGGGAACTCCCCTTTATCAAACCATCAGATCTCATGAGTCATGAGACTTATTTACTATCACAAGAACAGCATGGGAAAGACCCACTTCTAAGATTCAATTACTTCCCACTGGGCCCCTCCCACAACACATGGGGATTGTGAGAGCTAAAATTCTGGATGAGATTTGAGTGGGGACACAGCAAATAATATTCCACCCGTGGCCCCTCCCAAATCTCATCCTCACATTTCAAAACCAATCATGCTTTCCCAACAGTCCTCCAAAATCTTAACTCATTTCAGCATTAACTCAAAAGTCCACAGTCCAAAGTCTCATCTAAGACAAGGCAAGTCCCTTCTGCCTATGAGCCTGTAAAATCAAAAGCAAGTTAGTTACTTCCTAGATACAATGGAGATACAGGCATTGTGTAAATACAGCTATTCCAGATGGGAAAAATTGGCAAAATGAAGGGGCTACAGGCCCCATAGAAATCCAAAATCCAGCAGAGCAGTCAAATCTTAAAGCTCCAAAATGATCCTTTTTTCTCCATGTCTCACATCGAGGTCTCACTGATGCAAGAGGTAGGCGCCCATGACCTTAGGCAGCTCTGCCCCTGTGTCTTTACAGGGTACAGCTCCCCTTCTGGCTGCTTTCATGAGCTGGCATTGAGTGTCTGCAGTTTTTCCAGGTGCATGGTGCACGTTGTCAGTGGATCTACCATTTTGGAGTCCAGATGATGGTGGCCCTCTTCTCACAGCTCCACCAGGCAGTGCCCCAGAGGGTGCTTGACTCCACATTTCCCTTCCACTCTGCGCTAACATGAGGTTTTCCATGAGGACTCTGCCCCTGCAGCACACCTCTGCCTGGACATCCAGACATTTCCACAAATCCTCTGAAATCTATGTGGAGGTTCTCAAACCTCAATTCTTGATTTCTGTGTACCTGGAGGCCCAAAGCCACATGTAAGCTGCCAAGGCTTGAGACTTGCACCCTCTGAAGCAATGACCTGATCTACATACACTGGCTCCTCTTAGCCATGGCTGGGATGCAGGGGAGCAAGTTTGGAGAGTGTTCAAAGCAGCAAGGCCCTGGACCCAACCTATGAAACCATTTTTTCCTCCTAGGCCTCTGGGCCTGTGATGGGAGGGGCTGCCATAAAGACCTCTGACATGCCCTGGAGACATTTTCCCCATTGTCTTCATGATTAACATTTGGCTCCTTATTACTTATGCAAATTTCTACAGCCAGCTTGAATTTCTCCTCAGAAAATGGGTTTTTCTTTTCTATCACATCATCAGGCTACAAATTTACCAAACTTTTATGATCTGCTTCCCTTTTAAACATAAATTTCAACTCCAAATCCTACCTTTCTGAATAAATAAAACTGAATGTTTTTAACAGTACCCAAGTCACTTCTTGAATGCTTTGCTCCTTAGAAATTTATTGCACCAGATGCCCTAAATCATCTCTCTCAAGTTCAAAGTTCCACAAATCTTTAGGGCAGGGGAAAAATGCTGCCAGTCTCTTTGCTAAAGTATAACAAGAGTCACCTTTGCTTCAGTTCCCAACAAGTTCCTCATCTCCATCTGAGACCACTTCAGCCTGGACTTTATTGTCCATATCACTATTAGTATTTTGGTCAGAGCCGTTCAATAAGTCTCTAGGAAGTTCCAAACTACCATGTCGTTTATTTTTCTTCTATAAAACCAGAAAAAAACTAATAATTCATATGAAACTCCAAACAGCCAAAATAGCCAAAGTAATCTTAATCACAAAGAACAAAGCCAGAGGAATCATGTTTGCTGACTTCAAAATATACTATCAGGTGACAGTAACCAAAATAGCATGGTGCTGGTGCCAGAACAGCATGGTATTGGTACAAAAACACATAGACCAATGGAACGGAACAGAGAACCCAGAAATAAAGCTGCACACCTACAGATATCTGATCTTTAACAAAGTTAAGAAAAATAACCAACAGGGAAAAGACTACTCCCTATTCAATAAATGGTGCTGGGCTAGTTGGGTAGCGATATGTAGAAGAATGAAACTCAACCCCACCTTTCACCATATAAAAAAATTAACTGAGGTTGGATTAAAGATTTAAACATAAGACCTCAAACTACAAGAATCCTAGGAAACACCATTCTGGACATTGGCCTTGGGAAATAATTTATGACTAAGTCCTCAAAAGCAATTGCAACCAAAACAAAAATTGACAAGTGGGATCTAATTAAATTAAAGAGCTCTGCACAGTAAAAGAAATTATCAACAGAGAAAACAGGCAACCTACAGAATGAGATAAAATACTCACAAACTACACTTCCAACAAAGGTCCCAATACCCCAAATCTATAAGAAAATTAAACCAATTAATAAGCATAAAACAATGAATACAAATGAACAAAAGACATGAATAGACACCTCTCAGAAGAAGACATAAAAGTGGTTTACAAACATATAAAAAATTCTCATCACTAATCATCAGAGAAATGCAAATCACTACAATGAGGTTCCATCTCACATCAGTCAGAATGGGTATTATTAAAACATCAAAAAATAACAGATGCTGGCAAGGCTATGGAGAAAAGGGAATGCTTGCACACTTTCAGTGGAAATCTAAATTAGTTCAGCCACTGTGGAAAGTAGTTTGGAGATTTTTTAAAGACTTTAAAAGGGAATTACGATTTGACCCAGCAATCCCATTACTGGTTATGTATCCAAAAGAAAACAAATTGTTTTAGCAATAATACATAGGCTCTCATATGTTCCTCGCAGTCCTATTCACAATAGCAGCCATGAAATCAACCTAGGTGCCCACTAATGGTGGAATGGATAAAGAAAACATGGCACATATACATGATGGAACACTACACAGCCATAAAAATAACAAAATCATGTCCTTTGCAGCAACACAGATGTAGCTGGAGGCCATTATCCTAAGCAGATTAATGCAGTAACAGAAAACCAAATACAGTCTTTTCTCAATTATAAATTGGAGCTAAATATTAGGTACTCATAAACGTAAAGATGGCAAAAATAGACACTGGGTACAGCTAGCAGGTGGAGTGAAGGAGGAGTAGAGGCAAGGGTTGAAAAACCTGCTTTTGTGTACTATGTGTAGTACCTTGGTAAATGGGATCACTTATACCCCAAACCTTAACATCAGACAATATATCCAAGTAACAAAGCAGCACATATGCCCCATGAATCTAAAATAAATGTTGAAAAAAACTGTCTGATATTCCTTATAAATACAAAGCAAACAAAAAAAACCCTCAATCAAATACTAGCAAACTAAACCCAGTAACTTTAAATAGGATTACACACCATGACCAAGTAGGATTTATCCCAGATACACAAATATGCTTCAACAATGGAGAATCAATTAATAAAATATTTATATTAATAAAATAAAGGATCAAAAAGGATAATCATGACAATGGTTGTAGAAAAATCTTTGGAGAAAATCCCACACTCATTCATATTAAAAAACCTATGACACTTAACAAACAATATGACACTTAAAACACAAGCAACACAAGAAAAATATTGTTAAATTGGACTTCATTAAAATTAAAGGCTTTTGATCTACAAAATACACCACTTATAAAGGGGAAAACCAAGTATAGCAGGACTAAAATATTTTCACATTGTGTATCTGATAAGGACTTATGCATAATATATACGGAACTGTTACAACCAAAAAATCAAAAGACAAATAATTAAAAAATGAGCAAGTAATTTGAAAGACTTTACGCCAAGGAAGATATACAAATGGCCAACAGGCACACGAAAGTATGCTGACTGTTATTAGCCATTAGGGAAATGCAAATCACAATCATAATGAGATGAAACTTCACAAATACCAGAATAACTATAATAAAAAAGACAGATAATAACAAGTGTTGTTGAGGATGTAAAAGAATTAGAACTCTCATACATTGCTTCTCAGAATGTAAAACAGTTTCTTTGAAAAACAGTTTAGAAATTCTGCATAAAATCAAACATAGAGCTGCCATATGACCCAGAAATTCTACTTGTAGGAATATACCCAAGAGAACTGACCATGTCTGTTCTATTTGTTCACACAAATACTTCTACATTAATGTTCATAGTAGCATTATTCATAATAAACCAAAAGTGAAAATAATTCAAGCGCCCATTAACTGATGAGTGTGTAAATAAAATGTATTTTTTAATCTAGAATTAAAACCTTGAACGTCAATACTCAAAAATTTCTATTTTAAAAAATATATGGTTTTCCATTTCATTATATTTTCTGCAGTTTTATTCCATCCATATATGGAAAAGATAAATCGTATGAGAAAAGAGGACAGAGTTCATAAAGAAAGACTAGTGTTCCACAAAACCCTTAAATTCACTGGAAGAGAAGGTCCTTGACTCAGGGCCCATGAAGAAGAGTCCAATCAAGCCACCTGAAATTCTTAAACTTTTCTTCTTGCCACCTGTTTTGGATAAAATGCAAATGAAAATTGCTTATCTAGGTTCTCTGTAGCCATTCAACATAGGCTTACCAAGTTAAAAGTTTTAATTCTAGATTTTAGACTCTGAGAAATGCAAATCAAAACCACAATGAGATACTAACACCAGTCAGAATGGCTATTATCAAAAATAAAAAAATGAAAGATGCTGGCAAGGTTGTAGAGAAAAAGGGATGCTTATACACAGTTGGTGGGAGTGTAAATTAGTTCATCCATTGTGGAAGACAGGGTGGTGATTCTTCAAAGACCTAAAGAAAGGAATACCACTCAACCCAGTAATCCCATTACCGGTACTAGTCTGTTCTCATGCTGTTAATAAAGATGTATCTGAAACTGGGTAAATTATAAAGAAAAGAGGTTTAATGGACTCACAGTTCCACATGGCTGGGGAGGCCTCACAATCATGGCAGAAAGAGAATGAGGATCAAAGTCACATCTTACATGGAGGCAGGCAAGAGAGAACTTGTAACTTGTGCAGGGCAACTCCCATTTATAAAACCATCAGATCTCATGAGATCTATTCACTATCAGGAGAACAGCATGGGAAAGACCTGCCCCCATGATTCAATTATCTTCCACTGGGTCCCTCTCATGCCACATGGGAATTATGGGAGCTATAATTCAAGATGAGATTTGGGTGGGGTAACAGCCAAACCTTATCAATACCCAAAGGAATATAAATTACTCTATTATAAAGACACATGCATGCATATCTTCATTGCAGCACTATTCACAAAGCAAAGACATGGAATCAATCTAAATGCCCATCAGTGATAGACTGGATAAAGAAAATATGGTACATATTCATCATGGAATACTATGCAGCCATAAAAAGAGTGAGATCATGTCCTTTTTAGGGACATTATGGAGCTGGAGGCCATTATTCTTAGCCAACTAATGTAGAGACAGAAAACCAAATACCACATGTTCTCACTTATAAGTGGGAGCTAACTGATGAGCACACATGGACACAGAGGGAAACAACACCCACTGGGGCTTTTCACAGGGTAGAGGGTAGAGGGAGAGGATCAGGAAAAATAACTAGTGGGTATTAGGCTTAATATCAGGGTGATGAAATAATCTGTACAATAAACCACCACAACACAAATTTACCAATGTACCAAACCTGCACTTGTACTCGTGAACTTAAAATAAAAGTTAAAAGAAAAGTCTAAGAGTTCATTAAACATGGAAAAGAGCAAAGAAGATTATAGGTAGATTAATAGTGGATAGAGAGATAATGATCAAAACTAATTTTAATAAATAATTGAACCATTGGTTGTTTCTTATCAACTTCCTTTCTGGAATATAGACTTTATGAGGGCAAGCCCCATGACATTTATAAAATTATCTCAATAACCCTCTTACCTTGGAGGTGGGCACTCAAATAAATAAATAGATGAAAGGTGAAGAAAAATGAAAAAACAATGTGTTTGAAGAAGTGACTGTGTTTCTCTGTGTGTGTGCATGTGTGTGTGCAGAATCTGTAGGATGTTATGAGCTTATTGATTAGCTTATTGATTTTTAGAATGGGAAAGAAAATTTAGGGTCAGATTAAAATGGGCCTTGAATTATAATTATCACATTGGATATGTTTATCATTTGTAGAAAATTTGAAGTCATTTCAGGTGATTTAGCCATGATGTTTTTATTCCTACCTCTTTAAACTTACAATGTGATATAAGAAATCAGGGGCTTCTCACTCAAATCACAGTGAAATTTTTAAATCTTCCTTGCCTAAAAATTAGTTGATATCAGACTTTTAAAACTTGCTTGTCATTTAACCCTTCTTCATCTTCTATTCTCCTTAAACAGTTAACCATGTCTTTAGACACGGGTCTATACCTTGAATTAAAACAAAAGGAAAATGATCAATTTTCACCAGATCCAGAATTTTCTATTCTGAAAGTGGTAAAATGAACAGGAACTCCTTTTCCATTCCATTTAGTTACAATGTAAGCGAATTTGAATTATATGGATTTTAGTTAGCTCCATATGTTATATGAATAAATTCTCGATTTGTGTGTAAAACTCGAAATCATCTTTCAAATATTGCCATCTGGAGGCATTGTAAACTTTGTTTATACCATTGCCTTGTGCAGGTATTATTTGAGTTTGTAAACACCATTATTAATTATTTTTCATCTGGATTGATTTTGATTTACATGAGGTTTTACTAATGTGTTCCCATATAAAACACACAATTACTCTTCACATCATATAGTTCTGGGCACCACGTCAAATATGTGAGAAAAATTTCCCCAAATGTATTCTATATTATGGGTTCAACTACTATCACATGTTGTTTCAGCATTATATTAAATTAGTAAATTCTCTGTGAAATGTCATCTATTTCTATACATATGCCCCTCGGGACATCTGTCCTATTTCTCAATACCACAATCTGGGCATCTGTCAAAATTACAGGCTATACCGACGTTTAGGCCCCTACATTGACTGGCTCTATCACAGGTTATGTAAAATAAACAAAGTTTAAAACATCATCAAAATGAGACCGTATGTCTAAACCTATCTCATGACACTTAGCAGAAGGAATGAGTGTTACTACGAATTGTCCCATCTTTCCGGGAACCTGAACTAGACACAGTAAAGAAGTCTCTTGCTGAATAAATGGGTCCTTCTGGTTTTACAATAGGTCAGTGTAGATATTAGTCTGCTACCTTACGCGTTCTTTTTATTTTCTGGCAGCTGACAAATAAAATTACCTCAAACTCTAAGATGAGAAAACTAAAGTTTGAAAATCCAAATTTCTTATGCCATCTTTGAATTAATTGAAATGTCTTAAGCCATCTGTGAATGAATGACATTCAGAAACAGCAAAATATTGACATCCTTACCTTCAAGTGTCCCTGTTATCTTCAAGCAACCCTGTTCCAACAGCGAAATTTTAGCTCTGTGAAACAATCCCCAGGGACTGTGAGAATATGAATTGATTTTAAAGGATGGCTGGTTAGCTGACAGGGTCTCTGCTTTCCAAAGCATTGCCAATTCAGTGTTGAACTGCTCATAGGGGTTATTTTAAACTAACCCAACTGACGGTATAAGAGTCTTAGGGTTTCTGAACCAACTTGCTTAGATGAGCAAGGAATGAAATTATAAGACAGACACGGAGGAATTCTGAAAATTCGTTGTGGACAAAGAGGAGTTGGGCAGAGAAAAGCTTGTGCACTCACTCTTTCAGACTGTGTGAAAAGAAATGAAGTCCTTTTTAACTTTTATATTTTCAAGTCATTATTTTTCAATTGTACTCCTTTGGTTGCTAGTGAAGTAAACATTGTTCCCAAGTGACTTTAATTTCCCCAAATTACAGGAACTATAAATAAACATTCACAAATTTTGCATTTATATTATCAATTCAAGTAAGATATTTTTATACAATCATATTTAAATTGGGTTTGTTTATTTGAATACATTTCATGAACATCTTAGTTCAGCTTAGCATTTTAATGCTATTGAAATGGTTTATCAGAAATAATCGCCTAATTATGAACTCATGATAGGTCACCAATTTCTGGATTTTCTCCCAAATCACCATCAAGTCTGTGAAAAGAGCCATTGAATCATTTGTTTTTAAACACAAACCAAGCAAACCTTTCTAGGAACTGAAAAACTATATTTTCCCATTAATGTGATCATTTCAGGAATTTTGCTAAATAGGGGGTCAATATAAACCAACAAAAATTACCCATACTCACCATCAAGAGGTAGTCATGGTAACTTATTTTTGTATTTCCTTCAATTCTTTTCTAAGCTTTTTTTTTTTCAACTTTTATTTTAGAATTGGGGGTATGCATGCAGGTTAGTTGCAAAGGTATATTGAGTGATGTTGAGGTTTGGAGTATGAATCAATCTTTCACCGAGGTAGTGGGCATAAGACCCAAAAAATAGTTTTTTGGCCCTTGCCTCTCACCCTCTTTCCATCCTCTAGTAGTCCCCAGTGACTATCCTTTCCACCATTATTACCATGAATACCCAATAGTTTGCTCCTGCTTATAAGTGAGAACATGCAGTATTTGGTTCTGTTTCCATGTTATCTTGCTTAGGATAATGGCCTCCATATGCATCCATTTTGCTGCAAATAACCTAATTTTGTTCTTTTTTATGGCTGTGTAGAATTCCAGTGGTATACATGAACCACTTTTTCTTTATCTACAAGGAGATATTTTTAATAACTACTTTAGTGGAGAATCAAATCACCTTTGGTCAGAAAAGATGGACTCTCAGCAAAATTTTAGAAAGGGATACAGAAGGAGATTTGGAGCATGTGAAAATGCATAAAATAAGAACACCATTGTCATAATCTAAATTGCAGGTTAACCAGATTGCCAGCAGATCCAATTTATTTTGATTTATAAGAAGTAACATACATTTCCCATCAGATTATTGGCAAAAATGTATTTATTGCCAACCTTGGCCACATTTTGTCTTTGAGCTTTCTTGATAAAGTTCAGGTGTTGAAAATGGAGTGTAGGGGTAAGAGGAACAATCTCAAAATCAGAAAGCAAAATGAATTTCTCTTTCTTTTTAAATCTGCCCTTGGGACAGGCCTGAGCTGTTAGGCATAGTAGGTTCAACAGTGGCTCCCCAAAGATATGTTCAACTGGAATCTCAGAATGTAACTTTATTTGGCATAAGAATCTTTGTAGATGTAATTAAGGTTAGCATCTTAATTTGAGGTCATGCTGGATTGAGATAAGCACGAAATCCACCAATGAGTGTCCTTATAAGAGACAGAAAAGGAGAATACAAAGAAACGTAGGGAATAATGACATATGAAGACAAAAGTAGAGACTGGAGTTATGCTGCCATCAGCCAAGAAACGCCTGGAGCCACCAAAAGCTGGAAGAGGCAAGGAAGAATTAAAATTTTTCCCTAGGGCTTTTGGAAGGAACATGGTCCTCTGACACTGATTCCAGACTTTTGGTTTCTACAACTGTGAGAGAATAAATATCTGTTGTTTTAAGCCACCAGCTTGGATGTAAATTATTATGGCAGCCTTACAAAATTAGAAGACTAGATACCTGCTCTTATAGTTAAACCCAACCAACCAAACAACAGACAAACAGCATCCAACATGATCTAATGTTTTCTTCATATCCCTCATGATGAAAGTAAGGTACATAGAAAGAACTGGAATTGTCCTGAGTTAATCCACTCACTGACACTCTAGCCCAAACTTGAGGGGAACTATCCAAATCATAATGAGTAGGTCAAAGGAGGATGTCACATGTCACAGGAGGATACTAATCCCACCATTCACAATGTCTTTGCCCAGGGAATGTGGTCTGTTATGAGGCATTATACCACCTGGGCCTACACTAGGCAGAGATTGGCCTGAAAGCACATCCTTCATATATCTGCTGCCTGTAGCGTGTATGATGCACTCAAAATCTTAAGAGCCCATGGCTTTGCATACAGATATAAGGTTTTTTTGTATAAAGGATGGATAATGAGGATGTTATTAAAGCCACACTGTCCCAGGCTGGGACACAATTTGAGAACCCAGCACTGCACATCTGAGCCTAAACACAAAAATTGGCCATCCTCTGTCAAGCCAGTCAGCAAGATGTTACAGGCTGCAGTTGTTATGTGGGACTTAAAGACAGAAAATTTTCAGTGGCAAAGCTTAAATAGGAAAATGTTTGGGAGGCCGAGGTGGGCAGATCACGCGGTCAGGAGATCGAGACCATCCTGGCCAACAAGATGAAACCCCATCTCTACTTAAAAAAAAAAAAATACAAAAAAATTAGCCGGGCATGGTGGCAGGCACCTGTAGTCCCAGCTACTCGGGAGGCTGAGGCAGGAGAATGGCATGAAACCGGGAGGTGGAGCTTGCAGTGAGCCGAGGTCGCACCACTGCACTCCAGCCTGGGCGACAGAGCCAGACTCTGTCTCAAAAAAAAAAAAAAAAAAAAAAAAGGAAGAAAGAAAAAGAAAAAATAGGAAAATGTTCATTGAAATCTTGCTAAAGTCTTAGAATGCAATCTGACTAAAATCATAAATAATTATATAAACAAGCAAACAAACAAATTATCCCTGCCCCTGAAAAGCAATCAATCAGAAGTTCTTTGTGCTACACTCCTACTAAGAGGAGATAATAGCTAATTGGTATTTACCCTCATGGTAAAAATTCCCTTAGTGCCTTCAGAAAATATTACCATTTACCTAAGAGAGAGTTCAACAAGTGCTCTAGGATGCAAGTGGAGAAAACACAGGCTGAAGAACTATTGTGTCCTGCCTCAGCATCTGCTCTCCTACTTCTATGAAAGAGGATGCAGCTGTCCTGGTGCTCTGGCTATTTCTACAGAGGAGACACAACTAACTGATGGTCTTACCTTCTTTCATGTATAATACGCATAAGAGGAGATTTTACATATTTTGTGTATTAAAGGGCTTTGACCACGCAATTCATTTCCAAGGTGACAGTAGTTACCTTGTGAAATGATAATGAAACCACAACAACAAAAGTCAGCAGTGAGGATTAGCAAAGAAAAAACTGGGACCAGGAGTGGAGGTGCTGATTGATGTAATGTAGTCACCATGTACATGTTGCTATGGAAATTATGCAAAAATGAAAGAAAAAAGGAACTAAGTAGTTGTATCGAGAAGATAGAAATGACATGGCATGTCTCTGGTAACATTGAGGAGACTTCTTCTTCCATTTCCTGAGACAAGCATCTAGAATAGTTAAAAATGGGAAATTAAGGGGTTCAGTCAGAAGATTAAGTTAGCATTACAAATCTCTCACAAAATAAGAATCAGCATCTCTCCCCAGTCTCCTGATGAAATTTTTTGGCACTGTGTTTACATCTCAAGTTCAGAAAGCTCACTTGCAATCCTCATGACTAAGCTAATTTCACTGACTTGGTTAAAAGGATATTTTCCATTTTTTTTAACAGCACAGTCTTTGCTAAAGAATGGCTCCCAGGGTTTAATCTCTTATCCTAATTTGAATCACACAGTCCGTAATTTCCTGGTATCCAAACAAATTCAGTGGGCAGGCATGAACAAAATTTGGCCATAAACACTAGTAATCACCATTTTGTTTCAAGCTTTAATAAGAGATTGTGGCTACAATGCTACTTGCCAATGGACAGAAGTCCTCATATCAACCTCGGCAGTGGATATGATTTATTTAAAAAAGAAAGGAACCAGGAGCCATCTGGGTAAAATTAACTGCCTGTGGTATGAACTTTGATCAGCCTACCAGAACCACCATCTAGTACCAAAATCCTTGAGTAAATTGAAAACATTAGAATAAAAAATAAAGAAAATATAGGCAAAGAGAGAGAAAGCAAAACTATTCTAAAACTCATGTCAGAGTTAATAGTCTTTAGCAGTGAAAAAAAACCTTTTTTTCCTTGAGAGTTAATTAGTTGCTTCACTTTCCCTTGTCTAGAAAAGATTGCTGTAGTAATTATTATTAACACTCTTAATAATAATGGTAACCAGTAATAATAACTCAGCCTTTTTACATCCCAGGGTTAGTATTATAATTGGTGCCTTATGTATTAACTCTTCTGATTCTCACCAGAGGAAGCTCGCAAAGGTAACTAACTGGCTAAGCCTCTCATAGGCAGTAGGTGATATAGCCTGAAGAACCCAGATGGTTCAGCTCCTGAATCCTTCTTCTTACCATTATGTTCTGCCACGTCTCACGTAACCAGTGGGAATCCACACAGCAGATGACCCTTAACTTTGTTCTGTAAAAATTCCATAGTAGGTAAAATAAGCTATCACCCAAGGGGTTTCTCTACTCTCCAATACAGAAAATGGACGTTAGCCTAGTGATACCAAAATGCTACTGTTCTTCGTGTGAAATCCTAGCCAGCTGAAACCATTAAAGGGGACAAAGTCACTGAGCATCTACCGGATGCCAGACATTATTTCATGCATTTCAATGTGATTTATCTCACTTAGTCAAAAAAAATATATATGGTAAGTTTGAAGAATGGTTAAAGAAGTGGGTGAGCAGCCTTGGCATTTTCTCAACACTATAATTTTTTTGGTTGTTTACTTTGTTTTTTTCTTGTAATTAAGTAATAATAAAAAGTTCAATAACAACAGCTCACTTTTTTTTTTTTTTTTTTTTTGAGACAGAGTGTCACTCTGTCCCCCAGGCTGGAGTGCACTAGCACAATCTTGGCTCACTGCAAGCTCCACCTCCCGGGTTCATGCCATTCTCCTGCCTCAGCCTCCCGAGTAGCTGGGACTACAGGCGTCTGCCACCATGGCCGGCTAATTTTTTGTATTTTCTTTAGTAGAGAGGGGGTTTCATCGTGTTAACCAGGATGGTCTCGATCTCCTGACCTCGTGATCCGCCCGCCTCGGCCTCCCAAAGTGCTGGGATTACAGGTGTGAGCCACCATGCCCAGACAACAACAGCTTACTTTCAAAATGTATGTTACTCTTTAGAATGTACTCAATCACTAGTTTTTGCTATGTGCGAGTTGTTCTTAGAGTGGCCAGAGTCCCTCTTCAAATAGGTGATAAAATATCTTAAAGTATGTGAATATTCATATGTCTCAAGTTCAGTTAACAAACAAATATAATTAGATTAAGCCTTGATATTTCTAATAGACTTTTCTAATAAATGTATTTTCTTAATTTCTACTATTATTAATGCTTCTTATTTAAAATTGAGGATGTGATACATAAGAAACAAATATAACTAGATAGAGCCTTCATATTTCTAAGAGTTTTCTCTAATATATTTCCTTAATTTCTACCACTATTAATGCTTATTTAAAATTAAGCATGTGATAACTATTTGTTGCCACCTCATACAAAATAAAATAATGTAATATTAATTATGCTTATTGTACATGTGCTTTGTGTCAACTTACGGTGTAAGTTGTCTAGTAGCTCAGTTAGCCCCCACTTGCCAAACCATGTAGTCATACCAATTTTTTTTTTCAGATGGATAAAGGGAGGCAGGAGGGTTTCGTAACCACAGAGCTAGTCATCAGAGGTGAACAGGACCAAGATTTGAACCTGACAGTTTTTCTTCAGAGTTGGAAATCTTAATCTCCATACATACTTGAGGTTTTGGGATCCTCACCAAATTTTCAATTATCTAACTTAGATATGGACAATGTGAAGGTCACAAAATTACTTTCAGTCATCTCTAAGATAAATCTCAGAGAGATAAGCAATTTTTCAGCAGATGAAATATAATTAAAACAAGAGATTACGTACCTTCTGGTCCTGTTGCCAAGAGATCACTGGTTTCCCCCAAGGCTTGATCTATTCATGAGGCCAGACGTTGGAATACTTTGAATTTCTCCTCATCTAGGTAAGCTTCGGGATGCATTATGGCAACCAGAATAATTTTATTCAAGAATAGGAAAGGCCAGCTAGTTTGGCACACTTAGAAATGAAATTTACTATTATCATATTTAATTCAATCTTTTTTCTTTTCTATTTTAATTTACAGATAGAAATTATGCAGTAGTTTTATAGGCTGACCTGTGTAAACTCCTTCTCACAATTTTTTAATATAGTTCTGAGGATTCTTTTATCATACCAAAGTCCTATACAATAATGTAATTGAGTTGCCTGACACTCAATGAGTAATTGGCCTTCAGGTTTCTCTTAATGATTATAAATAAGACCTTATGATTTCCTGTTTTCTGTAAGAATATTTAATAATGAAAGTCTCAATCTACCACAATGTTTAACTTTGGGGAACAAGATCTGAAAAAAACATACTCTTAAAAACTTAAATGTTGAATTATCCCTTCACATGTAATGTCCTGACACATATTTTTTTTACCAGCATGCAGGGAGTAGATATTCAAAATGATTGCATAAATGTATACAAACTAGAGGCTAGGAACTGGTAAGGCTTGTCCAGTTGACAAGACACTCTTTGCTAAAATTAACATTCTCTCTTGCCTCAGAGGTTTCATCACTGCTATTGTTGTTGTCGATATTGCTGTTTATTAAAACTGTATTTTGTAAATTACCAGTGAGAGTGAGTGGTTTTAATATTACTTTAGTGTCCACATAGAAATTCTTCAGTGCTGAGAAGATAAGACCCCAAAAGATTGCTCACTGTACAGGGACTCTTGGCTAGCTAAAAAAAAAAAAAAAAAAAAAAAAAAAAAGCTAAATATTTCCATTGCTGAGATGTAAACGAAGAATTCCCAAACATTTGAGGTATCTGTTTAATGTCTAAAATAAGAAGTTGAAACCTTTCACTAACAACTTGTGCTGTGAAACACGTAAGTTTAAATGAGTAATTCAACAGTTACTGTTTGGATTTACATAGAAAGACTTTTGCCAAAGCCTGTGCTGAACACATACCAAAACAATTATGCCTAGCATGTACACAGTGATAAGAATGTTTTCTTTTGGCATCCACTAGAGGAGAAACTTAGAGCAGCACCACTTTCTACTGCTACCCTTGGGTCCATGCTGCGGTAGTTATTTACCTGAATTGTCCTTGGAATAACTGCATTTCCTTGTATATGAAATGGACCTAAAGTAATGGATTTGCCCATTAGTGAATAATATCGGAAGCAATCTCAATTCTAATGCAATTCCTGTTCAGTTCCATGCAATTTCTGCATAGAAACACAACTGAAAGAAAAATGACAACCAATCGACCAGTAAAACTGCAATAAATACTTTTTAGGTGAGAAAACGTCAAAAGAGTGTGGATTTGGAGGTCCTTCCATTGTGCTAATTATAGATCTTTATTATCTCTCTGAATACTTGTCAATAGTCATTAAGTTTATACAATTTTCTCTTTTTAATGCATCAAAAAATCACCAAATAGGAAGAAGTAAATCTGTATAACGGGACATCTAACCATTGGTTTTAAAATACATAACCTACAGTCTAAAATAAAGAAGAAATATATACATGTGAAGCTTTTTTTTTTGACTGACTATATTATAAAATATGCTAAAATTGTACTGCAAATGAACTCTCCTCACCTCCCAAATAATAACAAAACATACAGTGACAACAAAATTGTACAAGTTTATATTAAGGCTCTCAAATTTAAACTAAGCATAAAAACTGAGCAATTTATCTTGGGATTCTAAAAAAAAAATGAATCTAACAAAATCCAAATTGATGATACCCGACATGTTGTCATCATATAACAGTCAAAGTTTATTCTCTGAAGAAATATCAAGTTTTAAAAATAAATGGGAACAATACCAAGCATCATCTAAAGGCCAGTTTCTAGTTTTCTCAGCACCATGGGTAACTTTTGTAAGAAATGAGATAATCCTGTAATCCCAGCTACTCGGGGGGCTGAGGCAGGAGAATGGCGTGAACCCGGAAGGCGGAGCTTGCAGTGAGCTGAGATCGCGCCACTGCACTCCGGCCTGGGTGAAAGAGCGAGACTCTGTCTCAAAAAAAAAAAAAAAAAAAAAAAAAAAAAAGAAATGAGATAATTAGATTTACTGCAAATGAAATTTTGATGAAGTGCTATTGAAGTATAATATTCTATGAAATCCCTTGTTACCTTGAAAGGAGCTAAATGACAACTGCTTGATTATTATGGGACAAAGATAACTTTAGGTTTTTTTCTTCTAAATTGTGGGTAGTGACTGTTTCGGTATTTTCAGTA
Source organism: Homo sapiens (assembly GCF_000001405.40). Lineage (NCBI taxonomy): Eukaryota > Metazoa > Chordata > Mammalia > Primates > Hominidae > Homo > Homo sapiens. Next base: position 27,855,970 of record NC_000021.9, on the reverse strand, counting down.
ATGATATTTTCTGTAAGTGATATTACCCAGCTTTTAGGTCCAGATCTTAGCCAAATCACTTCCTGAAACCTGACTTTACAACAAAAACCTTCTTTGTTCTTCCTTAGCCTGTGAATAGTGGCAGCATTTAAAATTAATACCATGCAATTACCTTCTGTTCTATGATAATCTTTCATATTTTCTCTTGTTTTCTCAAACTCTTCATAACTCTTAGGTCAAATTTCATGCACTATATAGTTCCCTTCCTTTTGTATCACCTTTATGTAGCTAAGATTATAGTAAGCTCTTAACAAGAATTTATAGATTTATCGGTCAAATTATTAACCGTTCAACAAGAAGACCAAAGCCAATGCAATATTTTAAAAAGTATGGATTAGGAAAATTACCTTTGGTATTATCCTTAAAGAGAGTTTTAGTCCTCATTTTCCAATTCATACACTCAACTATACCTCCCAGTTTGTAAGAAAACCAGCTGCATTTGGGAACATTTCTTAAATTGTTGAAGTCTTAACATTGATACATTTAACTATTTACTTACAATCTTTGTGAATATTATGCAGGATATTCACTAAAGATAACTAAAGAGATTGTACTCCACATGTCAGATGAATTGCTTTAAAACCTTAGTCGGTAGAATTCACCAGGATTTTTGCTTAAAGTGCAAACTTGTCAGTTAGTTCCAAGTCCAGAGATTCTGATTTAACAGGCATAGAACAGGACCTGGGAATCTGCATTTTAAATAAACTCAAGGTCCATCTTAAATGCACTCAGAAATAAGTGATTTTACTACTTGAGAAATGTAACTTGAGGAGTTTAAAATCTGTGAAATCTGTGATAAAAATTAATTATGTGGTTGGGCATGGTGGCTCATGCCTGTAATCCCAACACTTCGGGAGGCCAAGGCAGGCAGATCACAAGGTCAGGAGTTCAAGACCAGCATGGCCAATATGGTAAAACCCCGTCTTTACTAAAAATACAAAAAAATTTAACCAGGTGTGGTGGCTGGTGCCAGCTACTTGGGAGGCTTTGGCAGGAGAATTGCTTGAATCCCAGCTACTTGGGAGGCTGAGGCAGGAGAATTGCTTGAATCCCAGCTACTTGGGAGGCTGAGGCAGGAGAATTTCTTGAACCGGGGAGGTGGAGGTTGCAGTGAGCCTAGACTGCGCCACTGCACTGCAGCCTGGGTGACAGAGTGAGACTCCAGTTCAAAAAAAAAAAAAAAAATTAAGTATGTGCTTTGGCACTTTAAAGAGAAGTAAATAAATGAGTCGTGTTTGGTTTCTATTCTGTCCATCTCTGCTAATTTTTATTTCTTTCATTATTCACCTTGGCTGGTCTGTGCATTTGCGTGTAACTTTCATGAAAACTCCATCCATCTTCATCAATACACATAAAACATACCTTGCAAGGCCCTTTTTAGATGTCCTATTCAAATATTTCTGAGTCAGATGAATCAGTCTGTTATTAGTCTGTTTTCATGCAAATAAAGACATACTTGACTGGGTAATTTATAAAGAACAAGTGATTTAATGGACTCACAGTTTCACATGGCTGGGGAGGCCTCACAATCATGGCAGAACGCAAAGGAGGAGCAAAGGCATGTCTTACATGGCAGCAGGAAAAAGAGCTTGTGCAGGGGAACTCCCATTTATGAAACCAACAGAGACTTATTCATTACCATGAGAACAGGATGGGGGAGACCGCCCCCATGATTCAGTTATCTCCACCTGGCCCCACCCTTGACATTTTGGGATTATTACAATTCAAGGTGAGATGTGGGTGGGGACATAGCCAGATCATATCACAGTCCCATAATCTCTTTTGTAGTGATAAAAATCACAAATTTGAACCATTCATGATATTTTCTTATACTATAATTTATGAAAGATTTATGGAAGATTTACTTATTTCATTTTATATCTCCTTCACCTTCACTATTGCAATGGACAAAATGGTTGTTGTTCTCCCCCACCCAAATTCATATGTCAAAATCCTAACCCATAATGTATGGTACTAGGAGGTGGGGTCTTTGGGAGCTAATTACGTCATGAGACTGGAGCCCATGTGAATGAGATTAGCACCCTTATAAAAAAGACCCCAGAGAACTCTCTTGCTCTTTTTCTATCATGAGAGGATATAAAGAAAAGACGGCAGTCTGCAAGTCAGAAGAGGGTCCTCACAAGAATCCATCCATGCTGGCACTCTAATCTCATATTTCTGAACTCAAGATCTGTGAGAAATAAATTTCTGTTGTTTATAAACCCATCCAGTTTACAAAGTGCCTAGTCTATGGTACTTTGCTCTGGCAGCCCAAACTAAAACAACTGTATTTTTAGGAAAGAATAAATATGCATGCACATACATCTATAAAAGTCTTCAACCTGATAACTCTGAAATAACTTTTACTTTAATGGTATTCATATAAGAAAGAAATGTATGAAGCCAAAATAAATCTCAAAATTAAGGGGGAATATTACTTAGCAAAATGCATGTTTGCTTTGCCAAAGCCTGAAACTTTTTTCTTTTTAAGCAAATTGAAAACTTCAAAGATTTCAACATTTTTTATTACTTATCCCAGCAAAATCATTCAGACCACTTATTTTTAAAATTATATAGTTACTGATTTATTTCACTTTTATGCAGTTAGGATAGGAAATGGAGGTCAATTGGAAAATAGAATTACAGGAATAGGACCATCATGAAATGATTTTTTAATTTATTACCATTCAGAGCATCTATACTTGTTTGTCACACATTCAGAAGAATGGAAGAAAGGAGGGTAGAGAATGAGTCATATGCATTGAAAATTATTATTCAGTTTTAAAATAAGTGCCCAAAACTATAGACACTATAAGACACTGAATTTGAATATTTTACATTTCATTCTTCTATTAAAATTCATTTCATTGAGAACAAAAAGAAAACAAGAAAAAATAAGAAGATAAGCATCTTCAGAGAAACAACTATAGCCTGAAACCATAAACGGAGAAGCAAACCTGCCAAACACTGTTATATTTCAACTAAAACAAGGAGTGATCAGAGTGAGTGCTTTTACATGTATAATCAGTACATGTTCAGGATGATCACTTTTTCTAGATATCATTGCTGCTACTCTGGGAGATGTAATTCAAAAACTATTTTTCTTAAAATGGTAAGATTTTATGGAATAATGTGACCATGATATTAATAAAAGTAGGAAAGTCACTATAGAGTAACTCAGTGTTGTCTATCCATAAAATGGAAAGAATTTGAAGTTGTAAGAGAATTCAGGCTGATGTACTCTATTCATTTCATATACTCTGAGTTCCAAACAGAATGAAGCTCACAGAAGTGGAGAGGAGCAAAAGAGAAAAGCATTAACCAGCATGTGATAATATAGAGATTAGAAATGTAGATTTAGAAACCTAGGAATCTAAATCCGAGCCACATTACCTTTAGAAAAGTGAATGCTAATAGGAGGAGAAACAATTACCCAGTACTTAGGGAGTAAGAAAATTAGTGTGACGGTATTCCATTACAAAATCATGGATTTAAAAAAAGATACAAACTGCAATGCCACACCACTCCTGCCCCAGAGGATCCCTTAGCTAATACCTGGATCTGTTCTACAAGGAATGCAGAGAGAAAAAAATCAGTAAAATATATATGCCTGGTGTTCTATTTTCTAAATATGAAAATGAACACAAAGCATAAACAAGATACAGTTGCTAAAACTGCATCACAAGTAGAATTACCAAAGTAATCAGAGGACAAATTGAAGTTAATCTCAATTTAGAAATTGAAGTGAACAACTAAGGAATTATGTAAGAAAGAAATACATAGGCACTATACATCAGCAATTACATCCAGAAAAATAGTGAATATCTAGTAGAAACCACACAAAAGTAAATTATATGAAAAGACAAAGGCATAATAAAAATCCTTAATACGGCGTTGGTAAATATAGATGCGTGACAATGGAGACTCAACCTCTGCCTACTTGATGTTTTGAAGAATAAGAAAGAACGTTAATACCGGAAACATTACTTGTTGAAAACTTCAAAGAGATAAAATGACACTTGAATCTATAGATTAAAATAGCATTCTGTTTTTTAGACAAAAATATAGAGATACTGATCATCACTAAGACTGACTTTGATTCACTTACTTGATTTGAAGAATAAAGCAATAGGATAATTGTCATCTGGGCAGTTAAACAAGTCTCTGAGAATTCAACTGTTGCTGATGAAGAATTAATGACTACCAGAATTATGCAACTTTTGTAAACGTTTAGAAATCCAGAACAAGTATATAAACTGTTTTTATTGCATGAAAAAAATAGGCAGCACAAAACTGTGATTTCTGAGAGAAAGAAAACAATATATACCCTTTATTGTGCCAGCATACTTACTGAAAGTGATTTCCAGCCTCCAGCATGGTATGAGACAATCTGAGAGAGAATATCATGATTTGCTGAATTTAAGAGCAAGATATCAAAGTTTATGGAGGCCAAGGTGACTAGAATCATCAAGGCAGACTGACAGAGAGAAGAGGGCTGCACAGAGAGAGAACTGTGGAGATTTACATAGAGGTTCTCTGGAGTCCTTGAGTGAGAACTGAACTGTGCCTACATAAAGGAAAACTCCATGAGATAGAAAAATGAGTCTTCATTAGCAGTGGGCCAGAGAAATTCCTGGAGGTCATGTGGGCCTTAGAAGAACCCGTATGTGCTCCAGCCAGAGTGAGAAACTTATAATATCCGATAGAGTTCTCAGAATAATCACACCTTAGTAGGGGGGTGAATCAGCTCTAGAGTCAAGGCTCTGAAGCCATTATAATCACATTTAAAAGCAAAAAATATCACCATTGATCTCAGATAACTTAACTGCATTTGAAAACAGAGTTCATCTCTCTTTAAAGAAATAAAACAAAATCCAGATCCTAACAACGTACAATTCAGAATTTCCCTTAGACATTAAAAAAAAAAAAACAGAAATGCATATAAACAAAAAAAGATCCAAAACAAGACAAAAAGTTAATAGAAACAGACCAAGAAAAGACAGAAATTATGGAATTAGAAAATATTAAGCAGCTTAACAACACACATAATTGAAATCCCAGGAAATGGGGGGAGGGCAAAAACTATTTATAAAGGTAGTGGTTGAGATATTTTTAAAACTTGGTAAAACTATAAACCAACAGGTAACAGAAGTGCAGTGGACTCAAATCAAAATGAATAAAAGGATTAAGTTGAAGAAAGCTATTTTTAAAAAGAAAACTTAAAAACAGTTGGAGAAAAAGAGATGTATTATTGACAATGGAACCAATGTAATAACTACTTTTTATGATAAGCATGTATATCAGAAGACCATAGCGCAACATTCTATTACTTAAAGCAAGAGAAACAAGTCAACCTGGAAATTCATTCAAGTGAAAATTCTAAAAAAATCAAGAAATTTACAAAAATGAAAGCAAATAAAGCTATTTTGACAATAAGTAGCTGATAGATTTTATCAACAGCATACTGGGACTGAAAGAAATGGTAGACAAAAAGAAAGTAACAGGATGATAATTTACTTTCTTTATTATTATACTTTAAGTTTTAGGGTACATGTGCACAACGTGCAGGTTTGTTACACATGTATACATGTGCCATGTTGGTGTGCTGCACCCATTAACTTGTCATTTAACATTAGGTATATCTCCTAATGCTATCCCTCCCCCCTGCCCCCACCCCACAACAGGCCCCAGTGTGTGATGTTCCCCTTCCTGTGTCCATGTGTTCTCATTGTTCAGTTCCCACCTATGAGTGAGAACATGCGGTGTTTGGTTTTTTGTCCATGCGATAGTTTGCTGAGAATGATGGTTTCCAGCTTCATCCATGTCCCTATAAAGGACATGAACTCATCATTTTTTATGGCTGCATAGTATTCCATGGTGTATATGTGCCACATTTTCTTAATCCAGTCTATCATCCTTGGATATGGGGGAAAGGATTCCTATTTAATAAATGGTGCTGGGATAATTTACATTTTTAAAAAGAGATGACTCATGTTAGAAATAATACATAGGGCCATGCATGGTGGCTCACACCTGTAATTTCAGCACTTTGGGAGGCCGAGGCGGGCGGATCACAAGGTCAGGAGTTGGAGACCAGCCTGACCAACATGGTCAAACCCTGTCTCTACTAAAAATACAAAAATTAGCTGGGTGTGGTGGTGCACGCCTGTAATCCCACCTACTCAGGAGGCTGAGGCAGGAGAATCGCTTGAACCCAGGAAGTGGAGGTTGCAGGGAGCCATGATCGCACCACTGCACTCCAGCCTGGGCAACAGAGCAAGACTCCATCTCAAAAAAAAAAAAAAAAAAAGGAAAAAGAAATAATATATAGAAAAGATTTTTTTTCGTGTTTTCAGTAATGTTAAAGGTAATGGATTATTTAAAACCAAAATAATAATTATTTCTGTGGTATTCAAAATATATATAAAGAAAGGAGGAAAACCCTATGACAGTAGGGCAAAGAACTGTAGAGAGAAAATGGATAGACAGTTATAATATTTGTTTTTTTATTTGAACATTTATTTTAAATTTATGGAATACATGTACAGGTTTGTTACATGGATATATTGTGTGATGCTGAGGTTGGTGGTACGGTTGAGCCCATCTCCCAGGTACTGAGCATAGTACCCAACAGATAGTTTTTCAACCCCGGTCTCCCTCCCTCCCTTCCTCTCCCTCTAGCAGTGTCCAGTTTCTATTGTTGCCCTTTTTATGTCCATGAGTACCCTGTGTTTAACTCCCATTTATACGTGAGAACGTGTGGTATTTGATTTTCTGTTTCTGCATTAATTCGCTTAAGATAATGGCTGCAAGTTGCATCCATGTTGCTGCAAATAGACGGTTTTGTTCTTTATTATGGCTGTGTAGTATTCCATAGTGTATATGTACCATATTCTCTTTATCCAATCTGCTGCTGATGGGCACTTAGGTTGATTCCATATCTTTGCTATTGGGAACAGTGCTACAATGAACATACAAGTCTATGTGTCTTTTTGGTAGAATAGTTTATTTTCTTATGGATATATAACCAGAAATGGGATTATTAAGTCAAATGGTAGTTCTGTTTTAAGCTCTTTGAGAAATCTCCAAACTACTTTCCCCAGTGGCTGAACTAACTTACATTCCCACCAACAGTGTATAAACATTCCCCTTTTTCTATAGCCTTGGCAGGAACTTTTCAATAAAAGATATTACTAAACATTTTTGGAGTTCTTTAATAATAGCCACTCTGGCTAGTGTGAGACGATATCTCATTTTGGTTTTGATTTACATTTCTCTGAGATCAGTGATTACGAGCATTTTTTTTCATGTTTGTTAGCCACTTGTATGTCTTCTTTTGAGAAGTATCTGTTCATGGTTTTGCTCATTATTAAAATTAAGTTATTCATTTTTTGCTTGTTTAATTGTTTAAGTTCCTTATAGATTCCAGATATGAGACTTTTCTTGAACATATTGTTTGTGAATATTTTCGCCCATGCTGTGGGGTGTTTGCTTGCTCTGTTGATAGTTTCTTTTACTGTGCAGAAGCTCTTTAGTTTAATTAGGTCCCACTTGTCAATTTTTGTTTTGTTGAAATTGCTTTTGAGGACTTAGTCATAAATTCTTGCCCAAGGCTGATTTTCAGAATGGTGTTTCCTAGGATTACTTCTAGCATTCTTATAGTTTGAGGTCTTACATTTCAGGATTATAGGTTGCCAGGTTTTGGTATCATGGTAATGCTGGCTTCAGAATTGCAATATTTTAAAACTATATAGCAGGTATTATAAATATTATTTGAAGGTTGTGTGTTTTAAGTTAAAAAAAAAGTACAGATGGTACTCTTTATGCACATCAGTGTGGGGCCTTAGTAACCACTGTGCAAGTTGAAACTGGGCAAAGTTATCTTAATAATTAATGGGAAAACATAAACTTCTTCCTGCAATCATTAAAAACACTTGTCAGTCAGGTGCAGTGGCTCACACCGGTAATTCCAGCACTTTGAGAGGCCAAGGTGGGCAGATCACTTGAGCCCAGGAGTTTGAGAACAGTTTGGGCAACATGACGGAACCCTGTCTCTACAAAAACTACAAAAAATTAGCCAGGAGTGGTGACACGTACCTATAGTCCCAGCTATCCAGGAAGCTGAGGTGGGAGGATCACCTCAGCCTGGTGGTCTAGGCTACAGTGAGCCTTTTTGATACCACTGCACTCCAGCCTGGACAACAGTGAGGTCTTGTCTCTAAATAAAAGAATAAATAAATAAACACCTTTGTCAAAATATTAAAAATGTCTTACTGTTATATATGTATAGAAAAGTAAAAACCAAAAAACAACCCTGAAACTAGTATCTATATAGTACACTATAATTTAAAACATTGATAATTAAAATACATGTTTTATATATTTCTTTGAAATGTATTCAGAGTAGTTTGTACAGTATTTGCACAACTTCTCATCATGTGACTCTCAATATTTTTTATGCTTTAGTGAATTGCCATTCTTCTTTATAACTTTGATTATTTGTCCAACATTTTATTGTTTGTGCGTTCATTGTCTTTAAACATCTTGGAGAGTTTCTTCAATGTAATTTTTTTCCTCAGCATCACATCTTCTGGGAAAACTTTCATCTTTTCCCTGCAATCAGCTTCTTCATTTAAGTTGTAAATATGTCTTCCATAAGTTCCCATGACTGCACATATGAAATCTCTTGGATGGTAGTTGTGTCAGCATTCTCGCAATTAACTATTGCTTCTATAAATCCATCAAGATCCAATTTGAATTTCACTTTCGGTGTTGACACTTTCATTTATTTGCCACACTTTCATTTTCGTTGGCTGATTTTCTGTCATTTATCAATTTTTGTATAATGTCATGCCTTTATCACTGAAAGACAAAGAAGCAACACTACTGTATGCTTTCCTGTCTCTGTATGAATACAAAACAGGTACATAATAATTGATTATTGATAGATATTGAGAAAAGTGACATGACTAACCATGGATCTTGATGCAAATCTGATATTTACCTAATAGTTTTATGGACTGAAGAGTTCACAGAAAAAATTTGTACTTCAAGCCGTTAGTCCCAATTAATACACTGCTGTACCTAAACTGTTTTGTTTTGGGGCTTGTGCTATGTAACTAAAGCATGATAACTAAAGCCTTTGCATATCAAAACTAAGGAAAACAAGAACTGTCTATTTTATGAGCCCTATATCAATCATTAAAATTAAAATAAAAATGAATGGTTAAAAATTAATAGTGGAGATAAAAGCGGATCTTAAAAACTAAATTCTCAATTCAAAAGAAGGCAGAAAAAGGGGGAAAATGAACAAAAATGATGAGACATTTAGAAAACATATAGCAAGAGAGTAGTTATACACTCAATCATAGTGATAATTGCATTAAATGTAAATTGACAAAATATTCTTATTAAAAGGCAGAGATCATAAGACAGGATTAAAAACCCAGACTCAACTGTATGCTCTTTATAAGAAACTTACTTGAACCCAAAAAAAGAAAAACAAACAAACCAAAACCCACTAAAACTGTGATGAGCAAAGTAGACATCAGAACAGGAAATATCACTGGGGATGAAGAATAACATTTCATAATGACAAAGGGGAAAATACAACAAGAAGACATGTAAATAATAAATATGTATGCACACAATAGCATTACTTCAACATACATAATATAAAACCTATTAAAACTGAAAGGTAAAATAGTAAAACCACAGTCATCCATGGGGATTTCAACAGTCTCCTGCCAGAAATTTATAAAATTTGTTAAACAAAAAATTGGTAAGGGTAGAGAGGATCTGAAAAATATAATTAGCCAACTTGATCTAATTGAATCTTTTAGAATAATCTAAGGATGAGGGATGAGGTAGCAGAGAAAGAAAAGGCAGACATCAACATGACATTAGTGTTTCAAGGCTATGAGAATACACCAATAATGGTGTGTGTGTGTGCAGATGGTAAGCTCAATCTTAAAAATGTTGAGTTTTAACTGACAATTCATTATTAGGAAAGATAAGAGGAGATGATCTCTAGTGAGAGGCTATATGACTGAACTCTAAGAGAAAGGTCACAGCAGAAATTGTGTACTTGACAGCTCTATAAGGAGGTCAGTCAAAAATAAGTCAGTGATGAATTCTCTGGTGTAAAAGCAGAGGAATGAGGATTAGATTTAAAACACATGGAAGCAGAGTGACTTATGATAAAAACATGAGCTTGAAAATCCTGCAGACAGGGCTTTAAATCCTGGGTATGATATTCTGCTTGTGTAGGCAATAGTGATAAAAACACAACAACAAAGAGAGGTAAAGAGCACTTTCCTTTGATATAAGTAAAGGGCACGACTTATTGCATATATATATATATAGGTATTCAACTGAGATTCAACATGTTTCTTTCAATGAAACAGTAAGCTCTCCTGGCCTTCATGTTCCCAGTGAGGTAGGTACCCTTCTGATGATTATACCCACCCTCCCTCATTGCAAAGCTCCCATTGTTATTGTCTTGGCTATGGATTCCCTCAAAAATAGACTATGAAACAAATATTTGGGGTCAGATACTTTAATCAGAAATTGAGTGAGAAAGCACGGAAGTGGAGAAAATGAAACAGAACACGAAGCCAGTGTGAATAAGTAGTTACTGCTATGTGCTCAGTAATGACGGAGGTATGGAGATTGTCTCAAAATAACTTTACAAAGAGATGGGGATGCTGGAATCCCCATCTCTTATTGCTTAAGGATTGCCTTAGAATCATTAACTCTCCACCCCTAACTCCTTCTTCGTTCCTATGTGTGGTTGAGAAACACTGGTTACCCTCAAGAAGCTTCCAGGAGGCCCAAAAATCAGAAAGACAGGCATGATGTGGGGAGCTCTCAGTTAGCTGGAAACAGGTGAATTTCAGGTGAACACATTGAGTCCAGGACATAGAAGACAAGTCATCAACAATATCTGCTATAGCCAGTTTTCTTTTTCTTTTTAAGAATATATATACTTTTTATTGGAGGTCCCCAAGTCCCCCTTTGGTTTAATGATTCACATAACTCAAGAAAGCTGATTTTTTTTGTGGTTATAGTTTCTAACAGTGAAAGAAACCAGATTAAAATAATCAGAAGCATAAGAGCACATAAAGTTGAGTCCAGGACAAACCAGATGTGAGCTTACAGGTGTCCTTTCATAGTGGGGACTTCACACTGACTAATTTTCTTTACAGTGGTGTGAGACAACATGTGTGAACTTGTTGCCAACTAGGGAAGCTCAGTCAGTCTTGAGTCCAGGGTTTTTATTAGGATTCCACCACATATGCATCGAGCGTCCTGTGACTGAACTTAGCTACTTAGTTCCCAACCTCCCTATGCCCTAAGAGAGGTCATATTAATATGGCATTACACAAAGTCATAGGCATACAGAAACAGGTGCTCACAAGAAATCACGTTGTTAGCATCAGCTATTTGGTATGACCTACGTTTTCAGGTATACGAAGACTCTCATCAGGCAGCATATACCAAGGGCTCATAGGTTATCATCTCCCAGGAGCTTGTCGAGAGCCAGTCCCGAAGACCTTTGGAATGTGCAAGGTTTTGGAAAGCCATGTCTGAAGAATTAACCCTTCATTACACACCTTCCAATAATTTTTTTATCTTTAAAAATGTTTTTTGATCTTTGACAACGTACCAACCAAGGCTGAGTAATTAGTAACAACAGTGTACTCCTGAGTACTTCTTCAGGTTTGAATCAAAGGGCAGTTTTCCTGATCTATTGCTCCTATGTATTGTGCTACTTCAAGTATGGGCTTTGGATTAGCAGCAATGGTTTTATGGAGGAGCTTGTTAGAAATGCAGTATCTGAGGCAACCACCTGAACTCGTTTCATCAGAATCTGCATTTTAAAAAGATCCCCAGATTCTTTGCATGCACAGTTAAAATTTGAGAATCACAGCCCTAGTAGGCCCATTTTTTTCTAGCCACTGTGAGATATATTCTAGTAGATATTTAGCAGCGTGATCATGAGCAATGTGTTTAATCTCCTTGAGCATGGTATCTCATCTAAAAAGGTTTATTTTATATACACTCAGACTCACACCTGCATATACATATATCTTGCAGTGATATGTCGAAGATCAATTTTAATATATATATATAAGGGGTCTAGCACAATTATTGGTTTATTAATGGTAGTTATGACTAAGATGATAATGATGGTCATAATAATAACATAAAGATATGGAACTAAAAGAAAACAAAGAGACACAAATAGAGACACTGCTACACAAACAGATAGATGGACAACCACAGTAGAAAAATGTAAGAGAGATCAGATATAGAGGTTTAAGGAGGAAGACTGGTAGTATCTCATAAAACAAATAGTTTGACACTTTGGGAGGCCGAGGTGGGTGGATCATGAGGTCAGGAGATCAAGACCATCCTGGCTAATATGGTGAAACCCCATCTCTACTAAAAATACAAAATTAGCTGGGTGTGGTGGCGGGCGCCTGTAGTCCCAGCTACTTGGGAGGCTGTGTCAGGAGAATGGCATGAACCCAGGAGGCGGAGCTTGCAGTGAGCCGAGATCGTGCCACTGCACTCTAGCCTGGGTGATGGAGCAAGACTCCGTCTCAAAAAAAGATGAAATAAATGAAATAAAATAAAATAAAAAATACACACACACAGCAGAACAACAAAAAAATAGTCTGAGAAAAATAGTTTAAAAAAACGCTCAATGAATTTTAATAAACAGGACACTTGAGATATTTTAAAAGACTTATTTCAGTGTATTGATTTCAATATAGTAAAGCCCAAACTAGAAAAATGTTTCCTCTTCATCCCAAAATGAAGCATGTCGGGAACCCCTTGCTTATGACTCCCAGATAGACTTGGGCCACTGAAGCAGAGCCATGGACGTGTTGACTAAATGATTGTTTATGACCTGATTATAGCAATGCTTTTCTTAGATATCTATGAGTGAATATTGGTTACCCAGTAAGACTGTAAAACTTCTTTCTCATCCTTGTGAATACTAAATCTAATTTTTTATAAAAAAGATAAAATGATGTTTTAAATTATATTGAAATACATGAAAAATAAAACAGTGATGCACGTACATCAAAAATGCTCTTATCAATATAATAATAAATAGTTAAATAGATTAGAATCTTTTGAATGCCTGTGTATATTGCCTGTTAAGATGTGAGAAAATTGTCCCTTTTCATTTTAACATAGTTTGGCAATGTACATAGGCATTGTTTTCAAAGTAAAATTTCAAAAAGTTAAAAAAAGATTCACATAGAAACAGAATAGACATGTGCCAAAAATGTATTCAACTGATTAATGACAGACCAGTTAAGTTGATAAAGATGGGTCAAAAATATTTGAGAAACTGGATATTTCTAGACATTTGGAGAAAAGAATGTTAGCATAAGACTTCTATGGGAGATGTGAAATGACAATGACACATAATCTTCAGGAATATAATCTCTTTTAGGAAGAAATCTTAAAGTTAATATGTAATTTCATAGTAGCTTCTGAGCAAATAATAAATCATTTTCAAACATAACTGTATTATTATTAGAAAACTAAACAATCCCACTAAACAACTGAAAAAAACTATTTCACCCAATTTTTGTCTTATTTCCAACTCTTAAATAATTTTTTATATGCATTTGAATTTTCAGTACAATTCAAGTTATATATATTTGAATACCATAATAGATACTACAGGAGGACTCAATGACTTAAATTTTCATCTTTATTAATTTATCTCTTTTTTTCCTAATGTAGTGATTTTTAAAACTATTTTAAAATTTATTTATTGTACACTTACAGAATCATAGACAAGTCCTAATTTCAGGAAAGACATGCCTGATTAACTCAATGGAGAAATAAAATTAACCCTGAATAAAGAAAATGTGGCACATATACACCATGGAATACTATGCAGCCATAAAAAAGGGTGAGTTCATGTCCTTTGCAGGGACATGGATAAAGCTGGAAATCATCATTCTCAGCAGACTAACACAAGAACAGAAAACCAAACACCGCATGTTCTCGCTCATAAGTGGGAGCCGAACAAAAAGAACACAAGACCAGAGAGGGAAACATGACACACCAGTGCCTATAGGGGGTGGACGCCTAGGGGTGAGATAGCATTTGGAGAAATACCTAATGTAGATGATGGGTTGGTGGGTGCAGCGAACCACCATGGCATGTGTATACCTATGTAACAAACCTGCATGCTCTGCACATGTATCCCAGAACTTAAAGTATAATAAAAAATATTTTAAGAATTAACCGCGAACGACATGTTTATAAATGTTGTAAGATTGCCCTCATTTTCTAGGCCCCTGTTGAGAAATGAAATTGCATAAAATGTCATTAACTAGAAATTGCCTTTTAATTTCAACACATAATAAAATGTTGCCAATTCCACATCATTCTTCCTAACAGTAAATGTATTTAATATACCTCCAAGTTTATTTCAAGTGTCATATTCTTTAATGAATTTAAGAGCAATTATCAGAGTTTAGCAATAAGACTTGGCATCAGAGACTGTTAAAATTTCCTAGGTTATTTTAGTTCACAACTAGGCCTACAGACCACTATCATGTTCATTGTGCTTCTTTACAGTCTTTGCTGAGGAGTAAATAATTGACTTTGGGCAGCTTTAGCTTTTCCCAATGGCACAGGCCTTTGAACTGTCAGAACTCTGCACATTTGCAATGCCCAGACACCTTCTCTATGAAAACCCACCATCATTTGTTCATGCTTAGTGAGACAAAAAAAATCTGACCATTCAAATATAATTTAAATGATGTCTAATTGTGGCACATATTTCTATATTTGCATTTTACTTGCTCATATATAAAATAAGTTGATATAAAGATGAATTAAATACTCAGAAGTTCCATAAAGCAGGGTGATTTTCTTGTTTGTATAAAAATAAATGAAATTACGCAGATATAGAGAAAAAATAAAAAGTATGATGATAAAAAATGTAAAAGTGAAATGCTATTAAGCATTTGAACTTTTTCACTTCTATTATGACTAAGGAAACATCTCAAGAAATAAACTATATAAAATTACCATTTAATAATACATAATATTGGAAGAGGGAGATTATTTTCCCAAAATTACAAAGCAGATAATTACCAAACAAAAAAGCTTGGCAATGTAATTTCAATGCCTTTAATTGTAGTCATTTTGACCTAGTCCTTCATCTTGTTTCTTCTTTTCTCTGTGCTTCTGCTTTTAAAGGCAAGGCAAATTCTCAGGTATTAAAAAGTGTTTACATAAACTTGTGTTTACAAAATAAAATTGGAATTAAACGTTGATGTTTGGTAGATATGAAAGAATATGCTAAATTATTAATAATGAAAAAACAGCGTGTCTGCTTATTATAACACGTATCCTGAAGTGGGCAGAGGCAGATCCCATAAAAGCCAAGATTCTGCCTGCACTGGCTTAGAAGTTTATTGTAAAACATTTTGAGCCAAGGACATTTAGAGGAACAATGCCAAGTTAGTTTGAAGGTGCCAATGCAGAGTAATCTTTAAAAGATGGATACTCCATCATTGAAGTAACTGAAAGTACAATTCATGTCATGTCAATTTAACTTAAGACATCTGTTACCAAGATACAGAAGCATATCTGTCTATTAATTTTTAAGTAGAACTATTCAGTTTGTGCTCACCTACTTAGTTTTAATAAATGTTCTATAAATGCTTCTTTTCAATTGTTATTATTTATGAAGCCAAGTTTCATTCTATGTTATTCTTGGTCATTATTCCAATTGTAAAGTACAGGTAGGAAAGGAGGAGTACAAAGAGAAAATCCTAACTCTTAGTGGAAGCTTGTCATTTCTCAAAATGTGATGTCATCTCTTACCACAGCATTAATCTGAAAGCCTCCAAGTCACCTTAGGGCCCTGTGCATTTCTTGCTTGTCAGTTTCATCCTTTGTGAATTTCCTTTGAAATATGGCAGGTCCTCAGTATGTGTTTATTCAGTGACTATCAATGAAAACAGGCTTTTTATGAGAGTAGAAATGATGATGAGTAAGTTAATAATAGAGTGTCTGAAAACCAAAGACTCAATGAGATGAAGAAGTGATGTGGATAGACAAGGAAATGCATTAACAGCAAGAAATTTAGTGTTTGGGCAGATAAGTCTTACATATCAGTGAGTCGAGCCCCAAGTTTCAGGTTATAAATAGTTTGTGCAATTTTTTCTTTTAGCAGTTGATTTATCATTTAATTTGACTCAGTAAGTGGCACATAAGTCACTTAAAGTAATGGTTCCTTTCACCATAGAATTTGTATGTTGATGGGTTCCATAACTTGCCGTCCAAACAATGAGTCTCATTATCTATAATGAGACACAATAACTCATCCTTCCAAAAACACAAAACGTAGAAATCATCCCAGAATTTTCTATCTCTGATGGTTCAGAGATAATCTTGGTTTTAGTCATTGCTTCAGGCAAGTTCTATAGTGAAGGCATTGATTTTGGAGAGGCAGCTTGTAACACGTACTACTGTGTTCTAATGTCTAATATCAATTCAAAGTTTACAAATTGTGAGTGCAAAGATTGCATCCACGTAGGATTAGTTTATTTGGAATATTTCAATCTTACTTGGAGGGGCTCCATTGGCCCTCCATAGGTCCAGTGTTGAATAGAGGATTATCTAATCGATTTATTGAAGGGCTAGAATAAACCAGAAAATATTCTTATGTTTTCTCTGATTCTAGAAGAGATAGTTATGAGTATAGTATTTGAGGTAAATAAAATTATTTCAAAGTATCAATTAAGACATTAAATTATAATTTGCACATCAGATCTATCTGGATTTTATATATTTCTGTCAATTAATATCATATTTTTCCATTGCATATGAAACATAGTATTGAGGAACTGTCAAAATCCAGGTTCTCTCAAACAATGATATTACTGGATATTGATTGAAAGATATTAAGTAAAAATCCATTTTTTGGGGGCTTCAAATTATGATGTTAAGGCCAACTGTTTGAGAAGTTAATATTAAGTGTTAGATGACTGAAAACTCTGTTGTGTATTTAGTTACTAACAGTTAAATACAGGTTTCAACATTAAATTTAGTTAGTTGGGCGGAAGAGTGACCTCAGATTTAGAAAAAAAAAAAGTGAACACTTCCAACTGCTTATGCAAACTATTGCTCTGAGGCCAAGGCTAACTTAACAGAACAAGACACAAATTTTATAATTCAATAGAATTTACCAGTTTTTAAGCCAAACATAAGCTTATATGATGAAGTAAAAGCCATATTTTAGTTTTAACTTTTAAGTATTATTTTGAAGTCAACCAGAAAATAAATTTGAAATACTTCTATTTACCCATTTTTAATATCAAATTTTAATTTCTCTTATGCAGTCTTTGGAATCATATTTTAAATACTATAACTACACATTCATCAATACAAAGTAGCCACCAATTTCCATTTTTGAGCAGGAGCTCTTCAACTTCCTTGCATAAATATATAAATTAATTATTTTTAATATTTTTTCAAAGAAACACTATAGTAAATTATATGGAAAACATTCTTTTAGGAAAAAAGACAATATCAAGATCAAGCTATAAATATAATTTTAACTATAGGTCCACTTTTTTTTATTAATAGGTGAGTTATTTTCTTGTGGCAATATTTAAAAAAGTAAACTGGCTTATGTTTTCAACTTGTGACTGTTTCTCTCTTATGCTATAATTGCCAAAACCACTGATGTCGGGAACAACAACTTGACTGTTCTCCAGCCTTCCTCTGGGACCTGGGACACAGAAATAAATCATCAGTTGCTCCTCAGTATGCAGAGTTGGAATCAGAAGTTGTCTTATTCTGTTTTCAAAAGAGGCACCCCACCACTAAGGTGACAGGAAGTGCTCCAAGTTAACCCTAAGTTCTGATTTAACCTCTAACATAAAAATGCAGGTGTTGACATTGTATATAACCTCTTATTAGAAAAGACATAAAAAATGGTTTTATTTTGTATAGCGTGTTTGGGGTGAAGGGAACAGAGGAAAGTAAAAGATACCATGAAACTTTATATCATTGTGAAGTTAAACGAATAGACAAGACCGACATTAAAAGATATATTCAGAAAAACTTCTATTATTCTTAAACTGAAGGCAGATACTGTTAAGAAAAATAAATGAGAGATCTGATTTTGTTGTGGGCTATGCTAAGATGGCAGATATTGGTCATTACTTTTCCCCAGTGTATTTCCTCTGATATTTTTGTTTTCTTTTCTTTTCTTTTTTTTTTTTTCTTGAGACAGTCTCGCACTGTCGCCCAGGCTGGAGTGCAGTGGTGCAATCTCGGCTCATTGCAACCTCCGCCTCCCAGGCTCAAGTGATTCTCCTGCCTCAGCCTCCTGAGTAGCTGGGATTACAGTCACTCACCACCACGCCTGGTTAATTTTTTGTATTTTTAGTAGAGACAGGGTTTCACTACGTTGGCCAGGCTGGTCTCAAACTCCTGACCTCGTGATCCGCTGATCTCGTGATCCACCCACCTCAGCCTCCCAAAGTGCTGGGATTACAGGCGTGAACCACCACGCCCGGCCTCCTCTGCCATTTTTCAAATGAAGTTTTTGGTTCAAATAATCAATGACTCTAAAATTGACCTTGGTCAAAAGTATTAAAGATTTCATGTTTGTCATTGGTTTTTAACTTATTTTATTCTGAATCTTCTTTTTAAACAATCTTAGGATTTTTAATTCTTTGTCATGATCTCATATCTGAAGAATATGGATCTAGCAACCAATTACACTTTGTTCGTTCAAGTTTATGTGTAAACTCAAAATTTAATGACAGAATGACATATTTTTACATTTTGAAATAAGTTTAAACCAAATGGGCAATATTTTGAGGCAATCCACTGAAATTAGGGATTGCAAGTATGGCTGACTTCAAAGTAAAGGTTGTTTAATTTTTATTTTTTTGTTTTTTTGAGACGGAGTCTCGCACTGTCTCCCGGGCTGGAGTGCAATGGCACAATCTCAGCTCGTTGCAACCTCTGCCTCCTAGGTTTATGTGATTCTCCTGCCTCAGCCTCCGGAATAGTTGGGATTACAGGCGCACACCACCACCCCCAGCTAATTTTTTTTTTTTTTTTTTTTTTTTTTAGTAGAGACAGGGTATCACTATGTTGGCCAGACTGGCCTCAAACTCCTGGCCTCATGATCCGCCCTCCTCGGCCTCCCAAAGTGTGTTTAATTTTATTTTAGGGGTTATGCATGTGAAAGAATGGTTCTCAGGAGACTTTTCTCCTCACTCCCTAGGCAGGTCAGTGCTTTCCTGGGGAGACCGGTGAAAAATGACAGGGCTGAATTCAAGTTTCTGTTGTAAGTTTCTTCAATGACAGGGCTGAATTCAAGTTTCTGTTGTAAGTTTCTTCAATGTTTGAATATCCTGTAATGCTTACCTCAAAACAGAACCATCAATCTTATACTGCTCCTTCCTCTGCTTTCCCAGTTCATAAGGCAAGACCCTCTCCCTCCCTCTAATAGTTTAAAGCTGCTATTGTTAATTTGGGAGGATTTTTTTTATGTGTTCAAAATTTTAAATGTCTATTTAATGATAGTTTTTAAAATATTGTGCTGCCTTCTTTTCCCTTTGTCTGATCCCTTGTAATGCATTCCTAGAATACTAGATTAGATATGCTTTCACTATTAAGTCTAAGAACTGTATTCATCATTGAAACATTACTCCTACATTAGTTGACCTTTTACTTTACTATATAATGTGGTTCACATATGATGGAAATTAACATTAATTTAAATTTAATTTAATTTAATTTCAATATGTTATAAAACTTAGTTTAGTTTTTGAAAAATAACAACTTTTTAAAATGAATTTTATTTATTTCAAAAAGCAATGTATATTTTGTATAACAATTGAAGTAATCACTGAAATATGTAGAAAGCTAAAGTTCATCACATCCTTTCAAAACAGTATCATATCTACTCTGGTAGATTAATTAAGTTGATAAGGTAGATAGATGGGCTTTTTCTTTGGTACAGCATTATATTTGCTCATAAAGCATGACAAGCATATGTAAAGTTGGGAGGAAGAGGTTGTTAGGGGTCTATAAAAATCAAAAGCATTTCTATATACCAACAGTGAACAAACTGAAAAATGAATTAAGAAAGCAATCTCATTTATAATGGCTACAAAAAATGCCTAGAAATAAATTTAACCAAAGAAATTAAAGATCTCTCCAATAAAAACTATATAACACTGATGAAAGAAAATAGAAGAGGACACACAAAATTGAAAGATATTCCATATTCATATATTAGAAGAATTAATTTTGTAAATACTACCCAAAGCAACCTACAGATTCAATTCTAAAATTCATATAGAAAGACAAAAGACTCCAAATAGCCAAAGAAATACTGAGCAAAAAGAACAAAGCTGAAGGCATCATATTATCTGATTTAAAAATATACTACAAAACTATAGTAACCAAAACAACATGGTACTCTCATATAAACAGACATGTAGAACAAAAAAATAAAATAGTAAACCCAAATATAAGTCCACACAGTTACAACCAACTCATTTTTGACAATGCCACAGATGTACATTGGGGAAAGGAAAGTCCCTTCATTAATGGTTGTGGAAAAACATTAGATCTTCATATGCAAAAAAGTAATACTAGGACCCTATTTCTGATGATATATGAAAATCAAATCAAAATAAATTAAAGACTTAAATATAATACCCGAAACTATGAAACTACTAGAAGAAACCATTGAATAAATGCTTCATTCTGTTGTTGATAACAGAAAAAAGAGACATCCTACAGAATGGGAGAAAATATTTGCAGACTATCCATCCAACAAGAAATTAACAATCAGAATATAAAAATAACTAAAACAATAGCAAAATAATAATAATAATAATATAACAACCCTATTAAAAATGGCAAAAGACCCAGTAGAAATTTCTTGAAAGAAGACATATAAATTGCCAACAGGTATATGAAAATATGCTCAACATCACTAATCATTAGCGAAGTGCAAATCACAACAACAATAAGGTATCATCTCACCCCAGCTAATATAGTTTATTAAAAATACAAAAAATAATAGATGCTAGTGTGGATGCAGAGAAAGGGAACCACTCCTAAACTGTTGGTGGAATTGTAAATAAATATAGCCAATATACAAACAGTATAAAGTTTCCTCAAAAAACTAAAAATAGAATTATGATATGATCCAGCAATCCCACTGCTAGGCACATCAACAAAATAAAGGACTTCAGTATATCAAAAAGATGTCTGTATCCCATGTGTATTGTAGCACTATTCACAAGAGGCAAGATATGAAATCAATCTTAGTTTAAATCAACCAATGAATGGATAAAGAAAATGTGATGTTTATATACACAGTGCGATACAATTCTGCCATTAAAAAGAATGAAATTCTATTATTTGCAGCAACACTGGTGGAACTGGAGGTCATTATGTTAAGTGAAATATACCAGGCCCAGAAAGACAAATATCACATGTTTTCACTTATATGTGGAAGCTAAAAAAGTGAATCTCACAGAGATAGAGAGTAGAATGATGGTAACCAAAGGCTAAGAAGGGTAGGGAAGGGTGAGATTGAAAAGAAGTTGGTTCATGTGTACAGATGTATAGACAGAAGGAATAAGTTTTAATATTCAATAGTACAACAGGGAAGATGTAGTTAACAACAATTTATTGTATATTTTAAAATCACTAGAAGGGAAGAATTGGAATGTTTTCGAGTCAAAGAAAAAAATAAGGGTTTGAGATGACGGATATTCCAGTTACCTGATTTGATCATTACACTTTATATACAAGTATCAAAATATCATGTGTACTCCAAAAATATGTATAACAATTATATATTAATAATAAAACAATCTACATATATGGAGCTTCAATTGGTTAATATGTGATATAGTTTAACGTGCTAAATCAACTGAAGGTTGTATGTCATTAAAATCTGTGCTATAAATCAACATGCTTATTGATTAATCAATATACTTAAATGTATGAAAGAATAAGTGGAATTAGAAAGAAAAAAATAAAAGAAATTGTTTAATGGATTCAGGGTCAATTTGTGTTCAATCATGCAAACACAAATCTCACTAGTAAGACGCTTGCATTGATATTTATACTTGAGGAAAAGCTAGGCTCCTTAACTATGAATCATGCATGTATAAGATGTATCTTTTATATCCATATTTCTCTAAGCCATTACTATTATCAGAATTATTGACAATAATTTTTAAGTTTCTGCTACGAAAATTGTGTCAGCCAGTTTGATTTCCATTGTGCTTCAATAAGCAACCTCAAAGTCTTGAGTGACTTAAAATACTATCTATTATTTCCTATGTAAGCTAATGTCAATCTCATATTGAGAGAAGCATGGTTCTACTCATGTCAGTCTCTTCTTGCTGCCGATTTTGCTGATTGACATGCTAGAATAAAAGGGAGCTTGGAGTCTCCCCCTACCCTCAAACTTCATCAGGAAGACCTAGTCACAAGTCCACATCTAGTCAAAGCAAAGCAATGTGCAAAGAGGCAGGGAGATTGACTTCGTGAGGTCTGTATATGAAGTACAGCACAAATGATTAATACTACTTAGGAAAGGAAAGATCTACAGGTAGAATTATATAGCATCCTTACTGCCCTCAAGCTTTTTATATTTTTATCTGCACTGTAATCTTCATAAAAGGAATCTGACTGGAGTAATTTGGGGTTAAATAAATGGTAGGATTTTCTATATTTTCATATTTCATTCACAAGGAATGATGAAAGAACATGTCATAAATGTTTGCAAGTGTATGGGAAATTGTTAATCGCCATTTTTTTTTTAATGTTTGAGGTCCGGTCATTGCCAGCACCCATGTTATTTTCAGAGGACACTGATGTCTTAGACATCACCATGCCCTTGGGATCCAAAAATAGAGATTCCAGCAGTCAAACAATACAAATCAACTCAAAGCCACTGATCAGATTGACTTGAAAGACTATTATTGTAAATTGATTAAGACTCAGAGCCCAGATGTCCTCCAGGTTTTTACATAGCACAGTTGTTGGACTTTCTGCATTTTATCTGAGCAATGCCTTTTATTTCTCAGAACGGAGAGGTAGATTGGAAGCTCTTTTATACATAATTACTCCTACAGAATTTGGTTTACATGGGTCTATAATGTCTCTACAGTCTTTGATCGGTCATTCAAAAATAAAGGAGTCTGTTTTTCTACTTTGTTTTTGTAAATTTGTTGTGCTTCATCTAATTTGGGTGCAATCTAACCACAATAAAGCTACTTCAGATCACTTTCAGCCACATATAGCTTTAATTCTGTGTAAGAATGGAATGCCAGGACAGAACACAGAGTATTAAGAAAAATTGAAGGTGTTTGGGTTCAAAAGCCATAATATACAGAGATTTACCAGTGATCAGTGTGGAATGCCATTCATAAGTGTTGGGTAAACTGGTTTGAGTGTCTTAGAGAATGTTTACTCTGGTGATAGTTTCTTTTCAAACATTCATTTCAAATATTTTGCAATATTTTAAATTTCAACCATTTCACTTGTAGAGGCACCTAATCCCTTCCTTGGTGATATATTTGGCTTAGTGTGCTTGTGACTAACAGCCTTACAATTTGAAAACATAACAACTTTTCTGAAGTCAAATGCTTTTTTATGGAACAAAATTAGGAGTCTTTATTAAATGATATCCACATGGATGCTTTTTTATCTTCTAGCAAAAACCTCTTAAATGTGGAGATCATTCAGGGGGAGATAGAAGAGACAGAGCAGTTAACAGATTCAATTTTTCTTCTGTATCTGAAAGGATAAACAGCCTGTGCTTTCCAGAGTGAGTTAGCATGCTATTTTATACAAGCTCTGGGAAATCTCGGATGTTTAAGTATTGCTTTGTTGTTTGTTTAGTTTTCGTGGTATTCTGGAATGTGTGAATCTCAGATATTTGAGAGGCATTCTGCAACCTATATTCCAGATATTGTCCTTTAATCATCATTTGGGCAAGTCGATCTGTAATTGACTAGTGTGCTTTTCTGAAATCCAGGTTGATCTTTCTTTAGGAAATTATTAATTGCTTGACATAGATGACCCTATTTTGTGTTTCTTTGTTCTATTTTGTAAATTAAAAATTGCCACTTTTACAATTAAAAAAAATAAAGCACGTAACGGCCAGAAATAGTTGCCTTTGAAGAGCAAAGGAAACTATCAACAGATTAAACAGACTACTTACAGAATGGGAAGGAAATATTTACAAACTATGCATCCAATAAACACCTAATATCCAGATACTATCAGGAGCTTAAATCAACAAGAGTAAAACAACCCCATTAAAAAGTGGGTAAAGGACATGAATGCACACTTTTCAAAAGAAAACATAAATGTGGCCAATAAGCATACAAAAAAAATGCTCAACATCCCTAATCACTAGAGAAATTCAAATCAAAACCACAATGAGATACTATCTCACACGTGTCAGAATGGCTAATATTAAAAAGTCAAAAAACAACAGATGTTGGCAAGATTCAGAAGAAAAAGAAATGCTTATACACTGCTGGTGGGAATGTAAATTATTTAAGCCATTGTGAAAATCAGTTTGGCAATTTCTCAAATAATTCAAAACAGAATTGCCATTGAACCTAGCAATCCCACCATTGGGTATATATCCAAAGGAATAGAAAATGTTCTGCCATAAAGATACAGGCACACATCTGTTCATCATACCACTATTCACAATAGCAAACACATGGAATCAACCTAAATACCCATCAGTGGTCGACTGGACAAAAGAAATATGGTATATATACACCACGAAATACTACACAGCCATAAAAATGAATGAGATCATATCATTTGCAGCAATGTGGTTGGAGTTGGAGGTCATTATCCTAAGTGAACTAACAAAGAAGCAGAAAACCAAATGCCCATGTTCTCACTTGTAAGGTGGAGTTAAACATTGAATACACATAGACACGAAGAAGGGAATAGTAGACACTAGGGCCTACCTGATGGAAGAGGGTGAAGATTGAAAAATGACCTATCAGGTACTGTGCTTATTTCCTGGGTGGTGAAATAATCTGTACACCAAACCCCTGTGACACACAATTTACTTATATAACAAAACTGCACCTGTACCACTGAACTACAAACAAAAGTTAAAAAATAATTTTGGTTTTGCTATTACTTCTATTAATTAAAAAATAGTACTTGAGTAATAGACTCCATCAAAATTCACAATATTTTTACTTTTATTTTAATATGTTCAATGGCAATAAGCTATTATTTGTCACATATAAAATGTTTTAACTTATTGCAAAGGAGATGTATTATACTGTCACTTCATAAATTTCACAATTATTACCCAATAACTTAAAATCATTTCTTAGTAAGGCATCATCAGGCTAGGTTGGCATTTCAGATATAGTCTTAAAATGACCCTCAATGGCCCACACTAATATATAACCCTCTCATCTTGAATGTGGTCAGGGCTGTAATTTAGTTTTAACTATTAGATCATGATACCAATTATCGTATATAACTTCTGTCATCATGTTATTTTATGTGGCAAGCATGAACAGATTTTTGCAGATATCAAGTTGACGGTACCTTGATCAAAAGGGTATGGACAAATCTGACATAGTTGAGCCTATTAAAAGAGGATACAGAGATTAGGAACAAGTTGGAGACTGTCATCTACTTTTGAAGAAGCAAACTGTCATTGATCAGGAAGCTTCATGGTAGGGAATGGCAGAAGACCTAGGAGCTGAGGGCTTTCAGTCCTACAATCACAAAAAACAAATTCTGCCAACAACCATGTAAGCCTAAAAGAGGACCCAGAACCTCAAATAAGACCTGCTCACCATCTGACACCTTGATTGCAGCCTGTGAGATTCTGAATAGAGAATCCAGATAAGCTATATCTGGATTTTTGCCCCATGGATACTGGGAATTGTTTTAAGCTTTTAAGTTTTTGGTGATTTGTCACACAGCATTGCAAACCAATACGACTCGATACGAGGACCCTGGGACTCTAGGCACCCACAACCTATACATTGAAACACATTATATTTAATATTACAATATAAAGTTGAGAAGGTTTGACTGTCTCCCCACCCAAATCTCATGAGTTGTAATCCCCGCAATTCCCACATGTCAAGAAAAGGACTCAGTGCAAAGTGATTGGATCATGGGGGCAGTTTCCTCCATGCTGTTCTCGTGATAGTGAATGAGTTCTCACAAGTTCTGATGGTTTTGTAAGTGTTTGACAGCTCCTCCTTCACACTCTCTCTCTCTCTCCTGCCACCTTGTGATGAAGGTACCCGCTTCCCCTGCCACTGTGATTGTTAAGTTTCCTGAGGCCTCCCAAGCCATGCAGAACTGTGAGTCAATTAAATCTCTTTCCTTTATAAATTACCTATTCTCGGGTATTTCTTTATAGCAGTGTGAGAACAGACTAATGCAAAACTGAAATTACATTAAACTTTATTGGAGATGTAAAAATAGATGGCATTTAAGAAAAAGGAATGAGAAGTTATTTCTTAAGGAATCAGGATGCTTTCTGAAGAAGGCAGTTTTCCTTGTGTTGGTGTAAAAGTGAAGGAGTTCATCTAGTTATATGTTGAAAGGGATTGGATCTGATGACTCCTATGAGTAAAAGTGTATTCACATTGGCAGCTGCATGCAAACTAGGGAGCTGTTTACATGGGTTGAGCATAAAGTATTAAAGAGAAATAGTGGAAATTCAGGTTGAAATGTAGTTTGGAATCAGGTCGTACTGGGAGCCTTTCAGATACTCTATATAGAATGAGTTACTACTGAAGATTTTTTTTTTTTTTTGAGAGGGAGTCTTGCTCTGTCACCCAGGCTGGAGTGCAGTGGCGCCATCTCGGCTCACTGCAAGCTCCACCTCCCGGGTTCACGCCATTCTCCTGCCTCAGCCTCCTGAGTAGCTGGGACTACAGGCGCCCGCCAACGCGTCTGGCTAATTTTTTGTATTTTTAGTAGAGACAGGGTTTCACTGTGTTAGCCAGGATGGTCTCGATCGGATGATCTCGTGATCTGCCTTCCTCGGCCTCCCAAAGTGCTGGGATTACAGGTGTGAGCCACCGGGCTGGGCCTACTGAAGATGTTTTTGAGGTAGAGTAAGTTGAGATAGTTTCCCACTAACTACTTTTGTGACCTTGCACAGATTACTTCTTTAAGCTTCATTCATCTCATCTATTAAATGGGTCAAGAAAGACCTATCTTGGAGTATGGCTCATACAATGACAAAGGTACTAGTTGCTCAATACGGAGAGGGACTGGATCTCTGACGATAGCATGGAGAATGACTTGGAGAGAAGACAATAAAGTCAAGTTAGAAGATACTGTGAGGTTCTAAGTAAACTCTGTTAGCAGCAATAACAATAACATGTAAGCAATGGATATGAGAAGCTGGAAAGACACAAAGAACAAAGCGGACTTTCTTGCCAATATGAAACATTTCTAAAATCACAAAAGAAAGCATCAGAAGATATTGAATAGTTCATTTACTTTAACAAAAGTACAAAATCATCCTTGTTTTTATTCCTGGGTCCAGTCTGTCGTTTGATGCCATTATCTTGTCCAATATTTTCATACTTAGAGCTGCCCCAGGCAAAATCGACCTTGTTTGCTAATGGAAGTCATTAAACATTTTGAATCATGGAGTGATGTGGTTGTACCTGTTCTTGGAGGACATGTGTCATGACATGTCAAGGGCAGATAGCCAAAAAAGGCAGCACTGCACCATGAGTCTTACATGACAGCCATGATGGTGAGAATATAAAGGGTGTAATTGGGTACATAATCCAAAGGTGGTTTGGTAAATGATTGAATATATCATATAAATATTTAAGAAAAAAAATTGATTCCAGGAGTGTGCTGAGGCTGGTCTACGTGAGCTCCCAAGGTCAAATTTTGTGCATCTCTCCCCAGATTCCTGTCCAGTGATATCAAATTGTTTCTTAAATTAGCTATAGTGTCAATAAGCACAACACTAA
The DNA here is from genome assembly GCF_000001405.40 of Homo sapiens. NCBI lineage: Eukaryota > Metazoa > Chordata > Mammalia > Primates > Hominidae > Homo > Homo sapiens. The sequence goes on along the minus strand of NC_000021.9, from coordinate 27,827,870 downwards.
AATGTCCAACACTGCAAAGTAGAACTTTTCTGGGGAGCGGGAGGAGTGCAGTTTTTAAAAAATTTACCAGCACAGCACTAAATGATTCTTATAGGTAAAATCTAAACAGCTAGGAAGATGGTAGTTCTGTGAACTGAGAAAGGTACGTTGAGAGAAATAAAATTTGAATTGAGAAAGGTAAATGAGGCCGGGTGTGGTGGTTCAAGCCTGTAATCCCAGCACTTTAGGAGGCCGAGGCGGGTGGATCACCTGAGGTCAGGAGTTCGAGACTAGCCTGACCAACATGATGAAGCCCTTGTCTCTACTAAAAATACAACAAATTAGCCAGGCATGGTGGCGGGCACCTGTAATCCCAGCTACTCGGGAGGCTGAGGCAGGAGAATTGCTTGAACCTGGGAGGCGGAGGTTGCAGTGAGCCAAGATGGCACTACTGCACTCTACCCTGGGCAATAAGAGTGAAAGTTCATCTCAGAAAAAAAAAAAAAGAAAAAGAGAAAGCTAAATGAGGTAAAAGAAGGATGGCCTTCTGGTGGAGATAGAGTAAAACAAGATGTTTGCTTGAGGGCTTCCTGGGTTTAAAGTTTCAGTGTTTTGCACTGTATTTGGTCCTTGGTTCTGTATTCCACTGATATTTGTTGAATGACTAACTTGTGTTTTCCCAATAAGGAAATCTAGTAGAAGGCTGGAAATTGACATTGGAAGTTAAGACTACACATGCAACTAGACACACACACACACACACACACACACACACAATGGACTATAGAACCATCTATATGGGATAGTTATTGAAGTCCTAGTAAGAAAGGATACTACTAAGAGAACCTGTGTGGTGTCATAAATATCAAAATAAAGAACAGGATTTTGAGCAATTTATGAGTAAAGGCATTTGAGAAGATAAAATGGCACAGTCAGAAAGCTGGGGGCCAGTGTTTGAGAATGGGAAGGTGGGAGCTGGTATAAAAACACGTCGGTCAGGCCGGGCATGATGGCTCACGCCTGTAATCCCAGCACTTTGGGAGACCGAGGCGGGCAGATCACGAGGTCAGGAGATCGAGACCATCCTGGCTAACACGGTGAAACCCTGTCTCTACTAAAAATACCAAAAAATTAGCCAGCTGTGGTGGTGGGCACTTGTGGTCCCAGATACTCGGGAGGCTGAGGCAGGAGAATGGCATGAACCTGGGAGGCAGAGCTTGCAGTGAGCCGAGATCGTGCCACTGCACTCTGGCCTGGGCAACAGAGCGAGACTCAGTCTCAAAAAAAAAAAAAAAAAAAAAAGGCCGAGCGCGGTGGCTCACGCCTGTAATCCCAGCACTTTGGGAGGCCGAGGCGGGTGGATCACGAGGTCAGGAGATCGAGACCATCCTGGCTAGAATGGTGAAACCCCATCTCTACTAAAAGTACAAAAAATTAGGTGGGCGTGGTGGCGGGTGCCTGTAGTCCCAGCTACTCGGGAGGCTGAGGCGGAGCTTGCAGTGAGTCAAGATCGCGCCACTGCACTCCAGCCTGGGCGACAGAGCGAGACTCTCTGTCAAAAACAACAACAACAACAAAAAAACATGTCCGTCAGGCAAGTATGAAACCTGAAAATCTGTCAAAATCTGGTTAGTAATCTGGGAGATGCAATGACAGTCAGGAGGTTGGGGCAGAATTTACGTTTCAAGTTTCTCACAATGTAGTCATTATTATAAGAATCACCTGGAGGACTTGTTAACAACACATGCTCTGAGGCTCCCTGATCGGAGATACTGATCAAGTAGCTGGGCTCACGACGGAAGTCTGAAGCCAGTGATTTCAAAAACACTGTGAAAGGTATTGAGGAATAAACACACAAGATGGGATATGCAAGGGCAAGATTAAGAGCATAAGTTCTTTTTCTTTCATTGTAACACAGACTGGAGAAGAGAAAAGCATTAAAATTTTGATAGGAAGTGGGATAACGAAGTATATTTTCAGGTTAAGAGTGAATTGAGTATGTTGATAAAAAGATGTTAAAAATCAGGGGGAAAAGCATTATGCGCAAGAAAAAGAGAAAAAATACGTAGAGTGGGACCATGAAGAAGGGAGAAATGATTACTTACTTTTAGAGATGGTCAGGAGAGAAAAGGTGTTGGCATTTAAAATAGGCAAATTTGTTTAAGGGAACACATGTCAATTGATGTCACTTAAATTGATAAAAGCAATACTTATTTAATATTTATTTTTTAAAACAAAATAAAATACAGTTGAATGGAAAATGAGAAGTTTTCCTTTCAAAACTGAAACTTATTTTTCCACTATGGTTAAAAATTTCATTCATATTCAAAATAATTTTAATGCTCATTTTTTGACAAATAAATATAAATGAAATTAAAGCTCTGCTATTTTTTTTTAAACAAATGACTATTTAATTAAGATATCAGTTAGTCAGGTTAGCAAGCACCAGTCTGGAGATTTTGAACAGAAAGATATTTTGTATAGGGAATTGGTTAGTAAGATGTTAGAAGGGTTGTAAGAACAAAGAGTAGAAAGAATTTGACCCAGTGTTAGAAGCTGCTCCCATCCTCGGATGAAGCCCACAGTCCCTTGTCACTGGACTAAAGGCACTTCCACTTAAACTGTTGAAAGCACCGCCACTGCTGCTGAGCGGGGATCACCCCTGCTTGCCACTGCTGGAACTGCTGATGATGCTGGTACTCACAGTCCCCACCTGCTTCCCTGCTAGAGTTAGAATTTTGTCTCCCTCCCTCCCACTTCCTTTCTTTTCTTTTTTTTTTTCTGAGACAGGGTCGCCCAGGCTGGAGTACAGTGGCGGAATCTTGGCTCACTGCAACCTCAGCCTCCTGGGTTCAAGCAATTCTCATGCCTCAGCTTCTCAAGTAGCTGGGACTACAAACACCCACCACCACACCTGGCTAATTTTTGTATTTTTAGTAGAGACGAGGTTTCACAATGTTGGCCAGGCTGGTCTCGAACCCCTGACCTCAGGTGATCCATCTGCCTCAGCCTCCCAAAGTGCTGGGATTACAGTCCTGAGGCACTGTGCCCGGCCCCTCCCTCCCACTTTTAATATCTTGCAAGTATTTCCCACAAGCCCAACCCAGCTAACTTTCATTTTGCCAGGGAGTCTGGGGGAAATACAATTTTCAATCTTCCAACACGTGTGATACTGAGAAGAGCACAGAAAGGTCAGAATGGTCTCTATACCAACAGACAATATCTGGCACACTCAACTAAATCTTCCTAAAAAGAAAAAGTGAGATGCTGAAAAGCATGTAAGGCTAATTTGAGTAATATAAAAACTGCTATGAGAATGACATGAGAATTAGGCCATTCTTGCATCACTATAAAGAATACCTCAGGGCTGGGCACAGTGGCTAACACCTGTAATCCTAGCATTTTGGGAGGCCGAGGCAGGCAGATCACAAGGTCAGGAGTTCGAGACCAGCCTGGCCAACATATGGTGAAACCCTGTCTCTGCTAAAAATGTACAAAAATTAGCTGGGCATGGTGGCATGTACCTGTAATCCCAGCTACTCGGGAGGCTGAGGTGGGAGAATTACTTGAACCTGGGAGGCCTAGGTTGCAGTGAGCCAAGATCACACCACTGCACTCCAGCCAGAGCAAGACTCCATCTCAGAAAAAAAAAAAAAAAAAAAGAATACCTCAGACAGTGGGTAATTTGTAAAGAAAAGAGGCTTTATTGGCTCTTGGTTCTGCAAGTGTACAAGCATGGCGTTGACATCACTTGGCTTCTGGGGAGGCCTCAGGGAGCGTTTACTCATGGTGGAAAATGAAGTGGGAGTAGGCACATAGCATGGTGAAAGCACAAGTGAGAGAGGGAGAGAGTTCGGAGGGAGCTGCCACACACTTTTAAACGACCAGATTTCGCAAGAACTCAGTCACTATCGCAAGGACAGCATCAATCCATGAGGGATAGGCTCCCATGACCCAAACATCTCCCCCCAGGTCCCACCTTCAACATTGGGGATTACATCTCAACGTGAAATATGGGTGAGAAAATATTTAAGCTATGTCAGCATGTTATGAGAGACTGACTGTATGTTACTTGAATTGTAAGATACAGATGTCTCTTCCTGCCTTGTTTTCATTATCCACAGCTTTTCTCATGGCGATAGACACTGAAAACACAAACATTTTCTAGCTAGCTGTCATCTATCTATCTATCTATCTATGCCTTTATATTACTTAGGCAATATCTTTTTTGAGAAACTTTCAAAGAAGTAGTTTATTTATGAGTCATAGCATACATATGATAACACATTGAGTTGTTCGGAAACTATTGATGGATGGTTTGCTGTGTGTGTTGTGCCAGGTATGAAGGGGGTCTAAACTCATTGATAAAATCAACTAACTTATACTGTAAAGTGATTTGATGCTTGGAACATTTTTAAACGCTTATTTGTAGCATCTCATGACAAACTTACAGGTAACCTATGAGATAGGTGCTTTTGTAGTACCTATCTGTCTGGGGTGTAGACCCCAGACAATTACAAACAAAACAGCAACAAAAGAGGAATCACAGAGGGTTTAAGGAACTTCTCAAGATCACATTTTATGACTGGTACAATGGTCAGGGTAATGAGAATTGTACAGTATCTTAAGAGACATATACTTCATAAAACATTTTAACATAAAGAAAAAGCTTTTATATACCATGAAAATGAAAGAGAATGGGTTGAAGAAGTACTCACTCAAAAATAACTTCTTTTTCTGACAGTACGAATTCCAAGTGTACAGTTATTGTACAAATATCCTGGTCTACATTAAAATACATTTATGAAATGTTTTCTTTAAAATATCTAAAAGATAAAAATGTGTGTGTATGTGTATAACAGAATAAAAGAAATTTTACAGGACAATTTTCTTGGAGAGTTTAATTCAGAAATGATTGGAAATTTGCAGCATGCTTTTAGAAGGATAGTGACATAATGCTGGAATCATTATGGAATTTATTTTTTTTTAATTTCAACATTTATTCTAGATTCAGGGGGTACATGTACAGGTTTGCCACATGGGTAAATTGCATGATGCTGAGTTTGTGGCATGGATTCCACCACCCAGTAGTGAGCATCATACCCAATAGAGAGTTTTCAAACCACACCCCACTTCCTCCCCCGCCAGTAGTCTCCAGTGCCTATTGTTGCCATCTTTATGTCCATGTGTACTCAATGCTTCACTCCCACTTAAAGTGAAAGCATACGGTACTTGTTTTTCTAATCCCATATTAAGTCACCTAGGATAGAGGTCTCCAGCTGCATCCATGTTGCTGTAAATGATGATTCCTTTCTTTCATATAATGACCTAGTACTCCATGCTGTATATGCACCACATTGTCCTTATCCAATACACCATTGATGCGCACCTAAGTTGATTCCATATCTTTGCTATTGTGAATAGTGCTTTGATGAGCATGTCAATGCAAGTGTCTTTTTGGTAGAATGATCTACTTTTCTTTGGTATATACTGAGTAATGACATTGCTGAGTCAAATGGATGTTTTAAGTTCTTTAAGAAATCTCCAAACTGCTTTCCACAGTGGCTGAATTAGCTTACATTTCCACCAACAATGTATAAATGTTCATTTTTCTCTACAACCTAACTAGCATTTGTCATATTTTAGTTTTTAATAATAACTATTCTGACTGGTTGACATGGCATCTCATTGTGGTTTTGATTTGCATTTCCCTGATGAATAGAGATGTGGGGCATTTTTTCATATGTTAGTGGCCACTTGTATGTCATCTTTTGAGAAGTGTCTATTCATATCCTTTGCCTATTGTTTAATAAAGTTATTTGTTTTTTGCTTGTTTTTTTTTTAGTTGCTTGTAGATTCTGGATATTAGACATTTGCAGGTGCATAGTTTTGAATATTTTCTCCAATTCTGTGGGTTCCTATTTACTCTATTTATACTTTCCTTTGCTGTGCAGAAGTGCTTTAGTTTAATTAGGTCCCACTTGTCTGCATTTGTTTTTATTGCAATTACTTTTGAAGACATGACCAGAAATTCTTTGCCAAGGCCAATGCCAAGAAGGGTATTTCCTACTTTTTTTTTAGGAATTTTATAATTTGAGGTCTTACATTTAAATCTTTAATCCATCTTGAGTTAGTATTTGTACATGGTGAAAGGTTATGGTTCATTCTTCTGCATATAGCTAGCCAGCTATCCCAGCACCATTTATTGAATAGGAAGTATTTTTCCCATCACTTGTTTTGTTGACTTTGACAAAGATCAAATAGTTGTAGGTGTGTGGCTTTATTTCTGAGTTCTCTATTCTCTTGTATGGGTCTATATGTCTGTTTTTTTGTGTGTTAGTACCATACTGTTTTGGTTCTCGTAGACTTATAGTTCAGTTTGAAGTCAGGTAGTGTGATAGCGCTGGCTTTGTTCTTTTGCCTGGGATTTCTTTGGCTATTTGCTTTTTGTTGTTGTTACCGTTCCATATGAATTTTAGAATTATTTTTTAATTCTCTTAAAAGTCACATTGGTAGTTTGATAGAAGTAGTGTTGAATCTGTAGATTGTTTGGGGTAGTATGGTCATTTTAATAATATTGATTCTTCCAATCCATGACCATGAAATATTTTGCATTTATTGTGTCATCTATGGTTTCTTTCATCAGTATTTTATAATTCTGTTTGTAGAGACCTTTTACCTCCTTTGTTAGCTGTATTCTTAGATATTTCATTTGTTTGTGGCTATTGTAAATGAGATTGTGTTCTGGATTTCACTCAGCTTAAACAATATTGGTATAGAGAAATACTATGAATTTTTTGCGTTGATTTTGTGTTCTGAAATTTTACTGAAGTCATTTTTCAGTTCTAGGAATGTTCTGACAGCAACTTTAGGTTTTTCTAGCTATAGAATCATATAGTCAGTGGAAAGAGGTACTTTTACTTCTTCCTTGTTTATTATTTCCGTGTCTTTTATTTCTTTCTATTGCCTGATTGCTCTTCCTAGGACTTTTTTACAATGTTGAATAGGAGTGGTGAGAGTGGGCATCCTTCTCTTCTTTCAGTTCTCCAGGGGAATGCTTCCTATTTACCCGTCATGATAAAAACTCTCAACAATCTAGGCATTGAAGAAACATACCTCAAAATAATAGGTGTCATCTATGACAAATCCATAGCCAACATTATGGAATTTCTAAGTTTAGAAAAAATTCTATGTATACTTTAAAGTATGTTGAAGCCTTGACATCATGTGGCATAGAGAATAGCCACAGAGCAGCAAATGATACCACTCTCTTCTTCAGATAACATGTTATTCTCCATAAGTTTCTTCCTGTTGACCTTTTGATGCAAACCAGGCTTCCCATAGCTGTCTTAGGCAGCAACTAGTTGGCTGATTTAATACTTCCTGACAGTTCATGTAAACAACAGGTCCAGTTGTCTCAGACAAATTAACCAAATAAGATTCAACAGTAATATTTTTAATTAAGTTATGGTGTTGAGGCAATCAGACCCTTACAATCTTTAAAGTGTCTTTTTTTGTTCAATTTTAAAACTATGAGGCCGGGTGCAGTGGCTCACTCCTGTAATCCCAGCACTTTGGGAGGCCGAGGTGGGCGGATCACGAGGTCAGGAGATCGCGACCATCCTGGCTAACACGGTGAAACCCCGTCTCTACCAAAAAATAGAAAAAATTAGCCGGGCGTGGTGGCGGGTGCCTGTAGTCCCAGCTACTCGGGAGGATGAGGCAGGAGAATGGCGTGAACCCGGGAGGCGGAGCTTGCAGTGAGCGAAGATAGTGCCACTGGGTGACAGAGCAAGACTCTCGTCTCAAAAATAAGTAAGTAAATAAATAAATAAATAAATAAATAAATAAATAAATAAAACTATGATTCCTCAAAATAACATACACACCAATTGATGGGAGCACATTTTGTGGGTGTTTTTTCTTTTTGAGGTCAACAACAACAACAGAAAATCAAAACCAGAAACAGCTTTTTAAATGTATGAGCCCTGTGGTGTCAAAGAATTTTGGTTAAGGCTTGGGATAAATGGAGGAACTTAGAGTAACTGGTGGAAGATAACAAATTAAAGCAAAGGAGAGCGAGATAAATTTGGGCTTTTGGAAAAGAAGAATGTGAATGTGGGGTGGGGAGATGTGGGCATGCTGGTGTTGGGCTAGGCATGTGTACAAGAAAATATTCAAGTGTATATATTTGTATGAGGATTGAAAACAATGAGTAGACTTCCTAGTGAGGAAGAGAGAGAGAGAAATTTCTCCTGAAATTTTGATATAATAACTGGTGTTTTGTTTTATTTCTACTGTTCCAAAACTTGTGTTACATCTTATGTATAATACCTAAGAATGAATCATTAACTTGGAGAGTTTCTAATCTTAGCGAAAGAACCTCTTCTATTTCAGGAGAATAAGGTGGGGTTTGAACAAGTTTGACCAGTATAAGGGCCAAAGAGAATCGGTATTAATATCTGTACTGTTTTATATATTTCTCTGGGGGAAGCTTCACATCTGTTTTCCTATTTTATCCTCACAATAACTTTGTAGAGTAGAAAAGACAAATATTACACTCTTCATTTTATAGACGGGAATCTGGGGTCCAGTAAGGTCAAATGACTTGGCTAAAGACAAACAGCCAAGATTAGAACCCAGGGCTTCTGGCATTTCATCTAGAACTCTCTAATGGATCCCGATGCCTCCCATTTAGGCTTCGAAAAGCAGCTTGAGCTTAAGTGTAAGTCAAGTTTTTTTTTCCTTTGGACAAGTTCTTTTCATTTTCTTGAATTTCATGAAGTAGGGAATTCAAGAGGGCTAACACCTTAGCGTATGTACAATGGATTTTTCCTATTAGGTAACTCTGCCCTTTGCTTCACCCACTGCACAGCTGGGCTAAGTAATTCTAAAGGAATGTTGTCATGCCAAGGACTCAAGGAAAACTAGGTTTCGTAAAAGTCAATTTATTAAAACAAATCCAGGATTTTTCACTGGTTACACTGTTTAAGAGTCCCTTGGTTAAACATTAAGGTGTTCTTACCACAGAAATAAATAATAATTTTATGTGTTTGGATATATAGCCCAAAAGTAAAAAAGAATATGCTTTCTGAAAATGTGACTGTTTACAAAGCCCTAGAATATGTGCTTTCAAAAAGCTTAGAAACCAAACTCATAAAAATACAAACAACGGTGCTTTGACAAATAAAAGCATTAGACTGCAGGAGAGTGGGTTGTTTTGACTATTAAATAATAGTGTCATATTTTTTTCTTTTAAATCAACTTAGTTGATTTGTTTTGGAAGTTCTGTAGGACAACTTATGGAGATGAATTTATTCCAGGTATTCATTTTAAAAAGAAAGAGAGAGAGAGATTCATCAAGCAAAGGTTAAGGGCTAGTGTTGTTTTTCTCTGGCCTAGAACTTGGCTTGTTTTGCTACACATGAGATGAAGCTCATGTGATTTTTTTTTTCTTCCCTGCAATCTAATCTGTCAGTATACAGAGAATTCATAGTAGCCAGTTCTAAAGCATCTGTTACTCCCAACAGTCTGTCAAATAGAATCCACTTGAAATAACACTGGCGTTTATATTTCACTCATGGCAGGTTAACATTGACAAGTGAATTCGAGGACTAGATTTTCTTCGATGTTGCACTAAATTTACAATGCTGAGAGAAATGAAACCTGTAAGAGGACAGAATGATGGGCTACTCTAATAAGAGACAGGAAAATAACATGGGTACCTTTAATTGTTCAAGAACAGGTGGTAATGTGTAACAATTTCTAAAAATATAATGTGATTCTAGGACTGAATTTTCTACTAGGTAATATTATGAGCTTTAGTATTTGTAAAGCTGGGTCAGCAAAAAAGCGGTAGCCAGGATGCTCAAAGACTTTGAGATTCTAGACTTTTAGAATAGAGTTTAAAGAAAACAAGATCTCAACAAACTGGGAAACATTGTTGGTCTATGTGTTTGTTTTGTCTCGCTTGTCACATATTATTATATTCATTGGGTAAAAGAAAGAGAACATGAATTGAGCCACCAAAATTTTGCCTTCTTTTTTTTATTATTTTTATTTATTTTTTAATTTAATTTTTTTTTTTTTTTTTGAGACGGAGTCTTGCTCTGTCGCCCAGGCCGGAGTGCAGTGGCGTGATCTCAGCTCACTGCAAGCTCCCCCTCCTGGATTCACACCATTCTCCTGTCTCAGCCTCCTGAGTAGCTGGGATTACGGGTGCCTGCCACCACGCCCAGCTAATTGCCTTCTGGTTTTTAAGTAAGTAATGATTAAATGGTGGATTTTGTATTTCTATACAATAAAGTATGTTTGGAGGCACGACAGATGCCCCTTGGTGGTAATATGCTACTATAGAAAAACATAGTCTTCTCAATAGATACAAAACACATTTCTATTAAAAAAGTACAGGAAAATAATTCCCAGCTGTATGATTTCTCAACTCAGAAATCATAACTGGGAGTGTGTTTCTAGGAAAGCTCCATGTTTCCCTGACAAAGAGAGTCTTAGCTGGGGATTTTCAAATTGTTGTGTTTGTCAAGGCATCCTAGCAACTTTGCCATAACACTACCCAACTTCTCTCACAATATAAGGCCAGTTTCTTCACTGAGGGCTTATCTCCAGTTTCCTGGCATTTACTTATACTGTTGAAAGGACCTGTATATGACATACTAAGACTGGAGGTTTTATGGTGGCCTGGGTAATAAGCACCCTGTTGAAACCACGGCATGGAGATCAGGGAAATGCTGACAGCAAACATTTGTATAGCACATTGTCCATGCCAGGTTCTGTTCTAATTGCTTTACATATATAACTCCCTGAATCTCTCACAGTGACCTCAGTTATAGAGGACAGAACTGAGACACAGAGGAGTTGGGAAGCTAATTAGTAAATGGCAGAATTGATGTTTCCTCCCAGGCAGTGTAGTTCCAGAATCTACACTCTCATCTCCTAAGGTCTGCAGCCTCCCTGGCAAGGGTGGGAAGCAATTCCACTGTGTATCCTGGACGCCATGACCTCTAAGTTGCATCCCCTTCACCCTGTCTTCCACCTGGAACTTTCAATATCAAATCTGCCCTTTTAGCTACTCATATTCCTTATTATTCTATCTCATGGAGGAGTTTTCATTATTCAAGTGTTCCATTCTGAAGAAATCGAAAGCATGAGAGAAAACTACTGCCTCATTAAAGTAGAAACAGAGGCTGCGGGGGAAAGGGATTCTGATTAAATGACTTCACCCCGAATGAGAAACGTTACAGGCAAGTTTGTATTTGTAGTTTCAAAAGGAGTAAGAGTTACTAAATCAAGCTTTAGTTGATGGGATTTCAGGCAAGCTACAAAAGGTTTAAAATATATAGGTATATTAGATGAATTTATATTTATTGGCCATTTTTAGGGAAAAAGGATCAGTCTTATTTGGTTCAACAAAATAGTGCAGGATCAAGGAGGAGCTTCTTGATGTCCTATAAAACCCAGTACATCCAAGAAAATTCTCCTGATGATAAAACCAGTGGTTAAAATCACTCTAAGCACGTCTGGGTATATATCTTCTAAGTCCTCAGAATGCAGTTGTGGGAGCTGCCATCTTGTAGCACACATCACAAGGGAGAGTAGAGTAATAAATGTTTCAAGGGACAGTAGAGTAATAAATGCTTCGAAGTGGCTACCTTGGGAAGTGGCTTTAATGAGCACTGCTTAAAAAGCTGGGCCCTTGTTCTGATCAGAAAGATTCTTCTTCAAACCTAGAATACTCAACTATGATTATCTGTTTACTAAATGATTTACCATCATGGAATAATAATTAAATGACATTTATGTTGTCTGAAAGAGATAGATACATGTATATTTTTACAAGGGTGTTGATTCCCTTTAAAGAACTATTATCTTTTCTAATCCTACTTACCTCCCAGAGATGCTGTCTCTTCAAACAATCATAATACCTAATAAAGACAGTATGAGGCCGACTGAAAAAAAAAAAAAAGAAGGAAAGACACTTCTGCAAGAGGCTGCTAGCAATACAATCTGCTGTTTGCTCAGCTATCTCACTTGATCTGTGGGAAATGCTTCTAGTCATGTTGGGATGAAATGATAAACCCGTAGTGGAGAGTATAGAAAGATGTTTGTAAATTCGCTAACAGGAGAGTATTTCATACATAATGTCTTTGAAAATCTACCATGTTTTAACTTGGTAAGGTTTAGATTGTTAAATATAAATGACTATGTATTTTCATGTGTGAGCTCATGTATACGTGTGTGTGCCTGTATATGTGTGTTTGTTTGTATATGTATACACATACACATGCACACATATACACTCAGATATGTATACACACATATGCACATAGAGTCATCCTTGATGTCCATGGGGGATTGGTTCCAGGACCTGCTGTAGATATGAACATCTGCAGATGTTCAAGTTCCTTATATAACTAACCTGGACAACATGATGATACTCTGTCTCTTCAAAAAATTTAAAAAATTAGCCTGGCGTGGTAGCACACACCTGAGGTCCCAGCTACTCTGGAGGCTGAAACATGAGGATCCCTTTAGCCCAGGAGGTTGAGGCTGCAGTGAGCTGTGATGGGGCCACTGCTCTTCAGCCTGGGAAACAGAAGAAAACGTGTCTTTATATATATAATACATTCTATATTTCTTATAATATCTAATTCAGGGCCTACACATCACTTCATTGTGTGGTTTTCTTGTTTTTTGAAAATTTGTGGAATTTTTTTTTTTAGTTTTGATCCACAGTTGGTTGAATCTAAGGATGCAGAACCCACAGATATGGAGGGCAGACTATATATATATATATATCTCACAAAAAAATGTTGTACTTGAAATAACCCTAAAACAGACATAAACATCAATGTATCCAGATGTTCCCCCTAATCTAGATTGTTCTATAGTGTGTGCAATGATAATCCAGCCTTCTAAGGATACATCGATGGTTTTGAAACCCTACTGAATCACTGAGGGAAAAAATAAATGGCATTCCATGATATATAAATGTTCATTGTATTTTGAACAATGGTACCCAGGATTTTGAGCAAATTAAATTTTCATCTACTCATCACACCCACAGAAATTTCCTGAATCTGCCTTGATTGAAAGGGTTTTGGTCTTGCCGTTTTCCAAAGGTAGTTATGTTGCATCTGAGTATTGGATGCATGGTCCCCTGATGTCCTGATGTCCTGCTCTGGCCTCAAGAAGACTTTCCTCCCCTGTCTTGGGGAATATTTTTGACTTTGCCTATAGTCCGCAGTGAGGAATACATCAACCACTAAGAATAAACATTTAATCCTGTAATAAACTGACATCACCCAGCTGTGTAAGCAAAATTTATAGGCACAGAGTCAAGTAAATTATCATGAGTTGTATTTTATATGTATATGCATATATGGAAATATATGCATATGTGTATATGTATATGCATATACATATGTGTGTGTGTATGTGTGTGTGTATATATGTGTGTGTGTGTATGTGTGTGTGTGTGTGTGTGTGTATATGTGTGTGTGTGTGTGTGTGTGTATATGTGTGTGTATATATATGCTCCAGTCAGGCAATCCCTCTATTTGTCATGGTTTCTTTTAACATCTGATAGATGATTTCTCATGAAAAACATTTTCAACGTTATTCAGGTATTATTGTTATCTGCTGAGATAACGTTGAGGTCCATACACATATTAAAAAAAAAGTCGGTTTATTCTTTTTTCCAAGTAAAGAAAGATGTCATTTCGCACATGTCATTTATTCAGGCTTATTCAGAGTGGGGGAAGTGTTCTGTTTGCCTTAGAAAAAAAGTAAGGAAAAATCTATGACTCTGGCTTTTTTTTTTTTTCCCCCTCAACACTGCTTTCTCAACCAAAATGAGCATGTGGTAAAGTGCTTGTGGCACAGACACTGGCCTATTCTTCTCGTGGAAAAAGGCGCTGCTGTTTTACAGTGGCCTGGAGGCTGGGCGTGGTTCCCTGCCGGGGGCTGCGTTCTAATGGCTTCTCCAAGCAAGACGCAGGATCTGCAGAGCCGCGTGGACTGACTCTGGTCACCATTTGTTTTTCTCCAACCTAGAGCTGAGGACTTTTGCTCTTTCCAGCCTTCCTCTCTTTTTCCTTTTCCCCTCTCTCTTTTCCTCATAACCAGAGGCTTTGCACAAAATTTCTTTGAGATTTCCCCTTGCAGTCAGAAAGCACAGTTGTCTTATATTTTTATTCAGTTAACATAATGGAGATGAGCCAGGTTTTTATATTTAAACTCACAGATTTTTAGGCTACATACAGGATCCTCATTCATCTGCTGTTGCTGTATTATTTATTGTTAATATTAGCCATATGATTTAGTGTGAAAAGTGTTTACAGCAGTGTTAGGCTCTGAAACAAATCTTGGCTCTCCTACTTAAGGAACTTGTAAACTTTTCTGTGCCACTATTCCTAGATCTGCAAAATGCAAGAGTGAGATAAATGTAAGATTATGTGGGAGAGTCACCAGCTTATACTCAGCTCTCAACACTTTTTTTTTGTTGTCTGTGTTATTACGAAAGTAATTATAAAATATATGTGATACAAGTGAAGATATCTTGTGTTTCTTCTAAAATATTAATACATAAAATATTTACTCCATCTAAATGCACTTTATTTCACTATAGTAAAATACTGAATAAGGATGTATTTTGGCACTAGAGAAATCAAGCTTATTTTAAATCAGATAAAATTTAGAGGTAAACGATCATATAAATAATTTCCTAAAATGAAAGAAAAAAAGACAAGATTTGGGGAGGACCCTAATGCCAAGCACTTTATAGCTATAATTTGCAAATAGATTCTTAAGTTTAGAAATTTATTTTAAAATCTCAGAAAGTAAGAATTTATTTCACAGGGCTAAATTCTTGCTATTCAAAGCTTGGCCCCAGACTAGCAGTATGGGAATCACCTGGGAGCTTGTTAGACTCTCAGGCTCAAAGCAGGACCCACATATCCGAATCTGGATTCATATTTAACCATATGCACAATATTACACCTGTAGATTGACATCCTATCTACCATTACTTGAATATACCAAACAATAAGTAAAGCTCTGTCTTGAGGCAACTAGAACCACTAGTGATGATCTAATTGCTGAAAATATCATTCATGTCTGTAAGATAATGTTTCTTGTCTAAAGGATAAAAATACCTGCTCTTCTGTAAATTTTTCTAATTTAGTTATGTTGTCCTCTGACTTCTCAACAAACGGCCACATTACCTTTCAGAAAGCTGCCAGTAAGGAATAAAGAAATCATATCTTTAATTAGTTATTTTTGTTTTATACAAGGGATGGGCATGGTACTGCCTGGGGGCCATGTATGACTAGCTGCCTCATTTTATAAATAACATTGTATAGAAACACCACATGCCCTTTGGTTTACACATTGCCTCTGACTGGTTTCCTGTTATGTGGAAGAGTTGAGTAGTTGCAACACAAACAACTATGACCCACAAAACCTAAAGTATTTGCTCTCTGTCCCTTTACATTAAAAAAAAAAAGGGGGGGTATGGTTTGGCTGTGTCCCCACCCAAGTCTCATCTTGAATTGTAGCTCCCGTAGTTCCTATGTGTCGTGGGAAGGATCCGGTGGAAGGTAGTTGAATCATGGGGGCAGGTCTTTCCTGCACTGTTCTCGTGATGGTGAATGGGTCACAGGAAAATGGATAGGTTTAAAAACAGGAGTTTCTCTGCACAAGCTCTCTTTTTGCCTGCCTCCATCCACGTAAGATGTGACTTTGCTCCTCCTTCGCCTTCCGCCATGATTGTGAGGCCTTTTCAACCATGTGGAACTGTGAGTCAATTAAACCTTTTTCCTCTATAAATTACCCAGTCTCAGGTATGTCCTTATTAGTAGCAGGAGAACAAACTAACACAAAAAGTTTACTGAATCCTGGTCGACACTAAGCATTGTTTCTTCTACAACAAATCTTTGTGAAACCTCATGTGTGTCTCAGGCCCTGTGCTAGAGAGCCTGGGATTTCAGAAATGGAAAGAGACTACCTTCAAGAAGATCATCCTGAGCATATTCTTCTTTTTATACTCCTACTTGTAAATATCATCTTAAAATATGTAATGCCTAGAGTTAATCTTCAAATGAGATTCAATGAATAGAGAATATCAATGTCTTTATTAACACAGAATGTTGTACACAAATACCCATTATCATATGCATTTGCTACTTTTAGTAAAATCTAGTATCATTTTTGTATCTTTAGCTAGCACCCAAATTTCTGGTAAGCAAAAAATTCCAATTAAGAAATGTATGTGTGTGTGTGTGTGCATGCATTCATGCATGCGTGCATGTTTGTGAATCTATTTCTGTCAGCTCCTTTTTATCCTTCTTTGCAGAACTAGTTATTTTTTAACTAAGTACAAAGTAGTTAAATAGAAATAACCGGTGGAATAACAGAAGCCTATATGTGGAATGAGGGTTAATATACTCCTTGGTATTTGGACTTTGGGGGAAAATACTGCCTAAGAAATCAGTTTCCTGGCATATATAGAGATTGATGATAGCAACTCCTTTGCAAGATTTTGGAAATGAGCAGTTGAGATGACACCCACATACCAAGAACATTTGCCTGGCCCAACATGACCTCAATAAATAGAAGCTACCTTAATGTGTTCAGGCAATTTTTGTCTACTCTGTGATAATGGTGAATCTTGAATGCTAATTCTGTTAGTACTGTATGCCAAACTACATGAGTTTGTCTTCGAAATATTCATTCACTTTAGTTATAAATGTTTACTAAGGAAAGGCCCAAGGACAGAACGCTGTCAAGCATATTGACTCTAGCTTTGCTCTGGGCCAGTGATTTTTTTTTTTTTTTAAGACAGAGTCTCGCTCTGTTGCCCAGGCTGAAGTGCAGCAGTGCAATCTCGGCTCACTGCAAGCTCCGCCTCCTGGGTTCATGCCATTCTCCTGCCTCAGCCTCCAGAGTAGCTGGGAATACAGGCACCCACCACCACGCCTGGCTAATTTTTTGTATTTTTAGTAGAGACGGGGTTTCACCATGTTAGCCAAGATGGTCTCGATCTCCTGACCTCGTAATCTGCCCGCCTCGGCCTCCCAAAGTGCTGGGATCACAGGCGTGAGCCACCGCGCCCGGCCGTGATATTTTTTTTTAACCTTTTATGTAATTGTGGATTCACATGCAGTTGTAAGAAATCATACAGAGAGATCTCTAGACCAGTGACTCTGTTTCAAACAATGGTCATATCCTATGTTGAGTACAATATTACAATCAAGAAACTGACAGTCATAGATCTTATTCAGATATCACTGGGTTTGCATGCATTCATTTGTGTGTGTGTGTGTGTGTGTGTGTGTGTGTGTGTGTGTTTAGCCTTATGTGCTTTAATCACATTTGTAGATCCGTGTGATTACTCCCACAATAAAGATATGGGACCCTTTTAACCTGTACTGACTTTTATGTAGTCACATTCACATCCCTACCACCCCAACCTTCTAACTTCTAACAACCACTAATCTGTCTTCCATTTCTATCATTTTGTTATTTCAACACTGTTACAGAAATGGAATTACACCCTATGTAACTTTTTAAAGCTAACTTTTCAGTCAGTGTAGTTGCTTGAGATCCGTCTAAGATGTTAGGTGAATCAATAGTTCAGCTCTTTTTATTGCTGAGTTAGGCTCCTTATTTTAAAACATTTTTTCTCTTATTTAGAAACTCCATGTCTCAGTGGCACCCCTCTGGCTGATGCTGGATAGAGGTTATGAGCCCACCTGAATTGTCTCCTCCTGCCCTTGTTCAGGAGCATGGGGAGATAGCCCAGGAGAAAAACAACTGCTGCAGCCTAATTAGGATATATTTTAGCTTTATATATTTTTCCTGGGGGAGGAGGCTGCAAGGAGTCATGAGAGAAGCCCTGAAATTACTCAGTGTTGCTTAGCAACTTTTCTAGCATGATGGATGCAGCAAACTACTGAATTTTATGGAGGCTACATAATTTCATCTATTCACTGGTGGAAAGAATTCCTACCCTATAAGGCTAGAAGGAGCAGAGAAAATTTGTATGCATTTAATTGGTTCACTGGCTACAATTGTATTGGTTCACTGGCTAAAACTTGCGGAAGTGTGGATAGCAATACATATGCAATAGTATCATCTTTTCAGGAAAGATATTTGCTTATATCCCTTAGCTTGTTGTAAGATCCATGTCAGGTCCCTTACTGAATAGATTTTCCTTTCCAAGGGCACCAGGGGGATAGCCTACTCTTCGTTCTCCTTTTATCTGCTTAAACCTATTCCTGTCTCTCTGCTTTTCTCCCATAATGACTGGCTATGGAGTGACAAACTATGTCTTCAGTTTCCTCTCTCTTGACCACCCCCAAAGAAGTACAAAAGAACTCATGTTGTCTCAACGGTTGTAATTTAATGACAATCCCATCTTGGAAATAGTCAGAGATTAAACCACTAAGGGCAGCTGCAAACTTGGGGTAGCTTTATGTTTACAGAATCTCATAACATTGCATTATTAATCCTGGTTTATGCTTCTTGAGTCCTTTCTGGGGCTACAAATACAAGGCCTGCTGGATTTGCATCCCCAGTTTTTTCTTTTTCTCTGATGACAGGATTTGCTGCATTGAGTACCTATCTATTTAAAGAAAGCTAGAGCTGGATAGTAGTTAAGGCAATTAAAACAGATTATTCAAGTACCATAGCAATATGGGAAAAGAGACCTCAGTATAGAACTGAGCCCAATTCCAAATACAGCAAAGACAAGTTAGGATTTATAGCCAATGTTCAGGCTGGGGGAAAGTGATGGATATAAAATTACTAAGAGGAGGCATCAAAGGTGGCAGTAATTCTTGTTAAACTGACATAACAGGATTCTTGCTGAAGGCAAATCAGGGTAATCAGATATCAAGGATGGGAAATTCTCTCTAAGCTGACTTAGCAGGATTCTCACTAAAATGGGACTCTAGAGGCCAAACAGGCCTAGTGGAGAAGAGGGCTTAGAGGAGATCAAAAAAACTTTGGTGAAGGAAGGGGTCTTTGTCACATCCTAATTTGATCGTACCCCTGGCCAGAAACAAACCTGAACATTAAATTAGAAAAATTAACAGTCAACCTCTTGTCCTGGGTGGTTAATTTATATTTCTACGGGTCTTCAGAATGAGTGACACAAATCTCAAAGTGATAGTGTTGTGAATGTAGATTTTGCCAACTCACACTACTTAAAGCCAAAAGTTTATTGACTTGGATTTTTAAAAAATGGGCTTATAAAATTGTGTAATATTGTGGTACTGATTATACCTTTTAATAACCAAAATCATGAAAACATATTTTATATGTATAATTTTTGTTTGTTTGAGACGGAGTCTCACCCTGTCACGCAGGCTGGAGTGCAGTGGCGCTATCTCGGCTCACTGCAACCTCTGCCTCTTGGGTTCAAATGATTCTCCTGCCTCAGCATCCCAAGTAGCTGGAATTATAGGCGCCCACCACCACGCCCAGCTGATTTCTGCATTTGTAGTAGAGACGGAGTTTCACCATGTTGGCCAGACTGGTCTCGAACTCCTAACCTCATGATCCCCCAGCCTCGGCCTCCCAAATTGCTGGGATTACAGGCATGAGCCACTGCACCCGACTTTATATGTATAATATTAAAAGTGACTAAGGTAATACATTTTAAGTATTTGGCTAAACAGATTTCTTTGAAGTTATTATTTATTAAATTATGATATGCATCTGGCTATCAGTATATTATTGTATTCTAAAATTTCCGTATTCATAAGCATTGAGTTTTTAATTGAGCTACCATGTAGCAAATAAATTACATTTGCTATCTCATGAATCTTCACAAGAATCAAATTAGGTAGATGTCATCCCCATTTTTTTCATCAATGTTACTACATAAAACTGGCAATCAAATCCAGGCCTACTGGCCCCTCAAGACAGTGATCTTATTTCTCTGCCATAGACTGGGCAATTGGTCCTCACTCCTCACTCCTCTCTCCTCAGTATCCAAAACACAGGCTTATTGTAGGCAGAACTTGCTTATTTTTCTCGAGATAGCACCGTCAGTTGTTTTGGCCAACGGCATGTGAGTCATTGTAATAGTGTGTCAGTTTTCAGCCTAGATTTTACGAGGCCTTGTGTCTTATGCTTGTTGTGTTAAATCTCTGCCATCCTGGCTACTAGTCCAGTATATGAAGTGTGAGAGATCAAGCTGACCCCTAGACCTACAGAGAAAAGCAGAGGTGTCCATTGCCACAGCCTGAAGCAGAACAGCCCAGCCAAAGCCTGACCAGATCATCCACATTCAAGCTGGTCTGCATATAGATGAGAAATATGGGATTTGGTAGTTATTTGTTATAACGCGATGGAAACAACAGCTATAGATTAGCAGTTGTGTCAGTCAGGGCTTTCCAGATAAATGGTCACTTTTGCTATGTATAGAGAGATATTTATTTTAAGGAATGGGCTCATGCAATTGAGGGAGGGGTGGCATGTTCAAAATCCATAAGGTAGGCCTGCAGGCTGGAAACCCAGGCAGGATTTTATATGCTACAGTCTTAAGACAGAATCCCTTCTCCTCCAGGAAACCTCACTTTTTGCCTTTTATGTCTTCAACTGATTAGATGAGGTCCATCCTTATTATTGAGGGAAATCTTTATTTAACTGATTATAAATGTCGTTCATATCCACCAACTGCTTTCACAGCAACATCTGGGTTAGTGTTTCACTAAACAATTAGGCACCACAACTTAGCCAAGTTGGTGCATATAGTTAAATACCATCGCAGTACCTGTATATGTTCTCCACTGGAGGTGCACATTTAACCAAAGAAAATGAAAGAAAATGCCGAATGAGAGGACAAATCTATGCTGAGCTTTCTAAGTGAATTATGGAAAATAAATGTTTCCACCAATGGGATGATTATAGAAGCAGGGATAATTTAAAGACAGTTTAATAGATTGAATGCTACTGAATAGTTGAGGCTAAGAACCTGAGATAAAACAGTAGATATATTAGTTTGAAAAATTTTGAGGAATAAAGTGAGTAGACAAAATATGAATACAGGAAATAGTTACTCAAAAAGAATTTGGATGATATCTGCAGGCGAAATAAGTGATAACTTCAGTTTTTTTCTCATTGTTTTTATTAGTGATATTTAGGATGGAGGAATGGTCAAATGAAGATTAGAATTAAGGAGGTAGGGATGAGAAAAAAAAGTATGTAAAAGTGGGCGGGGAGTCCATAGTACATATACTAGGTCAGCATCAATGATTACAAGTACAATCCTGTTCCCAGGAACTCCCATCATCTCTGCAATGGCTCATTCCTGAGAAACTAGGACCGCAATAGAAACTAGGTTTCTATTTTCCAAGGGTTTGGAGGTAGGTCTTAGAACAGTGCTGTTATCTGTTATCTTTATAGTGTTTAGTCACTTGTCATTTTCTGTAATTCTTTTCATTCCTCATACAGATGGTGTTCTGACCGTCCCACTGCTCAGTTATGTGATGTACTCGTAAAATCTCTTTTCTAGAGTATAAACATTTTGTCACTTTGCATTCTGATTCCTGATACGAGGTGATTTTCTTCATCTAACAGCACATGTTGTTTATATGCTTACTTAAATGGATAAACACAGTATTTCAGTCTCTACTCCATGCTGTTCATTGTTGTCAGAGATTGTTGGTGTTTAAAAAAATAAGCATTTTTTTTATTCTCTCGTGGGACTTACAGACTAAGTAAGTCAACATGGACATTTAAGTCAAAAAATAAGGGAAGTTTTCAACCCTATTATGTATATTAACTTTCTCATCCAAATTGGTATATTATGGAAGATGATAACATATTTTGCATTTTTTACAGTGCCTTTCCAATCCCCTTGACCACTTGTGACAACAAAACTCTCTAAGATATTGCCTCATTTTTACTGTCTAGTATGTTTTTATTGGGGATTTTATCAGTTTTCATGGCAAGACATGTCATTACATTCCATGGTGCTTATGTTTATGTGTCCCATTGAGTAAACTGTGGTGCCCAGTTGTTTAGCCAAATGCCAGTTTGGATGCTGTTGTGAAGGCATTTTCTTAGATATGATTAATATTTAAATGACTGGACTTTGAGTAAAGCAAATTACCCTCAGAAGTGTGGGTCTCATCCAACCAATAGTTGAAGGTCTTGAAAAAAAAAACACCGAGTTCTCTTGGAGAGGCAGGAATTCTGTCTTTAGATTACCTAAGGACTCAAGATAGCAATAGATTTTGAACTTGTCAGCTCCCATAGTCAGGTGAGCAAATATCTGTAAATCTCAATCATTCTCTCTTTCTCTCTCTCTCTCTCTCTCTCTCTTTCCCTCCCTCTCTCTCTCTCTCTCCCTCCCTCTCTGCCTGCCTTCCTCTCTCTCTCTCTTTCATATATGAGAGAAACACACAGGCACACACCCTATTGGTCCTGTTTCTCTGGAGAACCCTGGTTAATACAAATGTTCTTAAACACTTTTTTATTCTATCAAAAGACTTTTACTTACTCACACTGTTACTCACACAAAAGACTTTTAAAATTACTCTTTTAACTTCTGTAACAATAATCAGGATGATTGCAATAAGTATTAGTGGAACAAAAGTATATTTAATTTTCTCTCTCTCTAAAACTCATTTTTAAAAACCTAAAGCATAGAGGAAAAAAAGAAAACCCATTCCGATTTAGCGTCTAGGAAAACTCCCAAATTTCTTACATTATGTTGTAATTATCAAGTATAAGAAAATTTGGGCCAAATTTAGAGAGGTTACCTAGAACTGATCCAAGCCTAAGAGTAAAAGACTAGAATTTCTATGAATTGAAACATTGTTTTTGTTTCTTCTTAGCATCTGAACCCCCTCCTAAATTCAAGAAGGAACTCCCCATTTCATATATTTCCCTGGATGCCAAAGATTGACTTTCACTGTGGAAGCCAAATACAAAACAAAATCAAATAAGAAAACTAAGCAAAACAAAAGAGGTACTCGTTTCTGAACACACACACACACACACACACACACAAATTTACACACACTACTCTTTGCAGTTAAGCATGGCCAATTAAACAAATCTGACCCAGATTTAAAATAGAGTTGGATTACGCAGAAGCCCTGCCTAGCCAACAATGACAGGGAAACAATTCCCAGTTCACAGAGACTAACATGGCCATGTAGTGCATGGAATGCAGAGATGGAATGCAGTGACCAAGGACCAGAGCCTGGGCCAAGAGTTGGAATGAGATGAGCTACAATATCCAGGTTTGGCTGTGGTGGTGATAATGTCCTTCCCTGAATTGACTCTGTGGCACCAATTTGCCTGACCTCTCTGATTCCTGCCTGTTTTCTCAGTATGTTCACCACCAGAGTTCTCAGTAATTTTGTGAGCTAATCAATATTCTTTCAACAAATTTCTTTTCTGTCAAGTTAATTTTGCTAATAACTTGACACATTCCCATTGATGGTGGTAAAAAAGAAAAAGAATTATCAATGTAACAACTATTATTTTATGTCATTATTGAAGTACTACTCAATACATCAAACAAACAAAATGCAGTTATCATAGGAAGGTTTGAAAGGCCAGGTATTAACAGAGACTAGAGGGTAGGGGTCATGGAAATTTATTGTTTAGTGAGCAGTTTTAGTTTTGCAAGATGAAAAGGGTTCTGGAGGTTGGCTGAACAGCAGTGTGAATGTGCTTAGCACTACTTAAAACTTAAAATTGGTTAAGCTGGTAAGTTTTATGTTATGTGTATTTTACCACAATTTTAAATAAATAAATAAATAAATAAATAAATAAATAAGTGGAAGTTTGAAGAATCAAATTATTATTATTTGTCTATGTATTTTTTTTTTCCTAGAACCAATGGTGGTCAACTGAAAATATGAATAACATAATCCCACAAAATCAAAGGGACAAGATTTAATATTAAAAGATAAGCTCTTCATTCTGCAAAAAGTAATTGGCTAGATAATATAATGGAAGAAAAGTATCACAATAACCAAGAATTTTAAATACTTATTGAATATATTAAACTTATAAAGTAATACTTGAGCAAGGCAAAAGAGAGACCTCTGAGATCGATGATTCACGATGATAAAGATAACAATGAGTAAATTATTCTGTGAATTTGGCATAATCACAAATGAGCCACCAGTAAACATATTTCCTTCTAGAGTTTGAGAAAATACCATTAACATTTATTTAGAAACATAAACATGCAAGATAAATTTTTTAAAAATAAAAGTAATAATAAGGTATGAGTAGGCAATATATTATACTACAAAGCTATGATAATTAAAATGAGTTACAATAGTACAGGTATAAACCAGTTAAAAATAAAAGGAAATAGATTGGCCAGAATAAAAAGCAGATATTTAGTATGTAGTAAAGACAACATTTAAAATAGTGGGGAGAGAATATATCATTATATAAATGATGTTGGGGCACGTGACTAGCCATTTCAGTCATTTCAAAATGGATCAAATACTTACCTGTAAAATATGAGACCACAAAAATTACTAAATGAAAAAAAGACATAAAAGGAGTATTGATAGCAGCTTTGTTTCCAGAGGCATCATAATTTTTCTTTTAGTTTACATCTTCCGCCCTTCAAGGTATCTGTATATAGGAGCTCTTTTCTTTGTTTGCTACTTATTTGTGAATGTATGTAAAAGTTACCTTTGCAAATCCTCTCTTCTATGCTCTGCTTTGGGATACTGAACCTGAGTTTTATGTACTTGCTGAACCTTATTTACTTGCTGAATCTTATTTCAGCCTTGGTGGGGTCCCTGTTGAAATCGGCCAGTAGGGGTCACTAGAGAAAGAGAATGGAGAGGGACGGCTGGAGGAGGAGCAACTAGAGATGCTCATTCTTATTTGTTTTCTGTTTCAATTTTTGCATCCTGTTCCGATTAGCATCACTCCAGGAACATTTGTTCACCCTGACAGTCACTGTTTGTTCCAGTGCAACGTTTGTGGGTCTTTCCAGCATTCACAGTCACTCTTCATTGTTTCCTCTTGGAGGCACATGCACCACCAGCCTAACGATGTCCCTTTCTCAAAGAGGTCTGACTTCCAGTTCCCTGGGACTCTTTCCTCAAATTTCTAAGTTTTAATAATTTTAAGTGCTTCTTTTTGCCTCCCCCAACCCAGCCCTAAGGGCGATGGCTTCTTTCAACAGTTGCTATCTCTGGAATACTTTTGAAATTTTTACCTTTCCAGTTCTTTACTACCTAATGAAGAGCACTTATACTAATTTTCCTTGTTAAAATAACTGAGGGTTATAGCAAAACATCATGTGAACACTATAAAAATATACAACCTGTCATCTGTCAATTAAAACGCTAAATGGAAAAAAAATAACTAATGCAGCTTTTTTGTCCTAAGCAGTACAAACTTATTCTTTTTTTTTCAATGTATATTTTACAAGATTAAGGTTTCTCTTTCACTCTAAAAACGTATTTTGTTTCTGCTTAGTATAATGTGTGTTTCACCTACATTGGACATAATCTGTCACTAACGTGGAGACAGGAAAATGAAGGTGTTGGGAGGCGGTTCCTAGAAATATCTGAATCTTCATTTCAATGACTGTTAACTTCGGCCAAGTGCAACGATGTCTCCAAAATAATTTCTAAGAGAAATTTTAGTAGAAACTTTATGAAAAAGAAAATAAACATTGTTTTTTGAAATATTCACAGCACACTATATGAGGGGTAGAGGAAATCTATATATTAAATAGCAAAATAGTTGTTAGCTTAAGCATAAAAACATATAAAATGGTATAATTAACATTTAGGATATGCAGATATACCTACACATGTAAGTCTTAAGACATGTTTAAGAGAAAAGGCTCTGCCCTGGATCGTTTTTATTTTTAATTGTTGAGGTCTGCACGTGTGAGCTCATTGGTGAGATAGGAGTTTGGAATACCTCTCCCTGCAGCTTACTTATGACTCTTCCAGCCCCGCTTCTGCCTGATCTTGGGAGTACCACTTTCATCCCATGAAGAATTGCTACTGGGTCTGTTCAGTCTCATGACACGATTAGTGTAATAATACACACCTCATACTGGGTGGCTCTGATTTCACGGACACTTGGTATACGTGGCCTTTTGGTCTCTACATATACCAGTGGCATAACAAAAGATGCTTTTCAAATGGTGCCTAGTTTTCTACTGTATATTGTCTTCTTATAGAATGCTAGAAGCCTATATTTTTCTCTCTTCACAAGGCATCTTTCTTATTTCCAGAATAATTGAAACTGCCAGATTGAAACTGCCAGATTATATGACAGGTTTCCAGGGCCCCTTGCTCACCACAAACTGCAGAGCCTTTTCCTGCTCTGGTCCACTCAAAGCTGTCAGCCTTCCACTGCTGTCTATAAAATACTTAGAGCGGTATTCTCAAGTGTGTCATACGGCTCCTCCAGAACTCAAAGATGCCTCAAAATCTGCTTTCTTAGTGCTCGGAAGCGTGAGATGCAATAATTTGTTCTATCTCTTTTTTTTTTTTTGAGGACATGTCTTGTCAAATCCAAGCTCACTGGGCTCTAAAAAGTAACCCATATGACAAGCCAGCAAGCTGGAGAAATAAATGCCTCTGCCCTAAAGGCAAGATCGGGATGACACACAGCAACATCCTCTACAGTCTTATTACTTCTCGTACTGTATTATAGATGCTTGTGTGTATCTTATGTTCTCTTCTAGATTAAAGTAAGATTTATGGCCAAGCACGGTGGCTCACGCCTGTAATCCCAACACTTTGGGGAGGCTGAGGCAGGTGGATTACCTGAGGTCGGGAATTCAAGGCCAGCTTGGCCAACGTGGTGAAACCCTGCCTCTACTAAAAATACAAAAATTAACTAGGCATGGTGGCGTGTGCCTGTAATCCCATCTACTCAGGAGGCTGAGGCAGGAGAATCGCTTGAACCCCAGAGTTGGAGGTTGCAGTGAGCCGAGGTCGCATGATTGCAATCAAGCCTGGGTGACAGTGAGACTCCATCTCCAAAGCAAAAAAGAAAGATTCATTTCTCATTTACCTGGGTATTTACCAAAGCATCTAGAATGTACTTTGTTGCACATGGTAGAGGCTTAATCAGAATTACTGATTAATCTTAGACATTATCCTAACCAAACATCTCACTGTACAGCCACGAATTGCTCTATAAATACTATATACAAAATGAGAGACCATATGGTAGATATATCATCGCAGTCAGATAGTGCATTAAACAAATGTATAATAAAGTTGCACAAGCTGAGAAAAAAAAACTTAGCTTTTTTTCAGTGAAAACACATTTATAAATTATTGTTTTTAAAAAAGCTTTTAATTTTAAAATCAATTTAAATTTACAGAAAGGTTATGATATATTTCAGAGAATTCTCATATCCCTCACTCTCAGTTTCCCCTTTTATTAACAAATTAGTATTTACATTCATGATAATTAATGAACCAATATTGATTCATTATTTGTAACTATAGCCCATATTTGATTCAGAATAATTTCTCCGGTTTTTACCTAAGTCATTGTTTTTTTCTGCTCCAGGATCTCATCCAGAAAAGTACATTATACTTAGTTGTCATATCTCCTTAGGATCCCCTTGGCTGTGACAGTTTCTAAGATTTTTGTTGTTTCTGATGACCTTTATAGTTCAGAGGGTACTGGGCAGGTATTTTGCAGAACGTCATAGGAATAAATTTTTGACGTGCTTAAACGTAAAAACGGGATGACCCAAGTCATCCCTTTTCATCCATCTTCACGTTCCCAGAGTGGGATTTTCCGATTTTACTTTGGCCATGCTAATGCTTCTGGAAGTGGTCACAGTGAATAATGAAATAAAAACAAAACAGCTGTTATGTTGGCTTTTGCAGTCAACTAAAGCATCTAGATCGTAGAAGAGCAAGAAACTTCAAATGTTGTGTTCTCCGTCACAGTTGATGATCAATAATTGTCTGCTGATTTCATAAAGAAACATACCTTTGCTGAACTCTCAATTTTAAAGTCAAAAAGCTATTCAAATTCTTACTTAAAGGAAACTTCCCCCCTTGTTTGGTGACAGTTATAAAGTGGAAACATTTTGCAAACTTTACACAACTAGCATTGCTTGTAAATCATTTTCTGTATAAAACGATTACTTAATATGCTCACATTTTGCAGAAACAACTTCAATCCCTTTCTCCTATTTTTCCAAACACCTTCTTACAGTATGTTTATTGGCATACCACATTTAGTCATCGTGAACATCTTTCTTTTGATTAGCTTCCTTGTAAGCAATTTTTAAATATTATAGTGTGTCAAAGGAATAACACTGTGTTTTTAGAGTGCTAGTTTTATCATATGAAATGCCAGGTGAAGTTTGGTAGTGGAAACCTACCACTCACAGGCGTTTCTCTCCAGGATATAGAGGTGTTTACAAATAATAAATACATACTGTGGTATTTACAAATAAATAATCAATACCAAATGAGTGTCATGCTGGAAGATGTATTCATGATATTTACACCCTGCATTCTGTTGGTCTCTCTGGCAATAAATGGGTTGGAGACTGTGATGGAGCATCATACCTTCCACCCAGGTTTGAAATAATTAAGCCGGCCCATAGCCTGGAATTTGCCCATCCACTCATGGTGAAGAAGCTGCAGAGGATGACCCCACTGGAACACATTCTGCTTATCCTACCTACTGTGGAGAGTACCTAGCCCCAGCAGTGCCCTTATGCACCTGTGGGCATGATGTGCATGAGCAAGGGCAGTTTTTACCTTAACCCTGTCCATCAAAACTGGTAGCCCCATTCCAGCACCACCACACACAACACAGTCCATAGTTAATACCATTCCCTAGGTTTGTACAATGCTCAGCCTGCAGAACCATATGCAGAATCTTGAGTTATATAGTAATTTACCCATGAATATCCAGGAAGCCTACTCAAGAACACAAGTCTATATACAAAGACTTATTTTATAATAGTTGGATATTCCATAAAGGTTATTTATGCCAATAAAATTATGTAAATAAATTTGAAATTTTAGATGAAATAAGGAGGTGCCTAGAAAACCATAACTTACCAAAAGTGGCAAGAGAATGAGTAAAACAGCAGAAAAATACTCAATAAAATTTTATTCTATTTATTGTAAACCTCATAAACTTAGAATAGAAGAGAACATTTTTAATTTGACGTATGGTATTTAAAAATAAACTAGTATAGGCCAGGGACA
The DNA here is from genome assembly GCF_000001405.40 of Homo sapiens. Lineage (NCBI taxonomy): Eukaryota > Metazoa > Chordata > Mammalia > Primates > Hominidae > Homo > Homo sapiens. Next base: position 27,798,660 of record NC_000021.9, on the reverse strand, counting down.
GTGGTTCATGTCTGTAATCCCAAGGATTGCTTGAGCCCAGAAGTTTGAGACCAGCCTGGACAACATGAAACTCCCTCTCTACAAAAAACTAAACAAGAAAACAAAAAAAATTACCCAGGTGAGGTGGTGCATGCCTGTTGTCCCGGCTACTCAGGAGGCTCATGTGGGAGGATCACTTGGGGCTAGGGCAATGAAGCTGCAGTGAGTTATGATGGCACCACTGCACTCCAGCCTGGGCAAAAGAGCAAGACTCTATCTAAGAAAAAAGTACAAATAATGACTGGGCGCGGTGGCTCACGCTTGTAATACCAGCACTTTGGGAGGCCGAGGTGGGCGGATCCCAAGATCAGGAGTTTGAGACCAGCCTGGCCAATATGATGAAACTCCATCTCTACGAATAATACAAACATTAGCTGGGCATGGTGGTGCGCGCCTGTAGTCCCAGCTACTCTGGAGGCTGAGGCAGGAGAATTGCTTGAACCCGGGAGGCAGAGGTTGCAGTGAGCGAAGATCGCGCCACTGCACTCCAGCCTGGCTACAGAGCGAGACTCCGTCTCAAAAAAAAAAAAAAAAAAAGAAAAAAAAAGAAAAGAAGAAAGTACAAATATCATACTTACTATGGAAATATTGTAAACTTTATCAAATTAGAAATGATCCTAGGATGTCTGCTTTAATAACTTGTTTACAATATTGTATTGAAAGCCCTATAAAAGGCAAGGAAGAAAGAAAAATAAAGTTAGAAACATGGAAAACAGAAAAAAGCTGTCACTTTTATAGGCAAATACAGTTTTAACTAGAAAATCTAAAACAACCTAGAGATTATTAGAATTAGTAAGGTTAGCTTTCTACTGGATACAAGAGTAATAAGCAAACATTAATTACATAAATCTTTTGAAAGATTATGATGACTGCCTTAACCAACTATTATTTCATAGAATAAGAAAGATACTCTCCAAACATAATTTGAGAAAAAAAAATCCCAGACACAAAACTATTTAGTAGAGTATTCTTTCATTTGCATAAATTTTGAAAACATTCAAAACTAATATAATAACATAAAAAGTCAAGAAAATGGTCATATTTGCCAGAAGTGTGGGGTAGGGATACTGACAGAAAAGCCTGAAGAGGTTTTGGTGATGCTGGTAACAGTTTTTGGTTCTGGGTGATTGATATACACATATATTATATTCACTTTGGAAAATCTTCCTGGTTGAGCATTTATGATTTGGGCAGTTTCCTGAATTTATATTAAACTTTTTATAAACACCTTCTTGAAACAATTTATTCACACACACACACACACACACACACACACACACACACACACACACACACACACCACGTCTCAGCCCTCGTATTCCTATCTCCCTAACTCTTCTGTCTACTTAGGCACATGACCACTACTTTCTCTTCTTAATGTATTAGCTAAAGTGATCTTACTAAACCATAAATCAGAGCATCTTTCTCCACTATCAAACAATCAATTGAATTTATCCTGTCATGCAAATTTCTTACTTTGAGCCAGAAGTTCCTCCAAGATCCGTCCCCACTTCTCTCTGCACTTATCTCTTGCAACACTGGCCTTATAGCTTTCCCTCAAATCCATTTACTATTCCTCTACCATGTGCAGTTTTTTTTCCTACGATTCTCTTTAAGTTTTGTTTGTTTGTTTGTTTGTTTTGTTTTGTTTTGTTTTGAGACAGTCTTGTTCTGTCACTGAGATTGGAGTGCAGTAGTGGGATCTCAGCTCACTGCGAACTCTGCCTCCCGGGTTCAAAGGATTGTCCTGCCTCAGCCTCCTGAGTAGCTGGGATTACAGGCGCATGCCCCCATGCCCAGCTAATTTTTGTATTTTTAGTAGAGACGGGTTTCACCATGTTGGCCAGGCTGGTCTCGAACTCCAGACCTCAGGTGATCCACCCACCTCGGCCTCCCAAAATGCTGGGATTACAGGCATGAGCCACCATGCCTGGCCTCTAAATTCATTACCTAAATTTCACCTTTACAGTGAGCGCCCATTGAAATATAATACTACCATGTGAAACTCACGTCTATCTCCAAAATTTTTTACACCCTTCACTGATTCTACTTTCCATTTAGCATTTATAATTTGGTATCCGAAACTTACAGTGTTTATTTTCAGTCTATCCCATAAGAATGCAAGCTCTGTGGAGACAGATATTTTTCCTGTTGTGTTTTTGTTCTCATTGTATCCTAAATGCCAGCCATGCAGAAATGCTTAAAAAGCAATTGTTACATAAACAAATGAAGGAGCAGAACAAAAGATTAGACATGGGGTAATGGTATGAGTGTTTAGATGATGACTTCCAGATGTTGGGATAAAACACCTTAAATGCTGCCTTAGGTTAGAAGCATTCTAGAAACGCAGGCAAGAATAAAGCCCCAGCTGAATCACTTGTGTACTTTATACTGTTAAAGAAATAACCACGTGAAATGGTTTGTCCATAGCTTGACAGCTGCATTACCTAGGAGGGAGCTTCCTAAGAAGAAATTCTATGGCTTAATTTCACCCTTTAATAATAAAATGAGGATAATACCCCCACTAAAAAAAATCTGGGATTCTAATCTGCTGAACTTGTTTTGAACTTTAAATTAAAATACTCACCTAAAAAAGAAAAAGAAAAAAAAAAACCACCTAACAAAATTGCCCTACCTTAGAAGTCTCTCTATTTTTGGAACTAAATACTCTTTTCACACACATGACAAAATCCCGAAGTAATTGAGTTACTAGAGGGATTTTTAGTATTAAAATGATATTTTCCAGGCTCCAACATGCAATTTTGACAAGAACTGATAATATAGCTTAAAAAGTTATTTGCTAAGCAAAATCTTTTGAGAGTGGTAATTTGGATAGGACTGAAGCAGAATTAAATCGCAACAGGAGTTAGGGAAAATGGGCCAAATAATATAAGATTTACTGGAATTTGGTTAGGGAGTAGCTGAGAAGCTTGTCTGATTCATTTCCAGTTATAAAAAGGATTTTTACATTGCCCTTTCATGCAGACTTAACTTCAAAGACGTTATTAGCAACTGTCACTGGGAAGGTGTGGGAGAGATCCTTGTTCACAAAGTAGTATTCAAGAGTGTGAACCCCCTCACCATTTCATAACAATTAATTAAATTGTTAGAACAGGAACTTGGCCTCTGTCTGAATATTTGAAATGTAAAACATTCCTTAGAGCAGTAGTTCTCAATCTAACATGCACACTCAGGAGTTTTAAAAACTAGCTGATGGCCAGGCCTTTATTTCCATATTCTAACTTTATATTCCAGGTATTGGAATTTTTTTAAGTTGTTTTAAAATTTTAAAACGAAAAATTCATTTTATTTATTTTTTATTTTCAAATTTTAAAGTTCTTCAGAGTTTAAAGAAGCACCAGGGATTGAAAGCACGGTTTATGGGAGTTGTGATTTCATTGTTGAATACGATATTTGAAATACTTTCATTATTAAAGCCAATTGTGGTTAGTGCACCTGTTTTGTAAAGAGTAAAAATGGAATAATAAATCTGTTACGTTTTATTATAAAATTCTCAAGAATCTACTTTTTTTGAACATGTTGGTAATGTCATTAGGCAAGTTCCGACGGTTTCTGTTTATTGACTTTTTCCATATACTTGTCCCCTAAAAGAGTAGATACAAACTTATTCAAGGAGAAAAGGAGGATAATTTGTTTCCGTAAGAGTCTGAGGCATTTCCTTTTTTGTTGTATCATTAGTCATTCTTATTTAGTGATGGGAGCATTTTATTTACCAGAAACATTATTTGAGTTGTTTCCTAGAATCTATTATAATTGATCAGGACTAGAACTTAATAAAAAGCAAATTAAGTTAATGACACAAAAAATGACACCATTAGGGACCAGCTAGCAACCTTGTTTTCATCAGAAATGTGGCATGTAACTAAAGACATATGTGAGGAAATGTGGTCATTTTTGGTTGGTATCAATTACAACTACTTAAGTACCTAAGGCATTGTATTCCTGAATCATTCCTGGTAAAACGGTTTCATCCTTGTTATTAAATTTCTCGTCATGAGCACATTACTCAGGGCAAACCTTTCCCTTTAGTCAATGGAAAAATCCTTTGAATAAGAGTCCTTAACACCTTTCCATGACATAAGACACTCTTTTGGAAACTCCTTATATTATATATTCCTTTCCTTTAATAACTTCTGAATGCCAGCTCTCAGATCATGTGGTTAATTAAAGTTCCAAATGCGATTTGCTCCTCTATTTGCACACATAGTTATTCCTTACCTTGTGAGATGTTTTTGGGTTGTGAATCTAGTTTCTACTTTTGACTTGTATTTGGACATATAATTGCTTTCTAAAATCCCGTGAGACTGTGGATTGAAGTTACTATTTTTCTCTTCTGTGAAAGAAGGGTTGATATGTAGAAGAGAATGTCATTATTTAATTTGGAGTTTGGCCAGAATAATGAGACTTGTGACCTGGTTTGAATAAAGTGTTGAAGAATTTTTTTAACTACAAATAATCAAAGGATGTGTTACGTAACTCATGCAGTGTTTTCATAATGTACTAGAAGCTAGAGAACTAGCTTAGTGCTAAATTGAATGGGAAACTTCCAAAGACCAGGTTATACATACACCATTCCCTAGAGGAGTTGAACTTTTCATGTTTAAGTGTGATAATTTACTACAGCTTATGGGATAATTGCTCCAGATCATATAACCTAAGTGTCTGGAGGCAACTGGGATTGTAGGAGAGTACAGATTTTTTAAAAAATGTGTATTTACTAGGACCTATATGGTTAAAAACAATCAGTTTTGGCCTAGACTTCCGATCATAAAAATAATACTATGGACAGGAAATTTGATATTTTAGGAAAATTCAAGAAATATATTTGTGCTGTTTTAAGCCTGTACTATCTGTATCTCTACCTATATTTGATTAGGACAATATAATATATAATCAATATAATAATGACTATTCCATATATATATATATATATATATATATATATATACTTTTTCAACTATTATTTTAAGTTCAGGGGTGCATGTGCAGGATGTGCAGGTTTGTTACATAGGTGTAGGTGTGCCTTGGTGATTTGCCGCACAGTTCATTCCATCACCTAGGTGTTAAGACCAGCATCCATTAGCTATTCTTCCTGATGCTCTCCCTACCCCCATTCCCACCCTCTGACAGGCCCCAGTGTGTGTTGTCCCCACCACCCATGTGTCTGTGTGTTCTCATCATTCAGCTCGCACTTATAAGTGCAAACATACAAAGTTTGGTTTTCTGTTCCTGCGTTAGTTTTTTGAGGATAATGGCTTCCAACACCATGCATGTTCATGCAAAGAATATGATCTCTTTATCTCATTCTTTTTATGGCTGCAAAGTGTTCCACGGTGCATTGTACCACATTTTCTTTATCGAGTCTATCATTGATGGGCATTTAGGTTGATTCCATGTCTTTGCTATTGTGAATAGTGCTCAATGGACATACATGTGCCTGTGTCTTTATAATACAATGATTTATATCCCTTTGGGTATATACCCAATAATGGGATTGCTGGGTCAAATGGTATTTCTGCATCTAGGACTTTAAGGAATTGCCACACTATCTTCCACAATGGTTTGAACTAATGTGTGCTCCTACCATCAGTGTAAAAGTGTTCCTTTTCCTCTGCAACCTTGCCAGCGTCTGTTGTTTCTTGACTTTTAATAATGGCCATTCTAACTTGTGTGAGATGGTATCTCCCTGTGGTTTTGATTTGCATATCTCTAATGGTCAGTGATGTTGAGCTTTTTTTCATATGTTTGTTGGCCACATGTATGTCTGTCCATATCATTTGCCCACTTTTTAATGGGTTTGTTTGTTTTTTTCTTGTACATTTGTTTAAGTTTCCTGTAGACTCTGTATATTAGACCTTTGTCAGATAGACAGATTACAAAAATTTTCTCTCATTCTGTAGGTTGTCTGTTCACCCTGATGATAGTTTCTTTTGCTGTGTGGATGGTCTTTAGTTTAATTAGATCCCATTTGTCAATTTTTGCATTTGTTGCAATTTCTTGTGGAGTTTTCATCGTGAAATCTTTGCCCGTGCCTATGCTCTGAATGGTATGGTCTAGATCTTCTTCAGGGTTTTTATACTTTTGAGTTTTATATTTAAGTCTTTAATCATCTTTAGTTCATATGGTGTAAGGAAGCGGTCCAGTTTCAATTTTCTGCATATGGCTAGCCAGTTCTCTCAGCACCATTTATCAAATAAGAAATTGTTTCCCCATTGCTGTTTCATTGGTCTATGTGTCTTTTCTTGTACCAGTACTATGCTGTTTTGGTTACTGTAGCCTAGTAGTATAGTTTGAAGTTGGATAGCAGGATGTTTCTAGCTTTGTTCTTTTTGCTTAAGATTGTCTTGGCTATTTGGGCTCTTCTATGGTTCCGTACAAATTTTACAAATTTTTTTTTCTAATTCTGTGAAGAATGTCAATTGTAGTTTAATGGAAATAGCATTTAATCTATAAATTACTTTGGACAGTGTGGCCATTTTCACGATATTTATTCTTCCTATCCATGAGCATGGAATATTTTTCCATTTGTTTGTGTCTTCTCTGATTTCTTTGAGCAATGGTTTATAGTTCTCATTGAAAAGTTCCTTCACTTCTCTTCTTAGTTGTATTCCTAGGTATTTTATTCTCTTTGTGGTAATTGTGAATGGGAGTTCATTCATGATTTGGCTCTCTGCTTGCCTGTTGTTGGTGTATAGAAATGCTAACAATTTTTGCAAATTGATTTTGTATCCCGAGACTTTGCTGATGTTGCTTATCAGCTTAAGAAGCTTTTGGGCTAAGACAATGGGATTTTCTACATATAGGATCATGTCATCTGCAAAGAGAGACAGTTTGACTTCCTCTCTTCCTAAATGAATTCCCTTTATTTCTTTCTCTTGCATGATTGCTCTGGCCAGAACTTCCAATACTATGTAAAATAGAAGTGGAGAGAGAGGGCATCCTTCTCTTGTGCCAGTTTTTAAGGGAAATGCTTCCTGCTTTTGCTCATTTGGTATGATATTGGCTGTGGGTTTGTCATATATGGCTCTTATTATTTTGAGGTATATTCCTTTAATATCTAGTTTATTGAGAGTTTTTAACATGAAGGAGTGTTGAATTTTTCAAAGCCCTCTTCTGCATCTATTGAGATAATAATGTAGTTTTTAATCTTTAGTTCTGTTTATGTGATGAATCACATTTATTGATTTGCATATGTTGAACCAATCTTGCATCCTGGGGATAAAGCCAACTTGATCATAGTGGATAAGCTCTTTGATGTACTTCTGGATTTGGTTTACCAGTATTTTTTTGAGGATTTTTGCATTGATGTTCATCAGGGATACTGGCCAGAAGTTTTCTTTTTTTTTCTTGTGTCTCTGACAGGCTTTGGTATCAGGATGATGTTGGCCTTATAGAATGAGTTAGACAGGAGTCCCTCCTTTTCAATTTTTTGAAATAGTTTCAGTATACAAGGTACCAGCTCTTCTTTGTGCCACTGGTGAATTCAGCTGTGCATCAGTCTCATCCTAGGCTTTTTTGGTTCGTCTACTTATTATGGCTTCAATTTCAGAACTTGTTATTGATCAATTCAGGAATTCAGTTTCTTCCTGGCTCGATCTTCAGAGGGTGAATGTGTCCAGGAATTTTTCTATTTCTTCTAGATTTTCTAGTTTATTTGCAAAGAGGTGTTTATAGTATTTTCTGATGGTTATTTGTATTTCTCTGGAGTCAGTGGTAATAGACCCCTTATCATTTATTATTGTGTTTATTTAATTATTTTCTCTTTTCTACTTTATTAGTCTAGCTAGTGGTGTATCTAGTTTATTAACTTTTTTGAAAAGCCACTCCTGCATTTGTTGATTTTTTATGTTATTTTTTGTGTGTCTCTATCTCCTTTAATTCAGCTCTGATACTGGTTATTTCTTGTCTTCCGCTAGCTTTGAGGTTTGTTTGCTCTTGGTACTCTAGTGTTTGTTTGTTTGTTTTATTTTTTTGTTTTGCTTTGTTTTTGAGATGGAGTTTTGCTCTTGTTGCCCAGGCTGGAGTGCAATGGCATGATCTCAGCTCATTGCAACCTCCGCCTCGTGGGTTCAAGCAATTCTCCTGCCTCGGCCCCCCAAGTAGCTGAGATTACAGGCATGGGCCACCACACCCAGCTAATTTTGTATTTTTACTAGAGATGAGCTTTCACCATGTTGGTCAGGCTGGTCTCGAACTTCTGACCTCAGATGATCCACCCGCCTTGGCCTCCCGAAGTGCTGAGATTGCAGGTGTGAGCCATCACATCTGGGCTCTAGTGTTTTTAGTTGTGATGTTAGGTTGTTAACTTGAGATCATTCTAGCTTTTTGATGTAGGCATTTAGTGCTGTAAATTTCCCTTTTAACACTGCTTTAGCTGCATCCCAGAGATTCTGGTACAGTGATGGTTAATATTGAGTGTTAACTTGATTGGATTGAAAGAGGCAAAGTATTGTTCCTGGATGTGTCTCTGAGGATGTTGCCAAAGGAGTTTAACATTTAAGTCAGTGGACTTGGAAAGACAGACCCACCCTCAATCTGGGTGGGCACAGTGTAATCAGCTGTCAGTGTGGCCAGAATAAAAGCAGGCAGAATAACATGAAAAGACTAGACTGGTTTAATCTTCTGGCCTTCATCTTTCTCCTGTGTGGATGCTTCCTGTCTTCGAACATGAGACTCAAAGTTCTTCACCTTTGGGACTCAGACTGGCTTCCTTGATTCTCAGCTTACAGACAGCCTATTGTGGGACCTCACCTTGTGATCATGTGAGTCAATGTTCCTTAATAAACTCACCTTTATATATACATTAATCCTATTAGCTCTGCCCCTCTAGAGAACCCTGACTAATACAGGTATGTTGTATTATTGTTATCATTAGTTTCAAATAACTTCTTGATTTCTGCCTTAATGTCATTATTTACCCAAGGGTCATTCAGGAGCAGGTTGTTCTCTTTCCATGTTGTCATGTGGTTTTGGGTGAATTTCTTAATCTTGAGTTATAATTTGATTGTGCTGTGGTCTGAGAGACTGTTTGTTATTATTTCAGTTCCTTTGCTTTTTCTGAAGCATATTTTACTTCCTACTATGTGTTCAATTTTAGAGTAAGTGATATGTGGCAATGAGAAGCATGTATATTCTGTTGTTTTGCGGTGGAGAGTTCTGTAGATATCTATCAGATCCACTTGATCCAGAATTTAGTTCAGGTCCTGAATGACTTGTTAATTCTGTCTCTCAATGATCTGTCTAATATTGTCAGTGGGGTGTTAAAGTCTCCCACTATTATTTTGTGGAAATCTAAGTCTCTTGTATGTCTCTAATAACTTGCTTTGTGAATCGGCATGTTCCTGTATTAGGTGCACATATATTTATGATAGTTAGCTCTTCTTGTTGAATTGAAGCCTTTACCATTATTTAATGCCGTTCTTTGTCTTTTTTGATCTTTGTTGGTTTAAAGTCTGTTTTGTTAGAAACTAGGACTGCAACTCCTACTTTTTTTCTGTTTTCCATTTGCTTGGTTAATTTGCTTCTATCCCTTTATTTTGAGCCCATGTGTGTCTTTGCACATGAGATGGGTCTTTTGAAGACAGCATACCCATGGGTCTGGCTCTTTATCCAGCTTGCCATTCAGTGTCTTTAAATTGGAGCATTCAGCCCATTTAAGGTTAATATTGTTATGTGTGAGTTTGATCTTGTCATCATGATGCTAGCTGGTTATTTTGCAGACTTGTTTATGTGGTTGCTTCATAGTGTCAGTGGTCTGTGTGCTTCAGTGTGTTTTTTAGTGGCTGGTAATGGTTTTTCCTTTCCATATTTTGTGCTTCCTTCAGGAGCTCTTACAAGGCAGGCTTGATGGTGACAAGTTCCCTCAGTATTTGCTTGCCTGTAAAGGATCTTATTTTTTTCTTCATTTATGCATCTTAGGTTGGCTGGATATGAATTCTGATTTGGACATTTTTTTTTTAAAGAATGTTGAATATTGGCCCCCATTCTCTTCTGGCTCATAGGGTTTCTGCTGAGAGGTCCGCTGTTAGTCTGATGAGCTTCCCTTTATAGGTGACCTGTTCTTTCTCTCTGGCTGCCTGTAATACCTTTTCTTTCATTTCGACCTTGGAGAATCTGAAGATTATGTCTCTTGGGGTTGATCTTCTCATGGAGTATCTTACTGGGGTTCTTTGGATTTCGTGAATTTGAATGTTAGCCTGTCTTGCCAGGTTGGGGAAGTTCTTCTGGATGATATTTTGAAGTATGTTTTCCCACTTGGTTCTGTTCTTTCCCTCTCTTTCAGGTACCCCAATCAGTCATAGGTTCAGTCGTTTTACATAATTCCATGTATCTCAGAAGTTTCGTTTATTCCTTTTCATTCTTTTTTCCTTTATTCTTGTCTGCCTGCCTTATTTCAGAAAGATGGTCTTCAAGCTCTGAGATTCTTTCCTCTGCTTGTTCTAATCTGCTATTGATACTTGTGATTGAATTGTGAATTTCCCATGTTGTGTTTTTCATCTCCATCAGGTTGGTTATGTCCCTCTTTAAACTGGCTATTATGGCTATCTGCTCCTGTATTGTTTTATTATGATTCTTAGCTTCTTTGTATTGGATTACAACATGCTCCTTTAGCTCAGTGAACTTTGTTATTACCCACCTTCAGAAGCCTAATTCTGTCAATTCAGCTATCTCAGCCTCTGCCCAATTCTGTATTTTTGCTGAAGAGGTGTTGTAGGCATTTAGAGGATAAAAGGCATTCTGGCTTTTTGAGTTTTTGTTGTTTTGTGTTGATTCTTTCTCATCTTTGTGGACTTACTTACCTTTGATCTTTGAGGTTACTGACCTTTGAATAGGGTTTTTGTGGAGTATTTTTTGTTGATGCTGTTTTTGTTTTCTGTTTGTTTGTTTTTCTTTTAACAGTCAGGCCACTCTTCTATAAGGCTGCTATGGTTTGCTGAAGGTCCACTCCAGAGCCTAGTTGCCTCGAATTTTTCCCTACCTGGAGGTATCACCAGTGAAGGCTGTGAAATGGCAAATATGGCAGCCTACTCCTTCCTCTGGAAGCTCTCTGTCCCAGAGGGGTACTGATCTGTTGCTGACCTGAATGTGCCTGGATTAGATGGCTGGAGATCCCTTTTGGGAGGTCTCAGGAGGAATGGGATCAGGGCTGTAGCTATACCATACATTGGGTATTTATTTTCTCTGGCACTATAAGTGTTCTGCATATATTTATTATGTAAAAGACTAATATGAAATAGATACAATTATTCACATTTAAACATAACAAAATTTTCTGCAAAAAAATATAAAGGGACTTTCCTATTGCACAATTAAAAGAGAGTAAGTTGGGACAAACAGTATGACTCACCTGACTCCAAAGTCCATGTGAACATATACCATGTAGTTCTTCCTATTACAGCTTATATTCTGTATCTCATTTTGCCCAAGGGGACTAAACATTGAGTGTAGGAATTTATCATATGAAGAGCATGGTCCTTGCTTAATTAAGTGTATAGAATGCCCAATCTATAGCAAGATATCCATTTACTGGCCCATGGTATATATCTGATAATTTATTGGTCAAACAATTTATTAATAGTTAAATGGAATCTGATCAATATACTTGGCTATGGCCACTGTATTAGTTCATTTCCCTTTGCTATGAAGAAATACCTGAGGCTGGGTAATTTATAACGAAAAAGAGGTTTATTTGGCTTATGGTTTTGCAGGCTGTACAAGAAGCATGGCACCAACATCTGATTCTGGTCAGGACCTCAGGAAGCATTTACTCATAGTGGAAGCCAAGCGAAGCTTGCTTGTAACATACTGAGAGACAGCAAAAAAGGGGAAGAAGGTGCCTCTCTCTTAACCACAAGATCTCATGGAAATTGATAGAGGGAGAATTTACTCATTACTAAGGGACAATACCAAGCCATTCATGGCATATCCACCCCCATGACAAAAACACCTCCCACTAGGTCCCACCTCCAACACTGGGGATCACATCTCAACAGGAAAGCTGGAGATGACAAACATACAAACTATATCAGCCACCTCGATAGTAGAGTCAGCACTAGAACCCTGAGTCATGACTTTTAGTTTGGGACTGTATGAGTTTGGATAAATTTAAGGTATTCCTTGTAAAGTACTGGCTTGAAAAAGGACATGACTTTCTGTTATGTAAATGCCTAGATAGATTTTTCCTAATTTTCTAGGTAGTTTTCCATTGTCAATAATCAGGATTTTCTACCACACACACACACACACACGCACACAAAAGTCATATTGTTAGTATTTTTTTACCCACTTCTCAATTAATTGTCTTAATTGCCTAACTGATTACTAAGTGGATCAGGTAAGGAAAGCAAAACTTTTGAGAAAACTGATGAAATTTCATCTCCTAATGAGGAGCACATGAGCCATTTAGCTTACAACAACTTGAGTTAAATTAAAATACCATTTCAAATAAAATTGTGATTATAATACACAGGATATATTAAACTTAATTATAAAGCAACCAATTTTCCCACCAATAAATGTATGATTTATTTGGGTACAGTTCAAACTTTTATTTAATAGAGGGCTTTTCCTCTTATGTCTTCAATTTCCTTGTTTCTGGGTATTCATTTATTTGTTCATTCATTTATCCAAAAAGTATTTATTGAACACTTCCTATATTCCAGGCTTTGTTGTATGTCCTGGTACTAGAACTATAAACAACACAAATTTACCTTATGAAGCTTACCTCTTATAAAAAGGTAAGATACAGTAAATGTTAGAAGGTGGTATATGTGAGAAAGAAAAATAAAGCAGGAAAAGGGAATAGAGTACTTAGTGTCAGGAGGAGAGGAGAGGTTATAATTTTTAAAATAAGGGTTAGGGAAACCCTGGCTGAGAAGGTAATACTTGAGAAAAGTTCTGAAGCAGGTGTGACATCTAACAATGTGAAGATTGGGGGGAGAAAAAAACAGTAGGTTCAGAAGCCTTAGACTGAAGAATACCTGGAAATGTGTGTTTATAGTGGACAGAGCAAGTAGGAGAAAAGCAGATGAGATCTGAGAATAAACAGTGACTTAGGCCAAGTACACAGGTCGTAGCAAGGATTTGGGCTCTTAATTTGAGTGAACAGGGAAGCCATTCTGAGCCAAACAGTTACCTGAGCTGACTTATATTTATAAAAGTTTACATTGCCTGTTCTGTTGAGATAGACTGTAGTTTGCGTAGATTGCAGAAGGAAAAATGCTTAAGGTAATGTTATTCAGCTGACAGATGATAGTGGTTTGTACCAGAATGTTAGCAGGAAAAATGGTGTAATATTATTAGATTCTGGACCCTTTTGAACATAGATCCCAAGATTTAACGGTGCCAAAGAAGCACTCACAGAGTCCTAAAAGAATTGTAACAGAAGCTAAGGGAAGACAGTGGTCCCACAGAAAAAAAGAAAGACGAGAAGAGAAGAAGACAAGAGGAAAAGAAAACAATCTCAGTGTAATCAACGTGGTAGAGTGATGCTGAGATGATACTAATTTGTGTATTTCATTTTTCTCACTGGACAGTTAGAGTTCTGATTTGAAGCTGATTTTAAAGATTGTGTTTGTGTGTGTGTGTGTGTGTGTGTGTGTGTGTGTGTTGCATTTCAGTGACTAGGAGAAAGAGTAAAAATAAACATAGAATATGAACAGTTAGTGATGAGCCACTGTTATGGTTTGGATTTCTGTCCCTGCCAAATATTATGTTAAATTGTAATCTCCAATGTCGGTGGAGGGGCCTGGTGGGAGGTAATTGGATTACCAGGGTGGATATTCCCCTTGGTGTTCTTGATATAGTGAGTTCTCATGAGATCTTGTTGTTTAAAACTGTGTAGCACCTCCTACTTTGCCCTCTTCCTCCTGCTCCAGCTCTGTAGGATGTGCTGGTCTCCCTTTGTCTTCTGCCATGTTTGAAGGTTTCCTGAGGCCTCCCCAGCCATGCTTCCTGTACAGCCTGTGAAACCATGAGCCAATTAAACCTCTTTTCATTTTAAGTTACCCAGGCTCAGGTAGTTCTTCATAGCAGTGTGAGAATGGAATGCTACAGCAACTATGCTGACATAAAACAGAGAGTAGAGAAGGATGGGATAAATTTTAGGGAAAGTTTCAGCAAAGGTCAGGGGAGAATTAGAGTACTCAGGAAGAGAGGGAACTGTGTAATTGATTCTGAAGGATGATTTTTCTGGCTGAGGAATTGAAACCTATGATGGGCCTCAGCGTGGAGGCTGGTCTGACACGAAGACCTGTGTGGCCAGCATTGAATGAGGGAGCGTAGAGATCTGAGAGGTTGCCTGGGACTACAGTCTTGCAGTCTTGTAGGTCAGGGTTAGAACTACAGGTACTATCTGGAGTCTGATGAAAAATTATCAGAGTATTTCATGCCTGATAGGGATACAATGTTACATTATCAGATAAAAACAAAAATAAATAGAATTTTATCTCACAAATATGTTACTATCATTACTACCATATTATTAAGCAAGGTTTAAACTTTATTTGTTCATGTAAGTTAAATTTATCATTAAATATGCAAGAAATAAGCTTTAATGGGATTATTAGGTTTTCCTAGAGAGTTATTTGAGCTACTTATATATTCTGCTTATTAGTCTTTTGTCAGATGGATAATTTGCAAATATTTTTTCCCATTCTGCGGGTTAGCTCTTCACTTTGTTGACGTTTTTCTTTGCAATGCAGAATGTTTTTTAACTGAATGTGATCCCATTTGTCCATTTTTGCTTTCGTTGCCTGTGATTGTGGGGTATTTCTCAAGAAATTTTGGCCCAGACCAATGTCCTGGATATTTCCTCCAATGATTTATTGTAGTAGTTTCATAGTTTGAGGTCTCACTTTTAAGTCTTTAATCCATTTTGACTTGTTCTTTGTACATGGCAAGTGATAGAGGTCAAATTTCATTTTTCTACATATGCATACCCAGTTTTCCCAGCACCATTTATTGAAGAGACTGTCTTTTCTCCAATGAATGTTCTTGGCACATTTATTAAAAATGAATTCACCATAGGTGTATGGATTTGTTTCTGGGTTCTCTCTTCTGTTCCATTCACCTGTGTGTCTGTTTTTATGTTAACGCCATGCTGTTTTGGTTACTATAGCTCTGTAGTAGAATTTGGAGTCAGGTAATGTGATTCCTCCAGTTTTGTTCTGTTTGCTCAGGATAGCTTTTGATATCTTGGGTCTTTTGAGTTTCCATATAAATTTTACCATTTTTTTCTATGTCTTTGAAGAATGTCATTTATATTTTGATAGGAATTTGAATTGAATCTGTATATTGCTTTGTAATATGGACATTTTAATGATATTGATTCTTGCAATCTATAAACAGAGAATACCTCCCTTTTTGTGTCCTCTTCAATTGTTTTCATCAGTGTTCTGTAATTTTGATTATAGAGATCTTTCACTTCTTTGGTTAATACCTAGGTCTTTTATTTTATTTGTATCTATTGTAAATGAGATTACTTTCTTCATTTCTTTTTCTGATTGTTCATTGTTGGCATATAAAAATGTCACTGACATTTGTATATTGATTTTGTACTCTGCAACTTTACTGAATATGTTTATCAATTCTAATAGATTTTTGGTGGAGTCTCTAGGTTTTTCCAAATGTAAGATAATATCATCTGCAAATAAGGATAATTTGACTTCTTGCAGTTCAATTTGGATGTCCTTTATTTATTTCTCTTGTTTGATTGCTCTAGCTAGGACTTCCAATACTACATTGAATAACAATGGTGACAGTTAGCATCCTTATCATGTTACAGATCTTAGAGAAAAGGCTTTCAGTTTTTCACCATTCAGAATGGTACTAGCTGTCGTTCCATCATATATGGCTTTAATTATGTTGAAATATGATCCTTCTATACCCAGTTTTTAAAGTTTTTTTTTTTTATCATGAAGGAATGTTGAATTTTATCAAATGGCTTTTCAGCATCAGTTGAAATTATCATATGCTTTTTGTTCTTCCATCTATTGATATGATGTATCACATTGATTGATTTGTGTATGTTGAACCATCTTAGCATCCCTGGGATAAATCTCACTGGTCATGATGGATGACCTTTTAAATGTACTGTTTAAGTTAGTTTGCTAGTATTATGCTGATGATATTTACATCTATATTCATCAGTGATATTGGCTTGTAATTTTTTTTCTTAATATGTCCTTGTCTGGCTTTCGTATCAGGATAATAGTGGCCTTGTAGAATAAGAAATACTGGAAGTGTTCCTTCACCCTCTATTTTTTGGAACAGCTTGGGTAGCATTGGTATTAGTTATTTAAATCTTTTGTAGAATACAGCAGTGAAGGTATCAGATCCTGGCCTTTTCTTTACTGGGAGCTTTTTTATTATGGCTTCAATCTCATTACTTGTTCTTGGTCTGCTCAGGTTCTGAATTTCTTCATGGCTTGATCCTGGTAGGTTGCATGTTTCTAGGAATTTATCTATTTCATCTAGGTTTTTTAATTTGTTTGCACAAAGTTGCTAACAGTAGCCACTAATGTTCCTTTGACTTTTTGCAATGTCAGTTATAATGCCCCCTTCTTCATCTCTGATTTTATTTATTTGGGTCTTCTCTCTCTCTCTCTCTTTTTCTTAATTAGTCTGACTAAAGATTTGCCAGTTTTATTTATATTTTCAAAAAACAACTTTTCACTTCATTAAATTTTGTATTGTTTTTTATTTCAAATATGTTTGTTTCTGCTCTCGTCTTTATTATTTCATTGATTCTACTAATTTGGTGTTTGGTTTGCTCTTGCTTTTCTAGTTCTTTAAAACTCATTGTTAGGTTATTTGATTTTTTTTTTCTTTTTTGATGTAAGCAGTTATAACTAGCAATACATTTCCCTCTTAGTACTGCTTTCACTTTTTCCCGTAGGTTTTGGTATGTTGTGTTCCCATTGTCATTTGTTCCCAGAAATTTTTCAATTTTCTTCTTAATTTCTTCATTGACCCACTAGTCATTCAGGAGCATATTGTTTAATTTCCACTGTTTATATATAGTTTTTAAAATTCCCCTTGTTATTCATTTCTAGTTTTATTCCATTGTGGTCAGAGAAGATGCTTGGTATTATTTCATTTTTTTTTTTCAAATATTTTAAGACTTGTTTATTGACCTAATATATGATCTCTCCTTGACAATAATTCATGTGCTGAGGAAAAGAATGTGTATTCTGCAGCCATTGGCTGAAATGTCCTGTTAATGTCTATTAAGTTCATTTGTTCATAGTACAGATTAAGTCCAATGTTTCTTTGTTGATTTTCAGTCTAGAAGATCTGTCAAATGCTGAAAGTGGGGTATTGATATCTCTAGCTATTATTGTAGTGAGATCTGTTACTCTCTTTAATTATAATAATATTTGCTTTATATGTGTGGATCTCCAGCGTTAGGTGCATATATATATTTAAAATAGTTATATCCTCTTGTTGAATTACCTATGTATCATTATATAATGACCTTCTTTGTCTCTTCCTACATTTTTGTCTTGAAATCTATTTCATCTAATATACATAGAGCTACTCCTGCTCTTCTTTGGTTTCCATTGGCATGGCATATCTTTTTCCATCCCTTTATTTTCAGTCTATGTGTATCTGTATAAGTGAAGTGTGTTTCTTGTATGCAACAGATCATTGGGCATTGCTTTTTTTTTTTTCTTACCCATTTAGCTACTCTATGTCTTTTGATTTGAGATTTTAGTTCATTTACATTCAATGTTATTCTTGATAAGTAAGGATTTACTTCTGCCATTTTGTTATTTATTTTCTGGTTGCTCTGTGACCTTCTCTTTCTTCTTTTCTTCCTTCCCATCTTCCTTTTAGTGAAGGTGATTTTCTCTGATGGTATCCTTTAATTTCTTGCTTTTTATTTTTGGTGTGTCTGTTATATGTTTTCAATTTGAGGTTACCATGAGCCTTGTGAATACTATCTTATAACCCATTATTTTAAATTGACAACTTAACACTGATGGCATAAAAGAAATAAACCGAAGGAAAATTAATATAAACCCTACACTTTAACTTTGTATGCTTGCGTTTTAACTTTTTGTTGTTTCTCTATATGTCTTACTGTACTGTGTATATCTCAAAAAGTTGTGCAGCTATTATTTTTAATTGGTTTATTATTAGTCTTCTACTTAAGATAAGGTCATTTTACAGGCCAGGCATGGCAGCTCATGCCTGTAATCCTAGCACTTTGGGAGGCTGAGGTGGGTGGATCACTTGAGGTCAGGGGTTCGAGACCTGCCAGGCCAACATGATTAAACCCTGTCTCTAATAAAAATACAAAAATTAGCTGGGCATGGTGGCACAGGCCTGTAATCCCAGCTACTAGGGAGGCTTAGGCAGGATAATACTTTGAAGCTGGGAGGCAGAGGTTACAGCGAGCGAGGTGCGTCACTGCACTCCAGCCTGGGCAACAGAGTGAGTGAGAATCTGTCTCAAAAACAAAACAAACAAAACAAAAGATAAAGTTATTTTACACACCACAATTATAGTGCTATAATATTCCGTGGAGTATTTTTTGTATATTATCTTCAGATTATTTCTTATTGTTCATGAATGCTCATTTCTTTCAGATTGAAGTACTCCCTTTAGCAGTTCTTATGGGCAGTGTCTGGTGGTGATGAAATCCCTCAGCTGCTGATTGTCTGAGAAGATCTTTATTTCTTCTTAATGTTTAAAGGATATTTTCACTGGTTGTACTTTTCAAAGATAAAAGTTTTTCCCTTTAGCACTTTAAATATATCATGCCATAAGTTTCCAGTGAAAAGCCTGCTGCCAAATGGACTTTGGACCACCATTGTATGTTATTTGTTTCTTTTCTCTTGCTGCTTTTACGGTCCTTTCTTTATCTTTGAGGTCTGGGAGTTTGATTATTAAATGCCTTCAGGTAGTCTTCTTTGGGTTAAATCTGCTTGGTATCTCTTACATCGATATTGATATCTTTCTCTAGGTTTGGGAAGTTATCTGATATTATCCCTCTCAATAAGCTTTCTGCCCATATCTCTTTTTCTACCTCCTCTTTATGGCCAGTCATTCTTAGGTTTGCCCTTTTAAGGCTATTTTCTAGATCTTCTATGTGAACTTTACTGTTTTTCATCTTTTTCTTTTGTCTTTTCTCACTGTATTTTCAAATAGCCTGTTTTCAAGATCACTAATTCCTTTTTCTGCTTCATCAGTTCTGCTATTAAGTGACTTTGATGCATTCTTCATTATGTCAAATGCATTTTCATCTCTAGAATTTCTGCTCAATTCTTCGTAATAATTTCAATATCCTTGCTAAAGTTATCTGCCAGAATTCTGAATTTCTTCTCTATGTTATGTTGAATTTCTCTGAGTTTCCTCAACGTAGCTATTTTGATACCTCTGTTTTATTTTGTTTTGTTTTTATTGAGATGGAGTATCACTCTGTCGCCCAGGCTGGAGTGCAGTGGTGCAATCTCGGCCTACTGAAACCTTCACCTCCCAGGCTCAAGCAATTCTCCTGCCTTAGCCTCCTGAATAATTAGGACTATAGGCACGTGCCACCACACCCAGCTAATTTTTTGTATTTTTAGTAGAGATGGGGTTTCACCGTGTTAGTCAGGATGGTCTCGATCTCCTGACCTCGTGATCCGCCCACTTCGGCTTCCCAAAGTGCTAGGATTATAGGCATAAGCCACCATGCCTGGCCTGAAACCTCTGTTTTAAAGGTTGTAAACGTCTTCCCAAAGTGCTGGGATTACAGGCGTGAGCCACCGCAACCAGCCTAGAGCAAGGTTTTTAGTGCAGTTTACCCCAGATGCTGTTAGCACTTCTTTCTCCTGTTTTCCGAGGGGAAAGAAGTGTTCCCACTGCTCATTTCTGCTCAGCAGCACCCTATTTCCATACCAGGTAAATAACAGGTTAACAGAGGGGGCAATGAACCTATGACCTCATTTGCTGAGGTCCTGCTTTCCTGTATGGTGTTGGTGCTTGTAGATGTTTGTCATTGTCTGGACATTGAAGAGTTAGGTATTCATTGTAGTTTTTGCAGTCTGGGCTTGTTTGTAACTGTCTTTCCTGGGAAGGCTTTCCAGATATTCTAAGGGACTTGGGTCCCAAACCCAATAATGCTGCGGTTCTTGCAGATGCATAGAAGTACTGCCTTGCTTGTCTTGGATAAAATCCGGAAGAATTCTCTGGATTATCAGGCAGAGACTCTTGTTCTTTTCCCTTACTCTACACTGAGCCTCCTGGAACTGGGGATAGCAGAACATGAGAACCTCTGTGGTGTCACCACCGAGACTGAGCTGGTTCAGACCTGAAGCCAGCACAGCACTGGGTCTCACTGTATGTAACCACTCCCTGGCTACCATTTAAGGTCACATGGGGGCTCTGGGGCCCTATTTTCAACAGGTGGCAAAGTCAGCCAGGTTGGTTTCCCCCCATTCAGGATGATGAATTTTCCTAACCCCTGAGTGGGTCCAGAGATGGTGTCTGGGAGCCAGAAATTAAAATAAAAAAGCCTTAGAAATGTACCTAGTGTTTTATTCTACTGTGGCTAAACTGGCATGAAAACCTCCAGAAAAAGTTTTTCCCACTTTTCTTTTCCCTTTACACAAGCAGAGGATCCTCTCCTTATGGCCACTACCACCACCAGCCCATGGGGCTTTCTGCCAGGCCACCACTGAGGTTCACTCAAAGTCCAGGGACTCTTCTGTCAGCTCGTGGTCAAAGCTCCCAGGCCTGGGGCTCAAACTTCAGGGCAGTGGGCTCCCCTCTATTCCATAAGAGGTCCAGCAATGATTACCAAGAGCCTGAGCCTTGACTCAGGGATCCCAAGATCCTACTTGGTGATCTACCCCGCTGTGGCCAAGCTGGTATCTAAGGTGGATGACGGAGTCCTCTTTTTCCCCTGCTTTTCTCAAACAGAAGGAGACTTGCACTGTAGCCACCGCAGCTGAAAGTGTGCTGGGTCACACTTGAAGCCAGCATGTCTCAGAGCCCCAGACCTGGTTACCTCTGTTAATTATTTAGGGGCCAGGTGCTCTTTAGTAAGCAGGTGATGAATCTTGCCAGGTCTTCGCCATTCTAAGGCAGCCCTAAGTTCAAAGTATAGTCCCCCAGGCACTGTGCTCTCGCTTACCCACGTGCACAGATTTCTCTGTGCCACGTGGCTGCTGCAAGGGTGGAAGGAGTGGGGCAAGCACTCCCTTAGCTGCCTTGGCTCGTGTCTCAGTAGATCACATGACTCTCCCCCAGTCCACTGGCTCTGAGCCCAACTCAGCACTAGCACTTGCCAAAAATTGCAGTCTTCGTGGCCTAGACTGTGCCTCAAGTTTACTTAGAGCCCCAGAGCTCACTAGCCAATCAATGACGGTGAGGCTTTTTGGTGGAACTCAAGTTCTGACCTCTGAGATGGGCAACTCCCCTCTGGCCAGAGCTGTTCCAAATGCTTCCTCTGTGTGTGCATGTCAGCTTAGTACAGCCCGGTTCTGCTTTCTGCTATGACAGGGTAGCACTGAGTTCAATGCAAAGCCTCACAATCACTGCACTATCTCTCTCTCCCAAGTGCACAGATTCTCTGTGCTCCGAGGCTGCTGAGAATCTGGGGATGAAGTGGAGTGGAATTGACACTTCATGACTGTCTTTCCTGACTTCTTCATGTCTCTTTCAGTGAAGTTAAAATCAAGTCCTGTGATTGCTCACCTGATTTTTGGTTCTTGTGTTGGTGCTTTTGTGCACATTTAGTTGTAACAATTTGGTATTCTTGTGGGGGTGACGAATGATATAAGCTTCTATTCAGCCATCTTGCGCCGCCCTCCCTAGTTTGTTTTCTCTCCAAGTTAAGATATGTAGAGTTGACTGCTAGAGGTTGGATGTTTGTTCCCCAAACCTCATGTTGACATTTAATCTCAATGTTGGAGGTGAGTTCTAATGGGAAGTACTTGGGTCATGGGGAAAGATCACTTATGAATAGGTTAATACTTCCTTCAGGTGGAAGGAAGTGACTGAGTTCTCACTTAATGAGTTCTCATGAGAGCAGCTGGTTATTAAAAAGACCACGGAATCTCCTTCTCCCTTGCTTCTCTTACCGTGTGATCTCTGCACGTGCTGGCTCCCCTTTGCCTTCTGCCATGAGTGAAAGCAGCCTGAGGCTCTCACCAGATAAATTATCAACGTTTCAGCCAGCAGAATTATGAGCCATGTTCTCTGAAGGACTTATTTTAGCATTTCTTTCTTTCTTTTTTTTTTTTTTTTCTTGAGATGGAGTCTCACCGTGTTGCCCAGGCTGGAGTGCAGTGGCGCGATCTTGGCTCACTGCAAGCTCCGCCTGCTGGGTTCACACCATTCTCCTGCCTCAGCCTCCCGAGTAGTGGGGACGACAGGCGCCCACCCCCATGCCTGGCTAACTTTTTTTTGTATTTTTTAGTACAGACGGGGTTTCACCATGTTGGCCATGATGGTCTCGATCTCCTGAGCTCATGATACTCCCACCTGGGCTTCCCAAAGTGCTGGGATAACAGGCGTGAGCCATTGCGCCCAGCCTTTAACATTTCTTGAAATATAAGTTACCCAGTTTCAGATATTTCCTTAGAGCAACACAAACATTCTAAGATATTAACCCATGAGCAATGCAGGGTTGGGGGTGTCAACACTCCCACACATGTAGTGGAAGATTTGTGTATAACTTTTGATATCCCCAAACTTAACTACTGATAGCCTACTATTAACCAGAAGTCTTATCAATACAATAACATACACAATTAACACATATTTTGTAAATTATGTTTTCTATAGCGTACTTTTACAATAAAGTAAGCTAGAGAAAAGAAAATGTTATTTAGAAAATAAAAAGGAAGAAAAATATATTTGCTATTTATTAAGTAGAAATGAATCATCATAAAGGTTTTCATTCTTATAGTCTTCATGTTGATTAGGTTAAGGAAGAGCAGGAAGAGGAAGGGTTGATCTTTCTCTCTCAGGGATGACAGAGAAGGAAGAAAATCCACATACAAGTGGACTCATGCAATACAATATATTTGTATGTATACTGTGTATGTATTTTTATACATATATACTTACTTATATACTGTACTGTGTATATATGTATTTGTATATGTACATACATATGTATATACTATATTTAGTATATATACACACAGAATGTATATATATGCACTTTTACACATATATACTATATATACTATACATAGTACATATATACACATATATATGTATGTACACAGACATATACACACACACTATACATAGAATATATATGCACTATATCTAGATACTATGTATATATATTAGCCCCAAACTTAACTGCTGATAGCCTATAATGCATATATATACTATGGTTTGTGTACATATGTGTATATATATACACACATGTATAATATAAAATATATATATATTCTCAGTGTGTACATATGTGTATATATATATACACACACACACATATATATAATATAAAAAATATATATACACGTAGGTACACACACTATGAGCATCTTATGAGGAAATTCCAGCTGATCACCTCTCTCTCTCCAGTGAAGTAGGAAGAAAAAATGAGCATCAAAATCACAGGGCCCAGTACCTCAAGAATAGTAGTGGATTACATACCTAGTACATATGGACATTAGTGAATGATTATATAAGATTATTATATCATATATATTATCGTGTAATTATTATATAATCTATTAATGTCCTCTATCATTACCTCTTCTTTTTCCTTTTATAGAATCTGGCTTTGCTTTATAATTAGGTTAAAAATGTTACCCCAAATTTCACATCAGGTGACAGCTTTCAAAACAGAATTTGAACCCTGCCACTTGATTATTTGGTTTCAAAGCATATGGCTCTGATCTCAACTAATGACAAAGAATTAAGCAATGGCATAGAATGACAGAAACACTTGTCAGGAAATAAAACCTTGAGCTGTGTGTTTCAAAATTTTAAGAAAGAAAGTAAAGTTCTTCACTGATTTGAATGCAAACATTTTAACCCTTGCATTAAAATGGCTAAACATTGCTATCACTTTAATCTTGCCTCCCTGTAACTGGCTTTACTAAGTTACGTGCAAGTATTATGTTCTGTTGTATTACAATCTGTCCTTTTTAGTATTTTCAATAACCAAAAAAAATATAGCAAAATCAACTGATATAGAATTCTATCAGAAAAGATAAAAGACACTTTTTAAGGAAGATGCTATTTCACAGAAACAAAAATTTTAGAGGAAACACAAGAGTTAAAAGCATTTTAAAAGATGAGATAGTGCCTCCTTAAGCACAGAGTCAAGGAAATACTAAAGGTACATGAGGAAAGTGGTCAAATATCCTTGAAATTTAGAGCAATGAAGAACAGGCTAGCTATAATGAACAGTATGTGAATCATTTAGATTGTAGGACAGAGCATATTAATGAATAACAGGGGAAGAATAGCTATCTGGCTACAGAAACTGGCAAGCATAAAGACCCCCACCCCTGTAAAACACGGGGAATAGAAGAATTGTTTTTTTCTGGAGAAGAAATAAGACATTGCCTAATATTTGTTGTTCATTAAATTGTTGCTTCTTTAGCCGACACATTCTCAAATCTATACTGAAAATAGATTTTTTATCCCTGTCTGTAAAGAAGTTGAGATTTCTTCTACATCAAAAAACAATAAAACAAGTAAATACTTTTTTAAAAGCAGAATTATCTTTCCCCAGCTATGTTTTCTTATAGAATATCTCATATTAGTGGTGTATTTCTGTTAGTCATTTTGGCAACATTTATTTCCTCTTTAATGCCTTGAAGTCTGGTTGCTACTCACAACATTCAGTGGAAATCACACTAACAAAATTCAACGTGGTTCTTCTCAAATCCTATGGTCTTAAACCTGCTTCAAACTCAGGAGACACAGTTACAGAATTTATCTTTTGTGAGCTCCTTAGGCTCTATGAAATCACACTCTGCTTATTCAACTTCTATAAGCTCACAATTCTGCTGCTTCCAGAGGTTTGCCTAGTCCTTCACTGGTTTACTTTCTATCCCCTAAAGAGATGCATGGCAAAACTAACTACATCTGTCTTCAAGATTTTAAAGGTATATCTCTACTTCCAAACTCCCTGAAGCTGTAGTTTGGTAATTCCACTTACCTATGGAATATTCCACTAAAATGCCTCTTTATTAGCATGAGCTCACTAAATCTAAATTGAATAAATTATATTTATCTTCCAAACTATTTACCATGTCAAATTTTACCCTTTCTGATGATATCACCACTATTCTTCCAGTATTCTGTTTCCTTATATTATCTCTCTATCCTACAATGTCATATATTCCAAATGGGAAGGCTATATGTTCTTTATGCCATAATGAATCTGGAAGATATTTATAAATAATCAGTCAATTATATATTTAGCATTAATATTTTATTTGCTTTATTTTAATTTCTTTGACATTGCCTAACAATTATCTCCTTGCTACAGAGAAGTCAAGATGACATTCAGTTGCAATTTTGAGGTTCTTTTCTGATCCAACATTCTTATGTTTCAGGCCAAGCTCACTAGGTGTTGGGACAAATCCAAGATTCTTGGATCATTTCAGCCTCTCATTATACATAAAATCATGGCATTTTGGGGAGTGTGTGGCAACCAGGAGGGGATTATTGCTGAACAAATATTCCCAAGCAATTTCTTAAATGACACAGATTAGTTTCTCAATTCAGGAGATGAAAGTTGCCAAGTCAACTTATGGAGCACTCCAAGCTTAGTCTCTGACCCAGCTAATTTGTAATGGTGTTGCTATTTTCAATTTAACAATTTAGGAGTGAGTATCTTTTACATATTACAGTTTTTGCAATGTGGCAATAATAAGATCAGAACAGATTTTAGATTTCAGGATCTTTTTAACAGAAAAACATCAATAAGAATTTTCTGTCTCTACCACTACAATTGTATCTCTGCTCTTACTGTGGTCAAAAAAAATATTCAGGTCTCTTCTGAATATCAATACTATGATTTTTAAAGGGAAATATTTGCTTTGGAGTATTAGATTTGATACTTTTGTTATCAAGCTGTTTGGATAACATTTTTTATCAATTTCAATTTGTATTGATTTATTAATAGTATTTATGACTTTGCAATTTACACTTAGCATTTCTTTTTAAATCTTCCTAAACTTTTTCTGCATTAAGCATGTTAAGCTTCTCCACAGAAGAAAATGTGATAGGCCAATCTGGTCTAATTTCCTTCAGGAGAAGCGATGCGACTATAGCAACTTCCAGCTCAAAGAAAGAGGAATGTGTCATAGGAAACTTGACCTTTCCACAGAATTAATTTTAGCCTGAATAAAATTATAAATAATGTTCAAGTTTCATTCTAATTTAGGCAAGGAAATGAGTCAGATGACTAGATAAAGATGAGTTCAGGAAAATTCAGGAAGTGAGAAACAAATCAATTTCCATTCTTATTGTTACATGAAACAATATGTTCCTTCCTACCTTGGACTCATATTATTCTAAAAAACACACACACACACACACACACACACAAAGATCTTTTATTCTGGAGCTTTTAAGACAGAAACATGGCCTGTTTGAAGATTTTCATGAATATATGTTCGCTTCCATCCCCGAAAACTGGCCCTTTGGAACTAAAAGAGGCAAGAATTCGTAATTCCAACATTTCCATGGACATTCGGTGTGATCTCATTTTTACCATCTGTCCTAAAACTTCTTACCTACATCAGATTTGATTTACTTGTGTTTGAATACTGCTTGAGGGTATAAAACTCTAATCACTCAGATTATTATTTTCTAATTCACAAGCCTTCATTTTCTTTTTAATTTCCTTCTGTCAATAGACATGCTCACACAATGTGGGTTCTAGATTTTTTAAATGTTTTTCATTAACGTACAGATGAGAATATTTCTTCAAAACCATTTTATCATATGCTGAAATTGTTTCAGAATAATTTACTTTAATTCAATATGACCTTGTTCTTCTCTACAATTACAATTTGTCCCTTAAAATAACCATGGTGTCATAGAGATACTTTCACAGGAGAAAACTCCAAAAGAATTTCTTTTTTTGCCCTTCCTTTTGAACCTTGTACGGTCCTGAATGGTTCCTGTAGGAAATTATAAAAATAAAGCAGATTCTAATGAGAAAATAAATCTCCAAAGCAGTATTCAAAGATTGTCATCCCGTGGGTCAGATTTTTAAATGACAGAGTTCTATTGTCTTATGTCATTACACATGATCTCAAACTGTCTGTTCTAATTTCCAAGAAATGCTGAGCCAAAGGAGGGTTTGACACTCAGGAAGAGGTTTTTTCTCTTTCAATGAAGATGGAATTGTAGCTGGAAACATGGTCAATTAGATAAACACTTGTTTACTTGTGAATATCTGTAAATGCTGCTGGGTATCCTCTTACAAAGATGAAAAGGTAAAATTGGGGCCAAGGTTATCCCAAGGAATTCTCCTAATACTATGAAGCTGATTAGAAAATGGTGTTTTCTTGATGGTTTCATGTTCGATCTGGTGATTTTAATGTTCTCTTTGCAAAGGAACTATATAAATCTTGGGAAGTTTTGTAGCATTATATTTTACAATATGCTAAACTGAGACTGAATAAAGATTAAAAAGTTGCGTTGCTATATAAAAATGAAATTATATCTATATTTTTGATACATAAAGAGCATTATAGATTATGAGAATATTGCTATTTATAATGTCAATTATTACCAAAAGATTGTTTGTATAATTTCTGCAGATATTAATATCAGACTGTAAAACATTAAAACTGTGCATATCAGTATCTTGCTTTTTGGAGGAATTTTAATGGTTCCTTCTTCAATTTTATAGCATGTGTACAATTTTTCTATTGGTATTTCCAGTTATTGTGGGCTGGCTTATTAATGCAGAAATTGCTTTTATTTATATGCGTAGCTTTGAAGGAAAAGGTAAGAAAAGTATCATATTGTTTAGTCATAACAATATGCAAAGACTTCTGGTGCTGTCTTTTTACTTGTCCTCGACTCTAACTTGCCAAATTATTAAATGGTCTCCAACATTCAATGTACTTGATGGAAAGGCGATATAGGTAAATACCATCCTCCCACATCTACAGGTCTACACCCATCATGAAATGTGCTTTTGCCAATATTGGAGAGGCCCAAATTTATGTTCAACAGTATTGTAAGACTAGGGAAATTTAGTACCAAGCATTGAAACCCAGCTGCTTCAGTGAAATTTTTTTCTGTATAGACTCTGTGTTCCAGACTTCTGGTCACAAGATTCAAAGAAAAGAAAAAGAGAGAGAGAGAGAAAGAGAGAAAAAACATTGCTTGGTATAGGTATAGTGTAATTATAACTTTTATCTCATTATAAGAAATCAAAAGAAACTTTGTGTTAATTCACTGGAAATTTTGCTTTTCTTCCTGTGCATGAAATGGAAAGTTCTCAGGCTGCCTGAAGCTCACACAGCCAGACTTTTCACTCCCGAGAACCTTTCCCGGTTTTGTACCTGGCCTGAGTCTTGTCTCTGTACTGTCCTTCTACTTTTTCTCAACCTTTAGAAAGTTCTACCAAAACCAAGTTAAAGTGTCACTTCCTCTGTGTAGCCTTTTCTGGCTCCCAAGGTACTTCCCTCTTTTGTTTTCCATCAACTGTTGCCCCACATTTTATTAAGTCTACAGCAATGCATTATGCATATCTCTTTACACATTTGTCTTGCCAACTATTCTGTGGCCTAGTCAAGAGCAGACTATGGCTTAGGTTTTTTTTTTTTTTTTTTTTTTTTTACAACTCCATATACAGACTATTAAAATGCCTAGGGAATAAAGAAGTCACTATAAATGTTTTTCTCATGTATTATTGGTACGATACATAATAGAAAATGTAAACATCCCCCTAGGTAGAAGCCATCTATTTTGTTAGTGGTGAGAAGATTATATTAATAATTCTTTTTTAAAATTTATTTATTATATTTTAAGTTCTGGGATACATGTGCAGAATGTACAGGATTGTTATGTAGGCATTAAAGAATTATATTAATATATGAATTAATATATGAATTAAAGAATTATGAAGTCTTTGCCCATGCCTATGTCCTGAATGGTATTGCCTAGGTTTCCTTCTAGGGTTTTTATGGTTTTACATCTTACGTTTAAGTCTTTAATCCATCTTGAGTTAATTTTTATATAAGGTATGAAGAAGGGGTCCAGTTTCAGATTTCTACATATGGCTAGCCAGTTTTCCCAATACCATTTATTAAATAGGGAATCTTTTCCCCATTGCTTGTTTTTGTCAGGTTTGTCAAAGATCAGATGGTTGCAATGTGTGGCGTTATTTCTGAGGCCTCTATTCTGTTCCATTGGTCCGTATATCTGTTTTGGTACCAGTACCATGCTGTTTTTGTTACTGTAGCCTTGTAGTACAGTTTGAAGTCAGGTAGCACGATGCCTCCAGCTTTGTTCTTTTTGTTTAGGATTGTCTTGGCTATACAGACTCTTTTTTGGTTCCATATAAAATTTAAAGTAGTTTTTTCTAATTCTGTGAAGAAAGTCAATGGTAGTTTGATGGGGATAACATTGAATCTATAAATTACTTTGGGCAGTATGGCCATTTTCACAATATTGATTCTTCCTATCCATGAGCATGGAATGTTTTTCTGTTTGTTTGTGTCCTCTCTTATTTCCTTGTGCAATGGTTTGTAGTTCTCCTTGAAGAGGTCCTTCACATCCCTCGTAAGTTGTATTCTCTTTGTAGCAATTGTGAATGGGAGTTCACTCATGATTTGGCTCTCTGTTTGTCTATTATTGGTGTACAGGAATGCTTGTGATTTTTGCACATTGATTTTGTATCCTGAGACTTTGCTGAAGTTGCATGACTAAAAAACCAAAGCAATGGCAACAGAAGCCAAAAATTGACAAATGGGATCTAATTAAACTAAAGAGCTTCTGCACAGCAAAAGAAACTATCGTCAGAATGAACAGGCAACCTATAGAATGGGAGAAAATTATTGAAATCTATCCGTCTGTCGAAGGGCTAACATCCAGAATCTACAAAGAACTTAAACAGATTTACAAGAAAAAAAACAAACGACCCCATCAGAAAGTGGGTGAAGGATATTAACAGACACTTCTCAAAAGAAGACATTTATGTGGCCAACAAACATATGGAAAATTTCATCATCACTGGTCATTACAGAAATGCAAACCAAAACCACAATGAGATACCATCTCACGCCAGTTAGAATGGCGATCATTAAAAAGTCAGCAAACAACAGATGCTAGAGAGGATGTGGAGAAATAGGAATGCTTTTACACTGTTGGTGGGAGTGCAAATTAGTCCAATCATTGTGAAATACAGTCTGGTGATTCCTCTGGGATCTAGAACCAGAAATACCATTTGACCCAACAATCCCATTACTGGTTGTATACCCAAAGGATTATCAATTATTCTACTATAAAGACACATGCACATGTATGTTTATTGCAGCACTGTCACAATAGCAAAGACTTGGAACTAACCCAAATGCCTATCAATGATAGACTGAATGAAGAAAATGTGGCACATATACACCATGGAATACTATGAAGACATAAAAAGATGAGTTCATGTCCTTTGCAGGAACACGGATGATGCTGGGAACCATCATTCTCAGCAAACTAACGCAAGAACAGAAAACCAAACACCACATGTTCTCACTCATAAGTGGGAGTTGAACAATGAGAACACATGGACACAGGGAGGGGAGTATTACATAGTGGGGCCTGTCAGGGGGTAGAGGGCTAGGGGAGGGACAACATTAAGAGAAATACCTAATGTAGATGATAAGTTGATGGGTGCAGCAAACCACCATTGTATGTGTATGCCTATATAACAATCCTGCACATTCTGCACATGTATCCCAGAACTTAAAATGTAAGAAATAAATTTAAAAAAAGAATTATTAATATAATCTTCTCACCACTAACAAAATAGATGGCTTCTACCTAGGGGGATGTTTACATTTTCTATAATGTACCAATAATACATGAGGAAAACATTCTTAGTAATTAATAATGTTAACAAAGTTTATGTGGGCTGCGATTAATGGAAGTAACTGAAAAAATCTTTTAAATTACTTCATAAACGGACATAGTCATGAACAACTTCAATAGTAGCCTCGTGCTGCGATAACCCATTGCTACTTAAATAGGTGTAAATAGGTGTTGGGTTCTCAAGGTGGTTAATGTTACATGTCAACTAGAGAACTGGTAAAGTATTATTTCTGGGTGTGTCTGAGGGTGTTCCTAGGAGATTGGCATGTGAGGGAGTGGACTGAGTGGGGAAGACCTGCCCTCAATGTGGGCAGCACCATCCAAAATGTTGAGGGCCCACATGGAACAGAAAAGGAAGAAGGGTGATTGTTTTTCTCCTGGAGCTGGGAGACTTCTTCTCCTGCCTCTACATCAGAACGCCAGCCCCTCTAGCCTTTGGGCCTTAGGAGTTACTCCAGTGGCCCCCTGAATTCTCAGGCCTTCACCCTCTAATGGGGAATTATACCACCAGCTCCTCTGGATCTGAGGCTTTCAGACTTGAACTGAGTTGTACTACTAGCATCCCAAAACCTTCAGCTTGCAAATGTCCTGTCATGGGACTTCTCAACCTCCATAATCATATAAGCTAATTCCTCTAAAAAAACAATTTTTTGTGCATCTATCTATATCTATATCTATCTGTATGTATATATCTATATCTATATCATCTGCTAATTTTACTTGTCCTGCCTTTGTGGAGAACCTTCATTAATAGAGCACTCAAATATTTGAAATAATGAATTGTTGCAATAGTGGTGAACATGGAGTTTACTTTGTTCATCTTAAAGATAGCAGAGCAATTCCGGATTGTATATCATTTATGAATAATGGTTCTAGAAGTTCATTTGAGACACTATCCTGCTACCTCCATTTCTACCACTGACTTGGTGACTCATGATTCTTCAGCTTCTATTGAGTCCAGGAACAAACAAATTTAGTAAAACTGATGCTGGGTTATCATGTGCAGTACAGCAGAGCTTCTGCATCATGGTAAAGATCCCTTCTCTTGGCAAGGAGCATCTACTGATTACCCTTGTGAAAATTTGCTAGATTGTTTTCATCCATTTGAGAGACTGTTTCTATTTTGCTCTGAGGCCTTTGCTGCAGCTCTTTTGCCTCCTGTGTAGACTCCATGGCTCCAGTAGCTGTTGAATTGATGTTATACTTCCCTTTCTCAATGATAATTGTCTCATAAACTATCCTTCTTGTAAATACTTTGCTCACTAAAATTGTAATTTCCAAATTATTTCATAATAAAGAAGATATTCTCTCTCAATTTCTAATGTTAAAATGTAAAGCTCTCCTAACTTGTCCTGTCCATCTTTGTAGTCTCACATGCACTACTATTTTTTGTTGTTTCTAATATTTGTCTGCATATAAAAAACTAACAGGGACCCCAAAATGATCTAGAATTCTTTACTCTTCCATATCCTATGGACTTAGTAGTCTTTTTAATTTCAGTAACACCAGCTATTAGCACTCTGTCTGGCATATATCCATTATTATAGGTATAATGTTTTTGTCCCTCCCCTGCAAATTCATATGATGAGATCGTAACCCCAATGTGATGTTATTACGATGTGAGGCTTTGAGGAGGTCATCAGGTCATAAGAGTGGAACCTTCATTAATGGGATCAATGCCTTTATAAAAGCGATCCCAGAGACCTTTCTTGATCTTTTTTTCTGCCATGTGAAGATACAAGATTTGAAGATGGCAGTCTGCAGCCCAGAAGAGACCCTTAACCATGGAGGAGAACATGGCCATGCTGGCAGCCTGATCTTGGACTTCCATGCTCCAGACCTATGAGAAATAAAATTCTGCTGTTTTTAAGACACCCAGTCTATGACCTCTGTTATAGCGGCCTGCACTACGATATTCAGTGCACAATAAGAGACTCCAAAGCAAGTATTTACTCTGCAGTATGAATCTGATTTCGTTTGAGCTCCCTAGTTCTTTTTGACCATTTTTATCTCTAACACCTACCTGATTCCACTCTGTCTTCTACTTTCCTCCCCTCCAATCAAGCCCTGACGTTTTCTCCCTTTACCACATAATGTCAGTGTCCTTGACCGGGTGGATCAAGGAATAGCAAAGCTTTGAGAGTGGCACCTGCTTTGTGGAAATGATACCTACAATTTTAATTTCCTTTATCTCACTCTACTAGCATTTCCTAACCAATTTATAGAAACTGACATTAAATAAAGTTAAAGTGAAGAGCTGGCCTATCAGTCATTGTGTGTGTGTGTGTGTATGTGTGTGTGTGTTGCACATACCAGATGTATATACCGAGAAGTGTTTGTATTCTTTAAATCTTGGATTTTATACTGAAGGTTATAATGACCCGGATTATCTGAATGTTTACATTTAGAAATGTGGCCAGGAGACTTTAAGCAATGAGAATACCTAATGCAAATGTGTGATGAAAACAAAATCATGACAATGTTGTCTTAGAGATTCATCAAAGAACAAACGAACATTGTCTCCTTGATAGATGATGTACATTGGGTCAATGCTAGCCTCTTGATTTTCACCTCACATATTTATCCATCGTAAAACATGAAGGGAGTTAAGCTTTCACTGCTTGATGTAGAGATAGTCCAGGAACAACCTGGGATTAAGCTAGCAGATGAAGACACCTAAGATGTGGTAATTTGGAAGGCATAAATTTTCATCTTGACTGGATAATCTGAAACCAGTCACCCATCTTCTAAGGTCCTAGTACTTTTATTGTTAAAATGTGAAGTTTGGATTAAAACATCTATAAAGCCACATACCTATCACTAAATTTGTGATTTAAAAAAAATTAAATTGTAGTTAAAAACATGTATTTTCTTCATTTTAATCATTTTAAGAGTGCAATTCAGTAGTTTTAAGTATATTCAACTTGTTGTAATACATATATCTAGAACTTTTTCACCTCAGTCCCTAGTAATCACCATTTTATAGAAGTTGAATCATACAGTATTTGTCTTATTGTGACTGGCTTATTTATTTAGCATATCATTCAGGCTTATCCCTGCTGTAGTATGTGACAAGATTTCCTTTTTAGGGGTGAATAATATTCCATTGTATGTGTATATACTACATTTCCTTCATCCATTCACTTGTCAATGGATATTTGGGCTGCTTCTACTTGTTGGTGTTTTAAATAGTGCTTCTATAAACATGAGTGTTCAAATATCTCTTTGAGACTCTTCTTTCAATACTTTTGGTTAAAAGTATTGGTTAAAATCCCAGATGTGGAATTGTTGGGTAATATGGTAGTTCTATTTTTAATTTTTTATAATTTTTGCATAGTGGTTGCACAATCCCGCCAACAGTGTACTAGGGTTCCAATTTCTCCACATTCTCACTAACATTTGTTATTTTCTGTTTTGTTTCATTTTTTTGATAGCAGTCATACTAGTGAATGTAAGATGATATCTTGTGATTTTAACTTGCATTTCCCTAATTATTTATGATGTCAAATATTTGTTTTATATGACTGTGGTCCATTTGCGTATTACTTTTGGAGAAATATCTATTCAAGTCCTTAGCCCATTTAAAAAAATAAGTTATTTGATTTTTGTTATTGAGTTATAGAAGTTCTTTTTATATTTTCTGTATAACAATTTACTATCATATCCATATATATGTATAGATATATATGATTTGCAAATATTTTCTCCTACTCCATAGGTTGCCTTTTCAGGCTGTTAGGTGTGTCCTTCAATGCACAAAAGTTTTTGAGTTTGATATAGTCCCTTTTCTACTTTTGCTTTCTTTCCCTGTGCTTTGGTGTCATATGTGAGAACACATTGTCATGTCCTATGTCATGAAGCTTTTCTTCTATGCTTTTAGTTCCAGGAGTTTTAAGTTTTTGATTTTTTAAACTTTGTCTTAAAAAAATCAGAATTTCTCACTTAGTGTGAGTCATGAAACGAAATCATTGTTACTTGACAGCATTTAAAATTGCTTTACATGTGTGCCTCAGTAAACACAGCTGCAACAAATTAATTCATTCATTTTGTTGTGCAAATGATTGATTTAAATAGGTTTACATAATTATAAACCTATTACAGGAAGTGTTAATCATAATTTGTTTCAGAAGTAGAAAATGCTTCCGCTAAATTACATATGTCAAGTTGTAATCACATAAGACTATTTGTTATTTTTATACCTCTTCTGTATTTCTACCTCTGTACTTTTATTAAGCCCTCTCATAGCCCTCTCTGCTTAAGTCAAGTGTTTTTTTAAAGACCCAGATAACCCTATCCTGCCTCCCCCACACACTCACAAGAAGCCTTCTCTATTTTGCCATCCCATGTGCATTCCTTTTCTAAGTCAGTGCATATGATCAATTGTATTCTTTAATTCTCTGTATACTATTATTATTAGAGTTTTGTTTGTAAATGAAGCAAATTCAACAAAGTGGAAGTCTTTTTCTGTGTGGTTGAAGGGGATCAACTCTTGTCTTAGTCCATTTGCATAGCTGTAAAGGAATACTATGAGGCTGAGGAATTTATAAAGAAAAGAGGTTTATTTGGCTTACACTCGTGCAGGCTGTGCAAGCATGGTACCAGCATCTGCTTCTGATGAGGGCTTCAGAAAGTTTTCACTCATGGCAGAAGGGAAAGGAGAGAAACCAACACACGGTGAGAGAGAAGGAAAAAGTGAATAAAGGGAGGCTCCAGACTCTTTTGAAAAAGCAGACCTTGGAGGTGCTAGGAGTGCTGCATGACCTAGATGCCTTTCACTAAGCTCCACCTCCAACACTGAGGATCAAATTTCAAGATGACATTTAAAGGGAACAAATATCCAAACAATATCAACTTTATTTCTTCCCTGAAATCTCTAGATTCATTATTAAATATGAGAATCAAATACCAAACTATTTATAATATCCTAAGATTTCATTACCACGTGGTGACAACATCAACGATAGAAGAAGGTCATAATTTTAGGGAAGTTACAACTGTAGCCTGACATATCAGCTGTGATATCCTTTAGGGCACACTAAAATAGTAACCATGGATGAAGAGGAGCATCTTTTGTGATAGGGGTAGGAAAAGAAACAAATCCAAGACTAATGTAATTTTACAAAGGCAAAGAGAAAATGAGCCAAAATGTTAACACTAATTATCACTAAATTATATGTTTATACATG
Organism: Homo sapiens; assembly: GCF_000001405.40. NCBI lineage: Eukaryota > Metazoa > Chordata > Mammalia > Primates > Hominidae > Homo > Homo sapiens. The sequence goes on along the minus strand of NC_000021.9, from coordinate 27,762,394 downwards.
ACTTTAAATTTTTCATGTGGATCTTTATTTTTTAAGCATTCTACTAAGCCCATATTATTTTAATGGATGGGGAAAAATTTATTACAAAGGGGAAAGTGAGTGAAGGAATTATAATAGCTAACAGATTTTATAAAAGAGAACTTAGAATCATGTTATTTTGCTACACTGCAGGAAATAAAACTTTTTGTTGAAAAGCAGCATGGAAATGTGTGTGTGAATGCTGGGGAATGAGGAATGGAATGTTGGGACTAGAGATTATTAATATAGAGAAAGGAAACTTTCTTTATCCTCTGAAGGTTTGATAATTACTAACAGGAGAAAAAAACATTTTAATTATTTGCATACACATAGGAGTCCCACAAAATATGAGACTTGAAAAGGGGGCAGATGATTGAAACATATATAACATCTTGAGCTGAAGAAAGGAATACAGGCCTGGGGATTCTAGGGTTGGTGGTGACACAAGTTATGGGAGAGTGAGGGGAGAAAATGCAGGGTGAACAAAGGTTGTCTTGTTATGCAAACAAAAGGTCTTTCAGGTAATAAACAGTCTCAGAAAAAGAGGCGATAGTCTGTGATAAAATCTGCCTGGGCATGTTGTCAACTTTCAGTTTCCTCCCCTGTGATACTTTTACTTTTCCCTGGCTGATGAGATTCCCAGGAAAAACACTCATGACAAGTGTATTCTTTCTAGAGGGCCAATCTTTAGACAGATAAGGAAAGTTCAGGGAGAGCCCCTCCTTGCACTATTGCAGGAGAAAGAGGGTAAGAGACAGAAGAGCAGGAGGTCAGAGTGACATTGGTTCTGAAGTTGCTTCTATGGTCTTTCAACTCCTTTGATTCAAAGTACTCAGCATTCCAAAGTGCCATAGGAGGTATCAGTTTCTCAACCCCAACAGTAAGGTTTTGGGGACTGTTTTGTGCTAGCAAAGGGTTTTCTTTCTTTCTTTCTTTCTTTCTTTCTTTCTTTCTTTCTTTCTTTCTTTCTTTCTTTCTTTCTGTCTTTCTTTAAACTGATGTCTTAGAGGGGAAATGTTTAAATATCTCTTGAGTGCCTTCACCTAGATTGTAAATATGTATAATTTGTAGAATTAAATCTCAGTAATTTGTAAACTCTAAATACTTACACACTAAAGGAATGGATTTAATAATTTATTTTATGAAAAAGTATTTAACCCAATTGTATCAGTTGTGATCCAATCAGGAGGGAGAAACCAACACAGTAATGTGAACAGAGGAAGTTTGATATAAAAGTTATTAATTTTAACAGGAGATTTGTGTATGGAGGAATAGGATTGTAATAAATGAAAAGAATTTTATAGAGTACAGGATTAGCTGATGCAAAAGTGAGGGAGTGTTCTCCAATCCCTGGTGCTGAAATACAGCATCCAGTAAGACTGCTCCCTCCCTACCAAGATGAGATTCAAGCCTTATTGGAAAGGGTAAGAATGTGGCTCACTACCATGTGTCCATGTGTTCTCAACACTCAGCTCCCACATATAAGTGAGAACATGCACTGTTTGGTTTTTCTGTTCCTGCATTAGTTTTCTGAGGATAATGACTTCCAGCCCCATCCATGTCCCTACAAAAGACATGATCTCATTCCTTTTTGTGACTGCATAGTATTCCATGGTGTGTATGTACCATATTTTCTTTATCCAGTCTATCATTGATGGACATTTAGGTTGATTCCATGTCTTTGCTATTGTGAATAGTGCTGCAGTGAACGTACACATGCGTATATGTTCCTGATTGAATGATTTATATTCCTTTGGGTATATACCCAATAATGGGATTGCTGGGTCAAATGGTATTTCTGCCTCTAAGTCTTTGAGGAATTGCCGGGGAGAGAACAACACAGACTAGGGCCTGTTGGAGGGTGGGGCATGGGAGGAGGGAGAGCATCAGGAAGAACAGCTAATGGATGCTGGGCTTAATACCTAGGTGATGGGATGATCTGTGCAGCAAACCACAAGGCACATGTTTACCTATGTACCAAACTGCACACTCTATATCCTGAACATGTTCCCTTGAGCTTAAAAGTTGGAAATCAAAAATTAAAAAAAAGAAAAAAAAGAAAAGAGAATGTGGCTCTCACTGGGTGGCAGAGTAGTTGCAGTGGGGCTGTACTGGAAGAAATTGCTGAAAATATGCCTTTTGGGCAGGCAGGAGATTCATCCTCTGGGGTGTCATGGAAAGCTATTGATTTTTCCAGAGAGACTCAACTGCTAAATTATCTGAAAGGAGTGCAAAAGGAAGCTGATGGTCTCTGGGTGCTGCTGAACAGGAGCCAGGTGTTGGAGAAGGTGTGTTCCACTGTGAGAGCCTGATGAGGGAGCATACCAGACCTGGGATGAAATCCCTTCCACCTCCAGCATCTCTCCACCACCATCTGCTGGCAAGTTTTTACATTCTGGCAGCTATTTGAAGGGCCCAGATTCTTTTTCTCAGAACAGGCAATAGTGAATTTGCCTCTGGAAGGCAATAAATTAATTACTGGTACAGTCACCTTGTTGCTGGAAACAGTTGTTTATTCTTTTTTTTTTTATTGCCATTAACTTGGTGCTTCCTAGGTTAGAATTGATAGTAATTGCAGAGATAAACGGCGTTGTCTATGTCTAAAAATTATGCAAACTTGTAAATAAGTCTAAAGTAGGCAGCATGTCCTTTAAGTGGCATAAGTTGACAAAGTGATGCAGGATATTTTCTTGACCCTTGGTGGGACTCAAAAGAGGGGTGCACCATTTACTCAACCTGTCCTGTTCAACCCCTTGTGGGAGGGAGCACCCATGCAAATGAGTACGGGAATTGAAGCGAATGAGCTCAGGAACTTGCCAGCAATTTAGGTGCCTGCATGAGCAAACTCTGCTCACTCAGGTTGACTGTGTCCCACCCATCGCAGGAGGAAGTGTGCAGGTGAGTGAGTGCAGGAAAAAACTGGCTGCTTTAGTGCTGGCAGGAGCAAACTTCATGCAGGCCTCTTGGCAGGATCCAGGTGGGGTTCCCCAAGGCCCCAGAGGGCATGTTACAATACTCTTTTAGCTCCGCCGCCGTCCACAGAAAGCAGTGTGTTATCAGCTCAGCCAGCCCTTTGGCTTATTGCATGGGGCAGCTGCCCTCTGCTGGCAATGGCAAAGGGCCACTGTGACAGCCTTTGTGGGTGTCCACACTTGGTGCATCCCAAATTCTTGTCCGGTGCCCAAGAGGAATGAGGTCGCAAATATAAATTGAAGGATGGTGAATGTGGTGAATTTTATTGCGTGACGAGAGCGGCTCTCAGCAAGAGGGGAGATGGAAAGGGGATGGGAAGGGCAGGTTGCTCTCCTCTGATATTAAGTCACCTCTGCCTCTCTCTTGTGAAGTCAAGTTGCTGCTTTCCGACATCCAGCTGCCATCTCTGGAGTCAAACTGCCTCTCTCAACATCCAGCCACTTTTCCTCTCTGCTGGCTGAGCCTGAGGTCTTTATAGGCACAGAATTGGGGCAGGGTGGGCTGTAGGTGGTTATGGAAAAAGCAACATTCAATTGGTAAAAATATGCTATTCAGAAAGAACCAATCGGGAGAGAGCGGGTACACAGGGATGGAAGTTCTCACTTCGGGCCATTGGGTTTCAGGCTTTTTGACTCAGGGATGGGATTTTGCCAGGGACCTGCCCCTGTCTGCCTAGAATTTCTCAGACTCCTGCCTCTATCATTGCATCAAGAGGCCACTTGGATATTATAAAAGGCAAAAAGTGCAACAGTTATAAAAGTGTGGGCCTTGAACCAGCAATTTTAGCTTTACTGTGTAAACTTAAGAGAAATGCAAAATTGCATGTCAAGACCTACTGAATCAAAAACTCTGAGGATGAATCTCAGCAGTTTGTATTTTAACGAGCCCTCCAGATGGATCTGATATGTGCTAATGCTTAATAACTAATCATCTAGAGTAAAGTACTCAGTTCAGTTCCGTATTTATTATTGAGTTAGAGTCCCAGGCTTAATGAAGTTTTATGTAAATTGGAATTTTCTTCCCACTTGACAAATATATTTCATGGAAGAGGAACAAATAAGCACAAAAGTGTATAGTCTACACAAGAACACCTAAAACAATTTCCTTTAAGCACACACCCCATTATACCTTAGTGTGACAAATTTAACATGTTCATTCACATGGTCACAAACTTGAACCATCACATAGCATAGAAGAATTAGAAGCAAAAGTAAATAAGATTAAAATTATTCTTAGTAATCAATGTTACACTGCTCAGACTAGTTAGAAATTATTTAGTTGCCCAGTAATTGTGCTTAATAAAACAGACTCTTTGGGCACAGACTTTCATAATGATATGGCTTAGAAAACTTTCAGGCTGCCATGGTAGGCTGCATTACAAATTCTAAGACTCTCAAGTCTGGAAGCAAATGTACTTGATGAGAGCAGACGGCAGACCCAAGATTCTTTGGAATAAGCAAGACTGAATGAAATAATGAGGAGGACTTGCTTGTAGTTACTGGTTGGTTATATTGTTGGCATGATTTTAAACAATTTTCCTACTGCACTTCTAATTGACATGCTAGTGAACAAACTCAGACTCTTTTCATGTTCAGCCTTTGCCTGTTTATCTAATGTTCTCTTTCCAATAACATATTTCACTCCTGTTTATTGCCTGGATTTTGTTAATGGGGTACTCCACTCTGTATCACATTCATATTTATCTTACAACCTATTTTATAATAACTACTTTAGTCTATTTGGGTTGCTATAACAAAATGCCATAGACTGGGTGGCTTATAACAACAAAAATCTATTTCTCATAGTTCTGAAAGCTTGGAAGTCTAAGACCAAGGTGTAAGCAGATTCGGTGTCTGGGGAGGGCCCTCTTTCTGGTGCATAGATAGTGCCTTCTCCCCATGTCTTTAAATAGTGAAAAAGAAAAGGCAGTGCCTGGGTTCTCTTTGATAAGGACCATAGTCTCATTAATGGGGACTTTCTCTACATAACCCCATCACCTTCCAAAGGTGCTGCTCCTTAGCACCATCACATTGGTGATTAGGTTTTAACATAGAAATTTTGAAGGGATACAAACATTCAGACCACAGCAATAACTTTATACTCCTGGTGAGCTGCGGCCAGCTAACTAAAACCTTGTTCTACTAAGTATTCAAATTATATTTTACATGTCAACTAATGAATGTTTCCAGCTAGGTCCTTCATAATCATCACTTCATATTCCCATATAAGAAACAAGATTGCATACCAGCAATTCTTTTAAGATAATTTTAAATTTAAGTTTGTAAAAATTGATAAGCCATATAACAAACATACATGAGGAAAATATTAATATCACTTTATTCTCATCACTAAAAGGGAAACGAGAAGCTTCATTAATTAGAGGTCATTACAATAATAGGTATGTATGAGGAAATAAAGCCATTTTCTTATGATAGTAGCAGAACTGGAATGGAAAAGCAAACTATAGAATCTGTTATTAATGTAGACATTGTAAAGCTAAAAATTCAATATGTAAATGCAGGATATTTATGGACTTCAGCTTGGACTATATTATCTCTATGATCCACCAACTTTATAAAATTCTATGGTGATCAAAGATGAGGGAGAATTTAAGTACCTAAAATTTAAAATGTTGAGAAAAAAATATGAAGCTGGAGGAAGAAAAGGAATAGAAACATACAGGACAATTTTGAATGTGAGTCTATTTTCTAACTTACGTTGGACATGAAAGTAGGAAAGTCTGATAGAGAGTTGTAGTTACAGGATTGGTCTTTTGCAAAATATTAGTCCTGGAGATATGCTTCTTAGTATTTTTCTCAAATTATTTCTAAATTATGAGGTTCCTTATAATAAAATTAAAAGCCAATGAACATAGATATTATTAGTTGTAATATAAAACAAATAGAACATGAAGCAGTGCTATTAGTTAAAATGAATTGCAAAGGGCTGGTCTGGACTCAGTCAAAGAATGTTTGGGTCTGCCAGCTGGCATGACTAATAATTAGACTTATTTCACTTGAAATTTGATTTATTACTAAACCAGGAAACAAGAATTGCATAGAATACATGTGTAAAGAGAGAGTGAGTAAAGAAAAACAATAGAGTTGCACAGCTCATCTATGTTGCCCTAGTTCCTCACGGGGGCATGGCAGAACCATAGGGTCCATGATGTAGAGTAATAGTAGTTAAGGCACAAGGCTATTAATATGAACGGAGAGTGCATTAATCCATTCTCACACTGCTATAAAGAACTGCCCAAGACTGGGTAATTTAGAAAGAAAAGAGGTTTAATTGACTCACAGTTCTGCAGGGCTGGGGAGGCCTCAGGAAACTTACCATCATGGTGGAAAGGGAAGTGAACACATCCTGTTTCACATGGATGCAGGAAGGAAAAGTGCCAAACCAAAGGGGAAAAAGCCCCTTGTAAAATCATCAGGTATTGTGAGAACTCACTATCATGAGAACAGTATGAGGGTAACCGGCCCCCATGATTAAATTACCTTCCACTGGGTCCCTCCCACATCACTTCAGGATTATAAGAATTACAATTCATGATGATATTTGGGTGGGGACACAGAGCCAAACCATATCAGAGAGGCTATACTTATATCAAATAAAACAGACTTTAAGCTAAAAACAGTAAAAATAAACAAAAAGGTTATTATATAATGATAAAGCGATTCATTCCACAAGGGGCTATAACAGTCTTAAACATATATGCAACTGGCACTGAAGCACTCAGATAAATAAAGCAAATATTCCTATCTAAAGGGAGAGCTAGAGTCTGATACAATAATAATTGGGAACTTCAATACCAGACTCCCAGCATTAAACAAATAACTTAGACAAAAATTAACAAGAAAACATCAGACTTAAACAGTACTATAGACCAAATAGACCTAACAGACATTTCAAAAACATTTTAGCCAATAACCGCAGAATACACATTCCTCTCATCAGCATATGGAATATTCTCCAGAATAAACCATATGTTAGACCACATAAAAGTATCAACAAACTTTAAAAAATCAAAATCATATCAAGTATTTTCTCAAACCACATTGGAATAAAACTAGAAATCAATGCCAAGAGGAACATTGAAAACTATACAGATACATGGAAACTAAACATGCTTTAAACAACCGTTGGGTCAAAGAAGAAATTAAGATGAAAATTTTTTTAAAAAATTCTTAAAGCATATAAAAAATGGAAACCCAGTATGCCCAAACCTATAGCATACAGCAAAAACAGTGCTAAGAGTGAAGTTTATAGCAATAAATGCCTACATCAAAAAGTAGGAAGATTTCAAATAAACAATCTAACAATGCACCTCAGGAAACTAAAAAAGGAAGAAAAAACCAAAACCACAATTAGTAGAAGGAAAGACATAATAAAGATCAGAGCAGAACTAAATGAAATAAAGACTAAAAAACCAATACAAAAGATCAGTGCAATAAAAAGTTGACTTTTAAAAGAGATAAAATCAATGAACTGCTAGCTAGACTAACCAATCAAAAAAGATATAAGACCCAAATAAACAAAATCAGAAATACTAACCGGGACATTACAACTGATACCACAGAAATGCAAAAGATCACTGGAGACTGTTATGAATAACTACGTGTTAAAAAAGACTGAACAACCCAGAGCAAATGGATAAATTCCAGTACATACACAACCTACTCAGATTGATTCAAGAAGAAATAGAAAAGCTGAACAGACCAATAACAAGTAGCAAGATTGAATCAGTAATAAAAAGTCTCCCAAGAAAGAAAAGCCCCAAGCAGATGGCTTCACTGTCAAATTCTACCAAACGTATAAAAATCAATACCAATTATACTCAAACTATTACAAAAAACTGAAGAGGAGAAAATTCTTTCTAGCTTATTCTCTGAGGTCAGCGTTATCCTGATACAAAAACCAGACAAGTACACACAGGCAAGTAAATACCCTGACTATAGTTTATACATGAACAGTGAATTGTATGTTTCAAAATACCAAGAAGAGAGGACATGAAATCTTTCAAAAACATAGCAATTGTAAATACTAAGACTGATGGATACCCTAAATATCCTGCCTTGGTCATTACATATTCTACACATGTAACAAAATTTCATATGTACCCCATAAATGTGTGCAAGCCTAATGTATCAATGTAATAAATAATAAAAGTAAGTGTAAATCAAGAGTAATTTAATTGCAAAATTAATTGCAATCTCTGAAACTTGTAAATTGTAGTTCGGAACAAAACTGTTTATTCAAAAATTTATTTTAATCAATATAAGTGCTTAAGGGTTGTGCAGAATTCAATGATTAGTTATATTTTTGAAGTGTTTGCATACCTATAGCTGTAGAATGTATACACAAAAATGTCTAAGTTGATGGAGAGCCTGATATATGCCTCTGATAGGTATATGATAATGTAAAAGGTGGGTTGAAATGGTCAGGACATGTAAGCACTATTTCAATTTAGAAGAAAAAGGATACTACTATTTGGATTTGGCTTTGAAAATCAAATACACGTGATGTGAACAGAAAGAAGAGACATCCAAAACATACGTAAGCCATATAAAGAGGGAAAATAGAAACATCATGCAGAACCACAGAGGAAGAGAAAAGAAGGCAGATGCAGAAGGAGAATGTAAGAATGATGCATGAAAAATGAAGAAATGAGAAGAGCAGCAGGGAGGAAGGGGGGAAGAAATATCAGAGTATTAAAGGAGTTTTCTCAGTTGCTACATCATCATTATTTTGTATGTTATAAGCTTCTCTTATTATTGCCCCTTGAAGAGATCTTTACTCAATGAAATACTACTCTACAACTTCCATTATATCTCAAAATTCTATAGTTCCTCCTTGAATAGGGGTAACCATTGTAGTTTTCTCAAGGAAATATGTTTATTGACTATAAGAATATTGGCCAGAGTAATGGTGAGCCTTTGTGGTTTTCATATTCCCATCATCCACATAGTAAATAAATATTTACTTTGATTTTCAAAATTGATGCTAATTAATATATGTGAATATATTAAGAAGAAGCCAGAAGGTAAGTGATCAGCTTCTCCTTAGAGGAAAAAAAATATTTTGCATCTTCTTGCAACTTAGAGTTGAAGATTTTATTCATTATCTCGATGCTATACGATTCATACAATCTTTGGTCACTTTAATTTATGGTTAAAGTTAAGAAAGTAATTCTTATGGGAAGACAGTTGTATCCTGAATTATATTTATTTCAGAAATCAAGGATGCAATGTAAAATGTTTCAGATTTCATTTTTAAGGATCATATTCTGAAGTCGAGGCAAATATCTGCTGTTTCTTACAAATGATTTTCTAAGTTGAACACAGTTATGTAGTACATTGCAAAGCAAACTTTTTCTTGATAAATTTAATTTTCATGTGCCTTTTCACTGACTAGGCTCAATGTTGATTCTGATCCTAGTTGCAACATAGTTTGCTTATTAGTTAGGTCTAGCTATAATGAATTGCTTTTAAAATAAAAGATACAACAAATAAATGCTTTTATAATGGTTGATTTTCATTCTATAAGCATTGATATAAACTTAGTGAATTCTTATTCCTCCAACATTTTTAGATTGATTTAAATGCATTTGTCAATTATTTTCCTATCATCCTTATATAAAAGAACTCTGATTATGGGATAATATATTCTAAGCATTGTGATGGAGGCAGTCACCCAGTGCCTAGTGTTGTATGTATGGATTTGGTAACATAAAAATTCATTCTTCTTTCTGAAACATTTTATAAAATTCTCTGAAGTACAGCTACAGTAGCCAGGCTTATTAAACCAAAATACATAGTTTTTAAATATTTTATCAGGCAAACCTAAGTACAGAAACTTTAATCAATTTAACCTTTGTAATTAGTCAGTGTGACCTAGCAAATTCCTTTATATTTCAAGGTTAAAAGTTATTCATTCAAATGAGAAGATAAGTATATTATCACTTGTTAAATATTATATGCCAGGTATTGTTGTATGTGGAACTTTTAGACCATAATACTTCCATCCTGATCACAATCCTAAGTGATGAGTACTGGTATAAGAAAATCTACTTAAACGTTTATGTTAATTATTCAAAGTTACACAGCAAGAAAGCAGTGTGCTCACCTTTGCACTCAACTCTATTGGATTCCAATGTCTTCACTGATGCATAAGAAATTAGCCATTGCCTTTCAAATTCCACTTGTTCTCTTTTTCTTTCACAAACTGACTTTGTGAAAGTAAATCAGTGCAAACATTTTCTCCCATTCTGTAGGTGGTCTGTTTACTCTGCAGACAGTTTCTTTTGCTGTGCAGAGTTCTTCAGTTTAGTTAGGTCCCATTTGTCAATTTTTTGTTTTCTTGCAGTTGCCTTTGGCATTTTTCTCATGAAATCTTTGCTCATGGCCTATGTCCCGAATGGTATTGCCTCAGCTGTCTTTCAAGGTTTTCTTAGTTTTGAGTTTTACATTTAGGTTTTTAATCTCTTTTGATTTAATATTTGTATGTGGTGTAAGGAAGGGGTCCAGTTTCAATTTTCTACATATTGAGAAGTGAAGCCAGCTGGACTTCCTGGGTCAAGTGGGGACTTGGAGAACTTTTCTATCTAGCTAGAGGATTGTAAACGCAATCAGCGCTCTGTGTCTAGCTCAAGGATTGTAAATGCACCAATCAGCACTCTGTAAAAATGCACCAATCAGCACTCTGTGTCTAGCTAAAGGATTGTCAATGCACCAATCAGCACTCTGTAAAAACGCACCAATCAGCGCTCTGTGTCTAGCTAAAGGAAAATAAACGCACTGATCAGCCCTCTGTAAAAACGCACCAATCAGTGCTCAGTGTCTAGATAAAGGATTGTAAACACACCAATCAGCACTCTGTAAAATGGACCAATCAGGGCTCTGTAAAATGGACCAGTCAGCAGGATGTGGGTGGGGCCAAATAAGGGAATAAAAGCTGGCCACCTGAGCCAGCAGCGGAAAGTGCCCTTCCATGCTGTGGAAGCTTTGTTCTTTCGCTCTTCACAGTAAATCTTGCTGCTGCTCACTCTTTGGGTCTGCAACACCTTTATGAGCTGTAACACTCACTGCAAAGGTCTGCGGCTCCATTCTTGAAGCCAGCGAGACCAAGAACCCACTGGAAGGAATAAATTCTAGACACAATATGGCCAGCCATTTCTCCCAGCACCATTTATTGAACAGGGAGTCCTTTCCCCATTGCTTTTTGTCAGGTTTGTCGAAGATTGGATGGTTGAAGATGAGTGATCTAATTTCTGGGTTCTCTATTCTGTTCCACTGGTCTATGTGTCTGACGAAGGTCTAATATCCAGCACCTATAAGGAATTTAAACCAATTTACAAGGAAGAAAAAAAACAATTCCATTAAAATGAGGGCAAGGGACATAAACAGACATTTCTCAAAAAAAGATCCACATGCGGCAAACAATCATGAGAAAAGCTCAAAATAACTGATCATTAGAGAAATGCAAATCAAAATCACAATGAGATACTATCTCACAAAAGAATGGCTATTATTTAAAAAGTCAAAGAATAACAGATGCTGGTTAGGTTGTGGAGAAAAAGGAATTGTTTTACACTGTTGGTGGGAGTGTAAATTAGTTCAATCATTGTGGAAGAGTGTGGTGAGTCCTTAAAGACTGAACTACCATTCAACCCAACAATCCCATTGTTGAGTAGATACCCAAAGGAATACAAATTGTTCTATTATAAAGACTCATGCACACATATGTTTATTGTAGCATTATTCACAATAACAAAGACATCAATCAATCCAAATACCCATCAATGATAGACTGGATAAAGAAAATATGGTACCACGGACTACTATGCAGCCATAAAATATGATGAGATAATGTCGTTTACAGGAACATGGATGGAGCTGGAAGCCATTATCCATAGCAAACTAATGCAGAAACAGAATACCAAATACTGCCGTTCTCAGTTATAAGTGGGAGCTAAATGATGAGAACACATGGACACATACAGGGGAATAACACACACTGGGGCATATCGGAGGGCAGAGGATGGGAGGAGGGAGAGAAGGGGGAAAAATTACTAATGGATACTAGGTGTAATGCCTGGGTGATGAAATAATCTTTGCAACCAACCACCATGACACAGGTTTACCTATGTAAAATACCTGTACATCCTGCATATGTACCTTTGAACTTAAAATAAAAGTTAAACAATTTACAGAACACGGGAGACATCTGTATTTTGAACTTTGCATAGAACTGATGTTTCTTTATAATTAAATTTAGTTTATAATTTACTTTTTGGGGGACCAATATCAGAGCAGTGATGTTGTGTTTTTCTGTGTAAATCAGCACATGATAAAGATTTGTCCTAGTACAGTTGATGTTAAATTTACTCAGCCATAGAGCTTTCTGACAGATTTTTCTATTATAGGGTTAATTGTTTTTCTCTTCTTTATTAAGTATCTTAGGGAGATTTACCAGATAATGTGCATAAACTGTCACCTTTAATCTGGAAGCTTCCCTTCCTACTTAAATTTTCTTTGCACATATCTGTCTTTGGAAATGAAGGCTCTCGTCTTTGTTTACGGGTCAGAAAAACTGGGAAAAACCCAGGCTCTTCCACTTATTCGATGTTTGGCACAATATTCTTCTTGAGCCCAAAACATGGTGTTATTGGTAAGCTTGCTAGAAATTTAGAAACTCAGACTTTATTCCAGATCTCCTGAAAAAAATCTCTGCAGGACAAATTAATCTAGTTTATTGTTCACATCAAAATTTGAGAAGTATCGTCTAACTCACCATGACTTTTCTCTCTGAGAAATATACACAACTTATTGTGTGTGATGTAAATAAAGCACTGAAAAATGCAAAAAAAAAAAAAAAAAAAAAAAAAAAAGGTAAATCAGTCGCTCTCTTGTTCTCTGGCATCTGGTTGGGTTCAGCCAGTGAACGTTACCAGCAGGTGATTTCAGCGATTGATTGGAAGTCTTAATAGTTTATCATGGAGGGTCATGTGGAAGACAGGAATAGTTACAGGGACATGAGTAGATAGTGGAGGGAAGGAAGGAATTTGGGTACTTTTATCTTTAGGTGGACTCTGGCTGAGGAATACGTTTATTATATCTAAAATATGCTCAGATATTCTACTGTTTAAGACACTGGTATATAATTATATGCTGATATTATTCAGGATAGAGTGATTATGTGATTAAAAAATGGACTTGCTCTACCAACGGACTTGCTCTTATGAGCGTTTTGGTCTACTGTGGAAGATGTATAACAACATTTTAAAACCCAAGTATGTATTATTGAAAATTATAATGAGAATGTTGACTAAAACTATTTTTTAATAAAATGAGCAATTAAAACAAGAAGAGATATCTAAGAGGAGGGGTCCAAAACAGTTGTTCCTATTCTGTGAGGGAGAGTATTCAAGAGAGACAATCAAGAAACAATACAGAGTCCAGGCGCAGTGGCTCACACCTGTAATCCCACCACTTTGGGAGGCAAGGCAGGCGGATCACCTTAGGTCAGGAGTTAGAGATCAGCCTGGCCAACGTGGTAAAACCCTGTGTCTACTAAAAATACAAAAAATATATATATATCAAGGCATAGTGGGGGGCTCCTGTAATTCCAGCTACTCAGGATGCTGAGGCAGGAGAATTGCTTGAACCTGGGAGGTGGAGGTTGCAATGAGCTGAGATCGCACCATTGCACTCCAGCCTGGGCAACAGAGCAAAACTCTCTCTCAAAAATAAAATAAAATAAAAAAGAAAGAAACAATAGAGATGAAGAGAATAGTGTAGTAGGATCTAGGGTTAAAGACATAAACAGAGATCATGTAGATTTATTTTGTTAAGTGAAAGTGGGGAAAGTTCAGTTTTATTTGACAAAGGTTAGAGACACATGCTTGGAGTTTTACCAAACAGGTGATATGAAGATATAAATTATAAATAATAATTATACTGAGCAGTAAACCAAAAACAAGTAAGTATATCCTCAGTTTTAGCACAAAATCTTTGACAAACATTTGTAAAATTTTCAGAAGTGTAATGTTTATTCTTCTAGCATTCCTAGAGTAAGATCTCTAGCAGGACCATATTGAGCCTGAAATGTTTGATCAGTTCACTCAAAATGGGCAATAGAAGCAATATTGACAAGTCTCCACTCTGTCATTAGAGATGAGCTATAACACATGAAAGAAATCAGATATTTTGGCTCTTTGATCCTGCCGTGCTTTCCAAAGTGAAGCCCACAAGATGCTATGCAGCCATTTAGTCTGGGTTCAGAATATTTTGGCACCTTTCTACACAGTAGTAAATTAATGTTTGAGGAAATAAACAATTGCATGGATGGCCCAATCTGCATGCTCAAACTATAATTAGTATTTCCACAGTTCTTTGAAGGCCCGACATTAATACCATAAACAAACAAGGGAAGATAACAGTGATTGCAACCAATAAAATATAATTTAATTTAAAAATCAACCAAAGAAAGTTAAGCTGTTTCAAGTGAGCATGCAATTAAAATAAATATATGAAGTGAGCCAAAGCAACAAAATTAATGTCTCTTGCATAATGGTTCATTATCAAACATAGTAAACACATACACACATGCTCATAGATATGCACACATGAATATGCACACATACACACACACACACACACACACACACAAAATTTTTACCTGAGACCTGGCACAATCCTGCATATGGCCCTAGCAAGAAGAGGAGAACTGAGTAAAATGGTGGGTGAAAAAGTTTAGAATTAGGCAGGACCTGGGATTAGGGAAAGGCCTGAAGGACAAGAGCCTGATATAGTTTATTAGTTAGAAATTTAAGACCACAAGTAGCTCTCAGGGTAGCTGACTTTAGTAGGCATCAGTAAGGTCCAATTTAGGGAAACACTAGTCTGATGAACCATGACAACTTTAAGTTGCGTTTTGACATAGGAAGATCATAGCAGAAATGATTATCATAGGGTGTCAAGGTCCTAGCCATCAGATGGAAGTATAGGATTAGGGAATTAGTACTAAGAGGAACCCAGAAATAGTAAGATGTCACCCCTTGTTTAGAATAAAATAAAAAGCAGGGAGGTTATAAACCAGGACTGAGACTCAAAGTGTAAAACAGAATACCAGTCAACTGAAGTGAGGTGTGAAGTCCAGCCCATATTTCTAGGAATAGGCATTAGTGCAGAATTAGAATATAGCACAAAGTTAAGGCAACATTATTGTAAATATCAAGGGGTAAATTTGAGCTCCTCATCTTACTACTGAATGGCCAGAGCATTTGTCATAAGGATGAAAGAGAACTAAGCCTATAAATGAGAGTCCAATGGTTCAGCTGAGGATAAACAAGTCGGCAGAGGTTGGGAATCAGATTGAGTTTAATGGGTAGATTGTGTTAGGATGATCAGAGACTAAAATAAAAGGATATGATCACTTTATTCATTTATCTTCATAGGTAGATAGATGGATAGAAATATAATTATGTATATGGATATAAATGTACAGATATTTTATATCTTAAACAATTTGATTGAATGTAAAGAATTTAGCACAGCTTCTTAAATATTAACTACTATTTTATTGTGACTAATATTCAAAATGTCTCTAATACTAATTTCCATGAGTCATGGTGAAACCTACCCAATTGTCCCATAGAACTGGTGTTTATGGTTTCTTTTGAATAAACATAGAAATTTACTGTCCCATCTTGAAACTTGAGAAAGTTACATTTGTCTTATGTGAGTTTCTTTATCAAGAAACCAGCCACCAAACCTCCCAGATAGCATCAAGGAATTGAAACTTACCAGATCAACACAGCTGGACAATGAGATGTTATATCCCTCGCCTGCCATTATTAACTAACCAACCATCTGCTTCCTATTGATGAACTCTGCTTCATTACCCCTCCCTAATTCCTGTTTTCCTATACATGGTTACTTTTCTTCCTGTCACATAAATCCCTAATTTTAGTTGGCCAGGGAGATGGATTGGAGACTGATCTCCCATCTCCCAGGCCGCAGCACCCAATTAAAGGCTTCTTCCCTGGCAATACTCATTGTCTCAGTGATTGGCTTTTTGTTTAGTGAACAGCAGGACCTAGAACAAACTCCTGGCATTTCAATAACAATGTTCTTTGTGACATCATCCCTGATAGCCAGGTTCTATTAAATTTGGGCACACAAAACAATTAATGTTTCAGTTAAGGTCACTAAGTAGCAAGTGGTTCTTTGAACAAAGATGTGCACGAGCAGATTTTGCAGACAAAAATTGAATGCATTATGACACTAGCCTGAAGTTATATACTTAATAGATTTGAATTTATTTCTATAGAAAATCATCAGATTTTAATAAAAATTAATCACCTACTTATTTGTATCTTCATTTTTGTGGCCACGAATGCATGCACATTAAATTGCTCCAGATATTTGATTTAATTCTCCAGTTGGGTGGGTTGTGTGATTTAGTAGTGGCCATTGAGTGGCCAAGGAATGGCTTGAAATTCAGTACGCTGATTACGAGCCCATACAATATTCCAAAGTCTATAGCATTGTGTTTTCCCATCTTCCATCTGAATGAAAGGACTACACAGACAAAGAACAAGTCAGCCAAAGGATCAAAGAGGCTCAAACCCTAAATTGCCACTGGGAGAAAAGATGCCCAGGAGAGCTGTCTAATGCCAATAATCAGATGTCTGTTCGACTACTGCTCTAGCAAAAAATAACCATTTGTCTTGTGAAGCCATTGAAATTTTTGGGTTGCCTAACCAAACCTTACTTCTAAAAGTTTAAATTTTATAATCATCTAAAGTGAAGAAGGTAAAGGATTTTAAATACTCTTAAAAACTTTAATGACTCGAGAGTACACAAAAGCAAGTGACTTTTATAGCACTTGAATAATCCATATTTACATGTATAAAAAAACTGAGCTTTTTGTAGAGAACACAAGTAAAACATCACATGTGGCATTGAATTCACAATCATTATTGCATTTGACTTCTCAGTGAATATAACATTTATAAATTATTTCAATAAGAATAGTTTTATTCCTTTGTATTTGAAGTGGCTTTAGAATAAAAGCCTTATTTAATACAAAAAGAAGTACCCAGTTATGACAAATAAACTCTAGCTATAAATTCTAGTCGACAAAGTAAAATATGTTATAAAGTTACAAATTTAAGAAAAACATTACAATATGCAAAAAAAGTTAACTAATACAATTTCAGTTGAAAACATAAGTGAAGAAAAAATTTACAACACTTGAAAGACAAAGAATCAATATCAACAGAGACTTTCTATAATTAAGGGATACAAATAATAAATAGAAAAGTCTTAAAATATTTTTATCCTTCAAAGCAAATAAAAGGCAACAAACCCCAAAGATATGAAAACATACAATTTCAAAAGTAGTCCAAGAATCAAGTGGAAAATGGCATAATTGTAACCCATTGACAGTGACAGGAGGCAGCCAAGTGCCTAGGCAGATAGGGGCGAGTACACAGCAACAGCCCACCTCCAAGCCAAAGCCTGAAAGCCAAGCTACAAGTTTAATCCTCAGACCAGATTTAGAACTTGTTCTCCCATTTGGCGTGCTTTTCTCTGATTGATTCCCACCCTTTACCTATTTTACATATACCTACTCTTTCCTAATTGGTTTTCTACACTGTTATGCCCACCTTTGAGTGGTGTGTTTGCTTTAACCTATTTTGCATACTCACAAACCAATCAGCATGCACTCCCCAGACTGTGCCTATAAAGACCCCAGACTCAGTCAGTAGATGGGGAAACAACCCTACTTCAGGGAAGAGACAACTTAACTATGGGGAAGACTACCTGCCCTTCCAGTCTCCTCTCCAGCAACCCTCTCCACTGAGAGCCATTTTAATTGTTCAGTAAAATTCTCCACCTTCACCATCCTTCAACCGTCCATGTGACCTCATTCTTCTTGGATGCCAGACAATAGCTCAGAACCCACATAGCACAGGTACTGAGAAACACTGTCACACCAGCCCTTTGCTTTTGCCAGCAGAGATCAGTCACCCCATGTGACAAGGCAAGGGGCCAACTGAGCTGCCAACACACCACTATCCACGAACAGTGGAACTAATAGAGAACTGTAACACCCGCTCTGGGGCTTTGGGGTCATGGGCATCCTCACTTGGGAGCCACCATGTTCCCCTCAGGGTGACACTCCTGGTCTGGCCACGGGCCCTGCACAGAGCATGATACTGTGTCAGTACCTGGAACGGCTGGCCAGATCCCATACTCACTTGCTCACGTGCTCCCTTTTGCAAAGGGTTGAGTGCAGTGGGCCGAGTAGAGGCCCCTTGCCATGAGCAAGCATGATAAAAACCTCTTGTTAACCTTTTGTAAATATGAATAAAAAGAAAATGGTTGAAATATTACACAATTATGAAAATGCTATAAAAGAGTGAAAGGAAATGTGCAATTTTATCCCAAAGATTTTTCATAGGAAATGTTTAGATTTAGGAAATGACTATCATCTGTTTTTACTTAGATAAAAGAATATATTATAATTATAACATATAAAGACAAGAAGTCAGTGGAAATAAATGGTAGAGACAGCACAGAAAAGTGAATAGGTTAAAACGTTGCAAGTTTTAAATGAATAAAATCTAATTCAAAGTAATTGACCTTATGAAGAAAATACTTTGACTGGAAATTTCAGTTAAGTTGTACTTCAAGGAAGGCTTGATCAGGGCTTCTGTTTGGTTTCCCAATTTCTCTCTCAGTATTTCTCACCTTGTCAAGTAGAATTTGTTCTCAGCTTAAGTTTTCTCCAAGTAAAATAACTGAAGTAGTTGCATAGTTTACATGAAAAAAAAAAATCTTTAACAGTGCCCGGAAGAGGAAAGAGTTTTCCATTTCACTACTTACAGTGAGTCTGATTGAAGCAGCTGAGATTGTTTGTCCAATCCTAAACCAGTTATCCTAAGGTGGGTAAAATATATGAATTGCCTTAGCGATCACTCGGATTCCATCCCTGGAACTAAAAGAAGAATCAATCAAATATACAAACCTTATGGCTACTACATAATGGGGGGTAGTGGAATAGCTGCCAGAAAGTCAACCAAGCATGCCCAATAAAATCACCTTCAGAAGCAATACATAGAGCAAATAACATTGAGAAAAACACAAATTAAATAGAAGAAAGACTAGACACATCCTGTCACAGAGCAGAAGAAAATAATTGAAACAAAGGAGACCATTTGCTATATAGAAAAATATATCACAAAGAAATAATCTGCAAACAATAAGTAATTTAAAAGATAGAAACAGAATACACATCAAAAATGATAATCAATAGCATAACAGAAGAAAAAATTCCACACTGTGAACGGAACTTGGATTGGAAATCTAAAACAAACACAAGAATTATCATGCTGAATGGGGAAGAACTGAAATTCTTTCCTCTAGGATCTGGAACCCGACGACTATGCCCACTTTCATCACTATTATTCAACGTAGTACTGAAAGTCTTAGCTAGAGCAACCAAACAAGAGAAAGAAATAAAGGGCATCCAAATTAGAAAGGAAGAAGTCAAACTATCCTTACTTGCTGATGATATAATCTTATTTTTGGAAAAACCTGAAGACTCCACAAATAAATGACTACAACTGATAAATTTAGTAATGTTGCAGGATAAAAAAATCAACATACAAAAATTAGTAGCATTTCTATATGACAGCAGGGAACAATCTGAAAAAGAAATATAAAAGTAATCTCATTTAAAATAGCCAAAATAAAATTAAATACTTAGGAATTAGCTTAACTAAACAAGTGAAAATCTCTACAATGAAAGCAATGAAATAGTGAGTAAAGAAATTAAAGAGGACACACAAAAAAATGGAGAGAGATTTCACGTTCATGGGTTGGAAGAATCCATATTGTTAAAATGTGCATACTACCTATAGCAATCTACACATTCAATGCAACCCCCTCAAAACACCAATGATATTCTGCATAAATTGTTTTAAAAATTCTGAAATTTACATGGAATCATGAGAGACACAGAATAGCCAAAGTTATCCTGAGTGAAAAGAACAAAACTGGAGGAATCACATTACCTGACTTCAAATTCTGCTACAGAGCTATCGTAATGAAAGCAGCATGGTACTGGCATAAAACAGACACATAGACCAATTGGAACACAACAGAGAACTGAGAAATAAATCCACACATCTACAGTAAACTCATTTGTGACAAAGGAGCCAAGAACATATATTGGGAAAAAGACAGCCTCTTCAACGAATGGTGCAGGGAAAACTGAATATCCATATGCAGTAGAATGAAACTTGATTTTTATCTCTTGCCTTATTTAAAAATCAAATATAAGTGCATTAAAGATTTAAGTCCAAGACCTCAAACTATGAAACTACTACAAAAAAAAAAAAATGGGGAAACTCTCCAACACATTGTCCTGGGCCAAAATTTCTTGAGCAATACCCTACAAGCACAGGCAATCAGAGCCAAAATGGACAAATGGGATCACATCAAGTTAAAAAGCTTCTGCACTGCAAAGGAAACAATCAACAATGTGAAGAGACAATCCACATAACTGGAGAAAACCTTTGCAAACTACCCACTTGGCAAGCGATTGATAACTAGAATATATAAGGAGCTCAAACTACTCTATAGAAAAAAAGCTAATAATTTGATTAAAAAATGGAAAAAAAGGTTTGAATAGACATTTCTCAAAAGAAGACCTACAAATGGAAAACAGGCATATAAAAAATGTTCAACATCATTGATCATCAGAGAAATGCAGATCAAAACTACAATGGGATATCAGCTCACCATAGTTAAAATGGCTCTTATACATAAGTCAGGCAATAACAAATGCAGGTGAGGATAAGGGGGAAAGGAAACCCTAATACACTGTTGGTGGAAATGTAAGTTGTACAACCACTGTGGAGAAGAGTTTGGAGGTTCCTCATAAAACCTAAAAGTAGAGCCAACATATGATCCAGCAGTCCCACTGCTGGGGATGTACCCACAAGAAAGAAAATGATTATATTGAAGAGATGTCTGCACTCCCATGTTTGTTACAATACTGTTCATGATAGCCAAGATTTGGAAGCAACCTAAGTGTCCATCAACAGATGAATGGATAAAGAAAATGTGGTACATATACACAGTGGAGTACTATTTATCCATAAAAAGGAATGAGATCCTGTCATCTGTTACAACAGGGATGGAACTCGAGATCATCATGTTAAGTGAAATAAGCCAGACACAGAAAGACAAACATCCCATGTTATCATTTATTTGTGTGTGCTAAATATCAAAACAATTGAATTCATGGAGATAGATTACAGAAAAATGTTTACCAGAAGCTGGTTAGGGTAATGCAGAAGTTGGGGGAGATGGAATGGTTAATGGGTACAAAAAATAGTTAGAAAGATTGAGTAAGACCTGGTATTTCATAGTACAATAGGGGACTATAGTCAGTAATCTTTTAAATGTGCGTTTGAAAATGACTAAAAGAGTATAACTGAATTGTTTGTAACACAAAGGATAAATGCCTGAGGGGATGGATATCCAATTTTCCATGATATGATTACTATGCATTTCATGCCTGACCAGAATGTCTCATGAACCCCATAAATATGTATACCTTATATGTACTCACAAAAATTAAAACAATACTAATACACGATAAAATATGGCAAAATAGCCAAATTTTAATGAGAAAGAAAGAAATTATCAAATATCTCAAGATGAATTATTTTTCTCAAATAAGTGGAAATTAGGCACCGCTCTTTATATTTTCCATATGCCATCTTACTTAGTTTTAATCCTCCCTGCTATAAAATGGTAGGATAAATCCTAGTATCTCCACTTGGTGCTTGAGGAAATTGAAACTGCAAAAGTTTTAAGCAACACAAGTGATAGAGTTACCAAGCTCCCATTTTAACCTAGGCCCACCCAAAACCAAAATCAGCATGTCAATGTGCCATTTAAGAAAGCAAAATGAAAGGACAGCTGCCAGAAGGCTGGATAAAAAGTAGAACTCTGGTACAACAGAATTGTTATCGATGTGAGCTTACAATGACCACGGAAACTAAATACTCATTACACAGATAAGGAAATAGGAACACCCTTCTCCCCCTCTTACCACTGAGTGACTTTCCACTAACGTGAGCCAAACTTGGGTTTTAACCAACCCACTCTCAGCAAATGAACAGCGCCCTAAAGTTAAAGAATCTCTCCTCTGTGTTCCCTGTAATAGATGCACCTAACCGACAGGTAAATATTCACAGGCTGCTCTACAACTAATAAAATGATATATTCAGTCTATTAAAACAAGTTAAAACATGACAGTGGAAATAAATTTTAGCAAAACTATTTCTAAACTATTTTAAACTGCCAAACCACTAGCTTCCTTTAATTTGGGCTTTCCCATGTTAATGTACAACATTCCTAGTGGTGGAAAAGCTTCAGAGAAAGAACAAGACACAGAAAAAAAAAAAAAAAAGAAGAAGAAGAAGAAATAATGTTCTAATGTCAAAGAGCATGAAAAATATAGAATAAAACAAGCAGAAATATGAATACGCTTTGGTACAAAAGAAGATGAGATATTGTATCCCTTCTGCCTCCCAAATCCACCAGACACAAGATATTGGCTTGAGGAGAAAAATCTTAGCAAAGGATGCCAAACAGAGTACACTGGTTATTTTATGCTACCTATTGCTAATACTGACATTGAAAGAGGCCTTTTTCCTGAGTTACTAGATTGAAATAAACATTCATTGTACAGAGGCCATTAATTTTAAAAAATGAGAATCCAATGTATGTGCTGGGGGTTGAATTGTATCCCTCTTAAAATTTGTATGCTGAAGTCCTAACTCCCATTACTTCAGAATGTGACCTTATTTGAAAATAGTCGTTGCAGATGCAATTAGTTAAGATGAAATCATACTGTAGTAGGGTGGGTCTCTAGTCCAACATAACTGATGTCCTGGAAAAGGAAGACTTGGACACAGGCACATAAACACAGGGAGAACACCATGTGAAGGTGAAGGCAGAGATCAGGGTGATACAGCAAAAGCCAAGATGCTAAAGATTGCCAGCAAGCCACTGGAAGCTAAGCTGGTGAGAAGCATGGAAAAGATTCTCACAGCCTTCAGAAGGAACCAGCTCTTCAGATATTTTGATTTCAGACTTTTAGCCTACAGAAATGTGAGATAATAAATTTCTGTTGTTTTGGCCACATCATTTGTGATACTTTGTGACAGCATCCCTGGAATATGAATACAATATGTAATACACTATCTTTTGGGGAGAGATGGTTATACAAGATGATTAATGTATGCAAACTATGGACCATAATACAGGCATAACTAATATATTTATTCTCTGGGTGGGAAAAAGACAAAATGAAGAGGAAAACGAAGACACCAGCAGCCATGTGTGCTGGGAAGCATTCTCAGGGGCTAGGCATTTCAAACCACTTTTAAAATCAGGCTGTTTTGGTTGGCACCGTAACCTTAGTGAACAGCTCCATAACGCTTTTCAGGAGCCTACAGGAATACTTGAGATGATCAAAAACAAAACAAAACAAGCCCCAATTGATTACACACCATCAGAAGATTGAAATGAACACAACTTTAATTAAATATCTATATTTATAACATAAGAAATTGGTTAATTATGAAGCTAAAAGTAAAAATGGATTTATAGTATTTAAAAATGAGATTGTATTTGATTCTACATGAACTCTCGAGATTATATGATAATCTTGGGGAAGTAAATACCAAACAAATTAAATGGAACTCACTTATAGTTCAAATAGTAATTTCAAAAGAAACAAATACATAACATTCTGTCAAAATTTCAGAGCATATACTGATATTTAAGATATGATTATATTTAAATATGTATATATAAGATTTTATGATGGATCATCAAAAGTGATGTAGTTTGGATGTTTGTCCCCACCAAATATGTTGAAATGTGAACCTGAGTGTTGAAAGTGGGACCCAGTGGGAGGTGTTTGGGTCATTGGGACAGATCCCTCATGAAGGGCTTGGTGCCATCCTTGTGGTAATGAGTGAGTTCTCACTCTATTAGCTCACAAAAGAGTTGGTTGTTAAAAAGAGACTGGCACCTCCTTTTCTCTTGCTCTCTCTCAGTGTGACACATTGGGTCCCCCTTTACCTTCTGCCATGAGTAAAAGCTGTCTGAGGTTTCACCAGAATAGGTACAGATGCTGGAACCATGCATGTATAGCCTGCAGAATCCTGAGCCAAAATAAACCTCTTTTCTTTATAAAGTATTCAGTCTCAGATATTCCTTTAAAGCAATCCAAAATGGACTAACACAAAATGTATAACACAAGAGGCTCTTAAAATGTAGCACGTAAGAGTATTCAGCAATGAAACTGTGTTACTCACCTGAAAGATTTGCAGGAAACTGATTTAAATCACTAACAATATACTAATGTTTCGTAAAGCAAATAAATTAAGTCGGCCTTCTACATTCTCAGTTTCAATTAACAAAAATTTAGTTTTCTAGAGCTTCTGTGTTTGAAAATATGTCATGAATTACTGCATGTTTCATCTGCTGTTGGTTGAATCCTTGGAGGCAGAAACTGCAGATATGAAGGGCCAACTAAGGGACTTGAGCATCCACAAATTTGGGAATATTCAGTGGTCCTAGAACAAATCCTCACATATATGGAGGGCTAACTACATTGGAAAACCAGAAAGAATTTCCTTTAATTCATATAACATGGTTTGGCTCTGTGACCCCACCCAAATCTCACCTTGAATGTAATAATCCCCACATATCATGGGAGGGACCCAGTAGGGGGTAATTGAATCATGGGGCCAGGTTTTCCCCATGCTGTTCTCCTGATAGTGAATAAGTCTCATGAGATTTAATGGTTTTATAAAAGGGAGTTCCCCTGCACATGACCCTCTTGTCTGTCATGTAAGACATGCCTTTGCTCTTCCTTCACTTTCCACCATTTTTGTGAGGCCTCCCCAGCCATATGGAACTGTGATTCTTTTAAACCTCTTTCTTTTATAAATTACCCAGTCTTGGGTATGTTTTTATTAGCAGCATGAGACCAGACTAATACATCATAAAAGTGTTTTAATATTTTCAAGTAATAAATAAATTAATGACAAAACATAGACAATTGTTATAAACTTTAAAGGGAAAAATTTCCATGGAATCCTCTTTTTTTAATATTTAAAAAAGCCAACTCCTCAATATCTTTACAGATTTTGGATCAATATGACAGGTAACTTAATAAGAAATTGAGATTTGTTCCTAGAGTTATTTTTTATAAAAAATTCAGTCTCTCTAAAGCTAGTAAAAAAGCCAAAAGACATTGTAAACTATTTCAGTTGAGTGAACTTCACATTCTTTGAATGTTTCTTGTCACTAATATTTTCATTAAATCAAATATTTTGATTTGAAGAATGTTGTTTTGTGACTTTTTTTTTCTGAAGTGTTTTCTTTGATTAAAACAATGCTGATTATGAATGTTTTGATTTTTTTGGTTTGTTGTTGATATTTGGATTGGCCCTCAACCTGCACTGCATCTTTCATTTGGAGAAGTTAGAAAAGTAAAACTCTTTCTGAGGCTTCTTTGAAGCTTTGGCACTAGGAGAGAATTAGTTACCTAATCAATCATGGGATTTCACTCAAGGTTGGAAGGCAGATATGATGCACAGACGATCTCTTTGCAACTTTTTAACATTACTGCTGATTAGGAAGGTCCAGGAGGTAACGGGGTCCTTTAGAACCATGGGTGTCAAGAAAAACACGCCATTGACCTGATTCCCCTACTTTTAAAATGAAGGTTTGGAATTCCATTTTTTCGGGTTCCTGGTGTTAAGACCAACATGACTTCAATGGTGACCACAAAGAAGTAGTGCTCAGTTTTAGAACTTGCACCAATACTTTCAGTCACTTTAGTACCTAAGTTATACCTAGTTGTAGTGAAAGCTCATAATATTATATTGCCTCAGCATCTGTTTTAAATGCAAGTTTATTTAGCCTTCTTGTAACAGAGACAGGACTCAGTCACCCTTGACAAAGTTTTCAGTTCTATACTACACTCAAATCGCTTGAGCAGGTGTCCAGAGATAGGAACTTAGAGACATCTCTCCTGCCTGGTGGACTGGGCTTCCCAATTTCCCACCACTTCCTTTTAATGGACCATTCAGATCCTGCATTCAAACTTAAGGTGACCCACACCCCATTCCCCCATCTAGACTGCTAGTTGCCCCACACTCTCTCTCCTTTTGCCTGTGCTCCCTGACCTTTGCGTACGTGGATTTTAGGCATGAAGTGTACCCCCTGAGGTCCGTAAGTACTGAAAACTCCTAATCTTACATTGAACCTCAGATATTGTACTGAGTTGCAAATGTTAAGAGAGGATCATATAGTTTTAATTAGACCCAGAATTAAAACTATATGATCCTCTCTTAACATTTACAACTCACTGCAATATCTGAGGTTCAAAAATGATGACTCGGATATTTCAGTGAGATGTACTAAACCAGAAAATTTAGCTGCTGATAGTTGACTGTAAAGATCATCTTATTCAAGACACTTATTTAGGAATGGAAGTATAGATAGTACAAGATTCTTAGTTCAAGGTTAAAAATATATTTATACTTCAAAACCAAACTAGAATCTGATTTCATTACATGTGTTCTCCAATTCATATTGTCTCTTATGGTCAGTGGTCTCTGTTCAATTATTCAGGAAAATCTGTTCATGGATGGACTTTGGCAATTAGGTGCATATAATACTATTTGACAGCACAATCCCCTTTCTAGAATCAGGAGTGTAACTCAGTAAATATGAGCCTATGGAAACAGAACTACCACATAGACAACTTGGAACAAGGGCAAATTATGTCCGCCCTGTGCTACACAAGCCCTTCTATGACCCAGTTTGGGCTCTCTTTATTACAAAAGCCATCTTATTGTTCCCCAGGGCATATTTTTGAGTCTCTCCCACCTGAAACTCAGTACCCGAACTCTCCAGGGGGAAGAGAAAATTGTACACCTCCCTTGTCAAGTCTAAGTTCCTCCCTAGTGTTCATTTCCTCCCCAGGACAGTATGCTTTCCTAGACGACTGGACTTGAGAATTCCAGCACACTTATAGAAAACCATGTTCTCTGCATACAGAGGCTGGATCTGCCTTAGGCTTCATGAGCATAATCTATCTGAACATATGAATTCTATGTCACCACATTTGTCCATGTCTGAGTTATTCCATATAAAAATAACAGCAGGCATGAATCTTGAATTGTAGATTGTGGAGTAGAATTCAGAAATCCCAGTTGGTTCTTCTTTATGGTCTCTCAGAGAGCATGAATCCACATATAACACAGCATCTTTGCTCTTAATATCCTTTGTTCAAATGCTTGAACCAGACCACAAACAAAATGCATTTGCCAAGAAATAATAAATATAATTAGAAAAAGTGCAGTCTAAAACCATATTTAGAAAAGAAACATTTCTAAGTGGGATCTTGATATACAGACACAATGAATGAAGAGTCAGTCTCTTATATCATTTGGTAGCATAGTTTAGTTTATTGGAGCCAGGGTGTCTGGAGAGTCAGCATCCCAGATTGGGAACTTTGCTTGAACATTTCATAATTGAAAGCCCATTAAAGTGATTATCTGAACACTATAAACTTGCCTTCTCTGAAGGTAAATTCAAGCGTCAACCTCAAAAATCTCAAACGCAGTTTATAAGCTCAGAGTGGTAAGGCTTTCTGGTTTTTTCATCATCAAGATTTTAAAAACCCTTGGTGTCCAGAATCAGCTGTTGCATATTCAAACCTCAAACTTTTGAAGAAGGAGAGACATTGCAAAAGAACAATCAGGCCAAATGGAAGAGAAGCAGTCACAAGACTGAGAAAGAAAAAAGATTAAGTCTTGAAAAATGGGTAATGGTGAAGTCCTCCCAGTTTTGTGAATGATAGTTCTGCTTTCATATAGACCTTATAGTTTGCATTATTAGCAAATTCCAGTCATTCTTATCTTCTTACTTAGTGACTATGTTCTATATGACTCTGCCAAGGTTGCCATAGCAAAGTACCAAAGACTGAGGGACATAAACAACAGAAGTTTATTTTCTCAAGTTCTTGTGGCTTGAAGTCTGAACTCAAGGTGTTAGCAGGGTTATTCCCTCCTGGAGTCTCTCCCCTTGGCTTGTAAATGGCCTTCTCTCTGTGTTTTCACAGTCTTTCCTCTCTAATATGTGTCTCTGTCCTAATTTTCTCCCCTCATAAAAACATCAGTCATAAGGAGTAGGGCCCACCTTAATGACCTCATTGTTAATATAACTTTACCTCTTTGAAGACCCTATCTCCAAAGACAGTCACTTTCTGAAGTAGTGAGGGTTAGGACTACAACACATACATTTGGGGAAATACAATAAAATCCCTAACATATTACTTATTCTAGCCTTACCTTTATCTTTGTAATGTCCCTGGGAATTTTCACCCTCTCTTGGGGCAAATATATTGAAATTAAAAATAATACTTACATTGAAATTAGTATTTTGGTGTATCTTCCCCTGGTTTTGGCAATACAAAAAATTAAAACTCTTTATAATATTATATAAGCCCTACTCTGTCCCATAATTTTCCCATCAAAAATGAATTATGAGATTATTTAATGTATGAAATATTGCTCAGGAAAGTAGAGTATAATGAATATGTACAATCCACTGCATGAAATAAACACATTGAACATTTTAATTATCCCTTATTTTGACCATTCAGGAGATACACAGTATTTTTACAAATAATAACGTAATGAAGACACCTAGAAAGAAATATTTGTGGGTACATTTCATTAGCCCATAGAATAAATTCATGGTGAGGCAAATTACTGTTTCTAAGTCTATGAATATTTCAAAGGTATTTAAGCCTGCCAAATTACTATTCAGAAGGAAGTTATTCATTACAGATCACACTACAGTAAATCATCAGTAACAGAAAACGAATTGTCTAATATTTTTCATAATGATATGCAAATTTAGTGCTTATTGTCATTCAAACTGACTTCAAGTTGACCAAATAATTTATTGCATTTATTTATTTTTATCTCTTTAAACCTTTTATCAATTTTTCTGTTGACATATTTGTGTATATCTAATTTTTCTGAGCAAATTTACTATAAAGATCAACTTAAAATGGATTATGGTGGCTTGTCCACACTACCAGTTTGGTAATGAAAATTTGCCTATTTGAGTTACCGATATTTTATCGTCCAGTAAAGCACATCATTGAATGTTTAGAACAAGTTCTATAGTGAACATTTAAAATTCTATTTTTAAATTTATTTATTATACTTTAAGTTCTAGAATACACGTGCAGAACATGCAGGTTTTTTACATAGGTATACACGTGCCATGGTGGTTTCCTGCACCCATCAACCCATCATCTACATTAGGTATTTTTCCTAATGCTATCCCTCCCCTAGCCCCCATCCCCCAACAGGCCCCGGTGTGTGATGTTTCCCTCCCTGTGTCCATGTGTTCTCATTGTTCAACTCTCACTTATGAGTGAGAACATGCGGTGTTTGGTTTTCTGTTCTTGTGTTAGTTTGCTGAGAATGATGGTTTCCAACTTCATCCATGTCCCTGCAAAGGACATGAACTCATCCTTTTTTATGGCTGCATAGTATTCCATGGTGTATATGTGCCATGTTTTCTTTTCTAGTGTATAGTTTCTAAAATTTCCTAAATGTACAATGTATTTATTTATTTTTTGTATTTGTGTACATAAAAAGAGCACAAAGTTTGAGACAGTTCAGTCAAGTCATTGTCTCCCTGCTTTGCTTTATATATTTTAGCAGAAAAAGAAATATAACTTGGTCATTTAATTTCCTGTTTTATATCAGGAGACTATTTAGGAATACAAAGAAATGAAGTTACTTTTTTGACATTCTGTTAATTGATTGTAGGACCATGATACAACTGGCACAGAAAAAGTCTTTTATGAGATAATCATGATGGCATAAAATCAGGGCAAGGGAAATAGCATATTCAGATTAGCTAAAAGAACTACAAACACACTATACACTGAAGGAAAAAAACTAAATGTTGTGTTTCATGAACAGGTGGCTGTGATAAATGTGTGAAAGTGTTGGTGAGCTCAAGGCAGTTATGGAAAGAGATGATGGTTTTTAATGTTGTTTGAGCTGTCACTTAGAATGAAGAAGCTAATACTAAAGGGCTGCATAATTGCTGACAATAGCACTGCCAGCCATCAGTTAAAATGAAAAGGAAGGTAGAAATTGGTTCTTTATAAGAGGATCCTTCTAAAATTAGAGCTTACAAAGTAACAGTGTAAAGAATTCTTCATGATTTCATGAAATATCTTTCACTGGGAGAATTCAAGTTGTAGCTATAGCATAGTCTTTCAGAAATGTAGTACATCTTATTGTATATAGTAACAGTCCATAGAATTAGCTAAAATCAGCACATGTGGCTATTAATATCTCCTGAAGTTCATTGATTCTCAGTTCATACTCATAATTTGATTGTGTTTTATCCTGGTTTTATGGAAAATAACACAAATATGTTATTTATTACAGCATATTAAAAAATAGAAATTGTGCCAAAGGAAAATTTATAATATTATTACATGCATACCACTTTTTGTAACTACTAAAATCTTAAGGACATGTTCTGACAACTTTTTATTAAATCTGAGGATATTGACTTAACTGGCGATAAGGCAATTATGTTAACTTCAAAGGAAGCATATAAAACTAGCTTTTGTAAAATAAACGTTTGAAACATGTTTTTAATCATGATATATTATTATAAATCACATACATAGAGCTGAGATTGTGCCACTGCACTTCTGCCTGGGTGACAGAACCAGACTCTGTCTCAAAAAAAAAAATAAATAAAATAAAATTACATGCATAAATAACAAGATAAAAAAGGATAATATTGAATCGGTGACTCCAAAATAATTATTGCAAAAATAATGTGCTGTAAATATTAAATTATTTCATTTGTTCTCTCCCAGTCCATGTTCCCTTGAGCATTTCACTTGCAAAACTGAGCCATAAGTCTAAATATTTCATTGTCTGAGGGAGAAAATAATGGACCCCTTTGGCAAACATACTACTGAAAAAAAACACTGAAGCTCAGAATATGCACATATGGTAGATAGAAGACTTTTTCTAAATTTCTTTGAAATCTCACGAATCAAGCTTGGAAGTTACATGTCATGTCTGTATAGCTATATTCCTTAGCATGAATAAGGTGCTACTTCTACAATGACATTAAAAATAGTTTTGCAGGCCGGGCACAGTGGCTCATACCTGTAATCCCAGCACTTTGGGAGGCCGAGACTGGTGGATCACTTGAGGTCAGGAGTTCGAGACCAGCCTGGCCACATTGGTGAAACCCCCTCTCTACTAAAAATACAAAAATTAACCGTGCATGGTGGCGGGTGCCTGTAATCCCAGCTACCAGGGAAGCTAAGGCTTGAGAATTGCTTGAATTCGGGAGGCGGAGATTGCAGTGAGACAAGATGGCACCACTGCACTCCAGTCTGGGTGAGAGAGTGAGACTCAGTCTCAAATAATAATAATAATAATAAATAAATAATAAATAAAATACAAATAATTTTGCAGAATGAACTTTCTATTGATAGAAAATTCCAGAGTTGAGAATTATATTGTAACAAATATAACAAGTCATTTTAATCTTTTGATTAATGTTAGGAGATACTTTTCTTAAACATAGCTATTACAATCTATAGTAAAGATCTTGTTCAGTTAAGTAAATGTTCAAAACAATTAGTTAATATTGATGAGTTTATTGTAGTACTACTATTTAAATTTTGCTTTTTAAATTAAATGTTCCTTACTTATTGTGGCAGAGGGAGGCAATAATTTGGTAAAGATAAAAAGCCAAAAACTTCACCCAAGCATGGGGACAATTACTACTCAATTGTTCTTTTAATATCAATTGCAAAGCCTTTCTAAGCCTACCATCTCTTTTGAGCTTTATCCTAGTATCCTCTTCACTTAAAATTTCATGGAAACACTATAATCTTGGAAATTTGTAGCTAAGCAGAAACCATTCAGATAAGAAATAAAAGTCCTGGAAGAGAAAAGAACTTGTGCAAATAGAAGAGAAAGAAGGTAAATCTGTGTGCTCTCAAGAAATTAGTTTCATTAGTTTGTTCAGGATTTAACACAAATTGCAAGGGCCACGGTAGAAAATGAGTTTCATGTTGAATGAAAGGATAGAAATAGAATCATAATTTAGGGGAGTAAAAATGTAAATTGGATTGAGTTTTTAAAAATTGAATTTTCTTTTTCTGCATCATTAACTCCTTCTACTCCTCCACCTCCTTTTCCTCTTCCTTCACCTCTTCTTCTTCTTTTTCCTGCTTTTTATGATAAGAACAACCAGATAATGTTTTAGATTTTGCTTAGTACTAGTATTATTTAATACTCATATATTTTATATACTTCACCAATGTATTGTCTTGTATTTTTCTTTGGAGAAAGGCTTTTTAATAACAATTTCAGTTTAGTTAATAGGTATAGAGCTATTCAGACATTCTATTTTTTATGTCAGTTTTACTATGTTGTATTTTTCCAAAAATTTGTCCATATCAAAATCTTTAAGTTTGTTGGAATAGAGTTTTTCATGAATATTTGCATATTGTAATACCTTTTATTATTTCTGATAATAAATAAGTTTTTTTTCTTAATCAGTCTTGCTAGGGGTTTATCAATTTATTAATCTAAACATTTTTATCTATTCTCTACTTAATTTCTCATATCTTTATAATTTCTTTCCTTCTATTTACTCTGTATATAAATTGCTTATCTTTTTCTAGTTGCTTAAGATGGAAAATTATATCACTGATGTTAACCTTTCTTATTTTCTTAAAATATTTACGGCTATGAATTGCCCTTTAAGCACAATGTTACCTGCATTTCACAAATGTTGATACGTGTTGTTATCATTATAATGAGATTCTAAATTGTTTTCTTGTGATTTCTTTCTTGATTAATTATTTTTCCAAACATTTGAACAATTCTGTCTAGTTTAATGTTATAGTATCAAATTTAATTTTATGGCTGTGAATAAATATTCTTATATGACTTCAATTTTTGACATTTCTTGAGATTTATTTTGGGCCAGCATATATTCTGTCTTGGTGAACGTTTAATATGCAACTGAAAATAATGCATTTTCTGAAGTTTCGTAACTGTGACATATTCTTCAGTGTTCTACAAACGTCAATTAGAAAAAGGTCATTGATAGTGTGTTTTAGATCCTATGTATCTTTCCTGGTCTTGTGTCTAACTAATCTATCAGTCAGTGATAATTCAATATTAAAACCTGTAATTGTCCATTTTTTCCTTTACTTTTTTTGTTTTCGTTTTACATACTGTCATGCATCGTTTAACCACAGAAATACAGTATGAGCAATGCGTTGTTAGGTGATTTTGTCATTGTGTGAACATCATAGAATGCACTTACACAAGTCTATAGCCTACTACACACTTAGCCTAGATGGTATGACTTCTGTTCCTTGGTTACAAACCTC
This sequence comes from Homo sapiens, assembly GCF_000001405.40. NCBI lineage: Eukaryota > Metazoa > Chordata > Mammalia > Primates > Hominidae > Homo > Homo sapiens. Next base: position 27,728,806 of record NC_000021.9, on the reverse strand, counting down.
AGCAGGCTTCTGTGCTGAATACTGTAGGCAATTATAACACAATGTTAAATATTTGCACATCTAAACATAAGTAAACAGAGAAAAGGTATGGTAAAAATAAAGTATAAAAGATAAAAACTGGTACACTTGTATAGGGCACTTACCTTGAACGGAGCTTGCACGATTGGAAGTTGCTCTGGGTGAGTCAATGAAGCACTAGTGAGTGAATGTGAAGGCCGAACACATCACTGCACTCTACTGTAGACTAGATACACATTGTACACTTCAGCTACACTAAACTTATCAAAAATATTTTTCTTCAATCATAAATTCAACTTAGTTACTACAACATTTTGACATCATAAAGTAGGTATATTTACATCAGCACCACTACAGGCACGTGAGTAATGCATCACACTGCATTACAACGGCTATAAATTTTTGAGCTCCATTATAATGCTATGGGACCACCGTTATGTATGCAAAACAGAAACAACTTTATGCAGTACATGGCTGTATTTTGAAGCTCTGTTAATTAAGTATGCAAACATGTATGATTGTTATGTCTTAATGAAATGCTGCGCTTTATTTCAGGTAATGTTTATTGTACTGGAGCATACTTTGATATTACAGTATTCATACAATTTACATTTTTACATTTTAGATAGTATATCTTTTTCCATGTTTTATGTTTTAGTCTATTTGTGCCCTATATTAAATATACATATCTTTAAAGAGGATATTTGCTGCAAATATCCTGAACCTAAAACAAAGTTAAAAAAACAAAAGAGGTCTTTTGGTCTTGCTTGTTTTAGTCTACCTGTTTCTTTATGTTAAATATACATATCTTTTAAAGAGGATGTTTGGATCTTGATTATTTTATTAAATCTGACAATATAACAACAGCTAATGTAATAATTAGTATAGTTGGGTTACATTTGTAATTTTTCTAATCTCCATTAGCTAATTTTCTGTAATTGTGTTTTCATTTCTTCCGATTTTGTTTTGCTGTTCTTCCTTTTCTGCCTTCTTCTGGGTTATGTTAATCTTTCAGTGTTACATTTTACTTCTACCATTGACTTTTTGGCTATGCCATTTTGTGAATTGTAGTGCTTACTATAGGGATTACAGTAGGCATCTTTCACTTACTGTAAGCTACTTAGAGTTAATATGGCAGCATTTAATTTGAAGTGTGAGAAGCTTGAAATGATATTGTACGTAAGATGTATATATAAGACCATATATCTATTCTTTGTATTGCTCTTACAAGTGGGTAGTTAGATATGAGCAGGGTAGGAGAGCCCCTTCCCCCTGTCCCAAACAGGAATGTCAGGGGACCATCAAGTGAAGGTCAGGGAGCTGTTATACTGTTTCTCTAAAATAATAATTGGTTATAGCCAGTGCCGGGGAAAGGCAGTCTTCCAATAAGCAGAAACACCTGAGACTGGTGATCAGCAGCTTCCCAATAAGATCTCAGGAGCTGGGTGACTGGGCTCAAATATGCACACTAAGAGGCAAAATTGTGGAGTTTAACTGGTATATGTCCTTCTAGGGATATTTGGCTGGTTAGGGAAGGACACCTCAAGTGAGCATGCATGCATATACAATAAACATGCTGTGCCTGCTCACCTCCCAAGTGCTGGCAGGCCCCTGCACATGCGGGCAGCCCACCCCTAGGGAAGAATCAGGGAGAAGAGACTCAAGAACCAGGAAGCATGTCAACATATCAAACTCCAAGTCAAAAGGACAAACCACACACTTGATCCCGCCAGTCGCCCACTTGGCCCTCTTCCAAGTGTACTTTACTTTCTTTCATTCCTGTTCTAAAGCTTTCTAATAAACTTTCACTCCTGCTCTAAAACTTGTCTGTATCTCTCCTTCTGCCTTATACCTCCTTGTTTGAATTATTTCTTCTGAAGAGGCAAGAATTGAGGTTGCTGTAGACCCATAAGGATTTACTGCTGGTGACATACTTTGGTGCCGTGACACAGATATGTTTTGCTGGGAACATATTTTTGTGCCATGTGACTCAGATACCTTCCACTGCTAACATACTTTGGTGCCATGGGTCTCTAATACGTTTGGCCATTAACATATTTTGTTTCCATGACTTCGACATGGTCTTCAATGGTAAGAGATCTTTATTCCTCACTTGCTTCGGTGGGAGGTGTTCAACACCCATACACAGTTTTCTTCTCCCCTTCTTTCTCCTGCTTACTAACAAACCCCCAGAACAATTCCTCTTGGCCATAAGTGACTCTGCTCACACACACCCACCAGGCTGATCTCTCAGCTGACCCTGACTGGCAGCTTGCAGAGGTGGGAATAACCTTGGGGTTTACACTGAGTAGATCTGAGATGCTAATGGCCCTCCTGGACAGGAGGCTTGTGAGAAAGGTAGGGCTAAAGCCTAAAACCGTGCAATGTCTAGGGTTTCCTCTACCTTTTCAACTAAAATCAGCTCTTTCCAAAAACGCAAACAGCATATTCTCCTGTTTTCTCTGCATGTATTCTGAAATGGCCTTGCACACCCACAGGACTATCTGCTTTGGAGGCAAGTCTGCCTCTTTGCTTTCACTTCACATGCCACATGAATTTTTAAACACACCCTGTTATTTGTGCACCCATGGCTCTTGCTGCATTTGTCTGGCAGCAAAGACACAGGCTGCCTTGCAGAAATACCCTGAGATTTATACTTGTGTTTACCCTACTAGCTCAGATGACCACAAACCCTTCCCTTGTCTGCTGACACATTTCCAGGACAGACACTACTTGGAACCCCAGCTCTGCCAGCTCCTTATGACTTACCATATACTTTTTGTTCCTGTTATACCTCAGAGTCGAGTTTTCAGTGGCTTTTGAAGCAGTTTGTCTAACTGCATAGGGCCTCACTCTGATCCTTTAAGGATCCCACCTACTTACTTTTTTTGAGTTAGCACCCATTTGGAAGGAGGGAGAATTCTTCTTTTGCCAATTGTGAGTTCTTCCCCCAAGCGCTAAGTCTTCCAAAGGTTCTTAATTTATATCAAGAGGGAAAATAAACATTGCTCTCTTGAATTCAAGGGCTGCTATATTTACAAGCGTATTAAGGCTTTCCATGATTATTCCTCTTGCTTCCTACCACTTCCTTCTGTATCCTCCATTTCTCTAATTACTTCTGCATTCTTCACAACATGCATCAAGACCCTCAAGGTCATATTTGAAGGGAGAATGGAGGAAAGTCCATAACTCCCCTTTGGGCAGTTAGCTGAAAAACAGGCTTCTCTTCTACTTAAAGAACATGGGAAATGGAAAGCTGAGAAAAGAGAGTATCTTTTTTTTTTGCTGGAATATTCCAAGAAAGTGTCACTATAAGGTCATGGAAATAAGGATATAGGCTGGCCCAAGGCCACAGGTACAAGAGACCCATAGGACAGAGAGGAAAGGTGGTCCCAGGCTAACAGATTACCATTAGAACAGAGATAAAGGGAAGGTTAGGGGTACATATTCTTAAGTGAGTAGTTGTGATGAGATGGGACCAAAGGTACACAGTTATACCAGTTCATGCCTAAGGACATTGGGGGATGCCCCATTCAGGATAATAGGAAAGTAGAGGGAAGACCTTGTTATTCCTTTTTTCTTTTTCTCTTTTCTGTTCTCTCTTCACAGATGGGTAATTATGTCTTCATACTATAGGACATGCCCCACAGATGCATCCCCCAAAGGGGGGAAAAGTTTGATTTCCCCAAACCTTAAAACAAAAAAATAGTTTTACTTTGTAATCTTGTTTGGCCTAAGTATTAACTGGGAGGAAATTACAAAAGTCAGTCATAGAACCCAGTGACCCTGTGCAGGAGGTCCTCAGATTAGCTTTCTCAGTCTTGTATAACCAAGAGTAGAATAAGGAGAACAGGGTTAAGAAAAAGGAAAAATGCAGGGACAAAAGGCAAGATCAAGTATTGGCTACCTTACAAGCTCTCAATCTCCCTCCAGGTTGTCCTAAGGACATTCCTCCAGGTAATTGCCATTGGTGCTGGAAGCCAGGCCACTGGAAGGTAAACTGTCAGTGAGATAAATAGGAAAAAGACCCACATGGCTTGTCCTCTGTGCCACAAGCTCAACCACTGAAATGGAACTTCTCTGAGGGCTTAAGGGCCCCAGGACAGAATCCCAACCCTGGTGACCTTGAACTGAAAGGGCTCTCTGCTTCAGCCAGCTCCCAGTTCAGACATTGTCATCAAGAGAACAAGGACAACTATGGAGGCAGCAAGTAAAATTATAATTTTCCCTTTTGGGTTCAAGAGCTGACTACTCTGTGCTAATCTTCTCTAGCAACTCTCCTCCAAATCATGTCAGGTAATGAGGCACATGGCACCTCCTGCCTCCAAAGAAAATATTCACACCTCTTTGGGGCAAAAATGTATTTACCAAGACAGGTACCTGCTTAATATTTACCCAACTTCTGAATTCATCTTTCTCTATAATAGCTCTATTTCTATTGCTTATTTTAGAGGGTTAAGGTGTTGTTTAAAGTTAGATTAGATAAAGTTAAAAGTTTAAGTAAGTTGTGGAATGTTTGTGAAAAATTAATCATGTAAAAGAAATTGTGTGAGTGAACATATTAGCTAAAATTAAAAGGGTATTATTCAGCTTATCTGTAAATTAAACATTGGAATAAAAACACAACACAATTTTCTTAGAGTATTGTTCTGCTCTTTAACAGAAAATTGTAAAGGCTTATAAAATGTTCATGAGAATCTTACCTTATGATCAGGCTGATTAAAATTGAACAGATTTGCCTATTAAGGTTTTATTGAGTTGGGTTTGACATCAATAGCACACTAATGCAAAGGTAACATTTGGATTTCATTGGCCTATATTTTTATAAATGTGTTATTGGTATGTGTGTTCCAAAATTATGCAAAATTCCTATGACTCTGATATAAGTTAATATATGCTATCAGGAATAATTATAATTATTATGTTAAATTATTGTGTACCACCAAGTTAACAAATTTCCTTGTCAATTGTATCTTTGACTGTGCCTGCCCTAAGATGTTTTGTCATCCACGAACATTAGTTGTCTTGTTTTGATTATTTTTAGAAGGAGGTTTTATAAACAGCTGTAATACTCTAACAGGTGTTCTAAAACACAGGTTTTTGATCACTTCAAAGATTGTGTCATTAGAGATATGGAGAGCTAAAATGTTCATGAATATCAAGCAGAACATGGACTAAACTAGTAGAAGACTAAAATAATTCTTTTATGAGTTTTTGCTTAAAATGTTGTTAATCCTTCGTTTTTAAAAGACAAGAAAATTTTCTTTTGCATTATTTACAGCTTTTAAAGAATTGAGTAAATAAATTATACTACTATCAACATAATTTGAAGCATAATGTTTTTTCTTCCTACCTGATTTCTCCTGAATTTGAAAACTATTTGTGAATATTCTTAACTCATGGCAATACAGTTATTTGCATAAATGCAATATGAATCTATTTTCTTTTGCAACAGGACACAATTAGAGACACTGGTTATTTTATCAAGGCTTTGACTGAAATAATGTGCATTTCTTTAAGGAACCAAATTTGACTTATAGAGACAATAAAACCCCTTGGGAAAACTGGCCTCACACCTTGTCTACACAGTCCCTGTACAGGGTTCCTGACATAAGTAAAAAATGTCACTTTCTGGAAAATGATTATTCTTGCTGTGATTCATGCAAATAATCTGGCCAAGTGTAATAAGACTAGAACTTATTTTGCAAGCACATCAGTCCTATCAGGATTTATTTTTCATAAAAATAAGATCTGGAGAGAGAAAAATTATGTTTGAAGAACTATGGTACACCTGTGATTAAGTTCTAGCCTCATCAGTTGTTTTTGAGTTTTTGTCTGCAATTTAGACTCACCCTACTTACTCCAGTGAACCAACTAGTAGTGATCTCTGGCTGCAGCTCAGAAGAAACAAAAGGGATGGGTAATGAAAAAATCTGCTTCAGTATTGCAATTCTTGGCACATATTGGAATTGGCTAGCACCCCCACACGCCCAATTCTTAGCAGTTATGACTATAGCCACCAGCTACCTGGGTGTGTCAGCTGTCATCACCCCCTTACTTCATTTTAACATTCTGCTAAATCTAATAACCTGATTTGTCTTCTCTTGCCTTCAGGCCATCAAGCTCTAGATGATCATTATTGAGGGATACCATCCTCTCAATATTTAAGAGTCACCCTCCTGCAGGAGACCCCTAGACTGCCCATCAGTGAGACATGACAGAAGTAAAATCCTGCCTGTGTCTCCTTTGGACCTGGCTGGATACTGCTTTCACCAGCTCACAAAGCAAACCCTTCCCTGGCAACTAGCCAAAGGCCAAGACCCACAGAACCACCATTGCCCCTCTGTGAGAAGGAAGCAGTTACAGAAGACTGACCTTCATCCATTTTTCTCCAAAGAATTGAGGTCTTGGACTCTTGAAAGGGAAGTTGTTACAGTAGGTAGCTAGTCACACACAAGAAGGGTAGGAGAGCACTCCCACTCTAGGAATGTCAGGCATCCATCAGGTGATGGTCAGGTGGTTAGTAAACCATCTCTCTAAATAACAAATGGTCACAGCCAGTGCCAGGGAAAGGCAGTCTCCCAAGAAACAGAAACACCTGAAACTGGTGATAAGCAGCTTTCTAATAAGATCTCAGGAGTTGAGTGAGTGGGCTTGGGCATGTGCACTAAGAGGTAAAATGGAAGAGTTTAACTGGTATATTACCACCAAGGGACATTTGGCTGGTAAGGGGAGAACACCTCAATTGAGCATGTGTACAGGTCCAGTAAACACACTGTGCATGCTCCCCTCCCAAGTGCTGGCAGTTCACTGCACATGTGACAGCCCACCCCAAGGGAAGAATCAGGAGAGAAGGGATGCGAGATCCTGGAAGTATGCTAATGTATAAAATCCCAAGTCCAAAGGTCAAACCGTGCACTTTATCTCTCATGTCACCCACTTGTTCCTCTTCCAAGTGTACTTTACTTCCTTCCATTCCTGTTCCAAAGACTTCTGATAAACTTTCACTCTTGCTCTAAAATTTGCTCTGGTTTCTCCTTCTGCCTCTTTGGTCAATTTGTTTTTCCTGAAGAGGAAAAAACTAAGGTTGCTGCAGACCCATATGAATTCAGTAACATTATTGGTGCCATACATTTTAAATCTACTTATAAATTTTATAATTCAACCTTATATTTTTTGCATTAAATTGTCAATTTTCTTTTAAAGAAATTAAAAGAAAGCTCTTATTTTTAGTGGTCTTTATTTCTTCCTGTGAATCTCTGTCACTGTCTATAGTCATTTCACTTTATTCTGAAGTATTTATTTTAGCATTTCTTATAGTACAGAACTTGAGAAATATATCTTCTCAGCTTTCGTTTACCTAAAATATATATTTATTTAACCAAATAAGTTATTTTTGACTTGATGCAGCATGCTGATTTAAAATTTTTGTTTTTATTTTAAGGAATTTAAAGATAAGATTCCTTTTCTTCTTATTTTCATTTTTTTAATGTGACATTAGCAATTATTTATGTATTTGTTCCTTTGTAAATTTTGTGTATTCTCTCATTTACTGTTTCCAATACTTTTATTTTTGTCTTTTTTTCCCCCTAAGAGGGAAAAGATGTACAAATGAGATCTCATCCTTGCCATTCTCCTTTTCAAGGGCCAAACTCCATCCAGGATTTGCTCATTTGTGTCTAGTCTCCAATGTCTTCAAACTTTTTTTAACTCTATTTGTTCAAAGCTTATTTGTTACTTATTTATTTATCGACTTATTTATGTATTGGAGACAGGTTTTTACTCTGCTGTCAGTGCTGGAATTTAGTTTATTTATTCTCTTTCTAATGGATAGTCTGATACAAGCTACTCTAAAATTTCTGCAATCAGAACCACTACTATATGTTTGCTTTTGCAATTATATTCGGAAATACCTTCTAGAAAATCTGGGATACATAGTGAAAATGTGGGCAAAGTCTTCATTCATAGAGGTTTTCAGTAACTAGATTAGTCTGTTTTCATCACTGTAAAGGAATACCTGAGACTGGGTAATTGATAAAGAAAAGAGGTTTATTTGGCTCATGATTCTGCAGTCTGTACATGAAACATAGTGCCAATATCTGCTTCTGGTGAGGGCCTCAGGAAGCTTACAATTGATGGAAGGCAAATGGGGAGCAGATATATCACATGATGAGAGAGAGGAAGAGAGAGGAGAAGAAGGTGCCAGGCTCTTTTATACAACCAGATCTCACTTGAACTCAAATTGAGAGCTTACATATTACTTCAAGGATGGCACCAAGCCATTCACGAGGGATTTGTCCCCATGACCCAAACACCTTCCACAGGCCCCACCACTAACTTTGGAGATTACATTTCAACATGAGATTTAGAGAGGACAAAATATACTAGCCATATTATTCCATCTCTGGGACCCCAAATCTTATGTTCATCTCACATTGCAAAATACAATCATCCCTTCCCAATAGTCTTTAAAAGCCTCAGCTCATTCCAGCATCACTCAAAAGTCCAAAATTCAAAGTCTCATTGGGGACTCAAGGCAAGTTTCTTTCACCTATGAGCTTGTAAAATAAAAAATAAAAAAAGAAATTAATTATTTACTTCGAGATGCAATGGCGGTGCAGGAATTGAGTAAGCATTGTCACGCCAAAAGGGAGAAGTCAGCCAAAAGAAAAGGACAACAGGCCCCACACATTTCTGAAACCCAGCAGAGCCGTCATTAAATCTTTAAAGCTCCAAAATTATTTCCTTAACTCTGTGTCCCACATCCTGGGCACATTGTTGCAAGGGGTGGACTCCCAAGATGTTAGGCATTTTTGCCCCTGTGGCTTTGCAAGGTGCAGCACCTGTAGCTGCTCTCGCAGGTTGGAGTCCAGTGCCTGTGGCTTCTCTAGGCACATATGGAAGTTTCCAGTGGCTCTATTATTCTTAGGTCTATGGGACAGCAGCCCCCATCCCATTGTTCCACTAGGCAGTGCCTTGGTGGGGACTGTATGGGCTCCAATTCCACCTTTATCCTTGGAATTTCCCTAGTACAGCCTTTCTACAGGGGCATTGCCTCTGTGGCAGGTTTCTATCTTGGCATCCAAGCTTTCCAATACATCCTCTGAAATCTAGGTGGAAGCTTCCAAGCTTCCTTCATTCTTGCATTCTGTTGTGCCGGCAGACTTAACACCACATGGAAGCCACCACGGCTTATGGTTTGCACCCTCTGGGGCATTGGCTCAGTCCTTTGAGTCAGGCGGGAGCTGAAGCAGCAGGGATACAGAGAGCCGTGTTCCAAAGTTGTGAAGGTTAGCAAGTCCCTGGCCCTGGCCCAGGAAGCCATTCTGTTCTGCTAGGCCTTAGGGCCTGTAATGGGAGGGGGCTGACCCAGAGATGTCTGAAATGCCTTTGAGGCCTTTTTCCCATTGTCTTGACTATTAGCAGTTGACTCCCATTTAGTCACACAAACCTCTCTAGCAAGTGGTTTCTCCACGCCCTTCTTGTATTCCTCTCCTAAAAATGTTTTCTCCCTTTCTACCATATGGCCAAACCAGGCTGCAAATTTCCCAAACTTTTAATGCTCTGCTTCCCTTTTAATTACAAGTTCCAACTTTAAGGCATTTCCTTGCTCCTGTATTTGATCATAGGCTGTTCGAAGCAGCTACAGCACATCATTGCTACAGCAATGATGTGCTGTTTACAGATTTTTCCACCATTTACCCTAGGTCATCACTGTTAAGTTTACCTTTCTACAAACCCCTAAGCCATGGACACAATGCAGCCAAGTTCTTTGCTTGGGCATAACATGGGTGTTCTTTACTCCAGTTCCCAATGACTTCTTCATTTTCATCTGAAAACTTTTGAGCCTGACCTTTACTGTCCATATTTCTATCAACGTTTTGGTCACTACTATTCAGTCTCTGAGAAGTTCTAAACTTTCTCTCATCTTCCCGTTTTCCTCTGAGCCCTCCGATATTCCAACCTCCGCATGTCACCCAGTTTTAAAGCTGTTTCCGCAATTTCAGGAATCTTTATAGCAACGTCCCACTCTTCAGTACCAATTTTCTGTGTTAGTTTATTTGCATTGTTCTAATGGAATACCTGAGACTGGGTAATTAATTCATAAAGAAAAGAGTTTTAATTGGCTCGTGATTCTGCAGGCTGTACATTAAGCATAGTGCCAGCATCTGCTTCTGGTGAGGTTATGATCATGATGGAAGGCAAAGGGGAAGCAGGTGTATCACATGGCAAGAGAGTGGGCAAGAGGAAAAAGGTGGAGCTACCAGTTTCTATTAAACAACCATGTCTCAAATGAACTCACAGAGTGAGAACTCACTCACTGCTGTGAGGACAGCACCAAGCCATCCATGAGGGATCCATCTCCATGACGCAAACACCTCCTACCAGGCTCCACCTTCAGCATTGGAGGTCACATTTCAACAAAAGATTTGGAGTGGGGGGACAAAACATCCAAGCCATATCAGTTACAAATGCATAGTTTCTGCAGGGGAATAAAATGTTGTGGGTCAAGATTTTTAAAGCGTGTTTTGTGAAAGGACATGAGAGATGTTGCTGATTAGGTTTAGTAGCTCTACTACTGGGCTCATGCTTTGCCTGAAAATAAAAATGGTTTTCTGTTTTAATTAAAAGTTACCAATATTGCTACCCTTGGCTGATGTAAGGACATCAGTATTTATTATTTATTTATTTATTTGAGACAGAGTCTCACTCTGTCACCCAGGCTGGAGTGCAGTGAAACCTCATCTCTAGTAAAAATACCAAAAAAAATTAGTCGGGCGTGGCAGTGCGTGCCTGTAGTCGCAGCTACTCAGGAGGCTGAGGCAGGAGAATTGCTTGAACCCAGGAGGCAGAGGTTGCAGTGAGCCGAGATCATGCCACTGCACTCCAGCCTGGGCAACAGCGGGAGACTCCATCTCAAAAATCAATAAATACATAAAATAAAAAATTTAAAGTTTTAAAAAATAATATGATAAATTCCAAAGTGGTTTGACAAGCCATGCAGTATGTTTGTTGTCTTCCTGGTGAATGTTTTATCAACTGGGTGGGCTTAATCCTAGCCAGTTGTTGAGGAAGCAGGAAACAAAGTCCAACTCCCAGATTTGGAAATTGTCAAGTGCCAGGCAGGATGTCAATGTCTACAGCTTGGAGAGATGGGTAATGAGGGATAAGTTGAATAAAGAAAAGCCTAGGCTGAAAATGCCTATTGAAAATAATTCAAAATGTAGTAAACATGTAGCTTGATGACAAATATTTGTTGAATATAATTTTTGATGCCCTTAAACAATGTAATTTTAAATCAAGAAAAAAGCAGAGAAAATACTTTCAAAATTAGATTTCATATATTATTAATTGATACCAAAATCAGTGGGTTTATATCCTAAAGTAACCCCATTATTTTTCTTTGGTGAAAAGTAAAATCTAATGAATTAGCAAAAAAAATTCTGGATATGAGATATGCTTAGGATGTGACGCAGCTGTGGAAGACAAATGAAAGCTGAATTTTCAAAAAATTATAAAATGAAACAACAATGATTCAGAACTACATAGAATTATTTGGTAAATTTGCCAGGAACAAAATACATTAACATATTAGTATTCTACACTATTTTATATATGTTGAATGCTCACTGGACCAAAAAAGAGCACAACAATGAGACTTGTATATCTTGTGTTTTGTTGTTGTTTTAAAGATCTTATGTAATCTTAAAAGAAATTTAGCTTAAATTTACTAGTTTAAAATAGCCAAAAGTCAGGAAAAGTCTGATACTCTTCATTTGAAAACATGTTTAATTGAAAACAAAGGAAAATCTATAGAAATCAGTATCTCAATAAATTATAAGTATATGAGGATGACATACATTCCTATAGTGATCACAGTGCAATATTCAATGTTTACAAGAGAACTTTAAATACAGAAGAAGGTCTTGGAACATGTGACAAATGAAAAAATATATGAATGAGTGAAGTATATATGGTTTCTGTGTAGTAGGATTGTAAGTGCTTTATTATTGGGAAATTATTTTTTATCTACTTCTCTGTACTGTATTTCTACTTTTTCACTTTTGGCCACAACAAAGAAACTATAAATATTGCTCTAAATGTGAAACTTTCAGATATTAAATCCTAAATTGAAGACATACCAATCTGGGTATGAGCGATACAGAGTTGCCTAGTGGTACAAACACATAAGAGGAGATAAGAGTAGCATGGGGGAGATGACCGAATTGAGAAAGAAAAGAAATAGGAATCAAGTTTTATTCCACAACCCTGGAATAAAACCTGCAGGAGTAGAGGGAGGCAAACAAATGAGACTCTTGGAAAAGCCTGCTCTGTTGTCTGAGGGATGTCAGATTCAAAGTAAGTTGATGCTGGCTGGTCGCGGTGGTTCATGCCTGTAATCCCAGCACTTTGGGAGGCTGAGGAGGGTGGATCACGAGGTCAGGAGTTCGAGACCAGCCTGGCCAGCATAGTGAAACCCTGTGTCCACTAAAAATACAAAAACTAACTGGGCATGGTGGTGCATGCCTGTAGTCCCAGCTACTCGGGAGGCTGAGGCAGGAGAACTACTTGAACCCGGGAGGCGGAGGTTGCAGTGAGCCGAGATCATGCCACTGCACTCCAGCCTGGGTGACAGAGTGAGACTCCCTCTCAAAAAAAAAAAAAAAAAAAAAAAAAAATTTAAGTCGTTGCCTCACCACCACTCATGGTCATTTTGGGAATTGTTTGGATTAATGGCCTGGTGTTCCACACCAGAAAATATATGGTTGTATACAATCCTCCTTCCCTTCTCACATGGTTCACTGGTAGTGGAGAATCTTCACTTTAATTATGTTGGCCAATTGAGAGAGGAGAGGGACCCAGGAAAAACACAAATTAAGCTGAGGTGGAATTGAGAGGCTCTCCAAGGCAGGACGAAAATGCTTGCAACCAGAGAAGCAGCGTGGAAGCTGCAACAGGAATCAGAAGAGTGGTTTGTTAGAACACCATAGTATCTTTCTTCCATAATTCTAAAGTGGGATGAAAATGTCTATATTCCTCAGGGAAGAAAATTCTGCTAAGAATACATATAACTTCTTCCTACCTCTCGCTTCTCTTTCCCAAGGGCAAAGTGCATCCTAATAGTGTCTTGTGGTGAGATTGGGAGTTAGAGATTGTCTGTGAGCATGGGTCATTCTATTCAGGGTTCCTTTTGTTTTAGAGATGCCTGTCTGGTATTTTCTTCCTCATTACAGAAAGGTTACAATTGCTGACTGAATTTCTGGATAGGTGTGATTGTTAATTTTAGTTATCAACTTTACTAAATTAAAGGATACCCAAATATTTAATAAAACATTATTTCTGGCTATGTCTGTGAGGATGTTTCAAGAAGCGACTGGTTTGAATTGGTTGACTGAGTAAGGAAGATCCACCCTCAATGTAAGCAGGCACCATCCAATTGGCTGAGGGCCCAGATAAAACAAAAAGGCAGACAGATGGTGAATTTACTTTGTCTCTCTCTTCTGTAGCTGAAGAGCATCATTCAGCTGAGAACAACATTCTGCTGCTCTTGAACATCCAAATTCCAGGTTTTCTAATCTTTGGACTTGGGGCCTTACACCAGCACCTTTCCCTGCACCAAGTTCTCAGGCCTTCAGCCTCATGCTAAAAGTTGAACCTTAGGCATCCCTGGTTCTGAGGTCTTTGGACTTGGTCTGAGCTGTACTATTGGCTTTCCTGGTTCTCCAGCTTACAGATAGGCCATCGTGGGACTTCTCAGCTTCCCTAGTCACATGAGCCAATTCACGGAGCAAATTTCCTCTCTTATATCTATCTATCATCTATTATCTATCTATCTATCTATCTATCTATCTATCATCTATATCTATCTATCTATCTATATCTATCTATCTATCATCTATTATCTATCCATCTATCTATATATCTATCTATCAATCAATCATCTGGATATCTATTAGTTCTGTCTCTCTGAAGAACCCTGAATAATACAGTGGGTAAGTAACAGTCAAGGAGTTGGGTATTTGAAATTCCAGTTTTGCCTACAGAATCATGTTTATTTTCCCAATCAGTCTTACCTGTAAGAAAAGATATATCTATACAAACATAGATATATATATATATAGAGAGAGAGAGATATAAGATATATATATAAAAATTCAGTCAGATATATATATATACACATAGAGAGATAAGATATGTGTGTGTGTGTGTGTGTGTGTATATATATATATATATATAGAGAGAGAGAGAGAGAGAGAGAGAGAGATGGAGTCTCGCTCCTGTTGCCCAGGCTGGAGTGCAATGGCATGACCTCAGCTCACTGCAACCTCCGACTCTCAGGTTCAAGTGACTCTCCTGCCTCAGCCCCCTGAGTAGCTGAGATTACAGGTGCCTGCCACCACATGAGGCTATTTTTTATTATTATTATTTTTAGTAGAGACAGGGTTTCATCATGTTGGCCAGGCTGTTCTCGAACTCCTGACCTCAGGTGATCCACCTGCCTTGGCCTCCCAAAGTACTGGGATACTATATTCTGATCTTCCATCTTTTTGAGTCTTGTTTCCATTAGTTTTGAATTTGAAAGTGGACTTGGCAGACAGAGATTGGTTAAATATAACCTTTACCTTGTATTGTGTGTCTACTTCTTCACCCCTACCTTTGCCATCTTTCACCAGGTGATAATGTATAATTCCCCAAACCATTTAAGTTGGTCTTGTACATGTGATTGTTTTGGAGATTGACATATGGGAAAAAGTGAGATTAGGCAGTAAGAAGAATTTATGGGGCACAATTCATTTCTTATTCTCCTCCTGGATTTCTGCCAACCACCATGAGAAGAGCAAACTCCACTTAGCTTCTGGGCCTTTTGCCCGCCCTGTAGTAGACCTGAACTTACCAAGCCTCTTGTAGCTGTGTGGCCCCAGCTAACCTAGCACATTCGTGAGGAAAAAAAAAAATGTTCTGTTTTACATCAATAAGAATATAAGGTTGTTTATGATGCAACTGCAACTTCTACAAAGAGCCTGGAACCTCAGAGGCAATGCCAGGGAGTTGCCAGTGAACCAAATGTGTACAAACATGCCAGTTCCAGTTAATGTCACTGCCAAACAGCAAAGGAGAACAAGAAACAGTCCCCTCCCTTTCCACCACCAATGGGTGACAACCACCTAGGGTAACTTGTCCTTTCTTTTGGCAGACTACAGACCTATGAACCTCGAGGGCTAGGTCAGGACTGAGAAGAGGAGTAGGACAGAGTCACATGGAGATGTGAGCCAGGCTGATGCTGACTAATAATTCTGGTTTAATTGCAGGATACTTAGAAAAGCACAAATGGAAGATTCACAGTGAATTCGTTTAGGGAGTTCATACTAGGAAGGTAGTGGCCTCGAGTCAGAAATTAAATGTACATCTAGAAATAAAGAAAATCTATTATTTTGACACACCCAAATAGTAAACTGTGACTCACATGCCTAGCAGATTTTTAAACAAATTGTATCATCTCAAGTCCCATAGCTTTTACATGTTCGCCCAACACTATTTTGTAACATCATTTACAATTAAGAGAAGCGAAGGCCACTTTTCATAACTGTAACTTTTTGGGTATCATTGGCAACTGCATGTATTATTCATTTCTGTTCCTGCTAGCTTGCTCAGCCATCTTTTTATACCCTGGTATACAAATTCGCTGCCATCCCCAGCAAGCCAGAGCATATTCAACTCTTCTGAACACCACAGATGTTATCAGAAAACATCTAATGAACTTGTCCCCATTGATCTAGTCTGTGACCATATATTTTCTAGGAAATCTATAGCTTTCAGAGCCAAACTTACTTTGGGATTTTTTAAAATTTCCTTTTTCAGATGTTACGTTTCTGTGAACATTTAGTCAGGCAAACATTCACCTGGTGTGATAGAAGGTAGATTTTCTCAAATACTGACATAGTGACACATTCGTATCCATTGAAGCTCATGTCTCTCTGCTTTATCACTGAGATGTAGAGACAGTAACATTAATTATATTTTCAATTCAATAACCTACCCTTTACCTCACCTCATTTATGCTATACTTGAAAAAAAAAAAGTAAGCTCTTCCCTGGATGAATCACATTTAAGTCTCTGAGCATCCAGAGGAAATACAAATAATGGTTAATTTACTCTCATGAGGCATAGGGGCTCATTAAGAAAACTAAGAGCATGCATGTAAAATAACCTCAACAATGAGCATATGCTATTTTGTTAAAATTTAGCCTATTTATCATTCTATCAACAGTATAATGTAAAATGTTAAACAGATCAAGCATTTTCTTAGTTTGGCAAGCTAAATCAAAGATAGAATATAAAGTGTTTACTAAAGCATAATAGAGAAGTTTCTATTTCCGGGCAAACTTTGAAGGTCACACCACCATGGCCTGAAATGCTTCTGTTGCTGTAACACTCATTTCACTATTCTGTGTCTGAACAATGTCATTGCCAACTGCATCCCTCTAGGAATCCACCTAGGTGTTGGCTCCCGTTGTTACACCAGAAGAGAGGGGGCTGTCAGCACTGCTGGCTGTATGGACAAGGACAAATAAATACTCATGCTCTGTTCCCTGCATGTGACACTTAAGTTGTGAAATCAATGTCTCCATTTCAAAAATAACATCATCCATTTTTTATGGCTGCATAGTATTCCATGATGTATATGTGCCACATTTTCTTAATCCAGTCTATCATTGTTGGACATTTGGGTTGGTTCCAAGTCTTTGCTCTTGTGAATAATGCCGCAATAAACATACGTGTGCATGTGTCTTTATAGCAGCATGATTTATAGTCCATTGGGTATATACCCAGTAATGGGATGGCTGGGTCAAATGGTATTTCTAGTTCTAGATCCCTGAGGAATCGCCACACTGACTTCCACAATGGTTGAACTAGTTTACAGTCCCACCAACAGTGTAAAAATGTTCCTATTTCTCCACATCCTCTCCAGCACCTGTTGTTTCCTGACTTTTTAATGATAGCCATTCTAACTGGTGTGAGATGGTATCTCACTGTGGTTTTGATTTGCATTTATCTGATGGCCAGTGATGGTGAGCATTTTTTCATGTGTTTTTTGGCTGCATAAATGTCTTCTTTTGAGAAGTGTCTGTTCATGTCCTTTGCCCACTTCTTCATGGGGTTGTTTGTTTTTTTCTTGTAAATTTGTTTGAGTTCATTGTAGATTCTGGATATTAGCCCTTTGTCAGATGAGTAGGTTGCGAAAATTTTCTCCCATGTTGTAGGTTGCCTGTTCACTCTGATGGTGGTTTCTTTTGCTGTGCAGAAGCTCTTTAGTTTAATTAGATCCCATTTGTCAATTTTGGCTTTTGTTGCCATTGCTTTTGGTGTTTTAGACATGAAGTCCTTGCCCATGGGACATTGGATGAAATTGGAAATCATCATTCTCAGTAAACTATCGCAAGAACAAAAAACCAAACACCGCATATTCTCACTCATAGGTGGGAACTGAACAATGAGAACAACACATGGACACAGGAAGGGGAACATCACACTCTGGGGACTGTTGTGGGGTGGGGGGAGGGGGGAGGGATAGCATTGGGAGATATACCTAATGCTAGATGACGAGTTAGTGGGTGCAGCGCACCAGCATGGCACATGTATACATATGTAACTAACCTGCACATTGTGCACATGTACCCTAAAACTTAAAGTATAATAATAATAAATAAATTTAAAAAAACTAAAAAAAAAAAACAAACATTATCCACATTTACCTCTTTTACACTGAAGAGGAAGTCATTTAAAGGTACTCTTTTTCTTGGTGATTTAAGGATTCAAATAAGATAAAGGAGAATACTGGGGGATTATAGGATTGTTATTTTCTTATTCACAGCAGAGGTACATGGAGAACCAAAATGGAAATCTGAAAGTCAGTCATCAAGTGTCTAAATTTGACTTGAGTGTATTAAGAAGGCTTTAAAAGGAAGTAAAAATTTTCTATATATTAGTCACGATTTTATTTTTCATTAAGTTGCCTCAAAATACTTTGCCATATCCTTAAAACATTAAAGAGAAATACTTCTCCAAACAAAAGCTGAGGGATTTCATCAACACCATACCTGTTCTACAAGAAATGCTAAAGAGAGTACTTTAATCAGAAAGAAAAAAGAAGGTAATGAGATATAAGAAATCACTTGAAGGTATGAAACTCACTGATAACAGTAAGTACACACACAAAAAAACCACAGACTATTATACCACTGTAACTGTAGTGTGTAAACTATTCTTAAGTAGAAAGACCAAATGATGAGCCAGTCAAAACTAATAAATACAACAACCTTTCCAGACATACACAGAAAGATAAGATATAAATAGAAACCAGAAAATGTTTAAAAGTCTGGAGACAAAATTAAGATGTAGTATTTTTATTAGTTTTTGTTTATTTGTTTATGCAAACAGTGTTAAGTTGTTATCAAGTTAAAATCATGGGTTATAAGATAGTATTTGCAAGCCTCATGGTAACCTCAAATCAAAAATCATACAATGAATCTTCAAAAATTGAAAAGCAAGAAACCAAATATCACTGGAAAAAATCACCTTCACTCTAGAAAGACATGCAGGAAAGAAGGAAGGAAGAGAAAACCACAAAACAACCTGAAAACAAATAACAAAATGACAGGAGTAAGTCTTTACTTATCAATAATTACATTGAATATAAATGGACAAAACACTCCAATCAAGACATAGACTGGCTGAATGGATGAAAAGCCCCATAAATCTGATGCCTACAAGCAACATATTTCACTTATAAAGATACACATAGACTGAAAACAAAGGGATGAAAACAGATATTCCATGACAATGGAAACCAAAAAGGGGAGGAGTCATTATACTTATATCAGACAAATAGATTTCAAGACCAAAACTATAAGAAGAAATAAATGAGTTCACTACATAATGATAAGTCAATTCAGCAAGGAGATATAACAGTTTTTAATATATATGTCCCCAACACTGGAGCATCCTGATATAATATAAAAGCAAATATTATTAGAGATAAAGAGAAAGATAGGCCTCAATACAATAATAGCTGGAGATTTGAACACCCCACTTTTAGCATTGAACAGATCTTCCAGACAGAAAATCAACAAAGAAACATAGAACTGAATCTGCACTGTAGACCAAATGGATCTAGTAGATATTTACAGAACATTTCATCCAACAGTTGCAGAATACACATTCTTTTCCTCAGCACATGGATTATTCTCAAGGATAGACTATATGTAAGGTCACATAACAAGTCTTAAAACATGCAAAAAATGAAATAATAGCAAGCATCTTATCTAACAACAATGGAATAAAACTAGAGATTAATAACAGGAGGAATTCTGAAAACTCTACAAATTCACGGAAATTAAACAATATGCTCCTGAATGACCAGTGGGTCAATAAAGAAGTTAAGAAGGAAATTTAAAAAAAATCTTGAAACAAATGAATACGGAAAAACAACATACCAAAACCTATGGGATACAGCAAAAGCAGCACTCAGATGGAAGTTTATAGCAATAAGTGCCTACCTCAGAAAAGGAGAATAACTTCAAATAAAGAATCCTACAATGCACCCTAAAGAACTAGGAAAGCAAGAGCAAACCAAACAAAAAATTAAGAGAAAAGTAGAAATAATAAAGAGTAGAGCAAAAATAAATGAAATTAAAATAAAAAAATACAAAGAATCAATGAAACAAAAAGTTGGGTGTTTTTACATGTTAAACAAACTTGACAAATCTTTAACCAGGCTAAGAAAAAAAGACAAAATATCCAAATAATAAAATCAGGAATGAAAAAGGAGACATTACAACTGATATTGCAGAATTTCAAAGGATCATTAGTGCCTACTATGAGCAACTACATGCAAATAAATTGGAATATCTAGAAGAAATAGACAAATTCCTAGACAAATACAATCTACCAAGATTGAACCAGAAAGAAATAAAAATTCTGAACAGACCAATAACAAGTAGCAAAATTAAAGCTATAATAAAAAGTCTCTTGGTAAGGAAAAGCCCGGGACCTGAGGGATTCACTGTTTAATTCTAGCAGACATTTAAAGACAAACTAATACCAATTCTACTCAAACTATTCTGAAAAATAGAGGAGGGAACACTTCCAAACTCATTGTATGAGGCCAGTATTAACCTGATACCAAAACCAGACAAAGACACATCACCAAAGAAAACTACATGCTAACAATGCTTCTGACAAGTATTGATGCAAAAATCCTCAAAAATACCAGCAAACCAAATTTAACAATACATTAGAAAGATTATTCATTATGATGAAGTGGGATTCAAGGATGGTTCGAGATATGCACATCAATAAATGTGTTACATCATATCAACAGAATGAAGGATAAAAACTGTATGAGCATTTCACTTGATGCTGACAAAAAGCATTTAATAAAATTCAACATCCCTTCATGATAAAACCCCTCAAAACAGAGGGTATAGAAGGAGCATACCTCAACATAAAAAAAAGCCATTTATGACAGACCCAAAGATGGTATCATATAGAATGGGGTAAAACTGAAAGCCTTTCTTCTAAGATCCGGAACATGACAGGGATGACCACTTTCACCACTGTTATTCAACATAGCACTGGAAATATTAGCTAGAGCAATCAGACAAGAAAAAATATAAAGGGCATCAAAATTGAAAAGGAAAAAGTCAAATTATCCTGGTTTGAAGATGGCATAATCTTATATTTAGAAAAATCCAAAAGCTACACAAGAAAACTATTAGAACTGATAAATTCAGTAAAGTTTCAGAATAAAAAATGAACATACAGAAATCATTAGCATTTCTATATGCCAGTGTGAACAGTCTGAAAAAGAGAAATAAAAAATGTAATCCCATTTACAATAACCTCACAAAAAATTAAATGCCTAGCAATTAACTTAATCAAACAAGTGAAAGATCTCTATATGTAAACTATAAAATGCTTATGAAATAAATAGAAGAGTACACCAAAAAATGGAGAAATATTCCATATTCATTAATTGGAAGGATCAATATTGTAAAAATGTTCATACTTTTCAAAGCAATCTACAGATTAAGTGCAATTTCTATCAAAATACCAGTGACATTCTTCACAGAAATAGAAAAAACAATCCTAAAATTTATGGAACCGCAAAAGACCCAGAATAGCCAAAGACAGTCTAAGCAAAAAGAACAAAACTGTAGGAATCACGTTACCTGTCTTTTAATTCTACTACAGAGCTATAATAACCAAAACAACATGGCACTGGCATAAAAACAGACACATAGACCTATATGGAACAGATTAGAGAACCCAGAAACAAATCCGCACACCTACAGGGAACTCATTTTTGACAAGTTCCCAAGAGCATGTACTGGAGAAAGGACAGCTTCTTCAATAAATTGTGCAGGGAAAACTGAATATCCATATGCAGATGAATGAAACTTGATCCCTATCTCTCACCATATACCATAATCCAATTAAAATGGATTAAAAACTTAAGTCTAAGACCTCAAACCATGAAATTGTTATAAGAAAACATTGAGGCAAATACAAGGGCAGAGACACAATAATCAAAGAAAACTTTAGGCCTATATCCCTGATGAACATCAATGCAAATATCCTCAATAAAATACTGGCAAACCGAATCCAGCATCATATCAAAAAGTTTATCCACCACAATCAAGTTGGCTTCATCCCTGGAATGCAAGGCTGATTCAACATATGCAAATCAATAAACATAATTCATCACATAAACAGAATCAATGACAAAAACCATATGATTATCTCAATAGATGCAGCTAAGGCCTTTGATTAAATTCAACATCGTTTCATGTTAAAAATTATCCAAATCAATGTGCAAAAATCTCAAGCATTCTTATACACAAACAATAGACAAGCAGAGAGCAAAGTAATGAATAAAATCTCATTCACAATTGCTACATAGAGACCAAAATACCTAGGAATACAGCTAACAAGGGATGTGAAGGACCTTTTCAAGGAGAACTACAAACCACTGCATCACACTACCTGACTTTATACTATACTACAAGGCTACAGTAACCAAAGCAGCATGATACTGGTACCAAAACAAACATATAGACAAATGGAACAGAACAGAGACCTCAGAAATAACACCACTCATCTACAACCATCTGATCTTTGACAAACCTGACAAAAACCAGCAATGAGGAAAGGATTCCCTATTTAATAAATGGTCCTGGGAAAAGTGGCTAGCTATATGCAGAAAACTGAAACTGGACCCCTTCCTTAAATGTTATACAAAAATTAACTCAAGATGGATTAAAGACTTAAATGTAAAACCCCAAACCCTAAAAACCCTAGAAGAAATCTTAGGCAATACCATTCAGGACATAGGCAAGGGCAAAGATTTCATGATGAAAATGCCAAAAGCAATTGCAACAAAAGCCAAAATTGACAAATGGGATCTAACCAAAGAGCTTCTTCACAGCAAAAGAAACTCTTAGAATGAACAGGTAACCTACAGAATGGGAGAAAAATTTTGCAATCTACCCATCTGACAAAGGTCTAATATCCATAAACTACAAGGAACTTAAACAAATTTACAACAAAAAACAAACAAACCCATCAAAAAGTGGACAAAGGATATGAACAGACACTTCTCAAAAGAAGACATTTATGCAGCCAACAAACATATTTTAAAAAGCTCAACATAATTTATCATTAGAGAAATGCCAAGGAAAACCTCAAGATACCATCCCACGCCAGTCAGAATGGTGATTTTTAAAAGTCAAGAAACAATAGACGCTGGTGAGGCTGTGGAGAAATTGGAACACTTTTCTACTGTTGATGGAAATGTAAATTAGTTCAACCATTGTGGAAGACAGCATGGTGATTCCTTAAGAATCTAGAGCCAGAAATACCATTTGACCCAGCAATCCCATTGCTGGGTATATACCCAAAGGAATGTAAATCATTCTACTATAAGGACACATGCACACATAAGTTTATTCCAGCACTATTTACAATAGCAAAGACTTGGAACCAAACCAAATGCCCATCAATGATAGACAGAATAAAGAAAACGTGGCACATATACACTATGGAATACTATGCAGCCATAAAAAGGAATGAGATCCTGTCCTCTGTGGGGACATGGATGAAGCTGGAAGCCATCAGCCTCAGCAAACTAACACAGAAACAGAAAACCAATTGCATGTTCTCACTCATAAGTGGGAGTTGAACAATAAGAACATAATGCACACAGGGAGAAGAACAACACACACCAGGGCCAGTCAGAGGTGGGGAGAGGGGAGGGAGAGCATTAGGACATATAGCTAATGCATGTGGGGCTTAAAACCTAGATGAAGCCATGAGGAAAAATGTACAAGAAGACATGAAGAAATGTACAAGGCATGAAGAAAAAAGTACAAGAAGGCATGAAGATAAATGAAGTACTCAAAGAATGGTGGAGATGTGTTATAAAGGCACAGAGCCCAGCTTGAAGGGGCTCCCACTGGCCAAATCTGGGGAAATTCATGGTATCTTAATTACACCCTCTTGAATGAAATAGGAATCTACAATACACTCTGAAATAAATAAATGTATAAATGGGAGCTTTCCATTCCTTTTCGAGGATGAATAATATTCCACTCTCTGTGGAGGGGCGGGTGGCGCGGGGGATGTGTTTTCAATTCTTTGAGGCGTATACTTAGAAGTAGAATTGCTGGATCATATGGTAATTCTCTGTTTAACTGACTGAGAGAGCATCATACTGTTTCCTACAGTGGTTGCATCATTTTACATTCCCATCACCAACGAACGAGGGTTCCGATTTCTCTATGTTCTTGCCAACACATTTTTTTTTGTTTCTTTCTTGTCTGAAATAGCCACACTTACTTGTTGAATCTTTTATAATCCCTAAAATTTTATGGAACATTTTTATGGAACAAGATAAATTAAATAGCCTATTTTGTCTGTGATTACTACCTTCTCTTGTTAATCATTTAGCAAGTTATTGAACTCATGCCATGAGCCAAGCACTTCTCTCTATCAGCTAAGAATATAACTAACAGTTTGTTGGCCTGGAGTCCATGAGAATCTGAGCCATCACCAATGCCTTTTTTACCAGGACCTACATATCTGTGTCAAATATTCACATCTGAATAATAAAAGATAAAACTCCATTTTAATGTATTCAGTAAGTATTTCTTGAGTGTGAGACCTCCTGTTTACTGTTTGGTCACAATGATGTATAAGAAGAAAATAGTCTCTACCTTCATGGTACTTACAGACTAATGGAGACACTGATCAAACAAATAAACATGTAACTAAAGCTATAATAGGTGCTAGGAAGAGTAGTTACCCAATAGTTTATAACTCTGTCTGATGAGTCTAACAAAGCTTTCCTAAAAATGTGACATTAGAATGAGAACTAAAGTAGGAATTTACCTTGGAGAAAAGAGAATGGGAGATAAAGAAAAGAGGTTTTTAGCACATGGGAACAGATAGCAGAGTTCTTCTGAATGAAAGAAATATGGTAAAAGAAAGCTAATTTAAGTGGGGCATGGAGTAATCCTAGGGCATAGTAAGTCCTCTGAGGTTAGGGCCCCAAATTATGCACGGCCTTGCAGGCCATATGGAAAGGTTCTGTTCCTTAACCATAAAACAATGTGACTCTATTAACGGATTTTCCGTGAAAGATAGCTATTAAAAGTGGAGATGTCAACTGAGCAGTTTGAGTAACATGCCTGGTGCTCGGAGGAGAGGTCTGAGAGGTGGATGTGAACTTGGAAATTACTAGTATGTGGTTTGTAATAAAAGCCATGTGTACAATTGAGCTTGCCAGACAGAGAACTTAGAAGAAGAAGAAAAGGGAGCCCAGGGCCAAGCCTTGAAAAACCTAGCTGTTAATGTTCTATGTTAGAAGGAGAATGAGATGGAAAATGAGTAGCCAGTAAGACAAATAACAAACAAACCAACAAAACAACAGCAAAAAACAAAGACAAACCCGCAAAAAGACAGAGAGGCTGAAAGTAAAAGGATGAGTGCTTTGAAAGGGCACAGCTAATAGTCCAATAATGTTGGATATTGATGGTATGAGAAGGGAGTGAACAACTGAAACCCTTCTTCCGGATTCAGTAGGTCACCAGTCATTGGTGAGCTCTAGGGAGAAGCCATGCGGAAGGGTACATATTTTATTATAATGAGGCAGGTAGGAGGTGAAACCATCAAGACTAGCACGTGGGACTTTTTTTTCAAGATACTTGGCAGCAAAGAGGTCAGGAAGGTAGGGCAGTGCCTGGAAGAGAGTGTGTGTGTGTTGGACAGAGAGACCATTTCATTTTCGTTTTAGATACAGAGACTTGGATATATTCAAATGCTGATGGAAAAGAATCTTGTACAAGGTAAAGGAGGGGGAAAAATCAAGACACGTACGACCTAGAGAAAGGATAGGTTCAGTGTACAGATAGAGGAAGGAGATGAGAACAGAATGGGTGCAGATGAAGGAGGGTTTACATCTGAATATTCATTTCATTTTTCTCTGTGTCTGTCTACATGACTGGAAATTGGCCACATTTTGAGGGCCTATTTCTTTATATGTAAATTAAAGAATGAGGGCTGAAAAATGTGTATTCCTTTTAATCCTAACATTCATTGAATTGCTTCTTATTTTCAATGCTGTCAATGTCAAAATCCATTTATATCCTACATACCGCTTGATTTTACATAAACTGTTGGTTTAGTCTCTTTTTTTAGCATAATGTGTAGTTTATAAAGATCCTGTGTGTGAACTGTAGTAACAAATAAGATATTTTGTTGATCTCACTAATAAAGGTCCTGGGTATAAGCAGTAGTTATATGGCATTTTAATTTTTTTTTTAAGACAGGTCTCACTCTGGTGGCCCAGGCTGGAGTGCAGTGGTTCGATCTCGGCTCACTGCAGCCTTGACCTCCCAGGCTCAAGTGATCCTCCGACCTCAGCCTCCCGAGTAGTTGGGAACACAGACGTGCACTACTGCACCTAGCTAACTTTTTTTCTACTTTTTGTAGAGACAAGATTTCACCATGTTCCCCAGGCTAGTCTCAAACTCCTGGGCTCAAGTGATTCGCCCACCTTGACCTGCCAAAGTGTGGCATTTCCACAACGACAAGTGCTAAAATTCTCAAGACAATGAAGGAAAAATTTCATGGAGGTTTTCTCATGATTCTAATTCTGGTTTTCTGATGTTCTAACTTCAGATCTTGCTTCTCCAAATTTTTGATATATTATGAACACCCAGGCCTTTCATTAAAGACTTTTAAGAGTCCCAAATCAAATCTTAATGATTAACTGTCTCACCTGACCTCAAGTTTCCTATGGCATATTTTTTTTAAAGTAATAGTAATAGTGGTTGAAGAACTTTGTAACGCAATTTAAGACTCTGGTTTCCATGTCTAAGAAAAAGATAAAATTATATCAAGAATGTTGACATTCATACATACATTTAAAGCCACTGTAAAAGACAGAAGTGATGTCAATGTGGACCAGTTATTGTTTCTTTCGTCCCCTTAGGGTGGTGGTGGTGTTTTTGAGTCCAATTTTGAACCACCTAAATGGAGACCCTGGAAGCATCACATTTTACCAAATGGCCTTATGGCTTCATTATGATGCCAGGATCAGTACTGCCTTTTATAGAGGGAGAAAAGTGCAGTCTTGTTTTAACAAAATAACAGGTAGCATTGGTGACTGTACTTTCCCCAAAGAAAAGGACTGATGACTGTGTCACTGCTTTCTGGCAAAGCAGCTCTTACTCTTGAAGCTCTCTTCGTGTTTCCTCTTTGAATTCCCCTTCTAATTATTCTTTCTCTCAGAATTAGAGACAAAAAAGTGTAGATTCATATTAGAAATAGACTGATACTTTATATATTTCACTTAGTGTTCATGATCCGTTAGACTTTAACATGGATGCTTAAATACAATTTTCTCAGCACCTGGTGAATAAATTTCATCAGATTATTTCCTATTAGAGATCCTCCTTCAAATTTGCCACATCTGTGTTATTTTTTTCCCTTTAGGAAAGAGCAGAAGAATGTGTTGAGAATTAACCCTGTCGTTTCAGTTTGTACATTCCTGTTATACCTCGAGATATTACTTTTTAATTTTAATTTTTATTTCCATGGTTTTGTGGGGTAAGGTGGTTTTTGGTTACATGGATAAGTTATTTAGTGGTGATTTCTGAGATTTTGGTGCACCTGTTACCCAAGCAGTGTACACTGTACCCAATGTGCAGTCTTTTATCCCTCACCCCCCTCCCACTCTTGTTCCCTGAGTCTGCAAAGACCATTACATCATTCTTATGCTTCTCCATCAGTGTCTGTCTCAACATCACGGTGTGCACGTCAAGACAGTACGAAAATGACTTTTTTATTTTATAACTTTTTAATGCTATCTTTCCCGCACTTGATGATGTTGAGACACTGATGGAGATGCCTGGGGCATTACAGGGAAATGTACCTCCAGTAATGCCACGTTTTCTTTTCGAGGTTACTTCTGAACAGCTTTAAAGAGGGCGCTGCCTGCCTCATAGTCTGCAGCCTCGTGGTGACCAGTTGGTCACCAGGGGGCAGGCTTGGATCACAAAAGTGTGTCACCGCTCATTTTTCTTCAAGAGAAAGAAGCGTATTGCTCTCGCTATAAAACTGTGGTGCAATTCATTTTTTACAAACCGGATGGTCGATAAAAATAAGTCATTTTGTATTATAACCATGAACTCAAGATATATCATTCATTTAAAAACTACGTTCTATATTTTTGTAAAATAAAAAAATACATTTTATCAATTCCAATTTTGTTTAATTTTACTCATTAAACATTGATACAGGTGAAGAAAATTTTTTTACAGATAGTTTTTGCCCTCTAATATTAACTGTACAAAGCAAAGTATTGTTGTAACAGTAGAAGAATAAACAGAAACTACTGACTAGCATATGGCAAAATTTGGGATCTCAGATCTTTTAAAAATTATTTTATCATTACAAAAGTAATATCTACTTTATTGTTGAAAACAGAAATTACTGAGCTACAAAAAGGAAAAAAATACTAAGCAGGCTTCATTCCAATATTCGAAGGGAACTATTCTAAGATGTTGGTGCATTTTGTTAAGATGTATTTTAGATCAAGATGCCTCTATTTATCAGTT
The DNA here is from genome assembly GCF_000001405.40 of Homo sapiens. Classification (NCBI taxonomy): domain Eukaryota; kingdom Metazoa; phylum Chordata; class Mammalia; order Primates; family Hominidae; genus Homo; species Homo sapiens. The sequence goes on along the minus strand of NC_000021.9, from coordinate 27,700,607 downwards.
TGTCTTTCTCAAACTTAGAATCAGGCATTGTGTAACCTGCTTCTACTTTTCACTTAATAGCTTATTGTTGACAAGTTTCCTGTCATTTAATACAATTCTACATTATAACCTGTAGCAGCTTTGCATGATATTGTATCAATGTGCATTATTTACATATTCAATACCTTATTTTAAGCTATTTAAAAAGTTATTTCTAATGTTTTGAGTAGCTCCTTTTAAGTGAAAATGAAACAACTTTTCCAAGACTTATGAAACATAATGCATACAGAGTTAACATTTTTCTTTTTAGACGGAGTCTCGCTCTGTCGCCAGGCTGGAGTTCGATGGCATGATCTCGGCTCACTGCAACCTCTGCCTCCTGGGTTCAAGTGATTCTCCTGCCTCAACCTCCCAAGTAGCTGGGACTGCAGGCACATGCCACCACGCCCAGCTTATTTTTGTATTTTTAGTAGAGACGGGGTTTCCCCATGTTGGCCAGGAAACTCTCCAACTCTTGACCTCTTGATCCACCCGCCTCGGCCTCCCAAAGTGCTGGGATTACAGGTGTAAGCCACCGTGCCTGGCCTAGAGTTAACATTTTTCATATTTAGAACCCTTTTTATACATTAAGGAGAACAATGCAGTTTACCTTCAAAGTAAAGATTAATATTATTTTGGTTACATGGATAAGTTATTTAGTGGTGATTTCTGAGATTTTGGTGCACCTGTTACCCAAGCAGCTGTTATCCAATCTTCAAAGTAAAGATTAATATTAGATAAGGATTCCACACTAATTTAATTTATAGCCTTTTGAAGAAAGATGAATTACAATTTAGAAATCATTTTCACACTTATTTTTGCTATTAATCCTATAACTCTCTTTCTTATGTCATTATGTAAAACCGCATTAAATAATCACTTACCAAAAGAAGTCATTTGAAATATGGTTCCTCACTATGACTAAGAATATAATACATTTATCTTATTCCCATTATTTAAGTCATCCTTATTTAATAGCACTTAGCAATACCTTAGTAGAATGCTTTTCCACATTTTTCACTTGCGTGGGCCAATTAAAACCATAATTCTTAGAATAACTCCTAAACACAAACAATTAAAGCTATTGAGGACTATTCAGGTCTTATAAACTGCAACCCTGCTTTCAAGGTGATGTTTGTGCTGATTTGCATTGTACAAATGATTGTAGAATTAACCAGTGCTTACAATCAGTGTGACATTGGGCAAATTGTTCAAAACATCTTAAACCCCATATTCCTTTTCTATAAAGCAGGATTAGACATATCTATCTTTGCAAAGTTACTGTAAATATTTGAAGTGTTTATTTATTACAAACCTGTGTTGCCTGGCCCGCATTAATGGGCTTTGAAAGTAGGGTAGGCATCTGCTGTGTTACAATGGGCTGCTCTGAAGTCTCATCCTCATTCATAGGAGACAAGATGAGCTCTTGCACTTGATATCAGCCCTCTTCCTCCCTGTAAGGATCAAAAGTAAACTCAGGCATTGCGGTGAAGATCATGCCTAGGTTGTCAATTTCAGTGATCATGAGGGGAGCCACAATATGAGTTAAGACATGGCTTTCTGGGCATTTTTGCCTTCATTAGCAGGGGTCAGGGAGGAGTGAGTGCTGGACCTTCATACATTGCTGGTGGGAATGTAAAATGAGTGGTCACATTGGAGTGCAGATTGGCAGTTCTGCAGAATGTTTAACACAGAGTTACCACATGACCCAGCAATTCCAGTCCTAGATATATGCCCCCTCACACACAAAATTAAAAACTTAAATCCACAAGAAAATCTGTGCACAAATGTCCATTTCACCATGGTTCATAATAGTGCAAAGGGCTATTCAGGAAACAACTTTGACCTATCAATGGAAAATGAAAGTATATTACATCCATAAAACTGATTATTATTTGGTAATTAGAAAATGAACTTCTGATACATGCTACAAACCTTGAAAACATGCTAAGTGAATGAAACCAATACAAATTACTAATGCTGTGTGATTCCATTTAATAAGATGTGTGCAGAAAGGGCAAATCTATAGGAACAAAAGATAGATTAGGGTTGGAAATGGGGAGATGGGGAAGGGCAATGGGAAGTGACTGTAAATAGGTTGAGGGTTTCTTTTTTGGGTGATTAAAATGTTCAAAAATTAGGTTGTGGTAATGGTTGCACAATTTTGTGAATATACAAAAACCCATTGAATTGTACACTTTAAATGGATGAATTGTACCATATATAAATTATACCTTGGTAAAGCTGTTTAAGAAAAAGAAGTGTGAGTTGGCCATGCCTTCCTATGCCCAACCCCACACTGAGGGTTTCACCAAAACCCTCCGGTACTGTTTTCAAGACTCAATCTTGTGTTTTCCTTAGGCCTCCCAATTCCCAAGCCACCCTTTACCTTCACACTGTAAGCATTATAACGCTCTGCATGTGTCCTGTTCCCTTCTCTTCCCTCACTCCTCTCCTGCTAATAATCTCTTTACCTTTTGAGGTGCAGGAAGCCTGTTCCCACCTTAGCATTTTCCCTACAGCCCTCAACTTGTGGCTTCTTCCTCTTCCACAGACCTAGTCGGTCTGGAGTTGATGTAGGTGTTCTCTGCTCCTCAATTCTATGTCCAGACCTCTCCCTTTTTGTTCCCTAAAGACTCTCAACCTTGACTCTTATGTCACCAGATGACATGAGTTCAGTACCTCTTCCGTCATTGTCATCCATCAAGGTTGTTCTTTTGGGTTTCTCAGTGATTTAGTTTGTGGCTTGTCTCTCTCCATCACTCTTAATTATTAGTGATCTGAGTAGCTACAAAAATGATCATTTCAACAAGTTTGCCTTCAAATTCTGTTTGTTTTTTTCTTGCAGTAACAACAACAAGCTCAACCATCCATTTTCATGATCATATCCAGACCTCACTGTTCAGTATATTAGCCATTTTTAGCTACATTTGCCTATTGTTCACTTTAAATGTGGCAATCAGAACTGAGACGTGCTGTAAGTATAAAATACACACTGGCTTCCAAAATAATAATGAATAATCATAATGATAATAATAATAATAGGAAATACCTTATTAAGTTTATTCTGATTGCAAATTGTAGTAGTAATATTTTATCTATCCTGAATTAAGTAAAATATGTTAATAAACAAAATTTAGTGTTTCTTTTTATTTTTTTTTAAAGATAGATACTAAAACAGTTTGAATACATGTGTGTCTGACATTATATTTCTATTGGACGGTGCTGCCCCAGGCCTTGGCACCAAGATACCAATAACTACAACTTCATCATTATCCTAGTTTTATGTATCTGGCTCTCTTCTGTATTTTTCAGACATTCCCTCTCATGACTCAACTTTAAGAGTTTTTCAACCCTACTATTATCTGTGATCTATTGATTCTACAATCTTTTCACCTTCACTTATTGCCTCAGTATCCCTTTTTTCTCTTTGCTTCCAGCCTAAACTCCATGGACAATTGTTATAATAAATTCTTTGTGTTATCCTTGTTCTTCTCTCCCATTATCGAACTTACTTGCAAAGTCACAACATTCATTTAACTCAGCTCTTATTTACTATAAGATGTCTAAGTACAGCTGAATATGACTGGATACAACGAATAACCATGTTGATGTCCTCATGCTATTCCTGGAACGTGCAAGGAACACCATGGTCACTCTGCCAGGAATATACTTCTAGATGTCTCCCTGCCTAACTCCTTCATCTTCTTCATGCTTTTGTCCAGATTTACATTTCTTAGTGAAACTTACTCTGATGGCTCTATTTAAAGTTATAATCTTCAATAGCAAAGGCATGGAATCAACCTAACTGCCCATCAATGATAGACTAGATAAAGAAAATGTTGCACATATACACCATGGAATACTATGCAGCCATAAGAAAGAATGAGATTATGTCCTTTGCAGGAACATGGATGGAGCTGGAAACCATTATCCTCAGCAAACTAATGCAGAAACAGAAAACCAAATACTGCATGTTCTCACTTATAAGTGACAGCTGAATGATGAGAACACATGGACATGTAAGAGTCAACAACACACACTGGGCCTATCAGAGGGTCAGGGTGAGTGGAAGAAGAGTATCAGGAAAAATAGTTAATGGATGCTGGGCTTAACATCTAGGTGATGGGATAATCTGCACGGCAAAGCCATGGCACATGTCCACCTATGTAACACACCTGCACATGTACCCCAAACTTAAAATAAAAGTTGGAAATAAAAAATAAATTCATTAAAATTAAAATTAAAAATCAATAAGAAGTTGTGTTCCTCACTTCTCTACAATCTCCTCAATTCTCCTTAACCTTCTCTGATTTCTTTTCTCTCCTCTCCTCTGCCTTGCTTTACAATATTTTCCCTTCAGCAAGGCAAAATATACTCATTTATAACTGTCTTAAATGTAACTTTCTGCTTTAATGTAATCTCCAGAAGGGCATGAATCTTGTTTTGTTCACTTAAGTAACAAAATTTCTGGAACTACCGGAGTATAGGCTCTTCAGAAATATTAATAGAATAAATGAGTTAATTAATAAAATTTTTTAATGTAAAATTAATGTTCATTTCATCAAACTTCATATATATTTAAAATAATATATACCTATTTCAACACAGTTTCTCCACTTTTTAACTATTTGCATTAGGATGATAAGCAAAAAATTGTACACTAAAAAAATTCTTCTTGAACTCACAGGTAAGCACATTGGCTGGGGGATTTGGGAACACTGGCAAAACCACACATAAACAAAAACAAAATTACACACCACACATGAATTATAAAGTATTTCTATATGGTTAAGCAATAATAGGCCAAAGATATATTTTCAATGTGTTAATATATATTCAATAAATTGATTAGAAAGAAAAATGCTTTATGGCTTTCAAAACTAAGTAGCTAAAAAAAATACAAGATTTTCAGTTGGAAATTTTAAGGTGTCTACAATCACAATTGTAACTTTGGGGAAGAAGAGAAAGAGAGAGAAAGCAAAGAAAGAAAGAACAGGAAAGGAAGAGCGAGAGAAGGAGAGGAGAAGGAGAGAAAGAGAAGAAAGGAAAAAGAAAGGGAAAGAAAGAAAAGAAAGAAAGAAAGAGGGAGAGAGGAAGGCAGGCAAGAAAGAAAGACAAGAAAGCAAGAAGGAAAGAAGGAAGGAAAAGAGAAAGAAAGAAAGAAAAAAAAGAGAGAGGAAGGGAGGGAGGGAGAGAGGAAGGGAGGGAGGGAGGAAGGAAGGAAGGAAGGAGAGAAAGACAAGAAAGCAAGAAAGCAAGAAGGAAGGAAGGAAGGAAAAGAGAAAGAAAGAAAAGGAAAGGAAAGAGAGAGGAAGGAAGGGAGGGAGGGAGGAAGGAAGGAAGGAAGGAAGGACGGACGAGAGCTTCATAAAAATTTTCTGGTTTTAAAGTTATTTTATTTTTCTTAAAAATTTCTTTAAATAAATAGTCTGTTAGAGGTATTAATGTGTGTCACTCTTGCTTGGAATGAGGTTTATAAAGGGCACATGTTATTGTGTTTCTCTTCTGGGTAAAATTCTCTGATGATTCTCAGTTTCTGCAGGATAGAATCTTTGCCTGACACCGGGGTCCTTAGGTCGGATCCCTGCCTAGGTCTACAGCCTCATCTCCATTCACATTCCACTCCTCTTAGGCAGTGCATGTTTTATCTCTAAGTTCTTCCCAGCATCATCCTGGGAACTTTGAGTTTCACCAATTTTCCCTGGTGGAGAAACACCGTAAATGGGAATGCCGTGCAGACCTGAGATTATGTGACTCTACCATCAAGACTCAAAGGAGCTTTATTTGAAATAAAGGAGCTAGTGGTTGTGTGGGTGTAAATTAGATGATGTAATCTGTCAGCTCAGTTATTTTTATTCACCACTCTCTTAACACATTTCAGTTTTAAGGGGGGGAGTGGGTTCAACTATGTAAAGTCATTGCTTTTATTTTAGCCAATTCAGAATAGTAGACTTCTAAATCGGGAAAGATCTCAGAAGACTTTTTTTCTTTATAATTGAGATATTTGCTATTTGTGTTCTTTGGGTGGAAAAAATGATTTAATGACGCATTTTTATTTAAAAAAGTGCCATTTTATCTGTATAAGAGGAAGATGTGATTGAAGTGTTATTTTAACACTCCTTCTATTAAAATTATAAAAACATTATATAATATGCTTTTAAAAAGTAGTGAATAAATGTGGTTGTTATATGAACACAAATATGTAGGCAATCAGCATGTCATGAGAATTATTAAATAAATTAAAATATTTGCAATATAATTTACATAATTCAGCAGTTGTATGTTAATCACGTAGTTGTCAGAAATAACTTCATTTTTTAACTTTTGTTTGATGTTTAAGCTTTTGTTAGTCTAATTATTTTCACACTTTTCTTTCAATATTTCTAACTTCATAAATATTGATAAGTAAATTAAAATCAAATCCTCACATCTAGAAACTGCTGATAATTCAAACAAAATTATTTTTTTCACAAAAAAGTGTTTTAAAATGTCATTAACTCAGTTAAAAAATAGAACTACCAAGTTAGTTTATAAAATATGAATTAATATAATTATAAAAGTATAGTCTATGTCTTTATTTTTATTTTAGAGACTAATACCTTTTGTGTTATTAAATATAATTTCTGTTTTTTGCAATATCTCTGAACTCTCATGTCCCCCAGCAGCATACCCATCCCCCAACACCTACAAACAATGACAATAACCCTTTCCTGTACTCCAGTGAATTCGATGCCTTCGTAACACTAACTGATATCAAAGGAACAGGATTCCTCAAGTTGATCATGGTAGAAAAAAATTAGTTGAAAATTTAGGCACAAAAAATTCAAAACAGTTTCATCAGAATGTTTTTGTTTTCACTTCTTCGGGTACATAAGTGTCCCCTGTTCATTTTCAGTAATATCCACCAAACCAACGGCATCTCCTCTAAGTGAGGTCACCGCAGAAATCAAAAAACACACTACTAGCTTGTGAGGACTTGTCTGGATGGTTTTATTAGCAGGATGTGTCACTACCAACCCTTGGTCTGATGTGAAATTGAGTTTCGAAATGACACATATTTCCTGGATTCTCCAGTTAACCAGAGATTTCTTTCGGGCTTTCCCTTTTTTTTTCTCCCTTAGGCATCTGTAGAAGAAAGAAAAAAGCAAAGTACTCCAAAAGACTTAAAGAAGCAGAATCAATTGTCTAATTTTATTCGAAAGGTTTTCTCTCTGCTGTTCTCACTATCTCCAATAAGGTCTGCCCAGTTCTCCTAGTAAGGAAAACTGGCTGACAAATAGTGGGCCAGGGAAGAGCATTGGAAGGCCACCAAATGTTAGTTATTGCTCCAGGCGAGAAAGGCTAGCAGCGGTCTCAGCTGTAGCGGTATAAAGGAACAAGTGATGGGGATGGTTGGATGGTAACAGACCTATGGGACAATGGAAATATTAAACTGCTGGTAGACAATGATAAAATAAAACATTGTTATCTCTCTATGGTCAGAGAAAGAAGAGCTAAAAGGTTAATTACGGTCTCTTTGAGGGATGAATATGTATATGAAAATTACATAACTGTGGTCTATTGTCATATTTTTATGATTTTGTGACTTTTACTTATCTAAAAGGGGAATAGTTTGAAGCCAGACTTCTAAACGGTGAGTTCCTGATTTTTGCACTTTGAAGGAAATCAAAGTAGGCACCTGTTCACAAGGTAGCCATATGAATCCTTCCTTTCCCATTAGGATACTTTCTTTATCAGCATTACTTCTGCAGTAGGTCTTACTGCTACATTTACAAGTTTCTGGAATGAGGGTGGTATTCATGTAATTGAGCCAGTCTAATCCTTTTGGATTGATTTTTAAAAGCAATAAGCTTTTAAAGTCATGAAGGATTTATGAATCCTTCCTTTCTCATTAGGATACCTTATTTCTATTGAAACGTTATTTCAGAATAGCATGCCTCTCCTCATTTTCCCCAGCATCATCATACACACTCACATGCAAAGTGCTGCAACTTTAGTGGAGCAATAGAATAGAGAGCTACATGTGTGCTAAACTGCTTAGACAGAAGAGAAATTATTTGTACAGACAAGAGGCAGAGAGAAAGCCAACATCAGGACCATTTTCTGCCTCGGTAATCTACTCAGGTTACTTTATGCCTAAAGACAACGCCCAGGAGAGCAAACTGAAGCTCCAGCATGGATTCACTGGAGCCCCTGGTGACATGGACATGAAAGAAAAATGTAATTACTCAATCAGAAATTATATACTGGAAAATTCTGAAAAAAAACTGGCAAGTAAAAACAATGAAAAGCTGTTTATTTTACAGCTTTTTCTATATGCCCAATTAATGTGCTCGTAAAGGTAAGTGACACCTCTGCGTGATTGTCCAAAATGTATATTAAATTACTAGGTCATAGATTACACCTGTAGTGAGTCTTATTGCTAACCCTACAAGTTGCTGGAATGAAGGTGGTATTCATATAATTGAGCCAGTCTAATCTTTTTGGATTGATTTTTAAAAGCAATAGGAAATTAAAACATAATTATTTGTTGAAAAATTTTGAAAAAATTACAATGGCTAGAAATAAAGGAGAAGCATCACGTTTTTAGTCTTACTACCTTTGTAGGTGGGATATAACAAAATTTAAATAATATTTATCCACTTCATTAAGTTATTTATTGGTAACAAATTAGCACTGATGAGAAAGTTTTATGAACTCTTTATTCCTTAATAAGAGGTGACTCACTAGGTGTAAAAACAAATAATTAATTAACACCCACATACTACCACCCAGTTATAGTGAAAATTACAACGGTCCCTCTCATTTTTTCAAATTTTTCCCTACACTGGAAGGAAATTCCATGCATTGACTTGAAGATGAGTGTTATTCTAAAGAAAATTCTCAAGACAAATGCCAAGGAATCCTTTTGCAATTACTCTTTTCTTTTTCAATTTGCTTTTCAAGGGAACATCTGCCCTTACACCTCCCTCCACTTGTGATTCTAGAAATTAAGGATATATGATCAAACAATGTTTTGGAAAATAAGATAATTCTCAGGAGTCTATGATTACATAGTATGATAAGCTGTCTAGTAAATCTATCAGGATGAATTTCTTTGGAAATTTCCATGAAAACCTAAAATATGAAGTAATGGCATTAGCATACCCTTTAAATAAGTATTTCCTCACTTGTTAATTTCATTAAATGTTATATTCTCTGTGTGTTGAATTTATCTACTTTCTAACAGATTTGATATGTACTACAGTTAGGATTCTAAGTCCTGTGTCTGGGAAGACACCAAATGGTTAAGGGGGCTTGAATTTTTGTGAATCACTAGTACAAGGCTAGGATTCATCTTTCAGATGAAAAATGCATCGTTGTGTGTTTCACACATCATCTAACACAGTGTTTGAGATTGTATCACAGGCTTTGTATCAGCTATCTGACATCAATGACTTATTTCTTCTTTAATTAAAAGTAAGCACATATTGCAAGTATTAAAGTGCTAAAACTTGAATATTTCTTCAATGTACATATTGTGAAGGTCATTTGCTGAAAAGCAGTCACTTGGTACTTAATAGCATTGCTTTAGTAATTACATACACTCATTAAAGGACATTTTGCCATTTTCATAACTTTGAGTTAGGAGTTCTGGGCAGGGCTGTTCTTGCAAGCTACAGGTCACAAAGATCCCACAGATAAACAGGATGCTTTAAAGAAGCCAGCCAAAACCCACCAAAACAAAGATGACAAGAAAAGTGACCACTGATTGTCCTACCTGCTTGTTATACGCTAATTATAATGTAATAGCACGCTAAAAGGCACTTCCACCAGTACCATGACTGTTTACAAATGCCTTGGAAGTGTTCAAAAGTTATTCCATATGGTCTGAAAGGAGGAGGAACCCTCTGTTCTGGCCACTAGCCCCTTTCCTGGAAAACCAATGAATAATCCACTCCTTGTTTAGTGTATAATGAAGAAATAACCATAAAATAGACAACTAGCAGCCTTTGGGGCTGCTTGATCTATGGAACAGCCAACGTTTTATTGCTTTACTTTCATAATAAACTTGATTTCACTTTATTGTTGGCTCCCTCTTGAATTCCTTCCTGTGCCAAAAACCCACGTGATCTTCCAGGCTGAGCCCCAATTTTGAGCTTCACCCTGTGACAACTTGATGTGTTTATATTTTCTGGAATATTTGCTCAGTGTATAGATACGTTTTTCAAGGGTGTCTTAGGGAATGGGCATTGTAAACGATCGCAAAAAGAAATTATGAAAAGCTAAAGCAACAGAAAAGTGCCACAAACTATTGTACTTACTGCTATAAAAATAATATTGTTTGTATTCCAAAATTCTTATACATAATTACATAAATAACGTGATGTTTACAACATGATGTTTTGAAGCAAAGTCCTTTGAGCATTACACATATTTTATTCACATTTAGTATTTCTATTGCCTCCAGTAAAAGTTTGCAGCTCAAAATGATGAGATATATGTATATACATATATGTATCTCATTATTTAGATGGCTGTTTAGGATGCTGTGTAAAATCTCATGTCAAATTATAATCCCCAATGTTGGAGGTGTAATCAAGTGAGAGGTGACTGAATCATGGGAGTGGATATCCGCCTACTGCTGCTCTCATGATAGTGAATGAGTGCTTATGAGATTTGATTGTTTAAAAGTGTGTGGCACCACCCCCTGTCTCTCTTCTTCTTGCTCTGGTCATGTAAGACAGGACTGCTTACCCTTCACCTTCTGTCATGACTAGGTTCTCAGGGAGGCTTCCCGAGGCCTCCCCAGCCTTGCTTCCTGTACAGCCTGTGAACCCATGAGTCAATTGAACCTTATTTCTTTATAAATTACTCAGTCTGAGGCATTCCTTTATAGCAATGTGAGAACTGACTTATAGAACAATACAGAGTGAAACTTTTCGAATTGTGGAGTTAGAAACTCCAAAAATATAATCGTCTACACAAACAGTGAGGGAACATTGGCCAAAATGGCCAAAATCAACTGTTTTAGAACACTTAACTAGAGGCTTATACTAGCTGAGGAATATTCATTCAAGCAAAATGGTTAAAATTTGGTAAGAACAATTTTGTTTGTTTGTTTGTTTGTTTTTTAACATGCTTTATTTCCATTCTCCACTCACCAGCTTTGTTGTTGTCTTAAAAACCAACAGCTTTTAAATCATGGTAGTTGTGAAGAACTGCAACTTAACAGCTATGAGGGTAGGTATAGTAGGAATGGAGTTTGTCAAAAAGCCCCATCATCAGGTAATTGTCACTATTTTACCTGGCAACTCCCCGAAGAGTTCCATTCACAGGGTTTGTGATTATTTCACTTAGTGATGACAAGAGCTCATTCAATATTAAAAGAACTCATTCAGTAGAAATAGGGGGAAAAAAAGCTCATTCAATGGAGTTCATCCAATAAGAAAATCCCTGTCCCTGGGTGATTGCTGAAAACAATTAGCAGCAATTGTTTAACAATATAGATGCCTGGGGAATAATACCAGATGGGAATAAAAAGGTTGACCAAAAACCTTGAAAGAAAAGGATGACTACAGGAAGCTTTAAAAATCTATTTATTTAATCTATTTATTTAAAGAATCTATTTATTTAATCTATTTATTTAAAGAATCTATTTATTAAATTTAAAATATTAATCTAAATTATTAAATCTATTAAAAATCCTGTTTATTTAAAGAACTAAAAAATACAGAATCTCTCTGAGAGAGATATATAGAGAAGCCCAAGGTCAAAAGGGGGAATTTGAAGTCATTGGAACTAATACATATAACAAATAATAAACACAAACTAACTTCTAGCCAGATTAACATGACTCTCACAATAAAGGCCTAGTTACCTCATTTAGTATTATCCAATACAGCATGTATGACTTTCAACCTCATAACAGCCACAACCACAACAAGAAAAAAACACAAGGCATACTGAAAGGCAAAACCAAACAAATATTTTTTAAAAACCACAATAAACAGGGAAAATAGACAAAAGAATCACTAGACCCAGATTCAGATATTGGCATTATCAGTTTCCAGGCAGGGATTTTTAAGTTACTATCATAATTTTCTTAAGACTCTAATGGAAAAAATAGACAACCAACAAGCACAAATGCATAATATAAGCAGAGAGAGAGAGAGAGAGGGAGAAAAACTCAAAAGAGTAATAAAAAAATAAAAGCAGGGAATAAAAAATAGTTTCAATTCATGATAGATCAAACTTGATGGTAGGTTCAAAAAAACAAAAGAAAAAACAACAACAACAACAAAAAAACTTCCCAAACTAAAAGGGAAACAGGAAATAGGAAATGGAAAAGAATGAATTAAAACAGAAAAATAAGAGCTCCAAAGAGTACACTAATATCAAAAGACATATATACACAACTGGAATACCAGGGAATACCAGAATAATTATTTGAAGTATTAATGCCTGACAACTTTCCAAAATTAATAATAGACACAAAAAATAGTTCTTGGAAGCTTTAAGAATATTAAGCAAGATTAATAACCACAAAAATTATTCCTACACATTTCTTATTCAAAGAAGAAAATAAGAAACTCTTGAAAGAAACACAGAGAGAAGAGGTGCAGAGAAATCCAACTTACATATGAAGAAATAAGGATAAAAATTACAGCACATTTTTTGTCATAAACCATGCAAAGAACCAAACACAGAAAAATATATCTACCAAAATTATTTTCCAAAAGCGAGAATAAGTAAAGACTATTCTAGGGAAATAAAAATGGAGGAAATCTTTTTCAGCAGACCTGTCCTCAGGAAACATTTGAAGTTCTTCAGGCAGAAAAAAAATTAATTTATGTCAGAAACTTAGATCTACATAAAAAAAGGTGTTGGAAGGGTAAATGAAAGTAGAATAAAAACCGTATTTTTTTTTTTTTTGAGACAGAGTCTTGCTCTGTCGCCCAGGCTGGAGTGCAGTGGCGTGATCTCGGCTCACTGCAAGCTCCGCCTCCCGGGTTCACGTCATTCTCCTGCCTCAGCCCCCCGAGTAACTGGGACTACAGGCAGCCGCCACCGAGCATGGCTAATTTTTCTTGTATTTTTAGTAGAGACAGGGTTTCACCGTGGTCTCGATCTCCTGATCTCGTGACCCGCCCGCCTCGGCCTCCCAAAAACCGTATTTTTTCTTAATTTTAATTGATCTAAAAGACAGGTATTTTAAGCAATAATAGTAACAATGTTTTGTGTGACTATGCCAAGTAAAATTCAATAAATGACAGAAATGTCATAAAGGTTACATTTCCATGAAGTGTAGTTATGTGTAATGTTAAAAATAAATATCATAGGTTCTTGAAAAGCACACAATTATTAAACAATGAAATATAATTGATATACTAAGAATAAAAAAATCAGAAGAATTGAATTATAGAAAATATTCAATTAAAAGTAGAGAAGGCAGATAAACAAGGAAAAGAGAAACATAGAACAAATACAATGGAATAGAAAAAAATATAAACATATTAGCATACAGACATGTTATCTGTTAATCCTTCTATATCAATAAGCACCTTAAATATGAATAAATGCGCCAATTAAACAACAGAGATTGTGAGAGTGGATTAAAATAACAACTCAAGACCCAATGAACTATATGTTGTTAATGAGAAACCCCATTTTAAAAATAAACATTCAACCAGATTAAGAGTAAAGTATAAACAAAGATATCCTGTGTTAAAAATAATCAGTAGAAAGCTGCAGTAGATAGCTGCATATCGGACAGCTGACTTCAGAACAGGAAAAACTATCAGCAATAAGGAGAGACATTACATAATTGCAAAAATGTCCATTTTTCAAAAAGACAACAATCTTAAATACGTATACCTCTAAAAAGAGTGTCAACATACACGAAACAATGCGGATAGAATTGAAAGGTAAAAAAGGCAAAACAATTATTGCACATGAAGAATTCAACATGACGTGTTATAATTAATAGGATCAAGTAGGCAAAACACAAGTAAAAATATAGTTGACCTGAGTAACGCTATCAGTAAGCTGACCCGATTGACATTTAAAGACTATTCTACCCAACATTAAAATAAACATTCTTTTCCATTTCACATGGAACATTTACCAAGATAGACAATATGTAGGGTAATAAAACACACCTTCTGAAATTTAAAATATAAGAAATTATACAAAGTATGTTTTCAGATTACATGGAATTCAGCAAGGAAGCAATCACAGACCTGAAAATTCTCAAATATTTTGATGTTAAAAAATAGAACTGCTAAATAAATCTTGAGCCAAGAAAAGATCTCAAAAGAAATAAAAAATAGTTAAAACTAAATGAAACTAAAAATATAACATCAAAATTTATAAAATATAATGAAAAATAAGTGATGGTTATTGGAAAATTTCTAGCATGAAATAAATATGCTAAAAAAGAAAGATCTAAAATAAATAACCTATGTTTAAACTTTTAAAAACTGTAAAAAGAGGAAAAGACTAACCCTGATGCAAGAAAATACACGATATAATAAGAATTACAGAAGAAAAATATATAATTGAAACAGGATAACAATAGAGAAAATTAATGAAACAAAATCTGATTCATGGAAAAGATCAAGAAAATTTGTAAATATCTAGCCAGGCTAACCAAGAAAAAAAGAAAGATACAACTTACCAATATCAGAAATGAGGGCATGGTCATCACTACTGATCCATGGAAAGTAATACAAAAATAAAGCAATACTACTGATAGGTGTTCACCCACCAATTTCATAACTTTGATGGAATGGACCTATTCCTTGAAGGACAAAAACTATAAGAAAGAGAAATAAATACTCTAAATTGTCCTATAAATATAAAAAGGGTTAAATATATAATTAATAACCTTTGAAAAAAGAAAGCACCAGGCCTGTTGGTTCACTGGTTAATTCTATCAAACATGTAACAATGCAATCATACCAATTTTCTACAATCTTCCAGAAAATAGGAGGAATAACATTTCCTATTTATTCTATGAAACCACAATTAACCTAATACCAAAAAACAAATAGATAATTGTAAGCAAAGAAAAATACTGATCAATACTTTTCATGAATGTAGAGGTCAAAATTCTCAATAATATACTATCAGACTAAATCCAACAAATGTATAAAAATAATTTTGCATCAAAATCAAATATGATTTATTTCAGGTGTGGAAGGCTAGTTCAACTTTTGAAAATCGATCAATATGATCTACCTTATCAACAAGCTAACAAAGAAAAATTATATGAGCCTCTCATTTGAGGCAGAAATGTAAATTAACAAATTTCAATACCCATTCATTATGAAAGAAAAAAAGTTACAGAACTGTAAATGGAACATATAGAAAGGTACAAAACTATACATATAAAATATATTTTGTAGAACATACACAAATAAATGTATATGCACAGAAAAACTAACTGGCAGTGTTGTTTTTGGTTGCCTTGAGTATCCTTAAACCTTGGGTTTGTACTTTCTTGTGTTTTTCTGGGTAAATGGGTCATTAGCTTTCATCCTAGACTAAGAAATTTTCACAATCCAAAAAGGTTAATGATCATGAAAACTACTCCTCTCTTTACAAAAAGGCTTGAGATGTTATGAGTACTTTATCAAGGTCAAAAAATAATCCAGAAAATCTTCAGGTCTGAAGCCAAGCTTCCTAATTCCAAGTCTAGAGTCTTCAGCCAATTCCTATTGCTTCTCAGTGATTTACAAGTGTGTGATAAATTTATCTGAGTAATTAGATTCAATTACTAAGAATCTATTTCGCTACTGATTTCTTCCTAGAAAGTGTGCCCCAAATATTACTCATGATAACCTGCATAATCACACTGTTTGGTTTTGATTTGCTCTTTAAATTTTATTCTTGGCCAGGCGCAGTGGCTCATGTCTGTAATCCTAGCACTTTGGGAGGCCGAGGGGGGCAGATCATTTGAGGTCAGAAGTTCGACACCAGCCTGGCCAGCATAGTGAAACCCTGTCTTTACTAAAAATAAAAAATTAGAGCCAGGCACTGGTGGAGTATGCCTGTAATCCCAGCTACTCGGGAGGCTGAGACATGAGAATCGCTTTAGCCCGGGAGGTAGAAGTTGCAGTGAGCCGAGATTGTGCCATTGCACTCCAGTCTGGGTGACAGAGTGAGACTCTGTCTCAAAAATTAAATAAGTAAATAAATAAATACATTTCATCCTTAAGATCACATTACAGTTGATATTTTCTGGAAGACTTAAGCATCTTGAATTTGATCACAACTAAAATTTTTACTTGAGCAAATGGATTTTCTATTATATATGGATAGAATAAATACAGATATCTTACCCCTGAAATTTTGTTTGCGCTATTAATTGGGTAGTCTGTTTTTCTTTTTAAGACAGGGTCTCACTGTGTTGCCCAGGCTAGAGTGCAGGGGTATGATCAATCATGGCTCACTAGATTCTCAACCCTCTGGGCTCAAAGGATTCTCTTGCCTCAACCCTCAGAGTAGCTCAGACTACAAGTGTGCACCACCGTGCCCCGCTAATTAAAAAAAATTTTTTTTGTAGAGATAAATTCTCATCCTAGCTCTTATCTAGATAATACTAATTATGAGTAAGTTAGCTCTAAAAAATGGGTTTTATTGTATATCTAAAAATGTAACCTGATTTCCACCACCTACAGCCTCATGTTGGGTTAGAAATTAATGGAATAGAATAGTCTGTCACCATGAATTGGCTTGGTCATGAAGATAACTGCCACATAACCAGATTGTGACCCCTACTTTTTTCAGGGGGAAAGGAGAGCATTTGGATCAATGGCTACACAGTTGAGATGTGCTGGATGCTTAACTTCTTACAGCCTGACTGCTGATGCCAATCATGAAAATACTTGTTAACAGTACTTTTCACGTAAAAAAGTGAAGTAAAGCACAAGGATTAGAGAGAATATCAACTTTCCACATTCTCTTTCCAAATACTATGATGTAATGTGAAATTTCCTTATGAATAAAATGCCAGGTGTAGTCATTCTTGACAACCTGTTTTTAGCGGAGGTGAAGTTGTTGATAAAACAAAAGGGAATTTTTAAGTGAATGGCAAAAAGCAACATGCACTGACTGGCAGCAGGGTGTATTAAATGACTGGAATTGCACCTTCCATTCATTGAGACATTTCCCAGCCCACATGTGTCATTAAAGAAAGCGCCATGTGCCATATGAAGAATGGGAAATGACTGTGCACCAAATGTAGCATATAATTTTTAAAAAATACAACAACACACAATCTATTCTGAAGTAATCACCTTGAAATTTAATCAGTCATAAAAACACAATTGTGTATTGTCCTTAGATATTTAGGATGATTAATAGGTGTCAATATCAATGAGCTCCTCAAATACTTATTATTCTCTATGTATTTCTCTTTTGATATAGTTTAGTTTTAACAAGGAATTTAATTCTTAGTATTTAGGAAAGGCAAAAATAGAGAAAAACTTCTATTTCATTTCCTTAGGTAATTTCTTATAAAGGAATGAAATATTGATGTATGTACAAGCTAAACTATCCCTTGCCCTATTTCTTTTTTCTTTCCCTTCCTAGTCATTCTTCCACTGTCTCCACGTACTCTTGCCACTGAAGATGTTGACAACATGACATCTTTGGGACAAGGTAGAGTAGGCTTAAAACCAACTCTAACTTCCCTGTGCACTTCTCGCCCAAATTCCAGAAAAGTTGGACTAACGTTGCCTTTTAGGGTGTGGCATGGGTGTTAGCCAATCAGAACAGAGATCAGCCAAAAATAACTACCCCCTTACACCACGCTCTTTCTTGCAATATTCTATTTTATTGTATTAGGTGACATTTGACACAGGCGATTTCTCCTGTCTTTTTAAAATACAACTTTCCTTTGGTTTTCAGTATACCACATTCTTTTGATTATATTTCCACATCAATAGGTGTTTCTTTTTCAGTTTCCTCCTGATTCCTCCTTCTCTCCTTGACCTCTAACTTCTAAAGTGCCTCAAAATACAGTCCTGTGTCCCCTTCTCTTGTCTTTTGGCCCTCCTTAAAATTTTTATCTAGCCCTATTCCTTTACATACCATCTGTAATCAGAGGACGCCTGCAGTGATCACCAAAGGCCTTCTTAAGTTCAACTAGGTATCCAGAGTCAAAATACTATCATGAAGTACACTTGGTATCAATCTACTCAGAAGATTATTAGGCAGTTTTGAGCTCATCAGTAAGCATGACAATTTAACACAGTGAATTCCCTCAAAGGTCATATCACTATAGGGCAGGACTGAAGCCTCTAGGTAGTAAGCATTGAATTATTTCATATTCACTTATCTCATCCAACAGCTACTTAACATGGGCATTTTAAGGCCCAACTCTCCTTTTTGCATGGCTTTCCTGAAGTTAAGTTGATTTTTGATAACTTTGGTAGGCCATCTTCAAAAGAGCTCCTGATATCTCAGGTCCATTGTCTGTTTCTCCTGAAGGGTTTCAATATCTCAGCTCATTTTTAGTAAATTTATTTTTCACATTTCTGTCTTAGCATTCCAGAAGAATGACTCACAGTACTGTGCCTTCTGATAATCTATTGGCAACTCGGATATTGCTATGAATTGCTAGAAGTTACTATGGGTAACTTGTAGTAGGATTTGTGGCCAGAAAACCACCATTAGGACAGAGGTAAATTTGTTTCTGCTTTCAGGGTATCAACGTTTGTCTTTAGAGGAGTGTATACCTTTATTTTGAGAGAAGAGTTGCTTAATATCATCCACATATAAGGTAGAACATACTAAAATAGGAACCCACATAGAGGCTTTATAAGACAATGTTAAGTATTCTGTTCACCAATAAAAGTTGAGTGAAATAACTTGATTATAAACTATTATTGAACATAAACCATAACTTGATCAACTTTAAACCATTTTTTAAAAATAATATAATTGTTTTTAAAAAATTGTCTGAAAAAAAGAGTTCCCAAATAGAGATTTAAAGTACTATAAAGATCAAAAATGGATTTTTAGCAATATATTTTTAGTCCTATTTGTTTGTTTGTCTTAGTCTCTGCATTTACTCAAAGTAGACAGTAGAAGAAAACCAGATCTTAGCAACAAGGACTTTTATGTCTAATTTTACTTTTATTTAACTTTAGGAGAAATATCATGTAAAGGAGATGCCCCATTCTGGTTATCAAAAATCTAGGCCAACTGAGGGTGAGATACCTATAGTGTCATTAAGATAATAAACACAAACTTGGCATAATGTACTTTCAACTACTATGTTTGTTTACTGTGCCTTGGATACAGCCAATTTTCTGTTGGGAGAGATTCTCCAAGGAAATTGTTTTATTATTAATCATGAATTATGTATATCTTGAGAAGAAAATGGGATGGGACTTGAACTTGGACAAGTAATAAAATCTTTTATCATTAAAGAAGAGCAGGGAGTTTCAGGAATGCATTCCTGTTGGTCAGGCTGAGTTGGCCACTACTACATAGAAAACTACCAGGTTCTAATCAGGGATGATGAGGTACACCCTAGAACTCTGGATTTTAAGAGTACATAATAATAGTGATAAGCTACTTTTTCTTTTAATTTCTTTTTTTTTCTTGGTTTTGTCAAATCTTCTTAGAAAGCACAGCCCTGTCCCTGGTGTGTTTTTAGGGATTCAGGACAATAATGGTTCCCTTTTGCAACAGAGGTCACTGTGAGAGTGTAAGAGGTGGTCCCTATGACAACATTGAACATAGTGCTATGCCATTGATACGAGAAGACCAGAGGAGAGAAACTTGAGTTTATTCTATTTGTTTTCTAGACAAAAATCAGGCTTTTCAGGAAGTTAGCAGAAATAGCTGTGAAGCCAGTTTTTAGAATCCATGTTGATATGGACTTGAATAAAATAAATTGATATAAAACAGATATACAAATTTTAAACACATAGGTGAGTGGAGCTTAAGGACAAACAAATACCACTATGCAGAACCTATTTTATTACCTGCAGGGTTGACTTATAGACATTTCTTTTGTAACTCCACAGCATTTACTCTGCCCACTGTTCCCTCAGATGCTTCTTCTTGTACTTTCTGTGGCTGAAGGCATGATCTGTAATCCTTCTGTTGGCTTGGAGTGTATATTAATTTCTATAAAGTCTGTTTCATATTGTTTCCCCTTGAGTCATTTTTTTCCTTCAGGAGAATATATTTGAGAATATTCATGAGACTTGGCAACAGCTCTTGCACTTCATGAATATGTTTTCCTGTTGATAGAGGCAGGAGGCATGGAAATTCTTGGCAGACAGGGGAGGGTCCCCAGTGAAACCCCACCTTTAAGCTGAAAAGCCTGAAACCTGCTGCCCAAAGTTAGAACTTCTATCCCTGTTTTCCCACTCTCTCCTGATTGCTTCTTTCTGAATAATGTACTTTTACCAATAGAATATTGCCTTTTCCAAAACTACCTATGGCTCACCCTGCCCCACATCCTGTGCCTATAAAGACCCCAGACTCAGTCAGTAGAAGAGAGAAAAGTGGCTTGACTGTAGAGAGGCAACTTGACTTTAGAGGGATGGCTGGATTTTGGAAGAGAGACAGCTTGACTTCAGGGAAAGATTACCTGCTCATCCCATCCCCTGTCCAGCTCCCATCTCTGCTGAGAGACATTTCCATTGCTAAATAAAATTCTCCACTTCCACTATCCTTCAAGTGTCTGTGTGACCTCATTCTTCTTGGACTCTGGACAAGAGCTTGGGACCCACCCAAGGCAGGTACCCCCCAAAGGTTTTCACACTGGCCCTTTTCCCTCACTGGTGGAGGGCAGCCTCCCCATGTGATGAAGCAAGGGGCCCACTGAGCTGATAACACACCACTGTCCATGGACAGTGGAGCTAAGAGAGCATTGTAACATGTCTGGGGCTTCAGGTGTCACAGGCACCCCCACCTGGGTGCTGCCTCAGGGCTCCCATGGAGCTTGCTTCTGCCAATGCCCAAAGCAGTCCCCTGGATCCCATAGTGGCTCACTCATGTGCTCCCTCCCGCAAGTGGTTGAGCAAGGTGGGCCAAGTAAATGAGGCACCCCCATTGCAAGTCTGACAAAGAAGTCTAGAAAAATCTTGCATCCCTATAGGGCATTCAAAATCACATGCAAATTCTGTCTTGGGTAGAGTGATACAAACAACAGATTATCCAAAGATAAAAGCTCTAAACAAAGATTCCATTTCATAGTAACATAAACATAATTTCAGTACATAAAATGTATTAAGATGGCTTTTAAAAATTAATTTTAAAATTTTAATTCAGAATTATACATGAACCATTTTTAAAAATTTAATTTAGCTAGTTGTAGTGTTCAAGTCATTCTATAAAAAAGTTGTATGTAAGACTGCATGTTCCATTAGTGTATAAATGTGCAAATGTGAGAATTTGTCAAAACTCAGTTCTTGGAAATACATATTAAGGTAAGAATAAAGATCAGATTAATAAGCTCACCACAAATTGCTTTCTTTTGTATTTTCTGTTTTATTGAAAATATAATGATGATAAATGCATTTTGTCATATTAAAAAATACTCCAATGCTTAGTGGCAAAAACAATCATCACATATTTGTCTTTGATTCTGTAGTTCAGCTGGGTAATGGTCCCAGTCTGCGCTCATGTAACTAATCTTTATATCCAACTGGTGGAATGGCTAAGAGGAAATGGGGGGACAGGTGGGCCCCCTCTCTGAGTGTCCTCTCACCCTCCAAGAGTCTTGCCTGGGCTTGTTCACATGGTTTGGGACACGTTCTCAGTAGCAAAAGAAGTTAGGCCCTGCATGCAAGCACTTTTCATTTATTATTGTCCCATTCAAAAGAGAATGTCACATGGCAATGAAAAAGTCAGTGCAGGATTGGGCGATTATCCAAAAGCATATGTACAAGGAAGTACATTTTGGGCACTAATTTGCAAACAATCTCTTTCAGTAGACATGTTTTATGTGGGTGAGATTCTAATAAATACATAGAGAAACAGATAAAAAGGCAGAAGTTATTTTAGTATAAACAGACTTCATGGTAGGAAGTCTTTCCTTCAAGCTCTGAAGGGCAATACTTCTATCTTCATATTATTTTCTTTTCATATTTACATCTAAATTTTTTTCAATGTGATAAAATCTATAGATTTAGTTTTGGCTGACATTATCCTTAACCACATCAAAATAAAATTAATTCCTTTATCAAATGACAAAAAGACTGATCATTAACATGTATATTTATATTTTCTTTGCTTTCTTATGAATCTTAAAGTAATTAATATTGATATGAAATAATCAAAATTAGTATACAACTTTTAGTTGTTATTTAGGCAATCACTATTCCTGAACATACTGATCTACCTAATTTGTTTATCTTTGAATCTATTTTTGAGCCAAACAAATCTAAGCAAAAGAAGAGGCTAACAAATCTATCATTTGAATTGGATATAACCACCACCAATGAACATTCTATTGTTCTGGAGAAAATCCTGGGTTTCTTTTCAGTCATATTTATTGTTGATGCTGCTGCTAATCCTTGCTTAAGGATACAGTATTATGAAATATATAAATTCCATAAATGCAACTACAAGTGCCAGAAAAAATGAAGTAATGAAAGAAGGTAAGTTTGGGGTATGTGGCCCATTTCCATTTGTAACCACCTCAAAATTTCAAAGACACAGCTGCCAGGCCAACAGTAATAAATATCATGGCCTACTCTACAAATAATGTGGATGATATGGCGCCATATGAGTTGATTGCTGGGATCCAATCAGAATCTCTTAATTAATGTGAGAAAGTTTTTGCTTGGGTGATGTGTACAGCATTGTTTTTCAAGTTGAGCTTAGTTGAGGCTTGAGGGCTGGCATATAGAGTGAATGTAAAATTCCATTCCAAAGTATTCAATTATTTGAGGAAAATATTCGAGCAATGTATGAGGTATAATCCTGGCTGAAAGCCTGCAGTATTAAAACAAGATTACATTCTTAACTAACTAGTGTTAAATCCATAATTTCATCTATAACCTCTCTTGGGAAACTTCTAATTTTAAGATATGTAGTTCAAAAAAATAAATAATATTTAGCTTCAAAATAGATTTAACATAAATTTAATGGACTCACTAGAAGTTTCCTCTGGGACTTCTAAATGATAACATTGTTTTGTCTCATTTCCACATCATATATTACAGGAATATAAAAATATTAAGGCTTACAAAGTACTTTTTCATTTGCTTTTCACATAACTGTGTGATCTATAGGAGCTGAGAAAACTAATTGTGGCTGAAAGAAGTTAGATTACTTTCCAAATTTATTCAGATAAATATTAACTTAATAAAGTTTAGAATTAAACCCCGATATTTTCCAAAATATCAATATTATATTTTATGGTAGCTTGCACAAAAGTAATTTTAAAAGACTTTATAAAAACAAATCCAGATACTTGCCGTAAAAATATAACACTTTAAAGGGCGTTAGATATTTATTTTATTCTTCCTCTTAAGTTAACTCTTGATGTCTTTCTGTGCACATTGAAGTCCAGAATGGAGTGTAGAGAGATCTGAAATTTTCTCTTTCATTTTGTTCATAAAAAGTGAAATAATGGTTTACCATCATTTTATTTTATAGAATGTTTATATGAGGAAAAAGACTCTAAACTGCCTTAATTTAGAACTTACCTGTGTATGCATATTAGAACACTAATAAAAATGTTTTGAATCTCAAGAAATTTGGACACAAATGCAGTCAAACTTTCGATTTTTAATTTTTTAAGATAAAGAGTAAACATTTTCACAAGAATGTTGTATAAATTACATTTCTGAAAGTTCGGTACAAGTTTATATACTAGTAATTGAACAAACCAGGTGAAATTAAGCGG
Source organism: Homo sapiens (assembly GCF_000001405.40). NCBI lineage: Eukaryota > Metazoa > Chordata > Mammalia > Primates > Hominidae > Homo > Homo sapiens. The sequence continues at coordinate 27,676,723 of NC_000021.9, read as the reverse complement.
GTAAGAAGATCAAATATTCTTACATGAAAAACAAACAGAATAAATAAACCTAGATTTTTCTGTTGCCTCTGTCTGAATGCTTTAAAAACATTTCCTAAGAGTTAGAATACAACAGATATAAAAAGCTGTGCCTTTTTACCAGGTCTCATCAGTTTTCCTACTAAAGCTATAGCACATTCACTCAGTTTCAAAGAAGGACTAGGTTCGATTACCGCACAATTCACAATGTATATTTTCGAATATGCCAGTGACCTACAAGTATTCTATATTCCAATAAAATTACCATATTAGTAAATTTTTTACCTCAAAGTAAAATTACTTGTAATTTCATTTTGAATTTATTCTCTTAATAATCTCAAAACAAAAAATAACATGAAAAGTTTAAACACGGGATTCATATTTATTATCACCATTTATTTACTATTTTAGGTACTTTAAGAGTTTTCCTGTTCATTTTACATTCCCTGCCAATTTTGACATTTGTAATGTGAATTCAAGATCTATACAAAAAAATGCAAAGTTATGAAACATTTTTAAGTGAAATCAGGAGAAAATTTTATGCCTTTGTTCTATTAAAAGGGTTAATTTTATTTTATTTTATTTTTTTTTTTGAGACAAAGTCTCATTTGTCGCCCAGGCTGGAGTGCGGTAGCGCAATCTCGGCTCACTGCAAGCTCCGCCTCCCGGGTTCACGCCATTCTCCTGCCTCAGCCTCCCGAGTAGCTGGGACTACAGGCACCCGCCACCATGCCCAGCTAACTTTTTGTATTTTTAGTAGAGACGGGGTTTCACCGTGTTAGCCAGGATGGTCTCGATCTCCTGACCTCGTGATCTGCCCGCCTCAGCCTCCCAAAGTGCTGGGATTACAGGCGTGAGCCACCGCGCCCGGCCCAAAGGGTTAATTTTTAAAGGGTCAAAAAATAAATGAGAAAAAAGTTAATAATTTCTGTGTAGCAATAAATACAAAAAATGCAAAGAGAAACAATGCAGACTGGTTCAACAAATGTGTAATGAACAAAGGATTACTCTCCAGAACATATGAAAACCTCCCACAAATTAGTAAGAAAAAGATAAATAACTCAGCATACTAATTGGCAATATGCACAAACGGGCATTTTGATGAATAGCTCTTAATTCTGTAAAAGGAGTTTAACCGCTTTTGTAATCAGGGAAATTCCAATTAAAGCCACAATGAGATACCATTTTACACCCACCAGATTGGCAAAAATTAACAAGTCCCAAAACATGAAGCTTTGGCAAGGATGTAGAATAACGGGAACTCATACAAACCCGATAGACTCTACACTAGTGGGAATATTTTGAAAAGCAATTTGGCATTATCTAATGAAGCTGAGAATGTGAAGACCCAACAAGACAGAAATCTCCTGAGAGAATATATATGGAAACATTGACCTATGTTTGCCAGTAGTTACATAACAAATATTGAATGCTTATAACAGTGGCACTGTGTATACTGGCAAAACAAATGAGACAAACGAACGAACAAAAGTACCGAAAAAAGAATCATAATAATTACAGGGAGAAAAATAAATTAACATATTGTGTTACATTCTCATAATACAAAACTTTTCTGTAGTAAAAAAGGGTGAACTGTAGCTACTAGAGAAGTTACATAAATTAAATCTGAAAATCCTTGTGTTAGTTAATATAAAAGCAAGTTGCAAATGGAGTAAAGAAATGAAGACCAAAATTTCAGTTTTATTACCAATGTATACTTTGGGAAAGAGACAAACAGCAGAAAAGAGAAGATGAATTTGAAGAGAAACTCAGAAATATTGCTGATGTTTTAGTTACCAGGGTTGTTGATAAGCATTAGAGTATTTGTTGTAATTTTTAACAGCTTACACATATAAATATTGACATTCATTTATGCTTTTAGAACTTAAGAAAAATTAAGACTGCCTTTAAATAGGTGTTCTAATAGTTTCTCGACACACTGTAATGATTTATCTTGACCGATCCACTTGTTGGTACACTCTGGTGGGAGATCACCTACTATAAAAGAGTAAAAGGACGCTTCATTATTAGCAATAGTAAAACGGAAGTCACATTTTTAATTTCAGTGTCTTTTCTCTATCACCTGAGCATATCAGTTTGGATTCAGTCTGGAAAGCAGAAGGCATTCTGTGTATTTTGAGTAGGAAGAGATATAATACAGTGAAGTAAAGGCACTCACAAGTGTTGGAAGTACTGGGGAAGTGAAGGCGATCTGTCACCAAACATCATATTTATGAGTAGCTACAAAGTGGATGATTCTCAGGAATATTCTCAGAAAGCATTGGCAGAGGCCCAGAAAGAATAAAACATGAATATTACCGGGCTACACTAGCAAACATTTTGTACATTCTGCGATGATTCTCAAGTTTTCCAGATGGTTCTGATGCAGGATATTTGAAGTTAAATCTTAAAAAACTCTGTGGTAGATTATTGTAACCACAGAACCAGCCTAATCTGACTCAACTTTGTGTAATAAAATGGTGAGTTTTCAGTTGCCATGGATTCCCTAGGTTGCAAGTTATGCAACCTGAGCATGTCCAGATTATCTAAGCCTGCAAGCATGGGTGGAACCTAAGTGCTCAGACCAAGAAATGGGGGACTGAATTAATAAGTGGACACCTCATGTCTTGATATACGATCCAATCAGATCAAGCCCTGGCATCATTTCATGGCACAATCCAGTCCGATCATGCCTCACAGCATTTCTCATTGCCAGATCCAATCATATCATTACCCTCTGCCTATAAAATTTGCCCCAGCCCCCAGCACTGGGAGACATATTTGTGTTGCCTCTTGTCTCCTTGCCAATCACTTGCAATAAAGCTTTTATTTTCTCAAAAGCTGGTGCCATGGTATTGATTTCTATGCTCATCAGGCAGTGAGCCCATTGCTTGCCTGGTAACATGAATATTTGATTACCCTCTTGATCCCTTCTTAGATATAAAACAATAATCACATAAATATTAATGCATTGCCTTCAACAGTAGCACTCATTAGGAATATCTCAGTGGAAACAAATGTTTGTGGTCAGCTGACAATGCCTCAATTATAAGCAGCTGCCTTTATATAAAGTCTCCCATTATTCTTACCATCCCCCACTATGGTTGACAATCAAAGATTAAGCAGAATTATTTCTGCTTCCTGACTTAACAGATTTTCCACAGAACGGCCCTAGCCTAGACCCTTCTAGGCCTATATGCAACTCAATTTAGCTACTGGATTTAAGAATTGTTCAAACACATGTTCATAAATAATTTAAGCTATTAAGAAAACAAAATGTTAAGACTTGGCTCTAGAGACCCAATATTTATTGCTGTGTGGCGACTTCCCCAGATACTCTGGTTCTAATTATTACCTTTTAGGAATACAGAAACTTGCTAACTTGAGATTTTAGAACAAGCTGCATGTAAAGCTGTACTGAAGGCACATGGACTAATGTGTCTGTGAATCCACAGAATATCCACGTGATTCCCAGGCTAATAGTGTCTTTCTTATATTGAAGAATGCCAGTCACATTTCAGTTAATTTACCCTTCTACCTCATTAGGTAATAGCTTTAGCTCAGTTAATTGATTAACATATTCCACTTATTAAAAAATAAACTGTTAAGATTCATTGTAACTAATAGACGGAGAGAATTCTGTGGGACACTGACACCTAATTTTTCTCTAAGCCTATCAACATAGTTAATTTTTTCTAGCTTGAATTCTTATAAAAATGTGAGGAGAGGAATATGAATATTTATATGTGTTTTGGCTTATCAAAATAAAGTTTACAAATTTCTAAAAAAGCTGTGTTCAACTTATATTTCAAAAGGTGTTTGTTACTTAATTGATCCATATAAAACAGACCCTCTTAATAACCCTAGCTTACAAATGGTCATGAACTTTCTTAAGTTCTCATAGCTTTTAAGGAGCAGAGCTTTCTATTTTCACCTCTAGACATACAACAGAATACCTGGGACGCTTCATTAGTGATAACTTCTCTGCCATCTCTCTCCCATTTATCCCTGCCCCATTCTGGGGATATGAGCAGTCTCTCTGTCCATGAAAGCTTCTCAAACCAAGAGATCTTTGCTTAGAAATCATATAGTGATACCCCCATAATGCAGCTGTGTAAAATCCCAAGCCAGACCCAGAAACTTCTGTTTTCCACAGTCCTGTGCAAATTCATGCCCACCTTCTTAATTTTGGCAGCTTAAAAACGGAACCATGCATCTGATGATTTCTTACTTGGATGGGATTATTTCCTGTACTCCCTTCCCTGGTATCACCTCTATGATCCATGCCCTAACCTGTAAACCTTGACCGCACATCACCCCTTACTCCCTCTGCCCCTGTGAACACACACTCCAACCTCCCTAAACTCTGCCCCTGAACATTCCTTTGTCTATTTCTTGGCTGGCCACCAGTTTGGTCTGATCTCCAGGGCTGAGTTTCTTAGCTTGATTTGCCTGGTGGTTGTATTAAATCTACTATTGATATGGTAGAGAGCAGTATTCTGAGAAATTTCATTTACTGTTTGACACCTAATACATTGACATTACTTTTTAGAGCATACATTATGCGTGCTTCTGAAGAGGCAGTGTGGTTGACTGATTAAACACAGAGAAAGAACCTCGAGTTAGACTGTCGAAGTTCAAACTCCAACTCTTTTGCTTTCTGGCTGTGTATCCTTGAGCAAGCTTCTTTATCTCTCTATATAGCCGTTTCTTCATCTGTGAAAATAAAATGGTAGAAATCACACAATTGTTAAGCTGATTAACAGTAGTTAATATATATAAAACATTTTGAACTCTTGTTGGCACAGGATAAGTGCTAAATATTTTACTATGATTCAAAACACTAGGTTGGTGCACTGATTTCACCACATATTTTATTCATTACTTACAACTGCAATATATTCTTTTGCAGATGATATCAAGTATGTTTCTTCATAGCAATAGCTAAATTCAGTTATCCCAAGAAATACCCATATACATTCTCTGGCAAGTGTACACATATAATGTGTGACTTATGGAGAATTTTAGAAGACTTTAACATGTCCACTTTGGACATAGAGAAAAATCTGCATAATAGCAACAACTTAAGGTTGTGTTTTCAACAAAGAAAGAAGTGCACAGAGTAGCACTTTGCCTTTGGCAGTGGTGAGGAAATCAGGCTACTTGAGGTGTTCAAGATGAGAAATGGCTGGAGATGGGAGAGGTTTGCATGATAGTCTAGATTTAATCTTATGTAAAGGAAAAGGGCAGGAGGATTGTACTATGCATAATTATGCACAGTCCTATAATTGAGCCTGGTTTGCATTGTAGGAATATTTATCAGACAGCAGTGTGAGGATAGCCAGTGTCCTTGGGACCGTGTCAGAAGCAATGGTGGCCAGAAATCTGGCAGGGCAGGAGACTGAGAGGAGGAATAATAAAGAAGTGCAATTCATATGCTTAGTGACTGTTTGAATGGAGAAAAGGAGAAGGCTATACCAGAAGTTTCACAAGGGTTACTAAATACATTATGTTGCCTTTTATTATAATGGATAATGTAGGAGAAAAAAATCAGTTTTACTGCAAAGTAGTTGATTATAGATTTAGACAGGCTGAGTAGGAATTGGTTGTGATAGTCCTTGTTTTAGAAATCCAAGAGTTTTTAAACTATTCTTGTACTAAGCAGAAAATTATTAGATGGCAAAGCAGAGAGAGCTGATCGCACTTATAGAAGGGGTTCTGGGCAGTATTGAAGTGCCAGTCCAGAGCTGGAGTTTGGGAATTTGCGGCGTTGTCAATTGTCACCATTTTCTGATGTTCTAAACCAGTTCTGAGTAGCCTAGGTCTTGGAACAAAAAGGTGGAATAGTTGGCTTTACCCAACCATAGAGGATTTAAAAACAGATTAGTCGGACCCACAGAGGGAAAGCAGTCAGGATTAGTGGTGGCAGCGTCATTATAGTATAAAGTCATAAGATGTAGCCAAGAGGCACATAGTAGGAAGCAAGGCTGAAAGAGGATTGGCAATTTATTCTGTGAATGTGGGGGGAACAGAAACAAGCATCTAGTTAAGCGCAAGAAGGGGATGTAATGAAAATAAGAATGTGGAAGAAGAAGATGTATTCCAACATTGGTATGTTGAGGATTAAGATTTTAGAAGTGGAGCAGTTTCAGATTTTAGGTGATATGCAGGCCCACAGAGTAACCATAAGGATGCATCATTACAGTGAAGAGGAAGAGAAGGTCCTTGTCACTGAAGAGTAAATAGCTCTGCAGGGCTACTGCTCTGAGCTGTGCTCTAGAAGATTTGCTGGAAGAAGAAATCTGAACTGCTGAAGGCTGAGATACTTTGTAGCTGTTTGAAGACCTGAGAGGGAAAGGGGACTACATAACACATGGGCAGTTTCTGTGTGGGCCTTAGAGGTAGCAGATAAGGAGTAAGCCAGGCCTAGACCTATCAGGCATTCTTTTAATATACAAGCTATAGCAGATAGCTAAGTTGAGACCTAGCAGGTGTGTAGGAAGAGAGACATACAGACTCCTTGATACATTGAGAAAATGCCAGCTAGCTATATAGGTCTAAACCAATCACTGGAATTGTCATCTAATCCAGATCACAACTGAAAATAAAGGAGGCAGGTGAGGCCACGTCAGATTGAGGCAAACAAAAAAGCCTTGAGCTGGTATTTCCAGAGATCACAGTTGCATAGACGGCTTTTTGCAACCACTGGTGGCCTTTGATGGTGTTGCGTGCCTTTTCTACAGTAGTTTCCTTCTCCCGCACTTTTGTTGTGACAAACGCACTTGGAGTCAGGAGAGAAATTCTATTCCACCTGAGCCCCAAAGAATTCACTATTTCAGTTCCAAATTCTTTGAGATTTTCTTAGCAAACAGCGCTATAGCCATCAGATCTACTTGGAATGAAAGCCTAAATATAGAATTGATCGTCTGATTCTGATAATTATTTCCTCACACTAATTATGGCATCCCAGCAATGCGATGACTGACTACAAGGGTGCCTTAGAAGCACGATCAATGTAGTCACTGGGTGTCAAAGATGCTGGACAACTCTTCCAAGGAAGCTGTGCCAGGGGATGTGGGGCTTAGGAACAACCTAGGAGGAGCCACTGCCAGGGTCCCTGAAAGAGAAAGGAAATTAGTTGAGGAGGTAGCACGATATGGGCAGTATGATGGTACCTATGTCATCATGTCCATGAGAAGATGGACTCAGTGTATCTGAAAATGATGCTTTGATAGTGTGTTGTAATGCATCTTCCTTTTCCATAGTGTTTCAGGTCATCTTTTAGAGATAAAGAGTTCCAGTCCTCATTATCTATTGGTGATATTGGTGGTATTGGTGAGAATTGATCATATACCTTTTAATAAGAAATAACAGCATTATCTTTCTTATCTTTTAAAGTCTCTCTGTTGGGAAAAATAAAATCTCTTTCAGCTTTCCTTCAATTTTTGAAAATTTTCCTCAAACAATCCACTAGCTTTTGATGATGCATTTGATGATTCTAAATGCATGATTTAAGGTTTCTAGTATTATTTTGAGGCTATTTCACATATTGGTTAAAAGCAAGGGCTCTGGTCTCAGATTGTCTGGAATTAAACATGTCAGCTCTATCACTTCTAGTTACACAATGGGTCACTTACTTGGACTTATTTGGGTTTCAGCTACCTCTGAAATAGAGTTTGTAATAATATCTAATATGTAGGATTATTGTTAAGACCAAATGTGAAACATTAAGAATAGTACTTGATAATGGTAAACAGTCAACAAATGTTTCCTATTACCATTTAGAAAGATATTTCCATACATGAAGCATATGCATTATCACAAAAATGATTTCCAAGTGGCCATGCTTTCTATTGCTGCTATTTTACATCAGATTAAATGGAGTGCTAACATTATATCAATAAATGTATTATTATAGAAATTCTCTCAATTTGTGATTTAAAAATTTTTACAATTACTGTTTATCTAAATTCTCCATTTATATTTTCTAAAAAAAGTTAAGATTTGAAGCTAAATCCCTTTGAAACGGAGTTAGGCAGGAAGTTGGAATTAACTTTAAATAGGGTGAATATACTTCTCAATCTTCATAAACCAAGATTTTCTCTGCTCTTTATTAAAAACCACAGGAAAACATTTCTCCTTAAGGGTATCAGAGCTTTTGGCCAGCAAAGGGCTCAATGATTATTGTGAAAACAAAAGACACAATAAAAACTGTTGAAATCCAGAGCAAAGTTTAATGTCTGGTAGTTACACATAAATAAATATCTCTGCTTATTCATAAATCCTCTCACAGAAATGGGAAGATTAATTTTTATGAGTTAGAAATAAATTTGAGGGTATTTTTTGAAAGATTGAAAGGGGATTTCCAGATCCCAATGTAATTTCAGGAGATAACTATTAAGAGGGTGCATGAATGGAAAAGCATCAAAGAAATTGATGTTATGCAAAGCAACAACTAGATAAGACAATCCCAAGGGATGGATTTATAAATAAGACACTAAAGCCAACAAAGTTAGCCCATCTGACAGAAATGCATTCTGGAGTTAGGCGATTATTAGGATTATTAGCCATTACATTTATTATAAATCAATTTATTTTTATAAAAAGCTTTTGTTTCAGATTATAACTTCCTTTACTAATAGATATTCTTGCTCTATCATCACTGGGTGCAACATTTTAAATTTTGCAAATTTGTATTGTCAAAGAAAGTAGGGATGTGGCTGTAGGCAGGACAGTGATGCTTGTTTATTCATTCAACCAACATTTATTAAACACCTAAAACATACCAGGTGTGCTCCTGGCACATTATTTGTTTGCATATATTTAAATTTTTAATAGACATATGGAGAAGACAAAGATGATAAAATGACTTACACATTTTCATGATAATTTGCTCATTAAGTAATTTGACCTAAAAACTAAACATCAAAATATTTTAATCAAAAGTTGAGGGAGTAGATAAATATATGAAGGATATGTTCATACTCTAATAGGCAACTGTGGCATGGATGAAGATATTGAATTCTATTTCTTATTTTTATAATTAATCATGTGACCAAGAAGAGATCAAAAGAAAGATAATACGACAACAATAGTAAAAACCCTAGGTGTATTATTTCTTCTTTAAATCAACTTGATTGAGGTATGAATAAGATAAAAAGAAATATACCTATTTCAAATGGATAGTGTGATGAGATTAAAGAAATGCATACACCTGTGGTCTCACAAGTATAATCAAGACATAGAACACAATCATCACCTCCGAAAGGTTTGTTTGGCACCTTTTTAGTCAATCACTTCTCAGAACACTTTGCTGTAGATAAACACTAATCTGCTTTCTGTCCCTAAAGATTAAACCTGCCTTTCATAGAATTGATAATTACTTCTTGCATGTGTACAGTAATTAACAAAAGATAAGACATTATAAAATTGAAGTATGTTGATGTGGTTAGGCTTCATGTCCCCACCCAAATCCCATCTTGAAATGCAATCCACATGCATCGAGGGAGAGATGGAATTGATTAATGAGAGCAGTTTCCCCCATGTTGTTCTCATGATAGTGAATTCTCAGGAGATCTGATGGTTTTATAAATGGTAGCTTTTCCTGCGCTGTCACACACTTCTCTCTCCTTCTGCCTTGTGAAGAGCTGCCATCCGTCATGATTTTAAGTTTCCTGAGACTTCTCCAGCCATGCAGAACTGTGAGTCAATTAAACTTCTTTCCTTTATAAATTACCCAATTTGGGGTATTTCTTTATAGCAGTGTGAAAATGAACTAATACACATATTATTTTGAAAATGTGATCAAGAATTCCAAGCTCATTACAAAATGGTTTCATCATAGATGCAGCACTACAATCATGAAGGGTGGTCAGTGGCTTCCTTTAGGGTATCAGATCTACTGGAAAGGCCCATGTCATTCCTCTCTATGTGATTGGTCCAAGTTTAGCCATGCAAAATAAAGAGTGAGAGAATCATAGAATAATAAAACAAGAGGCATGTAAGCCAACAGATTCAAAGTGTAGACAAAGAAGCTGAAGTCTATATTGCTAAAGACTTTATCCAGGATCACTCAGCTAGTGAGAAGAAAAAGTTAAAGAGGAGACTGGCTTCAGTAAAAGATCATAACTGACTTAACAGGAGTATATGAACTGATAATTCATATCATGGAGAGTCAATTAAACATTTGTTTTAGTCAACTCCAGGAAAGTGGTTTTTATATATTTCTAATATTATCCTTTTCAAAAATGTGTCCTTTCTAATCTCATTGTAGCCATTTAAGTAAAATTAAAATGTTTTTGCCTGCTTAGCTGACATAATGGTAATAATCACAACAATGCTGTCATTATAGTTGGATCCTTTAATCTTCCACACAGCTTGTAAATAACCTAAGTCTGGCTAGGGTTTATTGATTATCATATTGCCATTATAAAACTAGGAGCAGGAGCCAACTTTGATTGATTTCAATAAACATTTGATAATAACACTAACCCCAACCTCGGAGCATTTGAAACAAGAAAGCACGTCCACGTGCGTTATTTCAAAATATTACCTCTTTTTTCCCAAGGTGAGAAAATTAATGCCAGAAATTGATGATTGCTTTTCCTGAAATCACAGAGGTAACGTGAAGTAAGAGGAGACTAGAACCTTATTGCTACTTTTGGTCTAGGACTTGGATCAAGGTTACTGTAGAAGATTTTTCATTACCCAGCGCCCATCACTGTCAGCAGTATCTCTCTGTGTCTCTTCCAACTATTTCCCTACCCATTAGCCACCCAGCTTTCTCTTCTCACAAACCTGTGTGGTGATGATTAAGTTAAATAGATTTAAATAATAAGAATTCATGAGGCCAGGCACAGTGGCTCACACTCATAATTCCTGCACTTTGGGAGGCCAAGATGGGAGGATCATTTGATGCCAGGAGTTTGAAGCTGCAGTGAACTATGATTGCAATGCTGTACTCCAGCCTGGGAGACACAGCAAGATCCTGTCTCAACAAATATACACAAAACAAAATAAAAAAAAAAATACAAGAGTTTATGACTATCAGACCAATTTTCTGATCACAAAAATGTGTTCTTTGTATTTCTGTTGACAGGCCTTTGAGACTAATTCTTAACGAAATATGGCATTTATGTATGTTTTTTAAAGGTCACACTGATATCTGTGGGCAAGCATCGTCCAAGCTAGATATTAGGAGAATGGGCAGATTGGACTAAGATCAGGGAAAGAACAACCCAGCATGGATTATCAGTTGCCACTTCTGCAGGGGTTAGGGATAGGCCTCCACTCATACTTTCTTGGGGTCTCTTGAGTCCTAAGCATAAATTTATTCAAGTAGCAAAGAGGAATTTCCCTTTGGTCCTATCCAGAGACTATTTGGAGATCCCAGCTTTTTGTTTGGCTCTGAAATACCTCTTTAAGTCACTTGTATGTGATCTGAATGCTTTTTGTTTGTTTTATCTAGATTTCTTACATATATTCATCTCTTTGCCTGTTCTTTTTAAAGTATCTGAGTGCCCTACAAAAAAATATCTTGGACTAACTGTAAGTAAAACTCTGAATTTAATAAAGACAGTTTTCAACAGCAATGCCTCTTGTTATGATCATTGCTACCAATATATTTAAAAACAGCATTTTCTTATTAAGGTGTAAACACACCTAACAGGATTTCTTCCTGCAAATATGTAAAGTCATCCCTAATGTTCATAATTTTCAAAATATTTCCCAGTTATTATTCTTAATCTCTCAAATAATTTTTAAATATATTTATGTTATGCTCAAAATTTATAATTTTTGTACTTTTATTTACCACCTGTATTGGTTTTTTTTTTTTTTGAGACAGGATTTTACTGTTGTCCAGGCTCCAGTGCAGTGGTGTGATTACATCTTACCAGAGCCTCAACCATCCAGGCTCAAGCAATCCTCCCACCTCAGCCTGTCTAGTAGCTGGGACCACAGGCACTCACCACCATACCCAGCTGCTTTTTTATTTTTTGTAGAGCTGGGGTCTCATTATGTTGCCAGGGTGTTCTTGACTCTTGAGTCCTGGACTCAAGAAATCCTCCCGCCTCAGTCTCCCAAAGTGCTGGGATTACAGGCATAAGCCACTGTGCCCATCCTTACTACCTACATCTTACCGTATATTTGTTTATTCTTATAGCTTTTAAAATTTACTCCTTGGTATTAATCCATTCTTAATTAAATCACTACAAAAATATTTTCTTTAGGTTTAGAATATTTTCAGAGTGGCTATTGTTTTCATGCATGAAAAATATTTATATAGGTTTACTTTAATAACGTTTATTACTTTTTAATATGTTAATTTTCATTCATTTTCTTTTTTGTTTATGATTATTATTATTATTTGAAATAGAGTCTCACTCTGTTGCCCAGGCTGGAGTGCAGTGGTGTGATCCCCGGCTCACTGCAACCTCTGCCTCTTGGGTTCAAGTAATTGTCGTGCCCCAGCCTCCTGAGTAGCTGGGACTACAGACGTGTGCCACCACACCCAGCTAATTTTTGTATTTATAGTAGAGATGGGGTTTCACCATGTTAGCCGGGCTGATCTCGAACTCCTGGCCTCACGTGATCCACCCTCCTTGGCCTTCCAAAGTGCTGGCATCACAGGCATGAGCCACGGCACCTGGCCTGTTTTTATTATTATTTTAAATTGACTCATAATAATTGTACTTTTTGCGGAAACAGTGTGTTAGTTTGATGCACATATACATGATCAAATTAGGGTAATAAGCATAACCATCATATCAAACATTTATAATTTCTTTGTGTTGGGAACATTCGATATCTGTTCTTCTAGATATTTGAAAATATTCAACAAATTATTGTTAATTATACTCATCCTACAGTGCTATAGAAAACTAGAACTTATCCCACCTTTAAAGCTGTAATTTTGTGTATGTTAACCAATCTCTCACTATCTCTCCTTCCCACACTCTTTCCAGCCTCTAGTAATCACTGTTTTGCTCTTTACTTCTATATCAACACTGTAGCTTCCACATATGGGTAAAACAGAGGTGTGTTTATCTTTCTGTGCTTGGCTTATTTTATTTAACATACTGTTCTCCTTCGCCCACTTTTTGATGGGTTTGTTTGTTTTTTTCTTGTATATTTGTTTGAGTTCTGTATAGATTCTGGGTATTAGCCCTTTGTCAGATGAGTAGATTGCAAAAATTTTCTCCCATTCTGTAGGTTGCCTGTTCTCTCTGATGGTAGTTTCTTTTGCTGTGCAGAAGCTCTTTAGTTTAATTAGATCCCATTAGTCAATTTTGGCTTTTGTTGCCATTACTTTTGGTGTTTTAGACATGAAGTCCTTGCTCATGCCTATGTCCTGAATGGTATTGCCTAGGTTTTCTTCTAGGGTTTTTATGGTTTCAGGTCTAACATTTAAGTCTTTAATCCATCTTGAATTAATTTTTGTATAAGGTGTAAGGAAGGGATCCCGTTTCAGCTTCCTACATATGGCTAGCCAGTTTTCCCAGCACCATTTTTTAAATAGGGAATCCTTTCCCCATTTCTTATTTTTTGTCAGGTTTGTCAAAGATCAGACAGTTGTAGATGTGTGGTATTATTTCTGAGGGCTCTGTTCTGTTCCATTGATCTATATCTCTGTTTTGGTACCAGTACCATGCTATTTTGGTTACTGTAGCCTGGTAGCATAGTTTGAAGTCAGGTAGTGTGATGCCTCCTGCTTTGTTCTTTTGGCTTAGGATTGACTTGGCAATGCAGGCGCTTTTTTGGTTCCATATGAACTTTAAAGTAGTTTTTTCCAATTCTGTGAAGAAAGTGATTGGTAGCTTGACGGGGATGGCATTACATCTATAAATTACCTTGGGCAGTATGGCCATTTTCATGATGTTGATTCTTCCTATCCATAAGCTTGGAATGTTCTTCCATTTGTTTGTGTCCTCTTTTATTTTGTTGAGCAGTGGTTTGTAGTTCTCCTTGAAGAGGTCCTTCACATCCCTTGTAAGCTGGATTCCCAGGTATTTTATTCTCTTTGAAGCAATTGTGAGTGGGAGTTCACTCATGATTTGGCTCTCTGTTTGTCTGTTATTGGTGTATAAGAATGCTTGTGATTTTTGCACATTGATTTTGTATCCTGAGACTTTGCTGAAGTTGCTTATCAGCTTAAGGAGATTCTGGGCTGAGATGATGGGGTTTTCTAGATATACAATCATGCATCTGCAAACAGGGACAATTTGACTTCCTCTTTTCCTAATTGAATGCCCTTTATTTCTTTCTCCTGCCTGATTGCCCTGGCCAGAACTTCCAACACTATGTTGAATAGGAGTGGTGAGAGAGGGCATCACTGTCTTGTGCCAGTTTTCAAAGGGAATGCTTCCAAGTTTTGCCCATTCAGTAAGTCATTGGCTGTGGGTTTGTCATAAATAGCTCTTATTATTTAGAGATACATTCCATCAATACCTAATTTATTGAGAGTTTTTAGCATGAAGGGCTGTTGAATTTTGTCGAAGGCCTTTTCTGCATCTATTGAGATAATCATGTGGTTTTTGTCGTTGGTTCTGTTTATATGCTGGATTACGTTTATTGATTTTTGTATGTTGAACCAGCCTTGCATCCCAGGGATGAAGCCCACTTGATCATGGTGGATAAGCTTTTTGATGTGCTGCTGGATTCGTTTTGCCAGTATTTTATTGAGGATTTTTGCATCGATGTTCATCAGGGATATTGGTCTAAAATTCTCTTTTTTTTGTTGTGTCTCTGCCCGGCTTTGGTATCAGGATGATGCTGGCCTCATAAAATGAGTTAGGGAGGATTCCCTCTTTTTCTATTAATTGGAATAGTTTCAGAAGGAATGGTACCAGCTCCTCCTTGTACCTCTGATAGAAGTCGGCTGTGAATCCGTCTGGTCCTGGACTTTTTTTGGTTGGTAGGCTATTATTTATTGCCTCAATTTCAGAGCCTATTATTGGTCTATTCAGAGATTCAACTTCTTCCTGGTTTAGTCTTGGGAGGGTGTATATGTCGAAGAATGTATCCATTTCTTCTAGATTTTCTAGTTTATTTGCATAGAGGTGTTTACAGTATTCTCTGATGGTAGTTAGCATTTCTGTGGGATTGGTGGTGATATCCCCTTTATCATTTTTTATTGTGTCTATTTGATTCTTCTCTCCTTTCTTATTTGTCTTGCTAGCAGTCTGTCAATTTTGTTGATCTTTTCAAAAAACCAGCTCCTGGATTCATTGATTTTTTGAAGGGTTTTTTGTGTCTCTATTTCCTTCAGTTCTGCTCTGATCTTAGTTATTTCTTGCCTTCTGCTAGCTTTTGAATGTGTTTGCTCTTGTTTCTCTAGTTCTTTTAATTGTGATATTAGAGTGTCAATTTTAGATCTTTCCTGCTTTCTCTTGTGGGCATTTAGTGCTATAAATTTCCCTCTACACACTGCTTTAAATGTGTCCCAGAGATACTGGTATGTTGTGTGTTTGTTCTCGTTGGTTTCAAAGAACATCTTTATTTCTGCCTTCATTTCGTTATGTACCCAGTAGTCATTCAGGATCATGGTGGATGATCTTTTTAACATGCTGCTGGATTCAACTTACTAGTATTTTTTGAGAATTTGTTGCATCTGTATTCATCAGTAATATTGGCCTATAGTTTCCTTTTTTGTTATGTTCTGGGGTTTGTGATTCTCTGGGCAGCATAGGCATTGTTTCTTGGGATGCCAGTCATTGCTTCAGCTCCAGCACAATGTCGCAGGGTACAGCAGCAAATGGGTGAGGTGGATGAAACAGCTCTGCCAAAGCACAGGAGGAAATGCACAGCTTTAGCTCAGATCTGAGGGCCTGGAATGCAGCTCTGACTGGTAGGAGTTGGTGGAGCAGTTCGACTCTGCTTGGCTCCATGGCGCAATGTGTAACAGTGGCTCACAGCTTGGCTTGGGAATGTAGAGTCACCAGGAAGGGTGGTTTGGCGGCAGCTTCGCCTCAGGGATGAAAGGGTGCCATGGCCACTAGCCCCCCAGAACAAAATAGTTCCAGTTCCAAGACGGCACAGTGCGGTAGACACACAGGTCACAGGATCAGCTCCTTCTCTGGGGGAAGCACAGTTATGTGGACTTCAAGCAGTTCTTTCAGCTAAGCTTAGTGTCTGTGAGGACTGCAGATATCCCCAGTGATGAGGATTGGAGGCTCCCCAGGTGTTGATGGGGGCTGCTGGGATTCTCTTTGCTTACCTTTTCCCCACATTTCCCCAAGAGAGGTTTCTCCTGGTTCCCAGCTGATCCAGGCTGGGGAATGGTGTGGTGCAGTCCAAGTGTTTTCTTCCATTCTCCATGTGGCCATACTGATTTCCTATGCCCACCAGGGTTTTTGTTACTCGTTTTATGTACTGTAAGCTTTCCTTTAGTTATTTTCATCAGCATGTACTTTTGCATTTATTGTTTTGGCTGTCTTTGTGGGGGGCAACAAGTGCTCAGGGTTTCTACAAAATATATTAATTTTTAACTGTCCCGGTTAGTGAATATGCACTCTTTCTTAAAAGTTTTCATTTAATTGCCTTATTTCCAGGCATGCAAATCAAGTGTTTGCAAAAATGCTAGTAGGTCTTTATTTCAAGTATTCACATTTAAACATTTATTTTGTTTTGTGAAAATTACACTAACTAGCAGATTCAGGCCAATATTAATGGTTAATAGGTGAAAACACATGTAGTACTGCCTTTAGCATACCTGCTACTAGTAGTATATAATTAAGAATACATTTTACAATGGTGTTTGTATATAAATACACACACAGATACACACAAATTGGTAAGAAAATATAGAGATAGAAGATATATATAAATATATACACACACATACATAAAAAGCTTTTTATTTCTCACACAAATCCGCTTTAAAAAGTCTGGTTTTCTTCACCTTTTATGTCATATTAGAATAGAACCCTTACCTCTTTCAAGGGAGGTATGGGAGTGTAATATCTTGGCTAATTACACGTAAGTAAATGACAAGTGAGTATAATAATTTTATTGCTAGAACTCTCTAGTGCTCTCTTTCTCTAAAATGGCAATAGGTAAACTACATATTAATATGCAGTTTCTATAAGATTGAAGCAATGTCAAAGGCTAAGTCAACCCATGAAGAAAAGTTTCCCTGCAGAATGGCTTGAACAAACACTTTATATAAGTGAAAAAAATAATAGAACTACAATACTGAGATTTGGAAGTCATTTGTTACTGAAACTTAATGTAGCCTGTTCTAACATTCCATTTTAATATAATTTTTAAAAACATTTGTAAGTGTCCAATTAAAAATACTGTTGCATATTATGACAACTTTTTCCTTTCTACCACATTATAATTCATCCTAATACATTTTCTAACATAAGATGTCAGATAAAATTAATACTGCTTTGAATAATTTGAATTGTCTACTTATGAAAATATGATTTTTTTTTTGCCAGTTGAAGATGTTGTCATATAAAAGGCCATCTGATTTTGGACTAAAATGTTAAAAAAATGAAAAAAGAGAATGTAAGGAAAGGTTTATTCTAAAATTTGAAACTAAGTTTAAAAACTTTTCATGGACTTTAAGGCACCAATAAGTATTGTTCAGCAAAGGCATCTCGATGCTGAACCCAAGAACATAGAACATATTTATAAAAAAGTAATTTTCTTAGCATTAAATAACGTGCAAATCCAATCTTTTCATTTTGCTTTAAATATGATTCACTTCATTAGTTTTAGGATTCATTTATATTTTTTAAAAGGGAATATATTTTTATTATCATAATTTAGGGTAGAAATCTCTTGTTTTATCCCATGCATCCTCTCCTTTGGTATCAGAGAAAACCTTTCCTGTGAACATCCTTTCTATGTGCCTTTGGTGGGGTTGAACCTGTCCAGTATCTCACTCCTTCTATAAGGGTTAAGCTCATGACCGAAGCCTTGGCAGGGTATGATGAGACCAGGGTCACAATAAATGTTAGAAGATTAGGCAGGTAACAGAAGCAAGTTTAAATAGAGTTTTTCATGAATTTTCCAATGACAGATGAAAGACTTGCCAAGATCATAGACCAGTTATTTTGTAAGTCTGGAGATGGGTACTGATACCTTCCCTATGCTGAATGAAACTTGAAGAAAAAAGGAAAAACAAATATATTGAACTCATGGTAGTTTTAGTACAAAAATAAAATTTAACAAAAAAAATTTTTTTTTTAAATGGAGAGCTGAGTAGGGATTTTCTGATATCAGTTGAGTTATTAGAAAGAGCTATAACTGAAATTGACTCTCTGATCCTCTAAGTTAATGAAATCAATCAACTGCTTCCCCAACAAACACAAACAAAACTTTTTGGTGATGGGGTATTAATTTAGTCAAGATGAATCTTAATTATTTGCTGTAGAAGAAGCCTGACTTATATATTATTATAATAATGATTATCATAATTTATCTTTATTTTGTACTAATGGGAAAATGTTCTTTATTGCATTGTAGACCAGAAATCAAAGAAGGAAAGTAGGGAATCCTTAAAAGTTGAGTGAAATAAAGAAAATAAAAGTAAAACTCAATGATGTAAAGAAAAATAAAATTTTGTAGAAAATAATTAGAAACTTCTATTGTACAACATGGTGACTGTAGTTCATAATAATGTATTATATTCTTGAAAATTGCTGAAAGAATAGATTTTAAATATTTTCACCACAAAAATGTGTGTGAGGTAATTCATTTATTAATTAGCTAAATTTAGCCATTTCACTATATATATATATTTCAAAACAACATGTTGTACATAATAAATGTATGTTTTATTAGTCAATTTAATATTTTTTTAAAAAGAAAAGAAAAGAAGAAGAATTGGGAACTAGATTGACAGAATAGCCTTTCCTGTCTACAATGATTTTGTCTTTTCATCTTTATGGCTCTCATTTTTGTTTTTGAGCTATGATTGTGTTATTGTACGTATGGTTATACTGTGTTATTTTTGCTGTCTTAACTGAAATCGTGGACAAGTTCACTTTAGAATCCCACTCCTTCTAAATACTGTATTTCAAATATATTTTGAACCTCTCAGAATTCTGCATAATCAGATACTGCATACATATCTGAGATATCCTTCTGTGATCAATGTGCAGCAGCTTTAACCTATGACAATTCTACGAAGGCTACACAGAAGTGTTGTGGCTTACTTCTAGGTTGAGGAAAATGAGATCACTTATCAGGTAAAATGCTGTTTGTACGCACTGTTCTGTATAGACACAAGGATGTGTATGTATGTTTTCATGCATTATTCCAGAACATTACCAGTTTATCTAACGTAAGACCAAAAATGTTTTTACACAATCAAATCACAATATTATTTTTATTATTAAGGTATTTTGATAGTTAAAATCCTTCAATTTAACAATAAGTATATATCAACCTAATCTTAACGTCACTGTTTTCTAAGAAACACATGAAATATTGCTATACTTTATCTGTTGCTAATGTCTAATATGTATGTGAGGTTTCATTATGTGAACATCACTTAAGTACTTACATAAACACTTTTCTACCTTTTCTAGTTACAATTCTGTACCTTTCCATAATACTATGATAGCAGTAAAATTAGTTCAGTAGTCCCATGATGGCATTAAAAATATCTATGGAACACTCCCCTAAGTTCCTTTTTAATTAAGATTCTTTACAAATTAGATAATTGAGCATACACTCATAACATGGCCACTTTCCAAGAGTTAACAATACTTATGTTAGTGAACTATGTTACCTAGTAACAAAAGTACCATAGCATTTCCATAATATTTTACTAATACATTCAAGTTGCCCTAAGTTATGATAGCCAAATATATGGCAAAAATATCCATGAATATTACATAACCACCTTTGTAAAAATGCATTTTGTTTTTTCTCTCAAAGTTCCTTTTGTAAATATTTCTGGTTTTCTGCTTCATCCTGGAAATTGGTTCTGTGGCACAATAGGTATGCCAAATGGGGAAAAATAAACAATAAAAAGGAATTAATTAGTTTTTCTAGAACTAAAAATCAAATTTCTAAAGTAAAGGAATTTTCCTAGATTGGAATTGATAACTGAATAAGCATGACAGAGTAAAGTAAGATAAATCAACTAAAATTATATAAGATGTAAAACAGTAAGAAAAAAATTTAAAAAGATGAACAGAGACTTAGGGGCTTGTTTGATTATCTTGATCTCAGTGCAACAAATGTGTAATTATAATAGTAGAAAAAAGAAAATTGAGAAAAAATTATTTAAGAAACTTTTATATTTTCCAAGTTTGATGATAGATATACATTTGCAGATATAATATGCTTGATGGATATCAAGTAGAAAAAAAAAAAGAAAATAAGCTCGAAGTTAGGTGCATTGCTGTCAAATATTTGAAAGCCAAAGATAAAGTATATATCCTGAAAGTGACAAGATAAAATCAACATGTTACATATAGGAGACAAGATTCCAATTAATAGCTAATTTCTTACCCGAATTTGTGAAGAGAAGATAGAAACAATGTATTACAGTGTAGAAAAGCTATATATATTTGAACTTCTCAGAATTCTGCATAATCAGATATTGCATACACAAGGATGTGTATGTATGTTTTTATGCATTACTCCAGAACATTACGAACAGAAGACAGAAACAACGTCTTACAGTGTTGAAAAGCTATATATATATATATATATATATATATATATATATATATATACATATACTTAATTTCAAATACATTTTGAACTATATATACATATAGCTTTTCAATGCTGTAAGACATTTTTATCTTCTAATATATATAATATGTATATATATACAAGCTACATATATATATGTATATATATACACACACACAAATTATCAACCCAGAATTCTATACTCAGCAAAACATCTTTCAATAATGAAGGTGAAATATAAATATTGTCAGATAAAAGAATTAAGGGTACATTATCACCAGCATATTTGCACTACAAGAAATGTTAAGGGAATTTCTGTAGGCTGAAAGAAAATGATAGCACAGAAAAGATGTATTCTCAAAATAGAGGAAAAAAAATCTGAATCGGTAACTATCTGAGTAGATGAAAAGGATGTTTTTCTGGCCAGGCGTGGTGGCTTACACCTGTAATCCCAGCACCTTGGGAGGCCGAGGCGGGCGGATCACGAGGTCAGGAATTTGAGACCAGCCTGGCCAACATGGTGAAACCCCGTCTGTACTAAAGATACAAAAAATTAGCCGGACATGGTGGCATGTGCCTGTAATCCCAGCTACTCGGGAGGCTGAGGCAGGAGAATCACTTGAACCCGGGATGTGAAGGTTGCTGTGAGCCGAGATCTTGCCATTGCACTCCAGCCTAGGAGACAGAGCAAAACTCCATCAAAAAAAAAAAAGAAGAAGAAAAGAAAAGAAAAAAGAAAAAAGAACCAAGTTAAGACAGAGAAAAAAGCAGAAAACGTAGGAAACCACCCACAACATAACCATATCAGTAGTTACATTAATTGTTAATGAATTAATCCAAGTAAAATTCGTATTTTCAGAACGAATTGAAAAACAACACCAAGTTTTCTGCTATCTAAAAATAGTATGTTTTATTTTAAAGAAAAATGTAGGTTGAAAGTAAGTGAATAGAAAAATATTTTTAATGCAAGCTTTAAGCATAAGAATATCGGAGTAGTTACATTTTAAAGAAACATTTCAAGAAATTAGTTATTACCAAAAATAAAAAGGGAAATTTCACAATGATATCAGTTTACTCATCAGGAAGGCATAGCACCATGAACATCTATGAATTCAATATATCAGAGCTTTCAGTGGCATGAAGGAAAAATGGACAGAATTAAAAGTAGAGATAGTTTGATAATTATAATTGAAGACATTAGTACCTCTTTCTCAACAATGGATAAAACAACTAAAGAAAAATCACCAACATTTTAAAGGTCTAAATGATACATTAAATATCATCAACTATTTTGATTTCATTGATGTTTATACAGTACCTCAGTCAACAAGGGCAGAGTATATATTATTCCAAGGTGCAAGTAACGGATTTACCAGGGTAGACTCTATAAAGACACATAAAGGTTCAATAAATTTTAAGACATCGAAATTATACAGAGTATTTTACTGGTACTAATAATATTTAAACATGATGGGATTGAATCAAAAATAAATAAAACAATACAATCAGAAAAGTCTCACATATTTGGACATTAAACAACACCCTTTTAATTAACACATTTATCAAAAAAGAAATCATGAGGGGAATTGAAAATGAATATTAATAGAAACATGACATAAAATTTGTGAGACACAGCTAATAAAGCATTTAGATGGAATTAATAGCTCTATAATTCTTTTGTATATATACATTATTTAAATATTAAATATTATTTTATACATCAACTTATTATATATATAATCACTCTTATAATACTATAGAAGTAGAATTGCTGAAAGCAAATAATTGAATCTTCCTGATTCACAGCTTAGGAAAACAGAAGAAATCAAACCAAAAGGCATAGGAAAGAATACTAAAAGAATACATAAATAAAAAAGAAAATGGAGATATAATTTAAGAAATTAACAAAGTAAAAAGTGAATTATATGAAAAGGTTGACAAAACTATCTCTTGCAAACTTGGATCAAGAAAAATATGATGAGAAGACACATTGCCAATATCAGGCGTGCAAGAGAAGAAATAGAAATTCTTAGTTTGTTTTGTTGCTTCAACTTTTATTTTAGATTTGGGGGTGCATGTGAAGGTTTGTTATATAGGTAAACTTGTTTCATGGAGGTTTGTTGTACAGATTATGTCAAAACCCAGGTATTAAGGCTCATATCCAATAGTTATTTTTTTCTGCTCCTCTCTCTCCTACCACCCTCCAAGTTCTAAAAGAATATCATTAACAATTTTATGCTGATGAATGTGGCAACTTAGATGAAATGAAAAATTCATTCAGCAACTATTGCTGCTGAAGTTAGCTTCATCCAGGTGTACCATCATCACCAACACCTTGTCTCAGCTTGCTTCCTGCCTCAGGGCTTTTTGGATGCTTTCGTTCCCATACTTCTGCAAACTTGAAAGTGCAAGTGTCTTAATATCCCGTAGGACAACTCTTGACCAATGCAAGATGAAGAGAAGGTTCAATAGATAAATATTCTCTTTTCTGTGATTTTCAGGTTCACAATTCTGCAGTCAAATTCTCAGATACTTCAAAGGAGCTCAGTGGAATCAAGTCCCAATTATTCACAGCTCGTAACATACTCTCCTCCTGGCTTCTCTTCCTTCTCTCACTCTTCCCAGTCCTCTATTCCATTTCCTGGCATCATATACAATCCATAAGCAAATTCTCAGGCTCAGGTTTCTGGAAAAAAAATATAACATCAGCAGGACAAGAAAACTTGAGAAATATCTGGAAAACAGCAGCTGGGGTTGGAAATGACAGAAAATGAACAGAGAAATCATTTGCCCATGATGTCCAAGTAACTGGCTCATACCAAGAAAAGTGCAACTCTCCAAATCACTTTCCATGTTCATCACAACTCAGGTATAGTTCTAATCTTCATCATCTCCACTCAAGAACACAGATAGAGTACTCTCTCTGGAACAATGGCAGGTGTCAATTCACAGGAATAAGGCGAGCTTGTCATTTCCATTCACACTTTATTGTATAAAGCTAGCTTGCCATTTGAGTTCAACTGCATGAACACTATAATGCTCTAGCAGGAAAGGATTACACATATTTATGAAAAACGATAAAGACAGTCATTTTAATAAAACCCAAGGAAAAAAAATAGTGAAACAGTAGCAATATTTAACTAGACGTTTGGGCACAAGGTTACTTGTAAATATAATACATTCTGGAAGCATATGAGAAATTTTAATGAACTTTAAATAAAGATGCCTGAACTTCAAAAGTAAAGCATCTTTCCCTTATATTACTATTTTACTGTGTTGGAAGTAAATTATAATCAAGTTATTTGTACCAGAAAAATAGATTTGGTACTGTAATTTTTTCTTATTTTTTTAATAGTCCAGATTTTTATCACATGGTTGTTCTTATCCATATTTTACTTTCCTAAACTCATAATCTTCAGAGAGTAAATGTTATCATAGAAGATATATTTTTATATAAATTAATCTAAACTTTTAAACAAATATATTACAATATTTGCAAACTCCATAAATATTAGTTGAAATGCTGAAAAAACTTGGGATTTAAAATTGTTACTTATTTCACTGATGTTGCTCGTGGCCTATAACATTGTTTTTTGTATAAATTTATGAGGTACAAGTATAATTTTAATTTATGGATTATTGCATAGTGGTAAAATCAGGGCTTTAATGCATCCATTACCTGAATAACATACATTGTACCCCTTAGGTAATTTCTTATCATTCACTCTCCTCTCACTCCACCCTTCCTAGTCTCCATTTAACACCTATGTAGGATTTATACATTCTTATAAATTAACTGGGTTTCTGAGTAGGTCTGATATGAGTTCACTTTTATAAAGGAATATCTTTGATGTTTCAGTAACAATTTTCATCCCCAAATTTATCGTATTCAATTGGAAACTCCACATCAAATAATGCAAGAAGTTCATTAGCCCAGGTCGACCTGAAAATGTCAACATACCCTCATTGTATGAGATTAATTTTGTGCTATATATCCGGCAGTGATTTTGGTCAAACTATTATGGAATTATAGATGTCATTAGACTGTTTGAAGACATGCAATTTCATGTTCTCAGCTTACTCCTTAAAGTAGTAACTGTGCAGAAGTCAAATTGAGGCAGCTTCAAACACTTACATAAAATGATCTGCTGTATTCAATTAGTTTCTTCTCATTTTAATAGTCTTATATTTCAACTAGGAAAACTGAGAATCTGTGTAAAAATAGTCTAAGGTTTGTGGCTGCCATAAGATAATGTGAACTGAGGCAAGCAACACATTTTCATTGAATCGTTCCCAGAGGCTTAAGGGAACATAATACATGTTAAAGATAGGTAGAAGTGAGTGCTATAGCACAGACTCAGAGCTTCTTTTGAGCCAGCTTAGGAGGATAATACATGTCACTGCAAACCATTCATTTGAGCATTGCACTTAATTACACTCCTCAGGGTAAAAGTGGGCATAGTCTCATAATGCTTACTATAGCATAGTATTCCAAGCACACATTTTTATGTAATGGATTCAAAATGCCTTGCAGATACTGCATAACTATTACTGTCTTTCTTACAATGGTGGGCCGGTCTGAATTTAATGATAGCTACTGTTGGACTCGCCTGTGCTGAGCTAATAATTTAAGTTGAGCTTGTTGAATCTTATTTTTTTGTTTTATAACCAAAGTCTATTTTTAATTTGCATATATGTGTGCCATCTGCTTTCACAAAAAAAAGGAGGTATCTCAGGAAAGGTTCTAAGGCCAAGCTGCAGTGTTGAAAGGTTTATAAATCTATTTTGATTCACATAAGCATTAACTCTTTACACAAAATCTGGCATCAGTAACAATGATTTATTATTTTTTTATTTCCAACACGAAGGAATGGAAAAGTTAGAAATCATATTTTATTTTTCTTGCTTGCAGTGCAGTCCTACTTGTCATCATATTTTTCTAAGTTTAAGCCCTTGTTCAGAGGGAATGTGGCTGGTTAATGTAGGTATTTTAACTGAAGATGGTACCTGTTGTAGGAGGGACCCAGTAGGAGGTAATTGAATCATGGGGAGGTTTTTCCCATGCTGTTCTTGTGATAGTGATTAAGTCTCATGAGATCTGATGATTTTATAAAGGGAAATTCCCTTGCACATGCTCTCTTTGCTGCCATGTAAGATGTGCCTTTGCTCCTCCTTCATTTTCCGCCATGATTGAGGCCACCTCAGCCATGTGAAACTGTGAGTCCATTAAACCTCTTTTTCTTTATAAATTTCCCATTCTCAATTATATCTTTATTAGCAGCATGAGAACAGTCCCTAACTAGGTACACTCCCTAACTAGGTACTTCATGGAACACCAGTGTCTGAGTGATTTCCAGGGACAAAGAATAAAAGAAAAGCTACCCCCGGTTAGTCAGGAAAGTATGCTATTGGCATTTTGCACTTCATAGTAGGTAGAAATAAAATCTGTGTAAATACTCTACTTAAAATGATTTATGTGCCTTTCAACTCTAAAATCAAACTGTAAGTTATAGTAAAAACTATAAAATGTGCAGATTACATGTAATGATAGTGCTATAAAGTTTAAGAATTAGCAGAGGACATAATACGAAAAAGAGAAGATGAGCATAACGCACTATTATTTTTCTATTGGTTCTTCTAGATTAGGATTCTCACCATCTCTTTGGTGAGTAGTGAGTGGACTATATTATATTATCTTTGTTGTACTGTTTCCATATTAGATGTACATAAGAATTGTATATTGGAATATGTTTAGTTTTATCATATAGAGAAGAGTATTTATATACATTTCTTATGTTTATTATATCCCCATTTCACACCCCTTATATACACTTATACATGAACTATGTGACTCAACCAATACTTGCAACTAAGAACATACATGTTCAAATCAGAAAAACTTCAGGTAAGTAACGTGCCTTTTAGAGAATATTTACATTTAAAGAATCTTATTTCCCACTGGATAGACTACATTTTACAGCTGCTGTATGTGCATAATTACACATACACTGTATGTGCAGTGTGTTCCTGTTTCCTTAGATCTGCTATGTTTATTCCCTACTCATCCAACTCGTGAAACATCATCCAACTCATCAGCTCATCCGAGTCATGAAACATTGTCCCCACTCATGTGCAAAAAACCTCCCCTGTCTTTCCAAGTTTGTCCAGTGGGTTTGTTTTCTCCTGACCAGTATCCATATCAGGTTCATGTATTTTGAACTTATTCTTCCCTTTCTAAATAATATATTGAAATACTTTTCTCCCTGAAGTGCCTTGAACACATTGGTGATGAATGAGGGAAAGTTTTACTGAAAATCTGGGTGACAAAGGTAGGTTATGTAAAAGCACGGTTGATATGGTTTGGATTTATGTCCCTGCCCAAATTCTTCCTCCATGTGGAATTGGAGGAGGGGTCTGGTGGGAGGTGCTGATTATGGTGATTATTCCCTCTTGCTGTTCTCATGATAGTGAGTGAGTCACATATCGTTCCTTCCTGAATGGACTCCTGTGACTTGTAGAATGTTATGTGTTGAATCAGTCACTGGCATGAGGCATGACGTTACTTTAAGATAAATCACAGCATACAAATAAAGCTGGCAGGAGCTAGATTTCCCTAAAGTGCATGAATTTTCCAGACATATAATTACAGTTGATTTCTAAACTCCATCTTATACGTCAGTTTTTGATCTAGCTTGCCTTCCAAGACATGCTTATTGTTGTATGTGGAATAGCATATTGCTATGTTTTATAACTCTGCTCCTCTGGTAAATATAAATGTAATTTTTTTCCAAGAAATATAAGGACCCAATAAAAGTAGTGTGTGCACACTTGTGCTCACATGTGACTGTTTACACAACTAACATGCTAATCAACTTCAATTGTGGTATCTCATTTGTTTTTTATTTAATTTCATTTGAGGTAGGTACTATTATTCACTGATGTACACAGATATCAAGCTTACTATATAGACAGAGATATAAATATTGACATGGATGTGACTACCTGTAACTGTCTAGATTAAATCCTTTTCTTGTAATAATTTCTTTTTCAAAGCAACCTGAGTTGCGGAAAGTAACTTGTTTCTAATTTATTATACTTCTCTTGCTCTGGCAAAACTTTCTGGATACTGCTGAATTTAGAAGATCTGTTGAATCTAAAATATTTCTTTAGAACCTTAAGATGTTATTTGGCCTGATTTTATTTCATGTTAGTTCCATCACTATCTAAACAGCCTGTGTGTGATGAGAGTTTGGTTACTGGGGCCCCCATGACTCACTGTGTCTAGCTGTTGGCAACGGCATTATGGAAACTTCTGAGTCTGAATCTGGTGACATCCCATATGTTGTTGACCAGGTTTCCTGTGGTCTAGACAGTGGCCTGAGAGAGGATAATTTTTGTTAATATCTATTCCCTGAGCCATAATATGTAAATATTGCTTATTTAGGTATTTTCAAAATTATCTCAAAACTCTTCAATGTTTTTGTGTACAAGCTATCATCTTAAGTTACAACAGTGAATATTTAGTGTGTGTGCTTATTGTCTAGTCAGGCATGTTCTGGAAAGAATTTCATGAACTACAATACTTGTCACTTTATAATCTTTAGTTTTAATGTTCATATAATTATGTTTGAAAAATTTATAATATGGTAAAATCTGCTAATATTCACTGTGGGGAACTTTATTTGAAATACTGTGCTGTTTAATGATAACTACCTGTCTATCGTCTATCTAATCAAATTGTTTTACTACCAGAAAACCTAAGACACAAAACGAAATATTGTTTTAAAACCATCATATGAGACCTGAATTATTTACTTATAGAATATAACTTGTTTTAAATTTCTCTTTAATAAATAATTTACTGTAATTTCATTTAAGCAATTCCTTTTCAGAAACATCTTAGTTGCCTAAACCAGAGTACATTCCAATGCCATTAATGTTTCCGGGGGGAAAACAAACTAATAAAAAACAAATCAGTTTCTGTTCTCTGGTATTATAAAGTTTACATAGATAGATAGATAGATAGATAGATAGATAGATAGATAGATAGATAGATAACATATAAGTAGATATATTCAAGTTATTTATGTACTGATTTTTTAAACTTGATTACTACTAGGTCCTATGAACCATATAATATGTCTCTTTTTAAAATTGGTAAATTATTATATTCCCCTTAATTATCTCTACTCTTGAATGACTGTTAGAAGTTTCTGATTTCCCTGCACTTCTGAGGAAATGCAGTGGAAATTCCTGTACACTGTCAGGGAATCCCCTCTCTTACCTCCTTTTGCCAGGGCAATACCCGGAAGAAAATTCTACTTAATTTTTAGGAGCACACTGTTTTCTCCAGGAATTTCTGTCCATTCTTTGGAGACCGTGTTATTAGAATCATCAAGGGAGCAGGTGAGTACACCAGTGAAATATACACCAAGCCAAATCAGATAGTTGTACTCAAGTCAGATGTTGTAAGTACAGCAATGGAGTAATGTAAAATGTTGGAAATGGGCCAGAGTTTAAACATACTGGTATTATCAAATGGAGTCTGATATTGTAACTTTAAATATTAGAATAAAAATTTATTGACTTCAAGATAGTAGAACTGGAACAGATGGGATTTGTTTAATTCAAACACCGGACTTGAGTCAATAGAGGATTCTCACAGACTCCAGGCCATGAAGTTTTGTCTTCCTTGTATTTTAATTTCTGTATAGTTCAAGTACTTATACAATCTGACTAGAAAAAAATCTTGATTGACTTAATCCACATAATCACCCTATTTCTATTGTTATTATTTCTGGAACTAAAGAACAATAAAAAGCATTTCTTTATTTCCTGCTCAGAATTGCAATATTTTGCCATTGTGTCATTGATTTCCAGATTAGAATGTTTTCTACCAAAGGCTTTGTGTCGTAGCATATACCTACTAATATTTTTATCCTTCCATGATCACTGCATAGTATTATTTTCTTTACCTTGGGATACATTGTGATTATTATAATATTTAAGATCAAAGGAATTGGCTCTTAGTTTGTGAAGTAAAGTATCTGAGATTGGTAGTTTTATTTTTTTCCTATTTTTGTGAAACAACCTGGCATCTGCAATTGCCAATATCCTGTGGCAATTAGTCATTGCCCCTTTTATTTCCCAGAAGACACAATTCAAGCTTCAGCAAGTTTTCCCTTCCACACATGTCTTATATTGTTAAGCTATTGGCAATATTTTTAAAACTGTTTGATCATCTAGCTTTTGTCTTCATCTTTTTGTTTCTGGGAAATTGAATACAGTTTTAAAATATCTTCCTTTGCCACTTTGAAATAATGACATCTTATTGATAATGTGCCAATGCTGATGATGAGTAGATATCTGTAAGTATGAAATACTTAAAATTACATTTCAAAATTGGTCATATTAAAATATAATCATTGGAATTTGCATATGGCAGAAATAACTGAATAACTTTACATTAAATGCAATTATTCTGATAGGTCTTTTCTTTTACATTGTCCTTGATTCTCTCACCATTGTACGCTGGGTGTGAGGAGAGGAAGATACTTCATTTTTTTTGTGCATCAAGAGCAATTATACCTGGGAAGTATTATGGACACCTGGACTTGATTGAGATTGAGATTTTGAACCTTGAGTCTGAACCTGATGATACTGGAATGAAATGAGACTTTAGGAGGGAGGGTTTCGGAAAGAAGTGAATTTGCATGTGGAGGAAATGCAAATCATTTGTGAACAGAAGGCCGACTCTAGTGATTTTAAAACATGGCCACAAATTCTTTGATAATCTTCCAGCAAGACATAGGGATGTATCCTTCTCCTTTGAATTGACTGTCATAACCAATAAAATATAGCAGAAGATACTATTTGACTTCCTAAGCTATGTCATAAAATGCCATGAAACTTCTGCTGTATTCATTGAAACATTTCATTCAGAAGCCTGTCTTAGTCCATTCAGGCTTCTATAACAAAATAACATAAACTGGGCAGCTTATAAACAACAGAAATGTATTCCTCATGTTTATAGAGGCTGGAAAGTCCAAAATCAAGATGCCAACAGATTTTGTCTGTTGAGGGCCTGTTTCTTTTTTCATAGATGGTGCCCTGTTGCTATATCCTTACATGGGGGAAGGGGAAAAGAGGCACAAATCCCATTTATGAGGGCTCCTCTTTCATGACCTCATCAGTTTCCCAAAGGCCCACATCCTAACCATCACCTTGAAGGTGAGAATTTCAGCATATGAATTATGAGGGGGTACAAACATTCTGATCACAGTAGAGCCTTAAGCTTCCATATAGAAAGACCAACTATTGTAATGTGACATGCTTCAGTGAGGTTCACATCACATGGAATTGTGACAGGAGCCAGGGTAGATCCTCAGTTGACAGCCCCACCTGAGCCTGGTCTTTGAATCCTCCCAATCTGGTTTTGTCAGACATGTATATGAAAAAGTATCCAGATGATTCTAGGTTGCAGTTACTCCTAGCAATTGAAATCTTGCCTGTTAAGTCACCAGATACCATGAATCAGAAACAAGCCATTCCTGCTGGCACACTGAATTCTTGACCTACAGAATCTGGGTACACAATAAAGTAGTCATTCTTTACAGCACTAAGTTTGCTTTTATTTGTCATGCAATAGTTGGCAACTGGGACATGTACTCAGCATAAATCAACATAATGAATTTCAGCACCTATTTACCTATTTCAGCTTTAAAACTATGATTTGAAATTTCAGGCATAAAATTAATTGAAGAATTAAAAAAAAATCCTGCACATAAATTTACAACATAGTGTATATTTCTACATAAACACAGACATTAAATATTTACTTAATTATAAAAGGATAGCTGTGTGTTTTGTTTCAATAACAAGTACTTAATGTTAATCAATGGTTTTATTTGAGTTTCTCAGGGCTTATTTACTTTGAACACCTAATATGGTTTGGCTCTGTGTCCCCATCCAAATCTCACATTGAATGGTAATAATCTCCACATGTCAAGGGTGGGGCCAGGTGGAGATAATTGAATCATGGGGGAGTCTCCCCCATACTGTTCTCCTGATAGTGAATAAGTCTCACAAGATCTGATGGTTTTATACATGGGAGTTCACCTGCGCAAGCTCTCTTGCCTGCGGCTGTGTAAGACATGACTTTGCTCTTCATTCGCTTTCCACCATGATTGTGAGGTCTCCCCAGCCATGTGGAACTATGAGTCAATTAAACCTCTTTCCTTTATAAATTACCCAGTCTTGGGTATGTTTTTAATAGCAGGGTGAGAACAGACTAAAACAGGATGCAAACAATAGAAGTAATTTGTAAGGTACTTAGTATTCAATTGCTTATTTATAAAGAGAGAACATGAGCTGAATGAACATGTTGTCCTCTACTCTCCCTGTTTTTTTTTTCTGACTTCCAACCCATATCTCTAACATAAAGGATAATTACCTAGCATGCTCAATGTAAGTATTCTGAAGTCTTCAATCCCAGAATCTGAACTAAAAACTAAATAATACAAATTTTTTTGTAAAAGGTAAGTGTCAAAGAACCTCATGATTCAAATATACACGCACACACACACACACTAGCTTTCAAATAATTTTTACATAGTTACACGCATATTTGCTTTACCTCTAACTTTAGACTTGAAGATTGTCAAATTTGGAAGAGTTTTCCAAATTATTGAAGACAATCCCATATGAAATTAAATATCAATAAACTTTGAATGATATTAACTAGTGATATAAAGTAATGTTATCTGAATATTTAAATAAACATAATAATTTAAATTTACTCAGACATAACTTTTCCTTATTAGTATGACATGGATGTTTTCATTGAGGAAATCTCAAAGCCATATCACTCTTAGGGGACAAATACATGAAGCAGACAGATTAATTTTTACCTTTCTTTTGCTTTTGGTAAACAATCCGTGGCATCTCTTTCAACATGACCTTCAGATTTGACTTTTTGATTATGTGGTTGTATTAGTTCATTCTCACACCAGAGACTAGGTAATTTATAAAGGAGGGAAGTTTAATTGACTCACAGCTCCACATAGCTGGGGAGGCTGCAGGAAACTCGCAATTATGGCAGAAGGCAAAGGGAAGCAAGGACCTCCTTCATATGGCAGCAGGAGATAGAATTGTAAGAGGGGAATGCAAGAAACTGATAAAACCATCAGATCTCCTGAGACCTCACACACTATCATGAGAGCAGCATGGGGGAAACTGCCCCGGTGATTTAATCAACACCCTCCCTCCACACATGGGGATTACATGTCCCTCCCTCAACGCATGGTGATTACAATTCAAGATGAGATTTGGGTAGGGACACAGAGCCAAACCATCACTGGTCAATATGCATCTTCCAATATAAGAATTGCTATAGGGCTCATGAAAAACATATAACTGTTTTTAGTTAGTGGAGTATGAGTATATTCAAATCCTCCATTTGGAAATTTGCAAATTTCCTGCACATGGAAAAAATGTTATTTATGCAAAGAGTAGGAAAGAATTGATATTGCACAATGTTGCTGAGCTTTCTTCAGAATCTGAGTGTTGGCATAAGTAAAAAGTCAAATTATTTTGTAATAATCAGTTGTAATAACTCTATTTTAAATATTATAAATTAATTTCCCTTTACCAAAGCCAAATCCATCTTCACAAATATCTGTCTATATCACACAATCAACAAATCTCATTGCCCGAAGTACATTTCACTTACATGTTTGTTGAAACATTGTGTTTCAAAAACCACTAATGTTTTTCTTCACTTTTTACCATTGAAGATAGTCCTACATTTTTCACTGAAAAAAAAAATACTAAGGAATGTGCTCAACTTCACTCCAAATAAATTGGATAAACACATACATACCTGCCTACCTCCATAAATATATAACGTATTTTCTCCAAAATATACTTTATGTTAGGGCAACATAGGTATAAAGAAACATCACATATTTAAATGACAAATAGAAATAGCATAAAATGAAAATAAACCTTAAAGTAAGCATCTTACGCTTTTAAATACAAATTTTCAAAATGTTCATGTTTTTGTAATAAAAACAATATGTTATAGGGAAATAGAATAGGCCAGAAAAAAAAAAAAAGTGAAACCTAGTTTTGTTACATGTTTAACTGTAGAAACTTAGAGTAGTTTCCCAATATCTGAATGTCCCTTTCACTACAAAATCTTCTCTCAGGGTTGTTGTGTGAATTTATGAAGGACAAGGACATAGCAGAGGGCCACATACAGGTAGCTTCTAAATGAATGTCAGCTTTTTTCTGTTTTTCTTCTTCCTTAGAGCAGGACCAAAGTATTGATCATCCTTAGATATGCTAGTGTCTTGAAAACAGTGACATAAAATACATGGCTGTACTTTATACTGATTTATTATCCAACTTCTATGAATTTTTATTAAAATTTTAGTAAGATATTTTAAGTAATTTTCATTTATGTTATAAAACAAACAAGCTTATCAGTTTATAGTATAGGGAATACTTCAGATTTTAGTGCTGAGTTGAATTTATTCTATGAATTAAACTAAATTGATATGAAGATTGTTGTAATTTAGAGTAGTAAATACATGTGAAAAAAGTAAATACATGTGAAAAAGTCAATAAATAAAGCAGAGGCATATCTAATTAATTTTAAAAGCCTCCTTCCTTTACCTTCACCCTTAGTCACACATATTAAAAAAATACCAAACTATGCAGACTAACACTATGATTAATCAAGTTCTACATTTGAAAGGAAGCCTGTTAAGTTTCAGTATAAATTATTCTGCTATTTGCTATCCTAACATTGATATAATTATACCTTCCTTTTTAAATTTACCAATTTTATGCAATATTTATTAAGTCCTTTTTATATAAGATGAGGAATTTAGTGTACTTATAATTTCAGGACTCTTTCTTCAACTTCTGAAGTTTTGGTAGTTATACAATTTTTGTTTTTATTCATTAATTAATTAATTCATTCATTAGAAAATATTTAGTGAGGCCAGGCATGATGGCTCATGCCTGTAATCCCATCCCAGCACTTTGGGAGGCCGAGGTGGACCGATCACCTGAGGTCAGGAGTTTGAGACCAGTCTGACCAACATGGAGAAACCGCATCTCTACTAAAAGTACAAAATTAGCTGAGGCATGGTGGCACATGCTTGTAATCCCAGCTACTCGGGAGGCTGACACAGGAGAATCAGCTACTCGGGAGGCTGACATCTAAGCCGAGGTGGCGCCATTGCACTCCAGCCTGGGCAACAAGAGCAAAACTCCATCTCAAAAAAAAAAAAGAAAAAAATTTAGTGAGCACACTAGGTGCCAGTCACTAATCTAGCTTCTAGGACTATAACAGGGAACAGCACAGACTTGGTGCCTACTGACTCGGAGCTTGAATTTCAAGGGAAAAGACAGATAATAAAAATAAACAAATGAATGAAACCACTACACAGTGATATAGCAGCCACATCTTCTAGCCTTTATAGAGAATGTTGATGGTGCCATTTTGAGTGATAGTTGAGCAAAATCTCTCTTGAGTTAGTATTTAAACTGAGTCCTGAAGTTTGAGAAGGAAACAGCTAGGCAAAGACCAAGATCACAGAGCATTCCTGGTAAAGAGAAATCCAACTACATGGCAACATCTCAAAGGTGACAAAAATGTGATAATGTGAGGAAGACATTAGAAGATGAGGTTCAAATTGTTTTGTAACAATTTTGTCTTTGTCCCTCTACACTGGGCCCTGTGTCTCTATATGTGTCCTCGTATGTGTGTGTGCATGCATGTGCCCTTTAAAATCCATGCTTATATTATTTTCACCTTGTCCACCCCAGTAATGTTTTCTTTTTTTTAAATATCTTTTGCAAAAACCACTTATTTGTCTCTCATTGATCAGAACTGATTCATGTGATTGACTAAATCTGGAACATAGGTTGATGCTTGGAGCAGAAAAGAAATCAACCTAATTTGAACAACATGGGAAGATTGGAAAACTACTGATTCTCTGAAGGGTGATTGATGAATTGTTACTACAAAATGGGTGAATGAACCCTGACCAATGAGTAGTCACTACAGAAGCCCTGAAACATCAAAGTAGGCATGTCAGTAGGCAATCAGACTTCAAATCTAGCTATGAGTTGGAAACTTGAAAAATGGAAGTCTTCAAGAGATAGATGATACTTAAGCAATACAGAAAGTTTAAATCAAGTTGGAGAGATGATAGAGAATAATAAACAGCACATTACCTAGCACTGTGGAACTCTAATATAAAGCTTGGGTATATGGGAAGAGGTCAGTAAAGCAGTTGACAAAAGAATATCTCACTCATCTGTATAGCCGGTGATCAGGACGGGGAGTTACATTAGGCTAAATTCTTCTATAGACTTTATGGAAGCCTTTATAGAACCTTCTATAGGTTCTGCCTTTAAATGTCCCTAGGATCATTCCCTGTTCTTTGTGAATGTTGACTTAGAGTTTAGTTTCTCTAAAGTAGAGATGGGAAGGATGACTCTCTCCAATACAATGATCTTGCATTTGTTTTGGGTTATACTGTTCCTACTCTGTTGCTCCTTTAATCCAATATCAGTGTTATGCTCTGGAAAGTCCTCAAAATTAGTGCAATGAATTAATAGCACTCTTTCTTGCTTTCCAGAACTATGTTTTGGATTTACACACCTTAAAATGAGTTTTTCTTCATTTCCACAGGATATTGGGAGGGAAGGAGGTAAATTCCTATCCTCAACCTGCCACCTTCCACTAGTAGTCGAAACGTTACTTCTATAAAATAATTTCCTGAAACTTCTGTATGGTTAAAAAAAATCCTGCTGTGTAAACCAAGTAATAATTTCCCCCTGGAAATTGAAATTAAGGATAAACAATTGAGTGAAATTAACACTTAACTAATGTGTTTTCTTTCTAATTTATTAAATATTTTAGAGCTTTGGAAGCAAAAGCAGCAGCTCTTTTATAACTTTCCAGAACACCTTTATTATAATCAACCTATTTCACGTAACACTCTGGTGTTCTTAGTTTTACTTGTAATTAGACTTTTGCCTCTCTAATTGCACCAAAATAGTAATAAATGTTTTTAAAAAGATTTTGTCTCTTTGAAAAGAGAATGAATGTATCCATTAGCTTATTGGCATCCATCATCTTATAGAGGTCAGTTCGCTTAAATATTTTGGATGGAATACATCTTCCTAACTCAGTTTTCTCTTAAAATGTTAGGAAAAAAGCCCTCAAGACAACTACCACAGAAGTCAGGATACTTGCTTCAAATGATGCTATAGCATTGTTGTTAGTCCTAGTATTATAAAATAAATGAAAGGTATCATAGAAACAAGTACATAATAGACACCCAGTCCATATTTGCTTACTCTTTTAAATAAAAGCAATATCACAAATAAGTTAATTGATCTCTAGCTAGAATGTTGTCCTTATTAGATAGTTTCACATTCAAACTGAAAAAACATTTCAGAATTTGATATGAAACCCATGCACATGGTTTACATTCATTTAAAGCCATATATTTTGCTCAATTGTTTTTTCATTTCTTTTCTGGCACTGCCTAAAACCAGATGATATTACACTAAAAAAGTGAATTGGTTACTAAGCCTTTCCAGCTGTGAAAAAGGAAATAAAATCCCATACTTCTTAGGCACTATGTATAAGAAAAACATTTTTCATGGCAAGTAAATATATGCTCTGGCTCTTTACCTCCAGGTGAGTGGTCTTATTTTAAATTTTTAAAATGATTGTGACACTAATGAGATTTCAGCTAGGCATATGGGGATATTTGATTTTGTGGCTAATTCTGTCTTTTCCTTATTCTTTAAGTAAAACTGGATTTTTTTTTCCTGTGTGATAAGAGTTGGTGGTTTCTAGTATGAAGCTGGCACAATAGCCCTAAATTATAAATAGAAATACATCAATTCTCATTGAATTTCTTTTTTCAATAATATAATGACATTGGCATGTTATGTCACTTTTCTAAATCTAGTTTCCTTATCTATACATGTGATTAATAACCAAATGATATCAAACCCATTTTGTGTGTGTGTGTGTGCGTATGTGTGTGTTAAAGAATTTAACTCATTGATAGAGAGCAGACTCACTGCAAATGTTGTTGCTGTTCTTATTCTTGTTCTTCTTATTTTTATTGTTCTATAAAACAGATGTACAAAATGTCAGCCTTCATAGGATCTCTTCCTGGTTTTAACTTTGTCAGAATTCCATATATTGGTGTTCAGATGTTCTAGTTGGAAACGTATAGCCATAAACTTTTAGTGGACAAATAAGTAGACTTTGATAAAGCTGCAGCATCCTGTTGTTTTGTAATAAGCCAAAAGAAATGGTAGCCTACAAGAATGAGAAATTCATCTGTCTCCTGTGTTGTACATTTGGTTGCTGGGATACCATGTCTTCTTTGGAACTATACTCTGTTTGGAAGACACGTCCTTCAAGATCCTCCTAGAAAAAGAGTACATAAAATGAATTTTGGGATCTAGCTATATCTGAGGGTAATTTTATGTTGCTTTCACCCTTGATTAATAGTATGGATGATATATTAGCACCCTACTGCTATTGTAAAATATTACCACAAAGTTGATGATTTAAAACAATACAAATTTCTTTGTATTGGCCTGGAGACTTTTGCTTTGAGAAAGCCTCCTCTTCAAGTATTTTCCAGAAGGATACCTGTGTCTGGATCTCCTACTGTGACTTTTAGCCAGACTGGTAAACCCGACAGCATTACTTAACCTTCTACTTACATGGCGGTTCCTTACATTGCAGAATGGGACATAGAGCCCCCGAACGACACTCACCAGTTTAATACACTGCCGTGTGGTCCAGTGTCCACCCTGTTTACATCTATCCTATGAAGGAAAGACACCAATGGGGCCCCAATCTAAGAACTCTGATAAACCCCTCTATTGAATTGTTTCAAGTTTCTGAAAACTCCATAAAACACATCTTTCATATTGCATTACAATTTCTGGTTTCTGTTTATTTTTCCTCTATTCCTTCTACCCTAAGGTAGGAGAATGGGAGAGGGACAAGGTGGCTGTGGTAGTAC
Source organism: Homo sapiens (assembly GCF_000001405.40). Classification (NCBI taxonomy): domain Eukaryota; kingdom Metazoa; phylum Chordata; class Mammalia; order Primates; family Hominidae; genus Homo; species Homo sapiens. The sequence goes on along the minus strand of NC_000021.9, from coordinate 27,637,961 downwards.
GGGTGGAGTTAGGAAGGGGAAGCCACAACTTAACGTCTTAAAATAATACAAATGCATTATCATGCAGTTCTGGAGGTTAGAAGTCTAAAATTGATCAATAGAACTGCATTCCTTTTAAAGGTTTTACAGAAAAATTTGTTTCCTTGCCTTTTCTAGCTTCTAGATACTTTCTGCATCCTTGACTTGTAGAAGTGGCCTATCTTATATCTTCAAAGCCAACAGCAAATATCTGCTAATCACTCTCTCTCTTTCAGTTCCAATCTTCAATCACATGGTCTTTTCTGATTCTTACACCCCTGCCTCCCTTTTGTAGGACCTTCATGATTACATTGGGTCTACCCAAATAATCCAGAATAATCTCTCCATCTCCAGATCCTTAACTTAATATCCCCAGAGTCTCGTACTTTACACACAACATATTCACAGGTTCCAGAAATTAGGATATAGGTCTCATTATCATGGAAGGCCCAAATCTTGTAATCTAATTTATCTAAATTAGTCATGGTTAGGGCGTTCACTATTATCCACTCTGGGGCAAAATTATTCTCCGTTGGGAGATCTGTGAAACTATAAAACATGATATTGCCTCCTAAAATACTATGGTGAGATAGGGATCAGATAACACTAATAGATATCCAGTTCACAAAAGGAATCACCAGAGGTGAGCAATTTCAAAATCTGTTTTTGCATTCAACATTAGGTTTCAAAGCTTGAGAATCATTCTCTGTGTTTCCTGGCTCTGCTGCTATTGTAGAGACTCTACATGTTTGCAGCTGAGTAGTTTTATCAATTTGTTTTCTACATGTAGAATTTGGAGAATTCAATAGCCTTCCCTCCTTTTGTTCTGTCTCCCTTTTAGTTCAAGCTGACATTGAGTATGTCTGTTGGCACAACATTCTTAAGAATCTTGCAAATATTCCCTGTATGTTTCAGGGATTCTCTCCACTAGACAAGAGGCTCATCCACAAATCTTTTTTTTATAATACCATCTCTATTCCTGGCTTCTGCTTGGAGGGCTGAGGGGAACCATGATTCACTGCTCTAATCCTTTCAAAAGGCCATGTGTGTAATTGAATACTCTGATCCTTTGATCCTTCCAAAGTACTAGCAAAAGGTTGTCCAGCCACACCTTGGCTTTCTGTCCAGAACAGGCTTTCTTGATTATGAATCTCCTAATTTTAGTGCCTTTGCAATCTGGATTGGCTGAGAATTTCCCAAGTCATCAGGTCCTGTTTCCCTTTTTCCTAACACCGCTTCCGTCAATCTCTCTCTTTTCTCACATTTCACTGTAAGCAATGGGAAGAAACAAGGCTCTACCTTCAGCACATTGCTTGGAAATCCCCTCAGCTAGATATTAAAGTTCATTTCCTATAGGTTCTGCTTTCCACATAACTAACTGTAGGACACAATTCCGCCAAGCTTTCTGCTACTACATAATAACGATTACTTTTCCTCCACTTTCTAATAAGCATTTTCCTCATTTCTTTATGAACCCTCACTAGGCATGCCTTTAATGCTCGTATTTCTACCAATATTCCATTTATGATGCTGTATTTTCTAAGATGTATGAGTATAGGATGGGTGAAAAATATTTTTACTCAGACTCTGTAGTTAGTGCTTCCTGTGAGAATTACCATGCCATTCTAATTCCCAGTTTTTTTTTATGTGACCTGCTTTCCATCTGAAGGCTGTTATCATAGTTTATTAAAATCTGGTTGAGATTTTATGACCCCTTGAACTAGAAACCGATGCACTAAAATTATACTTTTTATATTAACATGTCTATAATTTTTTTTCATAATTTTTCTGAAATCTGTTATTCAGTTATTGAAACTCCATCTCTTCTGATGGGATCCTGATAAATACATTGCCAAAAACATGAAAATAAATTAAGTACATATCAAGTGATGAATACCTAAAAATACTTGTATTTCCATAAGATGAAATATTTATCAGTGATAAAAAGAAACACACTTCTGATAGATTTAATTATGTGGATAAATCCCAAGACAGTATTCTTGTGAAAGAAGCTATACAAGAAAAGACTCTCTACTGTCTCATTGCATTGATATGACATTCTGAAAAAATAATGGGACAGAAACGAGATCAGTGATTGTGAGGAGAACCATACAAATCCACATGAACAAATTTTTTGAGATGAAATGAACATTCCATATCTTATTTGTGGTATTGGTTCCAGAACTGTATACATTTATCAACCTCATAGCACTGTACATCTAAAAAAGGTGAATCTTAAGATATGTAAATTATTATTTAACCGATCTGAACCAGAAAGAGAAAATTTGACTTTTTTAAAAAGAATATTATTGTTGGCCAGGCGCGGTGGCTTACGCCTGTAATCCCAGCACTTTGGGAGGCTGAGGCGGGCGGATCACAAGGTCAGGAGATCGAGAAACCATCCCAGCTAACATGGTGAAAACCCGCCTCTACTAAAAATAGAAAAAAATTAGCCGGGCGTGGTGGCGGGCGCCTGTAGTCCCAGCTACTCGGGAGGCTGAGGCAGGAGAATGGCGTGAACCCGGGAGGCGGAGCTTGCAGTGAGCTGAGATCACGCCACCGCACTCCAGCCTGGGGGACAGAGCGAGACTCCGTCTCAAGAAAAAAAAAAAAAAAAAAAAAGAATATTGTGGTTAGAGAAATATAATTCATTACAGAATTCGAGGGTTTGTTTTCTGTAGTTTCAAATTTACAAGTTCTTTGTCAGTTAAAGGAGAATATTTGGAAATATATTTCTATGAATTTTCCAGCAATAGCTCAACATTATGACTTCTTTTTTCTTTTTTATTATACTTGAAGTTTTAGGGTACATGTGCACAACATGCAGGTTAGTTACGTATGTATACTATGACTTCTTTTAATTTTCTTTGTATAGGCTTCACATCCTCTTGTAGCTTGTTTTCTTTAGAGTTAGTGATGACCTTTATTTTTCTTAAACAATTACATTGTCATACTTTCAATAATATCTAAAATATTCTTTGTACCATCCCATGAAAGACGCTTTTCTCTATGGCTATTTCCTGTTCTAGTCTAGATTTGTTGCAATTTAGGTTCTCAGCACAAATGTCCTTCTGGGTCTTCCCTTTGCTTTTCTACTTCATTGAATCCGTTGTCCCCTCCTCATGTTTTCTTTTTTCCTGCTTATCTTTACAAACAAATTCACCATTAAATCCTTAAACTGGATGAAGTGAGCTGAAAGTTTTGAGTTCTTAAAATACCTTCATTTCCCAGTTATTTTCATTGATTGATAGGTATAAAATTATAGGTTGAAAACAACTCCCCTCAGAAAATTAAAGCTCCATTTTGTTCTATTTTGAGCTACTGTAGATGAGATTAATAATATAAATTAATACTCATTCTGTTGTAGGTAAACTGTCTTTTCTCTTGAGATTTTTTAGTTGATACATTGAACTGATATGCTAGACATCAATCTATGTATTTATTTTTGTTAATTTTTTTAGGAGGTTGGTGAAGCCCTTTCACATTGAAGACCTCTGTCTGCTTTCTGCTCAGAAAAATCTCCTATATTAAATTGTGTAATAGCATTCCCTCTTCCATTTCATTTAGGTTCTTTGTAATCTTCTGTTTTAGGGGAACAGCATTGACTCTTTCTTTTAATTACTCCTCTCACGACACCATCCTTACGTATTTTGTTAGGATTTACTGTATTTATATTACTCCATATACCCTGAGTAAAGTTCATTGATCTGAGGGAGGCATGTGAACCAAAAAGAATCAATCAGTCCCTGAGATTTTTGAACATGGCATGAGAAAAATGTCTAAAACTATTTTATGTCCAGGTACTAAATTTTAAATTGTGAGACTCTATGTTCACATTTATCACTTTGAAAATGAAGTCATGATGAGAAGCAAGTAGTACCTACACCAGTACATATATATATATATTGTATATGTCTCCATCTATAGTTATCTGCATCTAATGTCTATATTCATCTAATACCTGACAATCTGTGTGTGTATCTATAGCAGCAGTTTTTAACCAGGGGCAATTTTGCCTTCAGGAAGTTTTTGGCTATCACAACTAAATGAAAGTGTTCCTGGCATCCAGTGGATAAATGCCAGAGACGTTGCTGAAAACCTTACATGGACAACCTCCTGCTGCAAAGAATTATCCAGCTCAGAATGTCAATAGTGCCAAGTTTGAGAAACCCTGATCTAAAGGGAGTCCTTGTAGAAACAAGATCCCCTTATTACGTTCCCTGAAGGCATTATGTTGTTTCCTTAATTTTGAGCAATCTGCTATTTTTCTTTTTCAAACATTTTTTTATTGGTACATAATAATTGCGCACATTTATAGGATATGCAGTAAATTATTATTTACTGCTTTCTTAGTCTCATTTTTGGAAAATAGCTCGTTATCATTAAAATTTGTTCTTCTTTCTGCTGAGCTAATTCAAATAGTATTTCAGTTTACTTCAAGAAAGAACATATGGACTAACAATGAGCTTTTCTATGTATTCTGGTGTGTATTAAACAGTGGCAGGTATCTCAATGTATTTGCATGATCCTGTTTTGTCTTTGGTTGCCTTGCGTGCTCTTAACTGAAAAAGTCCCAGTTTTTATTTGTATTGAGAATAGAACTGTGAAAGATCCACCTCTGAAGGCATTGTAGTGTTTCTTTCATTTTGAACATCCAAACAGTTTTTAAATCTATTTTTAATTTAACATATAGTAATCTTACATATTTATGAAGTACACAGCCATGTTGTGACACGTGCCATGTATAGTGATCATTACAGATCACTATATACACATATACAGATCACAGTAACTGGCATATCTGTCATCTCAAACATTTATTGTTTCTTAGTGTTGGGAACATTAAGTATCATCCTTCTAGCTATTTGAAACTATGGAATATATTATTGTTAACTATAGTCATTTTATGGTGCTATAGAACACTAAAAATTATTCCTCTTATCTAGCTGTAATTTTGTAATCTTTAATAAATCTGTCTCTATCTCTTTTTCCCCTACATTTTCTAACCTCTAATATCCTCTCTTCTATTTTTACTTCTATGAGGTCATCTTTTAAATTTTTTTTAGCTTCCACACATTAGTGACAACATCGCTTATTTTACTTAACATAATGCCTTCCAGAGTTCTTCCAGTTTCATCCATGTTGCTGCAAATGACAAGAGTTCATTTTTTATGGTTGAATAGTATTCCATTGTGTATATGTACCACATTTTAAAGTCCATGTATCTGAAAGCTGGCCACCTTGGCAGATTCCATACTTTGGCTATTGTGAATAGTGCTGCAATAAACACGAAGGTACAAATGTCTTTTCAATATACTGACTTCCTTTCTTTTGAATAAATGCCCAGTAGTGGGATTGCTGGATCATATGGTAGTCCTATAGGTAGTTTTAAAGGAATCTTTAGCTGTTCTTCATAATGGCTGTACTAGTTTACATTCCCACCAACAATGCATAAGAGTTCCCATTTCTCGACATCCTCATGAGCATTTGTTATTTTTTGTCTTTTTGAGAATAGCCATCCTGTTTGGTGTGACAGTATATCTCACTGTGGTTTTGATTTGCATTTGCCTGATGATTAGTGGTGTCCTCTCCATTATGTAAATCTAAGAGTAAAAATATCTTTCAAAGTAAGTAAATAGTACACAAATATAAAAATAAAGCCCAGTATAAAATGTATATATGTATAAAACTACTGTGCTTTAAGAACCTGTGACTATCAATAGCCAAAAAGTGTGTTCCACCTCAGAAAATAATGTTTCGTTTGAAGCCAAGTTTTTCCTAATGAAGGTGTTACTGAAATGCGTACTTCTCTAACAAGTAACAAACCTTCTCTGAGGTTAGTGACTGCAGGATGTCCTAGCTTTCTGAATTAGAGAAGCTTTCAAGTATGAGAAAATATGATTATGAAAAAGAGAATGAGTTATGTATTAATAAATAGCTCAACATAGTATTCTGTCCCTTATGAAAGAAAAACAAATACTCAAATGCTTTTGCACAGGTTACTAATGCATTTTTGTAATTTTTCTTAAAAACTTTCAATAAAAAATTTAGAACTTTTAATGTCTGTGAATTAACTATTTGCTAATTTGAGTAAATCATCCCATTTTACTATAAATTTATAATGCTGACATTAAGAAAAAAATAGCACCAAAAGAAAACTATTTCTTAGTCATTCTAGAAATGTGTTATCTCAGCTATATAAGAAGGAAGGAATTGAAAACGTTGTTACAAGGATTGTTGAACTTTCTCTTCAATGAATATATATTTGCTAACTCTACAGCAAGTTTCCCTCAAAGTAAAAAGCACATGTATTACTACATTTTAAAAAATGTTTGTGGTAAGTATTATCTACAGAATATTTTCTTTACTACATAGTTGCAGGCTTATCCTGGATAATAACTACAAATGATTCCTCATGTTTGTATAAGTAAACTTAAACTGAACAGGAAATTATCTATTCAAAATATCCATGTTATTTTGGTGGATTATTTAATTGTCCTGGAAAATTTAGAACCAAGAAATATTTATCTTTGTGATCTCTAGTTTAGAGGAAACTAATCACATTAAGATTGGTTAAGAAGATAGATAATTTGCATGTATGTTTCAAGGTGTTTTCACGTGCGTCTTGATGTTTCAGAAAACTCCATCTTTGGAGATGTATTTATTCCCTACATAGCTTTGCAGTCTTCCTCCCAGGCAGTTTTTTATTGAATTTTAAAAGCAGCCAAATGTACCCTCTGGCCAAAAACAGAAATATAATGAGAGATTGATTCATGAATGTTCTCATATTCCACAGAATTAAGTTAGGTAAGTGTCATCCTTGTCGTAGACCACATGCCAGGGTATTTATAATTATTCTTTGAAGAATTTTGTTACCCTGGTGCACATTAGCATCAACTTGGGAGCTGATAATAAAATACTAACTACTCCATCAAATAAATAAATCTAAGTCTCAGCAAGTTGAAAGGTTCAGGGTAGGCATTTTAAAACACTCTTTACATGATTCAAATGTATAGCCAAGGTTAAGATTAATCGACCTAGGGAACGACTAGCAACAAATATTTTAAATATGTGTATATATGGTATGTGGTACACTACTTGTACTATTGTGTAGGACCTGCAAATTTTAGAAGATGCCTGCCTTTCATCTCCTTTGTACATCTACTTCTACTTTGTGCAAAAAAATGGCTTTAGTACTTAATTATTGAGACATCATTTCAACACCTAGGAGCTTTCTCATGGTTATTAGCAAGGTAAGTTTTTTATTCATTACCAAGAGACTATTCATTGCCTGCTAGTAAAACATTCCAGCTTTTCCCCGGTTTTATATCAGTAGTCTTTTTATGGATTAATTAAATTCTATGTACATTTACAGATACACTCTGGTAACTATAACCCACCTGGGTGCAGTTGTATTCTCAGTAGGTTCTAAAATTAGCTTTCCACGAGAATATCGTCACAGTAGTTACAGCATCTAATGGGGAGGAAGGCCAAAGACCACTATTGTTCCTACCAAGAACAAATCATTACACTGAGCAAGCCTTTTGATATGATTTTGGCTTCTCTTATAGTTTTCCTACAGGGAGAGAATGTGCAGGAAAAAAAAAAGAGTCCTCCTCTGCTTTTGCTAGTTAATCACTGGTTGTACAGAAGCCTATTTTTTTATATAGTTCATACCTTTTGTTTCACATTACTTAGTTTAAAGCCATCAGGTTGGAGCTTGCAGAAGGTTTTCTTTGTTTTTGCTTCATAGAAAGTGACTGACCTGTTAATAGTACTCAGAACTAAGAAATTCATAAAACTGATAATAAAAGAACATTTGGTCAATTGCAATAAAATGACTATTTTTGTTGATGTCGATTTTTAGACACGTTATCTGTTCCTGAACCCCATCCTATCAAGTATCCCCTCCTAGGTCTTCAAATGCTGCCATATTATTGATTAAATTTCCTTAGCATCTTTAGATATCCTCTCCCAGATGAAATTTCAATGTCTTACTCTGTGCCCACCTTTAGCTAACCCTCTGTGGATCTCCTACTTCTTCCTTTAATAGCCAAGAATAATACGCCTGCAATCTATGCCCACGGTTTCATCTCCTGTCTTCCCATTGAGTCTTTCATGTATTGTAACTTGGCTTCTGCCCCAATTGTTTCTCTAAACCTGCCTTAATTAGCTCTCCAAGAATCCCCTTTTTGTAAATCCAAATTTTTATCTAACTTGGTCTCTTGGGCATTTAACAACACTGACTCTTTTGCAATCTTTTTCTTAATTCTTTTGGCTTTAATCAAACATTTTTATTTTTATTCTTATTTTTATTATTTATTTATTTATTTATTTTGAGACGGAGTCTTGCTCTGTCGCCCAGGCTGGAGTGCAGTGGTGCAATCTCCGCTCACTGCAAGCTCCGCCTCCCAGGTTCATGCCATTCTCCAGCCTCAGCCTCCCGAGTAGCTGCGACTACAGGCACCCGCCACCACGCCTGGCTAATTTTTTTTTTTTTTGTATTTTTAGTAGAGACGGGGTTTCACCCTGTTAGCCAGGATGGTCTGGATCTCCTGACCTCGTGATCCGCTGGCCTCGGCCTCCCAAAGTGTATGCATTTATCATTTCATTTGCTTGGTAAATAATCCTCCATCCCTTTATTTTGAGCCTATGTGTGTCTTTGCACATGGGATGGGTCTCCTGAATACAGCACACCAACGAGTCTTGACTCTTTATCCAATTTGCCAGTCTGTGTCTTTTAATTGGGACATTTAGCCCATTTAGCCCATTTACATTTAAGGTTAATATTGCTATGTGTGAATTTGATCCTGTCATTATGCTGCTAGCTGGTGATTTTGCCCATTAATTGATGCAGTTTCTTTATAGTGTTGATGGTCTTTACAATTTGGTATGTTTTTGCAGTGGCTGGTACTGGCTTATTTTAATTTATGTTTTATTTTGATAACTTTTTATGGAGCAGGTGGTGTTTGGTTACATGAATAAGTTATTTAGTGGTGACTTCTGAGCTTTTGGTGCACCCATCACTGGAGCAGTGTACACTGTACCCAATGTGTAGTCTTTTATCACTCATACCCCTCCCACCCTTTCCCCCGAGTCCACAGAGTTCAATGTATCATTCTTATGCTTTTGCATCCTCATAGCTTAGCTCCCACTTTTGAGTGAGAAGATATGATGTTTGATTTTCCATCCCCCTGAGTTACATCACTTAGAATAATAGTCTCCAATTCCATCCAGGTTTTTCTGAATGCCATTATTCTGTTCTTTTGCATGACTGAGTAGTATTCCATGGTGTGTGTGTGTGTGTATGTGTGTGTATGTGTATGTGTGTGTATATATATATGTATAAAGAAATGTGTGTGTGTATGTGTGCGTATATATATACACACATACACACAGACACACACATTTCTTTATCCACTTTTCTTTATCCACTTGTTCATTGATGGGCATTTGAGCTGATCCTATATTTTTGCAGTTGCAAATTGTTCTGCTCTAAACATTCCTGTACAATTATCTTTTTTGTATAATGACTTCCTTTCTGCTGGGTAGATACCTAGTAGTGTGATTTCTGGATCAAATGGTGGATCTACTTTTAGTTCTTTGAGGAATCTCCACACTGTTTTCCATAGTGATTGTACTAGTTTACATTCCCACCAACAGTGTAAAATTGTTCCCTTTTCATCATATCCACGACAGCATCTATTTTTTAATTATTTTTTGATTATGGCCATTCTTGCAGGAGTAAGGTGGTATTGTATTGTGGTTTTGATTTACATTTCCTTGATAATTAGTGATGTTGAGCTTTTTTCCATAGGCTCATTGGCCATTTGTATATCTTCATTTGAGAATTGTCTATTCATGTCCTTAGCCTACTTTTTGATGGAATTGTTTGTTTCCTTCTTGCTGATTTGTGTGAGTTCTTTGTAGATTCTGGATATTAATCCTTTGTCAGATGTATAGATTGTGAAGATTTTCTCCCACTTTGTGGGTTGCCTGTTAACTCTGCTGATTATTTGTTTTGCTGTGTGGAAACCTTTTAGTTTAATTAAGTCCCATCTATTTATCTTTATTTTTGTTACATTTGCTTTTGGGTTCTTGATCATAAAGTCTTTGCCTAAGCCAATGTTTAGAAGGGTTTCTCTAATATTGTCTTCTATAATTTTTATGCTATTATATCTTAGAGTTAAGTCTTTGATCCATCTTGATCTGTCCAATTATCCATTGGCATAATTCATTATTAGACGTTATGTTCCTTCAGGAAATATTTTATACTGTTTCTTTTTAATTCCCTAGTTTAAAAAACAATGTTCTAAGCCTATTATAAGACATGAGAGTTGTAGTGGAAAACAAAGTGGTTATAGAAGAGAAAGTCAATGAACTGAGAGTCTCAGAGAATAGAATAAATTTCTAAGTGGCATTCATAGCAAAAAAAGATATATATATATATATATATAAAGATATATATATCTTTTTTTGCTATGAATGCCACTTAGAAAGATATATATGCCTACATATATATCTTTATCAAAGACATATATGCCTACATATATATCTTTATCAAAGACGTATATGCCTACATATATATCTTTATCTAAGACGTATATGCCTACATATATATCTTTAAGACGTATATGCCTACATATATATCTTTATCTAAGACGTATATGCCTACATATATATCTTTAAGACGTATATGCCTACATATATATCTTTATCTAAGACGTATATGCCTACATATATATCTTTATCTAAGACGTATATGCCTACATATATATCTTTAAGACGTATATGCCTACATATATATCTTTAAGACGTATATGCCTACATATATATCTTTAAGACGTATATGCCTACATATATATCTTTAAGACGTATATGCCTACATATATATCTTTAAGACGTATATGCCTACATATATGTCTTTATCTAAGACGTATATGCCTACATATATGTCTTTATCTAAGACGTATATGCCTACATATATGTCTTTATCTAAGACGTATATGCCTACATATGTCTTTATCAAAGATGTATATGCGTATATATATCTTTATCAAATATATATGCGTATATATATCTTTATCAAAGATTTACGTGTGTATATATCTCTTTATCAAAGATATACATGTGTATATATCTAGCTTTATCAGATATATGTGTGTATATATTTATCTTTATCAAAGATATATGTGTATATATATCTTTATCAAAGATATATGTGTGTATATATATCTTTATCAAAGATATATATATGTGTATGTATATATATACTATATATATCTTTATCATGTTGAAAAGCTGGAAGATAAAGCAGGTAGAGAAATCATCATGGAATGAGGGTTCGATGTGAGCCCAAAGCTGTAAACAATTACAGCAAGGGGTTGTAATAGGTAGCATAGACTAAGGGTATGAGTTTCAAAGTTGGGAGTTTTGGAAAAAAGAAGGGAGCAACAAACGGGTGTAAAATGATATCAAGAGACAATAGGGAACTTACTCTACCTCTATGTCCAGTCTTATAAAGACTATGAGAGAAAAAAATAACAAATGTTAAAAAGCATTTCCACAGAAATGAGAAAGATTTCAATTAGAACAAGACGGTAAAGGGCATGTTTGATGAACGCTTGAGGAAGTAGAAGATTTTGCTTAGGTTGGACATCTGAAGGGCCCAGTGTGGTTTAGAATTTCAGAGATCCATATCCACGTGTAAGGGTTAAGATTCCAGGCAAAGAGGAATCTGGGAAACTTGAGCTGGTGGCAAGGATGTAAATAGAAAAGTAGAGCATGATGGGATTAATTCTTTAGATTTTTAGAGAGTCCGTGAAAGTGGAACTAGGAGTGTGGGTAGGAAGTGGAAATACCCAGAGTCCTGGGACTTTTCCCACTTGAGCCAATGCATAAAACCAAAAGGAAAAATAAAAAAGAGAATTAAGAAAACCCTGCCCTTCTTGCATTTCCTTCAAGTGGTTTTCTCATAGCTCAACATACCTTGACATGTTTCTGAACTTCTTCCTCTTCCCCCACATTAAAACAACTTCCTCCTAGAAATATTTTGTACTCCCATAAGCATTCCCACCCTTCACCTTGTGTTTAGCTTCTTAGCCTAGATCTTTCTTATTGCCTCTTTGTCTTGATCTCCTTCCTTCAGGCCCTTAGCATTTCATTCTCTGTTCCTGCTAAGCCAATCTCCCATTCATAGTAATAAAGACAGACTATTCTAACATGAAAAAAATCTATTATTTCTAGGCTCAGTTTGAAATTCTTAGTAATTAAAACCCAAACACCTTTCATAGGATCCAGTGCTTTTTGTGATCTGGCCTGTATCTTACCTCATTTAAGTTAAACATTTTTCCTTTCTAACTTTCTGTAGTTCTTTGAATCACACATATACATATCCAATTTCTTGCGATCCTCTCTCTGTTCCTCTGTGTAGCTAAGTCTAATTCATGCATCTTTTCACAAGTACTTCTCTATATGGTTGTCCCTAATTAGCTACAGCTGTCTTAGTCACCCTCCTCACCTCCTTCATGGTGGTGTGTGGTGCTCCAGGACAAAAGTTATTCCTTCTGGCTGGGCGCGGTGGCTCACACCTGTAATCCCAGCATTTTGGGAAGCCGAGGCAGGCGGATCACGAGGTCAGGGGATCGAGACCATCCTGGCTAACACGGTGAAACCCCGTCTCTACAAAAAATACAAAAAATTAGCCAGGCGCGGTGGCGGGCGCCTGTAGTCCCAGCTACTAGGGAGGCTGAGGCAGGAGAATGGCGTGAACCCAGGAAGTGGAGCTTGCAGTGAGCCGAGATAGTGCCACTGCACTCCAGCCTGGGTGACAGAGCAAGACTTCGTCAAAAAAAAAAAAAAAAAAAAAAAAAGTTTTTCCTTCCTCTCCTAGTTTTCCATTGGCATAATTCATTAGACATTCCGTTCCTTCAAGAAATATTTCATTTTGCTTCTATTTTATTTCCTGATTCAAAATCCAATGCCAGTCAAGTAGGAGGCTCTCAGTAAATATGTATGGATAAATGTACACAAAGAGCAAGGTGATTTTAGACATGATTATGGGCTTCAATCAAATAGAGGTTATTATTTTTTCAGAAAGGAATATGTGAAGAAGAGAAAAAAATGTAAATTGGTTAAAGACTCCTAGTAAATTTTGTTTTCAGATTAAGCTAAAAATGCCACTATTGGAAAAAAAAAAAGATAAATATCATTCCTTCATTGACATAACTTTTTTTTTTTTTTTTTGAGGCAGAGTCTCACTCTTTCACCCAGGCTGGAGTGCAGTGGTGCTATCTCGGCTCACTGCAAGCTCTGCCTCCCGGGTTCACGCCCTTCTCCTGCCTCAGCCTCCTGAGTAGCTGGGACTACAGGCGCCCGCCGCCACGCCAAGCTAATTTTTATTTTTAGTAGAGATGGGGTTTCTAGCCAGGATGGTCTCCATCTCCTAAACTTGTGATCCAATCGCCTCGGCCTCCATTTTTAATTGCTTCCCAGACCAGTACATAAATATGAAAGAAAGATTTGTCTCTATTTTTAAAGATTGATTTTTCGTTGTGATCATTATGCTTTCCATTAATTTAGTATTTGGTGTTCAGGTAAAGTAGCTCAAAATAAGTATAGTGAATTGCACTATTAGTCTTTTTTTAAAGTAAGTTCTGAGGTTTGTTTCTGCATACAGAAACCATTTTCTTTGTGTAATCAAATTGAAATATTTCCTCCTGGTTTCTTCTACTTTAGGGAAGAAAGACATACCAATATATGCGTGAGCTGAAGTGAATTTTCCATGAATTATTGAAAAGTGTTCTTGATAACTTGAAAGTGAAAAACTTTTTAATCTACCAGTTCATGATGGCTTTTATTGGTTGACTGGATTATTTGGTAAAATAGAGACACTCATAAGATTAAGAAACAGAGTTACAATTTATCATTAGGTTATAAGCATCATTTCATGATTTTGAATGTCATGGACATTCTCATTACTTCCTGTATTCATCAGGATTCTTTAAAAAATCTGAACCAATAGGATAAAAGAAAATATACATAGCTACATAGCCATATAAATATATATGTGTATATATAGCATACATATACACACAGAGCTATAAGATTAATTATAAGGTTTTGGCTCGTGTAATTGTGAAGGCTGAGTCGCCCCATGATCTGCCATCTGCAAGCTAGGGACCTGGAAAAGCTAATGGTGTAGTTTCAGTCCCCATTTGAAGGCCTGAGAGTCAGGAGCACCAACGGTGTAAGTCCAGTCTAAGGGCAGGAGAAATCTGATCTCCCAGCTCAAGCAGTAGGGCAGAGAATAAAAAGATATTACCCTTCCTCCACCTTTTGCTTTATTCAGGCCCTCAACTGACTGGCCAATGCCCACACTAGTTAGGGAGGGCCATCAGCTGTATTCAGTCTGCAGATTCAAATGCTAATCTCATCCAGAAACACTTTTACAGATATGTACCAATATAATTTTAGGCCAGTATGTGAGCACCACATGAGCCAATCAAGTTGACACATAAAATGAACCATCACGTCTCCTTACCAATCATAACACCTTCTCTTGAGAATTGCCCTATTTTTTCATCCGAGTGTTTGCACTTCCTTCTCACACCTGTGTCTTATGGTGGAGCTTGTTGTGTCAGAATTCAGCCAACTGGCATAATACCATTGAGAAGCCACTGAACTTTAACAAAGCTCAGCTAATGAAACTGGGAAAACCATTTCTAGAATTGCACGCTCTTTCTTTAAACCTTTTGAAGTGTTGCAAGGTATAAATGTTATTCCTGCTGTGGTTATTTCATTCCTGAAAAGAAGGAAGCCAGCCTTAGTGTGAGGCTCTTTGAGGAAGGCAGAGTAGACTAAATGAAGAATCTTTGATGAGTAGCAACCTCAAATAAACAAGCACAAGCCTTTGTACTCCTCTGGTAGATGAGCCAATAAATTCACTTTATTGTTTAAACTAGTTTGAGTTACATTTTCTATTATCTCAAATTTAAAGAGTCTTAAGTATTACATAGATCATTGTTATAAAATGTCAAAGCAAGGGTGTCTCCTTCAATAGTCAGTTGCTTCTATGGCATGTTTGGAATGGCTCGGATGAACATTCTTTAACAAAAATAGTCCTTCTTCTGGTTGGTCAAAGTACAGAAATTCCATAAAGGCACTAAAAATTCAGATGGGTCCTGTAATAGAAACAGAGAACAATCTTGAGAGAATGAGCACAAATGTTTTGGTGGGTGGAACTCCAAATTTAAAAAAAAACAATTTTATTTCACCAAATTCTATATACTCTTGGGCAATGGGGAACTTGGTTGTGGCTGGTAGGATTGCTGGGGCCACCTGGGAACCTGGATAAGAAGGATGTGTGGCTCCAAACTAACACAAGTTGCGTTTATCGCAAAAAGTGGCCCATACACAGATATATAATGCTTAAAGTTGATGAAGATAGTTGGGAAACTGAAACAGAAATCGACAATTTGACATATATGTACTAAAGCTTTGTTTTAAATATGTGTACCTTTTTAGATCAAGGAATGTGAAGGTAAACTGGTACCTTTGCATCTAGTAAAACAGAATATATATTTGGTTTGAGCATCATTTAAAAAGTAAATTGAAACATTTGTAATGAAATCCCCCAAATATCCTTGTCTACCTCTTTTGAAAGCTCTCATTCTCAATTACGATTATGAATTCCTGTGAACACTGAGTCAGGGCTGGAATTTTGCTCTTTTAGTTCCTTGGTTTAAGTATAATTTAGAGTAAGGCCAGACTACCAAACTTTTGGTCTCAGTAAAAGAGTGTTGTTTATGACTTGACCATGCCATGCCTATTAACTGCTTCCTTACTTTAACTAATAAATTTTCACTGCATCCACCAACCTAACGGAAAGCTCAAACTTCATGACAAGTACAGATTTCCAAGGTCACATGTGAGCTTGTTACAAGTCAGGAAAAAGACTAAATGGCCCATGAGCACAGGATTTGAGTCACACTTAATTTTTTAACTTTATGTGGAAAGCAGTATTTAGAAGTTCCCTTTGAAATTGTTTATTTATCATGCTAGTGCTTGGAAAGAAAGAAAAAACGAACTTACCGATGAAAATCTTTTCATCTATTACATATAGGGAAGAAATAGATATGTAATAGATGAAACCAAAGTTCTTAAATCCAACTGTCCTAACACATATATTTAAAAAATATACATACATAAGTATATACATTTAAAAATGTACAATTATGTAATACCTATTTAATGCTAAAGAAGGCTCTCAAGTGTTTTATTTTATGAATTTGTGTATAAAATAGCAGGTATCACTAAACATCTCCTATTAGTATTTTCCCTTTGCTTTTGTTACATCCATCGTGATTAGTTATGTGCAATGATACGAACATTTTAGTGTACCATAAAATTAGATTCAATGCGCCAATATTTCCTATGTTGTGAAAATACAAATAAATAAATACTAAAGCATAACTACATATTCTCTTAAAAAATAAACACGCTTTTAGAAGTTTTAAGTGTTTTTCATTAAATTCCAATAGTTAATCAACATATTCTATGTTTACATTTTAAATTCTGGTACATTAAGTTAAATGATGTTGTATGTAGAATACGGATAGAGAAACTTTTTCTGCAAAGGGAACAATAATACATATTCTAGCTTGGGAGTCTATAAGGTCTCGATTGCAACTAAACTCTGCTTTTTCAGCTTTGCAAGAAGCCATAAACAACATGTAAATAAACGAGGTGGCTATGTTTCAGTAAAACATTATCTTAAAAAAAAGCTGTGAGTTGGATTGGACTATAGGCCAGGGTTTTGCTGACTGCTGATCTGGATATATAAAATACATAGTTTACTAATTTTTTAACTGGAAAAATATACTCAGCCTGCCTTCAATGTAACATAATTATTTATTACACATTCTACAAATCTACATACATATATACACACATATAGATTTATAATTTTCTAATGTCTTTCTAAAAAAAGTAATACTGCAAAGGGCAACTCAAATGACCCCATCACTATCAAATAAAGTTAGGCATGCCATTTTTTATAGCTAAATATATTTTAAAAAAAGAAAAAAATTAGGTTCATGAAATCTATATTTATAATAATATTTCACATTATTCTATTATTCACATGGAAGAATTCTATTTGTAATAAGGTTTATATAGCATTTCTTTTGAATCTTTGAGCAATTCTAGGATAGTTCATGTTGATACAATCAATGTGACTATATCTTAGGGTTCATTTAAAAAGTCTTGTGTGTATTCACTTGATAGTCATGAAGTTTAAACATTAGTGTCAATTTAATATTATTAATATAAACTTGTATGAAAACTACTATAATGAAAATATATTTAATGATGCAATGCTGTTTTATCTTCTCTATCATATTTTGCTATCAAAATTAATAATATTAAAAAGAAAGTGGTTTCACTGTTAACTCCAATACATAAAGAGATCGTAAATTGTATGCGTTCTTAAAACACAAAAAACTAAACAAACTGAAAACGAATAACTTTTCTTGGACTCATCAGAGGAACAGGATTACAGAGAAAACCACTACCCTGAAATTCTAAGAAATATGAAATCCGAGAGTCTCAAGTAAGATCGCTTTATCTGGGGAAGACGTTTCTGTAGCCATAAACTGGTATGAACACGTGAGTGGTAATAATGACAAATTCCGGGAGGTTGACTGTAGACTACTTTGAGAGTGAGAAACTCCTGAAGGTCACAGTCTAAGGGGTTCCCTACACTTTCATGGGTTCAATCTCCAGGAACTGCACCTACATCTTATGGTGAAGAGTCAAAAAATCTTCATATGTGGCTCTGGAAGGGATAAAGAAAAGGAGCCATTGTTAAATACATCTAGAATGTTTTTGACAGCAAAGGCCTTCTCTCCATGGGAAAGTGTATTTGCCCTTCTCCAGCCCATTCTAGCCTTCCTGTTTCACCTAATGGTGAAGTAAATGCCAAGAAGTAGTTGTGAAGGTGAGATACTAGTTAAAATACTGAGATTTAATCATGATATTATGGAAAACTTACCCTCCCTCACACCTTACCCCAATACCAGCAAGGATCCAGGTTACCAATAGTGGATTACAGACAAAATTGCTGCATGACAAAACTTTATCTAAGGATGAGTTCTTAGCAAATCTCAGAGACAACAGGGAAGACAAAATCAAACAGACTAAAGAAATTTGAAGCTTCTGGTACCTACGCCTATGGCACACAATAAACAAAGCTCAATTTTTAGCCAGATCACCATAAACCATTTCACTAAAGGACTATTTATCTCAGTTCCTATTACCCAATACATGAGGTCCAGATTTAAACAAAAAATAAAAGCATGATAAAAGGCAAGAAAAAAACCCCACAGTCTGAAGACACAAGGCAAACATCAGAAACAGACACAGATATGACACTGATATTGAAATTATCAGAGAAGGAATTTAAAATAACTGTAATTAACCCATTATAAGCTCTAATGGAAAAAAAACTAACAATGTAAAAGAACAGGTAGGTAATGTAAAAAAGCTATAAAAATATTATAATAAAGTAAAAGAAAATGATAGAAATAAAAATCACCAATCTAAATGAAGAATGGCTTTGATTAGCTCATCAGCAGACTCGACACAGCTGAGAAAAGAATCAGTGAGCTGGATCATGTGGCTATAGAAACCTCCTAAATGAAATGCAAAGAGAAAAAAGAAACTGACAATAAAATAAAAAGACAGAATATCTAAGAACTGTAGGACAAGTTAAAAAGATATAATATACATAATTGGAAAAACATAAAGGGAAGAAAGAATTAAATAAGACAAATTTAAAATGAAATTGGCCAAGACTTTAAAAAATGGATGACTGTATTAGTTCGTTCTCACTCTGCCAATGAAGCTATACTCAAGACTGAGTAATTTATAGAGGAAAGAGGTTTAATTGACTCACAGAAGCAACACTTCATTCTTCACATGGTGGCAGGAGAGAGAAGAATGAGAACAAAGCAAATGGGGAAGCCCCCTCTGAAACCATCAAATATTGTGAGAACTTACTATCATGAGAATAGTGAGGGGGAAACCACCACCATAATTCAATTACCTCCCACCAAGTCCCTCCCACAACACATGGGGATTATGGGAACTACACGCCAAGATGAGATTTGGGTGGGGACACAGCCAAACCATATCAATGACAAACACTAAACCACAGATCCAGAAAGGTCAGAAAATTTCAAGCAGGATATACCTAAAAAATGTATATATAGGCATAATGTATTCAAACTGCAGAAAATCAAACAAAGATAAAATCTTGAAAGAAGCCAGAGGAAAACAATAATACTATAGAATAATAGGAATAAAAAGTATATTAGATATTAGAAGTGATCCAAAAAGAAGGTGCAGTGAATTACTTAGCGTATTTAAAGAAAGTTGTTACCAAGTCAGAATTCTTTATCCAGTAACATTATGCTTCAGAAATAGAGAATAAAGCCTTCCTCAGAAGACAATACTAAGCGAGTTCATAATTATCAGATCTGCCCAATTCGCAGAAATGTCAAAATAAAATTATTTAGGGAGATTAAAATGCACACAGGTCAGACAGTTATATCTACATAAAGAAAAGAAGAATGGCAGTAAATGAACAAAAAAAGTTAAAATACTTCTTTTCATTTTTTTATCATTTTTAATAACAACTTTAAAACAATAATAGGAATCATGCATTCCAAAATTCTGGCATATACATAAGTGAAAAGAATCATAGTAATTTTATAAAAGGTGGGAGGGGGAATTAGAAATACTTTGTTAGAAGTTACCCGCACTACATGTGAAATATTACTGTCTTATTTGCAGGTGGATTTTCAGTGGGTAAAAATGTATTATATATAAAGAACTCTATGGCAACAATAGAGTAAAGCATTTTAATACTTTAATTAGCAGAGTATTTTAAAGTACAATTGACATGCTAAGAGAAGAAATAAAATGAAATCATATATAATGCTCAATTAAAGTCATATAAGGCAGAAAAATAGTGTGGCAGGAAAGAAACAGAACAAATGCAATGAATATCAGTTACAAACATGGTAGATGTTAATGCAACTATATTAATAATCACTTTAAATGTTAATGGTCTAAACACACAAAATAAAAAGATTGTCAGAGTGGACAAAAAATAAAATGGCCCAACTATATATTGCCTACAGGAAATCCACTGTAAATATAATGACCCATAGAAATTAAAATTAAATGAATGGAGAAAGATACACCATGCTAACAATAACTAAAAGAAAGCTGAAACAACTACATTGATTTAAGACACAGCTGACTTCAGAACAAGAGAGTATTAAAGATAAAAAGGAGTGTTAAACAGTGATAAAGAAATAAACTCTCTTAAAGATAAATAATACTTAGCATGTCTGCATTTAACAACAGAATGCAAGAACTGAAAGAACTACAAGAAACAATAGATGAATCCAACTATTTGCCCAACTAACAATATAACTATTGTTATAGTTAGAAACTTAGTCTGTTCAGGCTGCTAAAACAGTAACACCATAAACTGGGTGGCTTATAAGTAATACAAATTTATTTCTCACATTTCCAGAGGCTGAGAAGTCCAAAATCCAGATTTCAGCAGATACGTTGTCGTGTGAAAGCCCCCCACCCACACTTCTTCCTGGCTCATAAATAGCCACATATTCAGTGTATTACATGGTGAAAGGGTAAGGGAGGTCTCTGGAGTCTTTTATAAGAGCAGTAGTCCCATTTATTAGGGAGAAACCCTCATGGCCTAACCACCTCCAAATTCACACTGGGGATTAGTTTTTTAACATAAGAATTGTGGGGTGGGAGGCCACAAACATTCAGTCCATAGAAGAGACCTCAATACCTTTGTATTATTGATAGATCAGACAGGCAAAAAACCAGTAAGTGTATAGTTGACTTTAACAGTAGTGTTAACCAAGTTAGTCTAATTGACATTTAGAAAGTACTCCATCAACAAACAAGATAATATGTGTTCTCCCATAGCTCACAGAGAACATTCACCAAGATAGACCACATTGTGGGCCACAAAATAAAACTTAACAAATTTAAAATAACAGAAATCCTGCGAAGTGTTTTCTCATACCACAATGAAATCAATTAGAAACCAAAAGATAGATTAAAAATCATATAAAATCTGGAGATTAAACAATACACTTTTAGATAACATGGGTGAAGGAAGTCTCAAGTGAAATTTTAAAATACGTATTTTTCAACTAATGAAATGAAAAGACGATTGCAATTTATGTGATACAGTGAAAGAAGTGCTCAGAAGGTAATTTGTAACATTAAATACACATACTAGAAAAGAAGAAATATCTAGGTCAGTAATTAAGCTTCTAATTTTGGCAAATTAGAAAAGAGCGACTTAAGCCGAAAGCTAGCAGAAGAAATGAAATAATAAAAATTAGAACAGAAAGGCCAGGCGCGGTGGCTTACGCCTGTAATCCCTACTTTGAGAGGCCAAGGCGGGCAGATCATGAGGTCAGGAGATCGAGACCATCCTGGCTAACGAGGTGAAACCCCGTCTCTACTAAATTTGCAAAAAATTAGCCGGGCGTGGTGGCGGGCGCCTGTAGTCCCAGCTACTCGGAAGGGGGAGGCAGGAGAATGGCGTGAACCTGGGAGGCGGAGCTTGCAGTGAGCCGAGATCGCGCCACTGCATTCCAGCCTGGGTGACAGAGTGAGACTCCGTCTCAAAAAAAAAAAAAAAAAAAAAAATTAGAACAGGAATTAAGAAAGTCGAAAACAATAAATCAATAGGGAACATCAATGAAAGCAAAATTTAGTTCTTTGGAATTATCAACAACGTTGAAAAAACTCTAAGCCAACCAAGAAAAAAGAGCGAGGACAGAAATTGTCAACAGCACAAATGAAAATGATGTCATAGCTAGTGATTCTGTAGTTATTAAAAAGATAATGAAGAAATACTACAAACAACTCTACGCCCACTAGTGTGGCACATTATATAAACTGGACCAATTCCTTGATAAACCCAAATTACTAAAACTTGTGCCTATACAGAAAAATGACCTAAAATGTTTTATATCTATTTTTAAATTGAGTAAATAATTAACAATCATCAAAAAAGCACCAGATCAAAGTAATTTCACCAACATTTAAGGAAAAGTTAATAAGATTTTTTCACATTATCTTCCAGCAAATAGAAGCACAGAGATTACTTCTTTGCTTATTCTAGGAGACCAGAATTATTGTAGTGCTAAAATCAGATGAAGCCATTACAAGAAAGGAAAAGTACAGACCAAAATCTCTCATAAACACATTTAAACATTATCAGCAAGATATAAACAAATAAAACTCAACAATGTATAAAAAATTATGTACCACAACCTATGATATTTATTTGATTTATACTATGTTGATTCTGTATTTGTAAATCAATGTAATCTACATCAACAAGCAAAAGTAAAAAAAGTATGTGATCATATCAACTGATGCGTAAAAAGCATTTGATGACTATACTGCCCAAAGCAATCTACAGATTCAGTGCTTTTCCTATTAAATTACCAGTATCTTTTTTTTTTACAGAATTGGAAAAAACTATTCTGAAATTCACATAGAACTAAAAAGAAGCTGAATAGACAAAGCACTCTAAGCAAAAAGAAGAAAGCCAGAGGCATAACATTATCCAGCTTCAAACTATACTCTAAGGCTACAGTAACCAAAAAGGCATGATACTCTACATATACTATACAACCAGACACATAGACAAATGTAATAGAAAAGAGAATCCAGAAATGGAGCCAGACACCTACAGCCATCTAATCTTCAACAAAGTTGACAAAAATAAGCAATGAAGAAAGGACTCCCTATTCAATAAATAATGCTGGGGTAGCTGGCTAGCCATATGCAGAGAAATGAAACTGGATCCCCACATTTCACCATATACAAACATCAACTCAAGATGGATATTGTTTTTTGAGGTCTTACATCTTAAGATGGTTTTATCTTAAGATGTAAGACCTCAAACTGTAAGACTCCCAGAAGGAAACCTAGGAAACTCCATTCTGGACATTGGCCTTGGGAAAGGATTTATTACTAAGTCCCCAAAAGCAATTGCAATAAAAACAAAAATCTACAAGTGAGATGTAATCAAACAAAAAAGCTTCTGCACAGCAAAAAAAACTATCAACAGAATAAACAGGCAACCTACAGAATGGGAGAAAATATTCAAAAACTCTGCATCCAACAACAGTCTAATATCCAAAATTTATAAAGAACTTAAACAATTGAAGAAGCAAAAATCAAACTACTCCATTAAAAACGGGCAAAGAACATGAAAAGACACTTCTCAAAAGAAGATATACAAATGGCCAATAAACTTTAAAAAATGCTCCACATCACTAATCATCATGGAAAATCCAATCAAAACCACAATGTGATACCATTTCACTCCAGTCAGAATGGCTGTTATTAACATAAAAAACCGACAGATGCTGGCAAGTCTGCAGAGAACAGGAGAGGCATATGCTGTTGGTGAGAATGTAAATTAGCTCAGCCACTGTGAAAAGCAGTTTAGAGATTTCTCAAAGAGCTTAAAGTAGAACTACCATTTGACCCAGCAATCTCATTACTGGATATATGTCCAAAAGAAAACAAATTGTTCTACCTAAAAGACACAAGCACTCACATTCATCACAGCACTATTCGCAGTACAAAAGACATGAAATCAACCTAGGGGCCCATCAGTGGTGGATCAGAAAAAGGAAATGTGGTACATATACACCATGGACTATTACATGGCCATAAAAAAGAATGAAATCATGTTCTTTGTAGCAAAATGGATGCAGCTGGAGGCCATTATCATAAACAAATTAACTCAGGAACAGAAAACTAAACACCACGTGTTCTCACTTATAAATGGTAGGTAAACATTGACTACACATAGATATAAAGATGGGAATAATAGACATTGGAGACTACTAGAGGGTGGAAGGAGGGAAGAGGGCAAGGATTTAAAAACTGTTGGGTACTAAGCTCAGTACCTGGATGATGGGATCATTCCTACTCCAAACCTTAGCATCATGCAATATTCCTAGTTATTAAACCTCTGAATCTAAAATAAAAGTTGAAAAGAAAAAAAAAAAAGCTTCTTACTGCTGGAATGAGAGGTGACAGGTAACCCAGGGGAGGAGGCTAGAATGATCCATGTCATAATGAACTGAACTTGAATACATCAGTATGAACTCAAACTCATGTTTAACTTAATATGGATACAGATGGTTACATGAAGAAATATTTATAGATATGTATTTACACACGGGTTACTATAAACCCATATATATTTCTTTTGCTTTCTCACCTTAAATGTCCAGAAGCAAAGATACCCCAGTAGAAAAGAGCACACCTAACATGTAGATCTTCATTTTTAATATTAATCTCCATTTAAAAAAAGAGAAACAACAACAACAAAACCAGGACTTTATAAATGACTGATTTCAGGACTAGACCAGGAAACATACAAGATACTCCTGGAGCATTTTGCAGTTATAGAAATTAAGAAAACACTCAACACACAGGCTAATGGTGCAAGTATATCAAAGAGGCACAAAAACCAACAGAAAGAACATCCAGTGGCCAAGGCTGAAACAAAGAACAACAGAGTGAATAGATTAGAACTGGTTTATACCCCAAAGTATAAAATAAATATCCACAGGTCCATAGTTTTAGAAATAAATGACCAAGAAATTGGGGAGAAAAGGCAAATCTCTCATGCTAGAGAATTTCAAGTAATTTATGTTGTTATGCTTCCCTCATAGAAGTGTTACATAATTCCCCACTTCTTCAGTGTACGCTGCTCATAGTAGCTTCCTGCCAAAGAGAAAAATATGGGAAGGAGAGTAATTTTACAATGGATAAATTTGACAAGCGCCACTTCAGCCAGGTGATGGGATGATATCAACAATGATAAGTCGTGTTGATAATGTGAACCACTGATATGTTGTTATGAAAACTGGCACGTTACCTCCATAGTCTTTTATCTGGGGAACATCTAACCCTAATCATTGGAAAAATATTAAATTCCAATAGAGGGACATCCTACCACATACCTGACCAGTATTTCTCAAGATTTTCATAATCAATTTTTAGAACCAAAACCAAGAGAAGTCTGAGAAACTCACAGCAAAGATGATTCTAAGGAGACATGACAGCTAAATGTCATGTGGTTACTAGACGGGATCCTGGAACAGATAAAGGTCATTAAGTGAAATCTAAGAAAATGTGAATAAACTATAGATTTTAGTTAATGATTGGTATTAGCATTGGCCTATTCATTGTAACAAACACATCATACTAGTATAAGATGTTAGTAATAGAGGAATCTGGATTTGGGGGTTATGAGAACTCCATGTTTTATCTTCTTATTTTTTTCTGTACATTTTTTAAAACAGTTCTTAAAATTTACTAGAAAAAGAAAAGCATTAATCTATGCCTTTTATTCTCAAACTAATATTTCAGACTATTTAAAATTTCACAGTGATGAACATTCACAAATAGTGTCATTTCATAACAGTTGAATCATCTGGTATTTGTGTTTATTATTGATGCTCAATTTAACTTTTTCCACCTTCAACATATGTCTATATTCTAATTAAAATAAAAGAAGTCTCAAAAATTAAAGCTGCCACAAAAATGCTAGTTCATGATATTGACAAGCAGGGTTAGTATACTAAAGTAACCCTCTCTTATATGTCTTTAAGTTTCTTCAAACTAAGCCTAAGGATTTTTATGATTAAACATAAATCACATTCTTACATTGCTCTCTGAACTACTTGAATATATGTAATGTTTATTTCTGTGCTTAAAAGTTAGACTGAGTGCTGTTTTGTGGCTGCTGATTAAATCTCCAGGTCTCACACAGAGTAGATTTTGTAGCTTTTCTATAAAAATTAGACTACTAGTAGTGAAAACCTGTTCTGTTTAATATAGCAATAAATGTTTTTCAATGGCACTCCTTGTGTCTTACAATACTACTCGATGTTTTAATGATGTAATGAAACAAAGACCAAATTATTCACATTTGGAGATGGCATGGCAGAAGAGGGAAAAAATAAGCCTTTATATTCTCACTAAGTACTTGTTACTCTTGGTAATGAGTTTTTCATTGTCAGTAGTGGTGCCGATGAATCCAATGTTGTTGGCAGTGAAATTCATAGTGCTGATAATGGTAATGGTAGCAATAACGATGATATTGGTGTTGCTGCTATTATTTGGATAATGTTTGTGCTGGTAGTGGTGGCAGTGGTGATGGTGGTGTTGGCGGGGTTGATGATTGGTGTTAACAGTGGTTGGTGCCAGAGTTGATAGTGGTATAATTAAAAATGTAAAACAGACCAGCAAAATTTTTGGCAATTCTTTCAGCCATGTAATCTAAAAATCTCTAAGAGATTAACCTTTTAAGGTAAAATTCATGGCTTCTAAAGTAGTCCTAAGAACATGGTTATTGGCCATAGCCATTTGCAAACAGGCTTTTGAAATTCCTTCACGACTGTACATTGCTTTCAGTGACCTTAACCAATAATGGCCATCATGACTATAGAATGCAAGGTTCATAGGCTTACATTTTCTCCTGGCATTATTCTGATCTTTGGCTTACTACTCCATTGCAAGATATTGGGGATATAAAATAAAGCATGTTACAATTTCCTTTAGGTACATTTATAGTTGTGTTTTTAAGCTTTGCATGTGTATCTTGGAGGAGAAAAAGAGAACTAGTCCACTCACACCGTTGTTGAAAATGAAATTCCTTTCAGTCTAGAGTGTTTCTCCAGATGATAATTAACTTGCAGGTGTGCACCACCACAAAATTCACAAACACTTGGTTAAATAAATATATAGTGATATTAAAGCTTTTCTACATGTAAAGGGAAAGGATGGTAAGAGGAGGTTACTACAGGATAAGAGATTTAAATGGTAAATACAATAATAAAAGGACATGTAAACAAAAGCAAATTTGGGAATGAAATTCAGCATCTAAACTTTAGAAAATAGATATACTATTGAACACTGAGTCTTGTTTCAGTAGTAAAATTATTTACTCTCAAAGTTGGATAAACTTAGAAATCTTTTGAGGATTTTTTTCTGCCTATTTATGGCATCTTATCATTTAAAGTCAACTGGAAATAATAGCCAATTGATTCCAGCTGATTCTTTTACTTGTAAATAATTTAATTCCTATCCAATAAAGTACATTTTGTACATTACGCTACATTTTTGTTCATTTATCAAATACTTAGTGATACTAAACATATGTTACTACATCCCAGAAATATATTGCACAGGGCTCTGACTTTCAGTACTTTCTCACACATTTTGGCCAAGTTTTGGAGTCTGATAATTTCACATTTTGGCCCCACCCCTTATGTAATCTAGGGACGTTTTTACATCCTTTCTGTGACTCACTTCTCCAACCTGTAAAATGAGCCTACTTCAACTCACTCTACTAACTTGTTGGGAATGATACAACGTAACTATGGAAACTATTAAGATGTGTAGAACATCCTATGCACCTTAAAGACAGCTATCCCCTTATGCAAAAAAAAAAAAAAAAGATGGCAGAGAAATTTTAAAATAACCTCCATTAAGCTGTGTATAAACCACTAAAGTTTTTATTCTAAAACTCAAGTTTTATTCTAAAGCTCAGCTATCCCCTTCTATTAAATAAAAAGGCAGAGAAATTTTAAAATAACCTGTATTAAGCTGTGTATAAATCACTAAAGTTTTTATTCTGAACTCAAACTTTAATTTGGTATTGTGGTAATACCATAATAGATAGCTTTATGTGGCTTCCTACTCATCTATTAAAGAGGATCAGAACTCATGATCTGGCCATGGCCAGTTTCCCTTCCAGAAATCTGTTGGCCCCTTTAATCTGGCCACATTTCAGTGTTAATAAGCACTTGAACCTCTATAAGTGGGATCCCCTGTCCTTTTCCTTGGAGATAACATTTATTTCCATTCATTTTTTGTTTGGCAAATCCTCATTTTGTAATATCCAAGTCTTTCGTGTTTCTTTATAAGAAATGTGCTTCCCTAACTTTTATTATCACTATCCTTTGTGCATTAACATTTTAACACTTGCTACACATTAATATCCCAATTTTTATATGCAAAATGAAGATAGTAATAATTTCTACCTCAGAGTGTGTGATAGTAAATGGAGAAGAGCTTGCAAACTCTTCAGCATAATGATTTTACATTGTAAGCGTTTAAGAACTGTTAGCCAACAGTTTTTGTCTCTTTTACACTCATGCTTATGTTTCTTATGCATGACAAAATATATACTTTATAAACTCTACAAATATTGGAATAACTGAAAAATAGCAAATATTAATTTAATCAATAATATATATCACAGAAAACAGCACATTTTGCAAAAATAAATGCATTCCACAAATATAAAAGATTAATGTATTGGTATTAATACAATATTTACAAAACCAAATGGTTATGTGGAATATTTTCTATTAGTATTATTGGCCCCAAATATTTTTATAAATTATATAAAGTTTATATTTTAGTAGTTGGAAATTCTAAAGACATTGAGATATAACTTCTTTATCTAAGAGATTTTCAGAATGTTCTGTAAATGCGCTTCAGGTCGGATCTGGATTGCAGATTGCATACATATCTCTGCCTCAAAAACTTGAAATTCCAAAAAAATTGTAAACTACAAATTATTCCATCATAGTGCTGAGAAACAAGTAACTATGTCATGAACATAAAAGGAAATACCGAGAAATTTCTGGAACATAGAAAGCAGAAGAGAAAAGAACAAAGAAACTATAGCCTAAAACTCTTCAAAGACTTAATGGGAAGTCAAGAGCAGATGGAGAGTACCTCAAGCTCTCAAAGATACTAGAAGCAGGAGGGCTCCAGATGCCATTTTCAGGGAACACAATTAAGTCAGTGTTTCACTATTAATCCAGCCTAGTTCCTTAAACCATTCCTACATCCACCCTCAGTAGGAATTGACTGATTACCATGAAGAATAAGTATAATCTCTCTTTACCAAGGTGAATTCCCAATTTCTCTGAAAGTGTCACCCCCTACACACACACACACACACACACACACACACTTCTCTGTACCTCTGATAGTCTGTGAAAATGTGCCGCAATAGTTCACCTAAGATAAAAGCTATATACTTTTATGGATTTCAATGTGTTAAAGAAATTAGATCAGAGCCCCTTTGATACAATAGATTTATATTACTAGCCAAAATCAGATACATTAATTAATCTGTGGCTTATACAAAAAAATAATAAAATACCAGGGACACAGCTAGCCAGTGAGGTGAAAAATCTCTACAATGAGAATCACAAAACATTGCTCAAAAAAATCAGAGAAGGCACAAATAAAAAAAAAATCCCATGCTCATGGATAGGAAGAATCAATATCACTAAAATGTCTGTACTTTCCAAAGTAATTTAGAGATTTATGTTATTGCTATCAAACTACCAAGAACATTCTTCACAGAACTAGGAAAAACTATTTTAAAATATATATGAAACCAAAAGCCAATTGCCTGAATAGCCAAGGCAATGCTAAGCAAAAAGAACAAAGCTGGAGGCATCATGTTACCTGACTTCAAACAATACTACAAGGCTACAGAATGGTATGGTACTGGTACAAAAATGGACACATGGACCAATGGAACTGAATAGAGAGTGCATAAATAAGGCTGCATATCTCTGACCGTTCGATCTTCAACAAAGCTGAAAAAAACAAGAAATGAGGAAAAGACTTTCTGTTCAAAAAATGGTACTGCAATAAGTGGCTAGCCATATGCACAAGAATAAACATGGACCCTTTCCTTAAACCATAGACAAAAATCAACTCGAAAAGGATTAAAGACTTAAATGTAAAACCCAAGACTATAAAAACCCTGGAAGACAACATGGGCAATACCATCCTAGACATAGGAATAGGCAAAAATTTCATGACAAAGACACCAAAAGCAATTGCAACTAAAGCAAAGTGGGATCTAATTAAACTTTAAGAGCTGCTGCACAGCAAAAGAAACTATCAACAGAGTAAACAGACTACCTATAGAATAGGATAAAATATTTGCAAACTATGCATCTGACAAAAGTCTAAAACCCAGCATCAATAAGGAATTTCAATGAATTTATAAGAGAAAAACAACCACATTAAAAAGTAGGCCAAGGACATGAACAGACACCTCTCATAAGAAGACACACGTGCAGCCAGCAAGCATATGAAAAAGAGTTCAATGATAGACTGGAATAAGAAAATGTGGCACATATACACCATGGAATACTATGCAGCCATAAAAAAGGAAGAGTTCATGTCCTTTGTAGGGACATGGATGAAGCTGGAAATCATCACTCTGAGCAAACTATCACAAGGACAGAAAACCAAACACCGCATGTTCTTACTCATAGGTGGGAATAGAACAATGAGAACACTTGGACACAGGGTGGGGAACATCACACACCAGGGCCTGTCATGGGGTGGGGGGAGAGGGGAGGGATAGCATTAGGAGATGTACCTAATGTAAATGAGGAGTTAATGGGTGCAGCACACCAACATGGCACATGTATACATATGTAACAAACTTGCATGTTGTGCACATGTACCCTAGAACTTAAAGTATAATAATAAAAAAAAAAGAAAAAGAGTTTGATATCACTGATCATTAGAGAAATGCAAATTAAAACCACAATGATTTGGGAGGCCAAGGTGGGCGGATCACCTGAGGTCAGGAGTTTGAGACCAGGCTGGGCGACATGGTGAAATGCCAACTCTACTAAAAATACAAAAATTAGCTGGGCTTGGTGGCTCATATTTGTAATCCTAGCTACTTGGGAGGCTGAGGCAGGAGAGGAGAAACACTTGAATCCAGGAGGTGGAGGTTGAGGTTGCAGTGAGCCGAGGTTGCACCACTGCACCCAAGCCTGACCCACAGAGCCAGACTCGATACAAAAACAAAACAAAACAAAACAACAACAACAACAACAAAAATGAGATGCCATCTCACACCAGTCAGAATGGCTATTATTAAAAAGTCAAGGGGATCAGGGCCAAGATGGCCAACTAGAAGCAGTGGCAATTGGAAGAGCCCATCAAAAAGAACCATAACAGCATGCGAATCCTGCATCGTCAACTGGGGATCCAGGCGCTGTCATCGGAACTGACTAGGTGGCTGGCATGACCCACAGAGAGGAAAGAAGAGCAGTGTGTTGAGGCCGCCCACCTGAGAGCCACACTGGGCAGGGGAGCCTCCATCCCCCAGTCAAAGGAGGCGGTGAGTGAGCGTGCTACCCAGCCTAGGAAACCATGCTTTCTCTGTGGACTGTGCAACCCACGGATCGGAAGATCCCACTTGTAAGCCCCTGCCACCAGGGCCTAGGGTCCCAACCACAGAGATGCACAGATTCTCAACATCCACTCAGCTAGAATCTGCTTAAGCTTGCCAAGTACCTGGGGGTAGGGGCAGCCAGCACCACAGCTAAGGCTGCCTGCTGTCTAAGCCATTTGAACTCCTTAGGGAAGGGGTGGTAGCCAACACTGGGACTGCCAGCTGCCTAACACACTAAGCTCCTAGGGTGGGGGAAAGGTAGCAGCCATCTCTGTAGTTCCAGGCTGTGCTTTGCCCATGCTGGAGCCAGGGAGGCTGGACGGCTTAGTCCCAAAAGGTATTCCCCACAGCCCAACACACTGGCTGTGGCAGACTGTGGCCAGAGTGCCTCTTCAGGCCTGATCCTGACCCATACCTTCTCACTTGGTGGCGCCTCCCTGCAGGAACTCCAACAACTCCAGCCAGGGTCTCAGGGACAGAACTCTGATCTGCCTGGACCTTAGCTTCTAGGGGAAGGGGTGGCCATAGTCCCCATGGACCAGTAGATTTAGTCTTTCCTCCTGGTACTTCTGAGGAATCCAGGCAGCCCAGACAAGTGGATTTCTCCCCAACGTAGCACACCCCCTCCAAAAAGGGACAGCTCAAGTGCTTTGTTAAATGGGTCCTACTCCCTATGCCACCCAACTGGGTGAGACCCTCCAACAGGGTTTGTCAGACACCCTACATGGGAGCGTTCCTACTGGCCTCAGGTTGATACGCCTTGATTTTAGAGATCCCAGAGGAAGGAGCAGGCACCCATCTTTGCTGTTCTCCAGCCTCCTCGAGTGACATATCCAGGCACAGGAGCAAACCAGATGAAGAGGGCCTGAAGTGAACCCCCTGCAAACTGCAGCAGCCCTATAGAAGAGGCACCTGACCATTGAAAGAAAAACAAACAGAAAGCAACAACAACAGCATCAACAACAAAAGTCCCCATAAGAACCTCAGCCAAGCAGCCTCAAAGATTGAAACTAGATAAACTCATGAAGATGAAAAATAATCAATGAAAAAAAGGCTTAACATGAAAGGCCAGAGTGCCCCTTACTCTCCAGATGATTGCAACACCTCTCCAGCAAGGGTGCAGAATTAGGCGGGGGATGAGATGGACGAATTGACGGAAGTAGGCTTCAGAATGTGGGTAATAACAAATTCTGCTGAGCTAAAGGAGCATGTTGTAACCCAATGCAAAGAAGCTAAGAACCTTCATAAAAGGTTACAAGAGCTGCTAACTAGAATAACCAGTTTACAGAGGAACATAAATGATCTCATGGAGCTGAAAAACACAGCACAAGAACTTCCAGAAGAATACCCAAGTATCAATAGCCAAATCAATCAAGCAGAATAAAGAATATCAGAGTTTGAAGACAATCTTGCTGGAAATAAAGCATGCAAGCAAGATTAGAGTAAAACAAATGGATAGTAATGAACAAAACCTTCTAGAAACATGGGATGATGTAAAAAGACTAAACGTACAATTGATTTGGAGTACCTGAAAGAGACAGAGAGAATGGAACCAAGTGGGAAAAAACACTTCAGGATATCATCCAGGAGAACTTCCTCAACCTAGCAAGACAGGCCAACATTCAAATTCAGGAAATACAGAGAATACCACTAAGATACTCCACAAGAAGATTAACCCTAAGACACATAATCACTAGATTCTTCAAGGTCAAAATGAAGGAAAAAACGTTAAGTGCAGCCAGAGAGAAAGGACAGCTAGAAAGGCCAGGTTATCTATAAAGCAAAGCCCATCAAACTAACAACAGACCTCTCAGCAGACCCCTACAAGCCAGAAGAAAGTGGAGGCTTTCAACCCAGAATTTCATATCCAGCCAATCTAAACTTCATAAAGAAGGAGAAATAAAATCATTTCCAGAGAAGCAAAAGCTGAGGGATTTCATCACCACTAGGCCTGCCCTGCAAGAGCTCCTGAAGGAAGCACTAAATATGGAAAGGAAGAACCAGTACCTGCCACTGCAAAAACACGCAAAAAATATAAAGACCAATGATACTATGAAGAAACTGCATCAACTAGTGTGCAAAATAACCAAATAGGATCATGATGAGAGGATCCAATTCACACAGAACAGTATTAAACTTAGTGTAAATGGGATAAATGTCCCAATTAAAAGACATAGACTGGCAAATTGGATAAAGAGTCAAGACCCATCGGTGTGCTGTACTCAGGAGATTCATCTCACGTGCAAAGACACACATAGGCTCAAAATAAAGGGAGGGAAGAAAATTTACCAAGCAAATGGACAGCAGAAAAAAGCAGGGGTTTCAGTCCTAGTCTCTGAAAAAACAGACTTTAAACCAAACAATATCAAAAAAGACAAAGAAAGGTATTACATAATGGTAAAAGGATCAATTCAACAAGAAGAGCTAACTACCCTAAATACATATGCACCCAAAACAGGAGCACCTAGATTCAAAAAAACATATTCTTAGAGACCTACAAAGAGACTTACACTCCCACACAATGATAGTGGGAGACTTTAACACCCCACAATGAATATTAGACAGATCAACAAGACAGAAAATTATCAAGGATTTCAGGGCTTGAACTCAGCTCTGGATCAAGTGCACCTAACAGACATCTACAGACCTCTCCAACCCAAATCAATAGCATATACATTGTCAGTGCCACATGGCACTTATTCTAAAATTGACCACATAATAGGATGTAAAACACTCCTCAGCAAACTCAAAAAGCGGAAATCATAACAAACAGTCTCTGAGACCACAGTGCAATCAAATTAAAACTCAGGATTAAGAAATTCATTCAAAACCACACAACTATCTGGAAATTGAACAACCTGCTTCTGAATGACTTCTGGATAAATAAGGAAATTAAGGCAGATATCAAGAAGTTATTTGAAACCAATGATAATGAAGAGACAACGTACCAATATCTCTGCGGCATAGTTAAAGCAGTGTTAAGAGGGAAACTTATAGCACTAAACGCCCACATCAGAAAGCTAGAAAAATCTCAAATCAACATCCTAACATTACAATTAAAAGAACTAGAGAAGCAAGAGTGAATGAATCCAAAAACTAGCAGAAGACAAGTAATAACTAAGATCAGCGCAGAGTTGAAGGAGATAGAGAAATAAAAAAATCCTTTAGAGAAACAATAAATCCAGGAGTTGGTTTTTTGAAACAAATAACAAAACAGATAGACTGTTAGGTAGACTAATAAAGAAGAAAAGAGAGAAGATTCAAATAGACAAAAATATAAAATGGTAAAGGGGATATCACCACTGACCCCAAAGAAATACAAGCTACCATTGGAGAATACTATAAACACCTCTATGCAAATAAACTAGAAAATCTAGAAGAAATGGATGAATTTGTGGACACATACACCCTCCCAAGACTAAACCAGAAAGAAATTGAATCCCTGAATAGACCATAACCAGTTCTGAAATAGAGGCAGTGATAAATAGCCTACCAACTATAATAAAGCCCAGGAGTAGGCAAATTCACAGGTGAAATCTACCAGAGATACAACGAGGAGCTGGTGCCATTCCTTCTGAAACTATTCCAAGCAATTGAAAAGGGGGGACTCCTCCCTAACTCATTTTATGAGGCCAGCATCATCTTGATACCAAAACCTGGCAGAGACACAACAACAACAACAAAAACTTTAGGCCTATATCCCTGATGAACATCAATGCAAAAATCCTCAAGAAAATACTGGCAAACCAAATCCAGCAGCACATCAAAAACTTATCCACCATGATCAAGTCGGCTTCATCCCTGTGATGCAAGGCTGGTTCAACATATGCAAATCAATAAACATAATCCATCACATAAACAGAACCAATGACAAAAACCACATGATTATCTCAATAGATGCTGAAAAGGCCTTTGAAAAAATTCAACATCCTTCATGTTAAAAACTCTCAACAAACCAGGTATTGATGGACCATATCTCAAAATAATAAGAGCCATTTATGACAAACTCCCAGCCAATATCATACTGAATGCACAAAAGCTGGATGCATTCCCTTTGAAAACCAGCACAAGACAAGGATGTCCACTCTCACCACTCCTGTTCAACGTAATATTGGAAGTTCTGGCCAGGGCAACCTGGAAAGAGAAAGAAATATAGGATATTCAAATAGGAAGAGAGGAAGTCAAATTGTCTTTGTCTGCAGATGACATGATTCTATATTTTGAAAACCTCATTGTCTCAGACCAAAAACTCCTTAAGCAGATAAGCAGGTTCAGCAAAGTCTTAGGAAACAAAATCAATGTGTAAAAATTACAAGCATTCCCATACACCAAAAACAGAAAGGCAGAGAGGCAAGTCATAAATGAACTCCCATTCACAATTCCTACAAAGAGAATAAAATACCTAGGAATACAATTAACAAGGGACATAAAGAACTCTTCAAGGAGAGCTACAAACAACTGCTCAAGGAAATAAGGGAGGACACAAACAAATGGATAAACATTCCATCCTCACGGATGGGTAGAATCAATGTTGTAAAAATGGCCATAGAGCCCGAAGTAATTTATAGACTCAATGCTGTTTCCATCAAACTGCCGTCAACATTCTTCACATAGTTAGAAAAAAACTACTTTAAATTTCATATGAAGCAAAAAAGGGCTCATATAGTCAAGACAAAAAGAACAAAGCTGGGGGCATCATGCTACCTGACTTCAAACCGTATCACAAAGCTACAGTAACCAAAATGGCATAGTACTGCTACCAAAACAGACATATAGATCAATGGAACAGAACATAGACCTCAGAGGTAACACCACACGTCTACAACCATCTGACCTTTGACAAAGCTGATGAAAAGAAAGCAATGGGGAAAGGATTCCCTATTTAATAAATGGTGCTGAGGAAACTAGCTAGCCACATGCAGAAAACTGAAACCGGACCCCTTCCTTAAACCTTATACAAAAATTAACTCCAGATGGATTAAAGACTTAAATATAAAACCCCAAGCTCTAAAAACCCCAGAAGAAAACCTAGGCAATACCATTCAGGACATAGGCATGGGCATTGATTTCCTGAAGAAAATGCCAAAAGCAATCTCAATAAAAGCCAAAATTGTCAAATGGGATCTGATTAAACTAAAGAGCTTCTACACAGAGATTCTACTATCATCAGAGTGAACAGGCAACCTACAGAATGGGAGAAAATTTTTGCAATCTACCCATCTGACAAAGGACTAATATCCAGAATCTATAAGACATTTAAACAAATTTACAAGAAAAAAACAACCCCATCAAAAAGTGGGCAAATAATATGAACTGACACTTCTCAAAAGAAAACATTTATGCAGGCAACAAACATATGGAAAAAAGTTTGACACCACTGATCATTAGAGAAATACAAATCAAAACCACAATGAGATACCATCTGACACCAGTCAAAATGGTGACTTTATTAAAAAGTCAAGAAACGATAGATGTTGATGAGGCTGTGGAGAAATAGGAATGCTTTTCCACTTGGTAGAAATGTGAATTAGTCCAACCATTGTGGAATACAGAGTCGCGATTCCTCCAGGATCTAGAACCTGAAATACCATTTGACCCAGCAATCCCATTACTGGGTATATACCTAAAGGAATGTAAATCATTCTACTACAAAGACTCATGTGCATATATGTTTATTGCAGCACTATTTACAACAGCAAAGACAAGGAACCAACTTAAATGCTCATCAATGATAGACTAGATAAAGAAACTGTGGTACGTATACACCATGAGATACTATGCAGCCATAAAAAGGAATGAGATCATGTCCTTCGCAGGGACATAGATGAAGCTGGGAGCCATCATCCTCAGCGAACTATCACAGGAACAGAAACCCAAACACCACATGTTCTCATTCCTAAGTGGGAGTTGAACAATGAGAACACATGGACACAGGGAGGTGAACAAAACATACTGGGGCCTGTTAGGGATTGGGGGAGAGGGGAGGGAGAACATTAGGACAAATAGCGAATGAATGCGGGGCTTAAAACCTAGAGGACGGTTTGATAGGTGCAGCACACCACCATGGCACATGTATACCTATGTGACAAACCTACACTGTCTGCACATGTATCTTGGAATTTAAAGTAAAAAAAAAAAAGTCAAAAAACTACAGATGCTGGCAAGGTTGCAGAGAAAAGGCAATACTTATATACTGTTGGTGGGAGTGTAAATTCATTCAAGCATTGTGGAAAGCACTATGGCAATTCCTTAA
Organism: Homo sapiens; assembly: GCF_000001405.40. Classification (NCBI taxonomy): domain Eukaryota; kingdom Metazoa; phylum Chordata; class Mammalia; order Primates; family Hominidae; genus Homo; species Homo sapiens. The sequence goes on along the minus strand of NC_000021.9, from coordinate 27,600,300 downwards.
TGTTCTATAAAATAGAACTACCATTCCACCCAGCAACCCCATTACTGGGTATATACCCAGAGGAATATAAATCATTCTACCATAAAGACATGCATGTGAATGTTTATTGCAGCACTATTCACAATGGCATGGCAAAGACATAGAATCAACCTAAATGCCCATCAATGACAGATTGGATGATGTGGTACATATACACCATGGAATACTATGCAGCCATAAAAAAAGAACGAGATCATTTCCTTTGCGGAAACTTGGATGGAGCTGGAGGCCATTTTCCTTAGCAAACTAATGCAGGAACAGAAACCAAATACTGCATGTTCTGTCTTATAAATAAGAGCTAAATGACAAGAACTTATAAACACAAAGAAGGAAACAACAGACACTGGAGTCTACTTGAAGTGGGATGGCAGGAGAACGAAGAGGAGCAAAAGGGTAGCTACTGGATACTTAATACCTGGGTGATGGAATAATATGTACAACAAACCCCCATCACACAAGTTTACCTATGTAACAAACCTTCACATAATACCCCCAAACCTAAAATAAAAGTTAAAAATAAAAATAAAACCTGAAGAAGAGGGGATGGGACAGTGACTGCTATTTTAAAATATTAACCTACTGACATTATTTTGCTTAAGTATTGTACATGTACTGTTTTGATAAAATTTTAAAATATAAAGTTTTAAAATATATGTATTTACTTTAGATACATGAGATATGAAGTGCAAATACTAGGAAAATACTAGGTAGAAGTATTAGATAAAAGGGTAAGTTGATAAAAAGAAGATGTAGCACATTGGTGTGTAATGAACTGGAGGGTGGCTGGCTGGTTAAATGGGTAGCTGGGAAAACTGGGAGATGAGAATCAGAAAAAAAAAATCTGTGGCTTATAGCACTACATGCAAAATAAAAATAGTCAAATCATGTGGTCCAATCAGCCTTTGTTTATTGCTCATTTTTGAAGAATAAATCTAATATAAAATATATTATGCTACAGAAACAGTTTAATAAAAAATTTAAACTAAGAGCAAGTCATTCGCAGAGAATCAGAATTTTCATTGCATTCTAAATATTTTATGTTCATATGTATCTTTGAAATTGTAACTTTGTATGAGCTGACTTATAAATATACATGAGGAATCACCCAATAAAGGTACCGTCTAATATGAATTACCATTATTTATAAACAATTGGGAGAAAGATAATCTGACAGTAAGTAATTGAAAAAAAAACTACATAATAGTTCGAATCTATGATGAACTATTACTTTTTCAGATTAAAAGGTTTTATAGTTCAGTGGCTTTTAAAAACTCAGTAAAATCACTGGTAAAACAGGAAAACGAGGTGAGGCACCAGCTTCAGATGATCTGTTTCATTGCTGGAACCTGACATTTTTTGGTGGGTGAAGTATGGCTCAGATTCTACTAGCCTGAACAACTTGCCTGCCCCCTATCAATACCACCAACTGTTTACATTCAATGATTAGCATGAGACCATTTGTTTTATAAGTGAGCAAAACAGAGATTTTTGTTGCTGTATTTACATGGGACAAGAGAAAGAATAGGAGAACGGGAGATGTTACAGAACATAATTTCCCTACTTAGTCTCTTAATTCGGAAATGAGTTGCTTGAAGACAGGAGTAAAACTATCAGTGCTATTCATGGCAAGGACAATGACTAGAACTAATAAAGTTGTTAAAGAGAGATACTGTTTCACTGCAACATAAGCAGAGTTCTTTGGCTGTCCAAGTGGCACAGTGTTTCAAAAAGGCCATCTCCTCTTCCTTTGCAATAGCATCTAGCAACAATAGGGGATATGGATATTTATGCTGCATCTGTAGAACATAGGTGACTGCATGATAGCTAGTTGTAACAGTTGTGTGGCCAAAGGGATTTCTGAGCTGAAGACAAAGAAAGAAACACAGGTGGACGATGGATGGTAACAGTAGTTGTATCAGTCAGGATAGGCAAGATTATGCTGAAGTAACAAAAACATCCCCTAGTCTCAGTACGTTAAAAAGCTAAGTATATTCCTTGCAGATCCTAAGTGTTCATACTGTTTTGACAGAGGGGCTCTCCTCATCTGAGTTATTCAAGACTCCAGGATGCTGGAAGCTTTATTTTGAGTTGTGTCTTCATACTTTCTGAAGCATGAGGAAAGAAGGCAGCTTGGAGAACTAGACACTGGCTCTCGTTTTCAGAGGCAGTGACATGTCACTTCTGCTCTTATTTCATTGACCAAGTCAAGTCAAGTAGCCCTACCTACTTTTATGGGGGACAAAAATTACAATTCTTCTATATGCCTAGGAGATAGAATTATGGGAAAATTTGGCAATCAGCAATTGTTGCTTTCAAGTTTTTCTCAATAGCTAAGAGTGGTTTTAAGAGCATGTAGGGCATTCATTTTGAATTTCGGAAATAAAGGGGGAAGACTCTTTGATAACTCATGTTTTATCTGTTTACATTAGTAGGTCTCTTGTGAATATAGTCTAGGTACACAAATATGTATGTAGTCAAAAGTTGGCAAGACTCAGAACATTTGTGTTTTATATGCTTTTGAGATTTTGTTTAAATGAAGAGTACTGTAGAAAAAAAATGAGTCTAATTAGAGAATATTTTCTGAAATTAAGATGTTCACATTGTTATTTACATGAGAAATATCTTGATTCAAACTACAGTAGCCGGGCATGGTGGCTCATGCCTGTAATCCCAGCTACTCAGGAGGTTGAGGCACAAGAATAAGTTGAACCCAATAGGCAGAGGTTGCAGTGAGCCACGATCGCGCCACTGCACTCAAGCCTGGGTGATGGAGTAAGACTCTGTCTCAAAAACAAAACAAAACAAAACAAAAACAAATTACAGTAGACACAGCATATTTTGACTGTTGTAACAACACTGCCTTAGTCAAGATCCCAATAGAAAACAGATGACATATTTATCTTAAATGAGGAGAGACTGAGGAGAGAAGGAGTTAACTTGTATTCAGTTTAGCAGGATCTTATCCCAGCTGTGTCTTACATTCAAATTAAATTAACTGATTATATGGCCAAGGTCTAAAATCCAAAATACGATGTGTGAAGTTATCAAGAGGAATGTCATTTCACAAAAAGTTATTTTAGAAGTGATTACTATCACTAAACATGTGAGAAGGGGCTTATGGTTGCTTTTTGTCTATTGGGAGCAAGAAATACAACCATGGTAAGATATAGATCTAATCACCAAAATCAATATAGTCATATATTCAGAGTGTACTGGAAACAGAACACATATGACTTAATTTCATAAGGTACTTATTTAAAATCCCAAAGTTGCTCTAAGGAAGGAAGCTGTAAAACAACATAGAGTTTCTCAATCTTAAAATTTCCTTGTTTAAAATTTATCCATGGCACACAGTGAAGAGAAGGTATATTGCTATTGGAGGGTACATTTCCTGGTGAATAACACTGTAGAAACCATAGATCAGTCTTTGAAGTACTTGTTACCAGCATTGAATTGATTTCAGGAAAATCCCTGATTTTTTCCTGTTGTATCCTACCTCAGGTCAGAGTTGCACTGCACGTTGAAATGTTTCAAGCACTCAACAATTCCTTCATGTAAACAGTGTATAAATGTAATAGTGTATGAATATAGCAGTGTTTCTGCCTCAGTTACTGTGTACTAAATACATATTGATCTTTTTTGCTTTTGTTGTTGCTCTGTGAATCCTATTTCAGACTATGTGTTTTCTTTTTTGGAAATAGGAGGATAAATTAGATTCATTTAATGTATTAGCCTGACTATGACTCCTGTTTGTATCAGAAGATTTTCCAATGCATGATTATTATGGAAAGTTTTATGAAACCAAAAGACTTTCTGGGAACTAATTGGCTGTTGCCACAATTTCTATATTTTTACAACCAGTGTCTGGGTATTTTTTTGCTTTGATATTATTATTTGGATGGAAAATGATGCAAAAAATATCAAATGTTTCTTTCTATTGCTTAAATGACTGCCAGATATTAAGCAATGCTTAGAATGTACTTCCTTTGGAAAAAAAAAAGGCACAGACAGTGCTCAAGTAATCATTATCACAAAATAAAGAATATTAGTTCCATCACACCCTTAAGCAAACACATCTGAAGTTCAAACATATTTTAGAAAAGCACTACAGTTCAGGGGGCAGCACACATCTTTCTTCTTTGTACTGTTGTGATATGCAAAAGATACACATTTCTAATGTTTTTGGATGCCGCAATTGCCATTCAGTTTTACAGAAACACTTGTCAGAGAAGTACTTGGAAGGACTTATATTCTTGAACATATTTGAAAAGTGCATTCCCCTAATAGAACAGCTGGACAGAGTCCAAAAAGTTGGAAACTCAAGTCCCTCAGCAGAGACCATCAAAAGTTTATCCAAATGAGAAAAAGCACATCTGGCTGACTCACCTCCTTACCTTTGTGGAATAATCACTTGGAAGGAAATCTCCCTGGATACTCCAAAAGATTTTTGAAAAAATGTTTTTCCTCAGAAAATTGTTTTAATCTCTGAAACAGGAAATCAAGCTCACCACACCATCTTCCACACCCTACCAGGAACTGCAGTGTAACCAGTGCTACACCATTTCCCCCTATTCTCTGAGGTTTTGGAAACGAATTCCAAGGCTCTGAAAATATTGGACCTCTTCTTTAAAAAATCTAAAGGAATCTCTAACTTCCTAAAAACATATCATATATCCACTATTGCCTAAATATCAATCAAAAGTGTATGCAGAAGTCATGAAAACAAGAAAAGACTCCAGGAAGACGATGCTTTAGCAATTACCACAGAAAACCCATCCCTGTGACTTACAGGGTGGCCGTCTATGTCTGCCAGAGGGAACAAGAGGTGATAAGCTATGAAAAACTGTTCCCAAGACTTCTGTAACTGTTTTCAGACGGGTGTTTGTGAAAAGTACAAAAAAATGGACCCTCCTCTCAAAACTTGCTCTTAACATTAACTCGGACTTGAAGTATAGCAACTGTAGTATTTCACAGGACACATGAAGTCTATATAGTGGTTGAAAAGAACATATTATGCTATTTGAAACTCTAGACAGGTTTAACACTCTGTGCCAGAGATTTGCTGATAAATCCACATCGAGATGTTTGCTCCCTCCCAGTGTGACTTGTTGATGAAAGAGAAATGGGACAAAAGTAAGCCCCAAATACAGGGCAGTAGCATGGGAGAATGGATCTCAATAATGGCCCTAAGGGGACAATTGAAGAATGCAGACAATGGAAAATCACAGTGGGTTTTCGAAAGAGCCACAGATGCTACCATCTTAAGTTATTGTTATATCATATCCATTAACTAAAGCAAAAAATATTTTATTCTCAGCTTTTGTTCTAATGTATCAATAGCTAGAAATCTGGAATTATAGGTAATCTGTGTCATTTTGTCTTGAAGAATGTTCAAAAATAAAAGGCTGCAATGATATACTTGCACCTATTTATCCATTCATTCATTAGTACTACTATAGGAGGACATAGGAAAAAATATTCGATCAAAAATAAGTAAATGATAAAAAATGTCAGCTGGTGACAGTTTCTATGGAAAAAAATTGAGATGGAGTAACATGACATTGAATAGGTGAATGTATACTTTATATTAGGTAGACAAATAGAATTCCTAGATGATGACGACCAAACTGAATCTGAAGAACATCAGGGAGTTAGTCAATGACAATCATGGAAAGCACCCTCCATAAGGAGGAAACCATGTCCAAGGGTTAGAATAAGCTCGGTTTATTCAAGAAGCAACAAGGACAGTCTGGGAGGAGGAGAACTGGAAGGCAGCACAGTGGAAGTGCTTTTTCAAAACATTCCTGAAAAATTGGAAGTATCTGCAGATTTCTCACCATAATGCAGTTAAAAATCAACCAACCAACCAACCACCATCAACAACAGTAACAAAAACAAGATATGTCCAAGATTCAAACTAATCAGCTGGATTCAAAACTATAAAGCACAGAAGCAAAAAAGAAAAAAATAAAGAAATTATTTGGTGAAAAAGATTTGGAATCCATACAATGAAACTAAGACCATTATATGGGCTGGTAGTAATCTTGATTTAAGCAACATCCTATCCTTTCTAGTTTTCAGATTTTTAATTTAATTCAAAGATGATTTTTAAGTCTAATTATTTCCAGATGAGCTCATCTGATATCAGCATCTTGGAAAAGTGGATCAAAACAGGCCTTGGATCTGAACCTTTACGTTACAGGGTAGGTTGCTCAAATTTTTGTCTATTGCATTACAGAGTTTTTTCTAAATATTTCAATTTTGCCATCTCTAGGTTAGGGCACTTTTTTTCTTATCCATTTATTCTAATAGTTCCAACAATTAGTGAATTCAAGAATGTGATGGGCAGAATGTCTTCCTAAAGATGTTCACTCTCTAAACCTGTGAATATATCATACTAAATGGCAGAAAAATCTTTTGTAGATACAATTAAAGTGAATGATGTAAAACTAAGAAGATTATTCTGGATTATCCAAGTGAACCCAATCTAATCATATGAGCCCTTAAAAGCAGAGAATGTCCTCTGTTTGGGGGCAGAGATAAGGAGAAGTCAGAGAGATTCTAAGTGTGAAAAGAATTTGATACACTTTGCTGGCTGAGGCATCGAGCTCCATGCAAAGATTAGAGTGAGGCCCCTAAGAAGCTAAATGCAAACCCCATCTGACAGCCAGCAAGGAAATTGGGACCTTGATCACAAAAAGCACAAGAAACTGGATTCTGTCTACAACCAGAATGAGCCTGGAAATGGATTCTTTTCAGAAGCTTTCAGATAAAAACCCTGGCATGCCAGCACTTTGGCATTGGCCTTGTGAGATCCAGAGTAGATCCAGTTGATCCCACCTGACTTCTGACCTGCAGAATTGTGCGATAATAAATTTGCACTTGTTAAAATTCTAACAATAATTTGTTACAGCAGCAATAGAAAAGTAATTACAAGGATTTAGTGATTCTAAACATTCCTTCTCATCATTAAAAAAAGATTAGTGGGAGATGAGGGGCATTAAAGTTCTCAGCACTAAATGGAGGCTTTCTGCTATGTGCCTTCAGAAGAACATTAAAGAACACCAAAAGGAAAAGAAGTTTAGCAAGAACCTGAGTAATTTTTTGGAGTTGTTTATATTCAGAACAAATGTCCACAGAAATCTTCACTCCTAGAGTATGGCTAAAAAATATCTACATCAAAGAGAGTAATTACTTTGCTTTCATTAGAAACAATAATGGCAACGTCATATAACCTAAGCTCCTACCTTGGTTCAGTTATTTTCAATAAGTGAGTCATTGACAATGCATTCCAACTCTTTTTTTTTTCACTTTCTTAAAATTATACTTTAAGTTCTGGGGTACATATACAGAACGTGTAGTTTTGTTACATAGGTATACATGTGCCATGGTGGTTTGCTGCACCCATCAACCCGTCACCTACATTAGGTATTTCTCTGAATGCTATCCCTCCCCTAGCCCCCCACCCCCCAACAGGCCCTGGTGTGTGATGTTCCACTCCCTGTGTCCATGTGTTCTCATTGTTCAACTCCCACTTATGAGTGAGAACATGTGGTGTTTGGTTTTCTGTTCTTGTGATAGTTTGCTGAGAATGATGGTTTCCAGCTTCACCTATGTCCCCGCAAAGGACACGAACTCATCCTTTTTTATGGTTGTGTAATATTCCATGGTGTATATGTGCCACATTTTCTTTATCCAGTCTATCATTGATGGACATTTGGGTTGGTTCCAAGTCTTTGCTATTGTGAATAGTGCCACAATAAACATACATGTGCATGTGTCTTTATAGTAGAATGATTTATAATCCTTTGGGTATATACCCAGTAATGGCATCAAAAGGTATAATCCTTTGGGTATATACCCAGTAATGGCATCAAAAGGTATAATCCTTTGGGTATATACCCACTAATGGCATCAAATGGTATGGTAGCTGGGTCAAATGGTATTTCTAGTTCTAGATCCTTGAGGAATCACCACACTGTCTTCCACAATGGTTGAACTAATTTACAGTCCCACCAACAGTGTAAAGGCGTTCCTATTAACTCTTAAATTGAAATAAAAAAAGTTAATTCTCTGACAAACTCATCTTTTTTTCCCAAATAAAAGAATAAGCAAATCTTTCATTTCAATCTAAAACTAATCTACTACAATGTATTGGTTTTTCCTTTTAATACCTTCAAAGATTGTGATAAAATAAAAGCTAGAAATTTGTATTTAACTTCTTTTCAGCTACCTTTTTCTTGCCATTTAGTGAAACTGCTATCATACTTCTTATTCACTCTTTAAACAACTGTCTGATGCCACAGTAATTGATAACAAAAAGAAAATTCCAGAAATTAAATTATTTTAATCCTATAATGGGAAAATGTTTAATTATTTTTAAATGCTAAAGTAATATTCTAAAATAAGAACAAAAATATATTTTGTCACCAAATGAAACGAGTTTTAGAAAGTTTGTTTGGCATTATGTCAATGCTTAATTTACCATGTTCTTTTGTGTAAAATTTCTCATTCTTTTTACATTTCAAAAATATATATTTCAGCTAGGCAATTATTCTTTTATGTGTTTTTGTCAAATATGATTCTCTTCTCTTGCAATCTCCTGAAATAATATGTAACATTAAAAAAAATTAATAAATGGCCGGGCTCGGTGGCTCATACCTGTAATCCCAGCACTTTGGGAGGCAGAGGTGGACAGATTACTTGAGGTCAGGAGTTCAAGACCACCCTAGCCAACATGGCAAAACCCCATCTCTACTAAAAATACAAAAAGTAACCAGGCGTGATGTCACACACCTGTAGTACCAGGTACTCGGGAGGTGGAGGCAAGAGAATCACTTGAACCCGGGAGGAGGAGGTTGCAATGAGCTGAGATCATGCCACTGCACTCCGGCCTGGGCAACAGAATGAGACTCTGTCTCAAAAAAAAGTATTAATAAACAATGGTTCTTTGGGGTATGAAAGTGTATGGGACAACAGTGTTTTAACTTAAACTCTGTAGGCTCCCCAGATATCTTTGATTTTTAGATAGCCAAAGAGTCAATAAAGAATTCTATAGTATCATAAATTGATAGTTATAATTTTTATTGTTTTTGTTTCCTATTGTTCTAATTCTTAATTAGGAAACAAATGTCTATATATATAGTAAAATTAAGAACTTACTTTTTCTATAATTTTCTTGGACTATTATGTTTTCATTCATTAATTTGTTCATTAAATGCATTTAGCAAGTATTTTGAGCATTTATTGTATGGCAGGCTCTGTTCTAAATTCTGGGGCCACAGTAGAGAGAAAACATGAAAAAAACTTCATCTTCATTGCAGTCACACTATAATTGGCAGGGAATATCTAATGAGTGTTACAGCACAGCTCAAAAAAGGTTATACATTTATATTTTGATATACTTGACATCTTTTAAGTTCAGTTCGAATTGTGGCAATTTTTATGTGTCATCTTTTAAAAAATAAAATTACACCCCCTTTCCCCTTTTAAATTTGTTATGAAAAAACAAAGCAAAAAATGAAAACCAAAAACATGCATAAAAATTAACCCACAGTACGGTAGGAACAACTTGCAAACTGCTTAACTTGAATGAGCAAATATATTTTTTTTCCCCATTTTACAGCTGGAAAATGAGGAGCAGGCAAATGTTAAGTAACTTGCTTGAGGTCACTCAGTGAGGCTCAGTGGCGTCTGGGCTCTAACTCAGAAGTTCCTGATTCCCTGTGGCTGGGCCACAAGTTCATAGCCGCTGGCTCACAGCAGCTTCCGGAACAGAACGAAGTTTTCCTGTAAGCCCTAGAGAGTGTTACGATGCCACATCAACCTAAATGCATTCAGAAACCAGGCTACAAGGAAGGCCAGCAACCGCAAGTTCTTATTGCTTTAACCTTCTGCCCACATTGAGGAAACTCACCTCCATGTAAGTTTTGCCAAAAGAAGGAAGCAGGAAAGATAACTCTGGGGGAAATATTGTAGCCTGATATCCATGGATAAAAACTCCAAGTGGGAAAATTAACTTTTTTTTTTTTTCTGCAGTAGAAGTCACGAAATTAAAATCAGCATTCCTGGCAGTGGGTGTCTGACAAATATTTTTGCCTTTTCACAAATCCCAAATCAAAAAGTACTAACTCCAAGTGAAAATTAGAGCCGGGTCAGTGAATGGCTGTGACTCTGTAGACCTAAATGCTTAATGTGCTATAGACTTCAACAGTTAAGTCTGGGAGATTGAAGGCAAATCAACTTGGATCCAGGTACAGCTAAATCAGTTCCAAATACTCTGGACCACAAAATGCAGGATTTTCTGTCTTGATGGATTGCAGTACACTTCGGTGGGCTCAGAAGCTGTGAGAGAAAAACAAAATTAAATGCTTTTAAATCGACTCAAGCAGCTGGATTGCTAATATTCAACACATGAGAATAATGATACTTGAAACTTACATTGCAAAGAAAAAAAAGAAACATAAAAAATAAAAACCATATTCAGAGGGCTTGATCCTGCAGGGAGAACAGAACTCGCCGTTGAGATCACTGAGTTGTCACTACGACATTAAGAAAAATTGAATACACATTGTTTTCTAGTGAGACATGTGGTCCTTTAGTTTATAATGCCTCCTTAACCTTAGTTCTACTGTGCAATTAGACTTCCAACATACAGAGATCTATTTAACAAATACTGAAGTGTCAAGATATTTTAATTTAAAGTGTATCTTCAATGTCCACAGCACTATTTTAGATACTAAGAAAACAGCAATGCACAAGAAAACATCCCTGCCCTCGTAGAGCTTACCTCTAAATCGTGCCAAAACCAAAGTTAGGTAAGATGATGCAAATCATACCTCTCAAGATAATCAGGTCAATGGTGGTTCCAGAATTTCTATATCTAAGACTCTAACTCAGGGATTTTGTGATAGGAGGTGTTGAACAGGTTATCTTAAAGCTATATAGGTGCATAGTGACTTCAAACGCTCCATATAGATTGTACACTTAGTTTGGGTAGTTGGGGGAGGAAGTTACTGATAGAGATTAAAGAGGTGAAGAGGGGTACAGATTCCTAAAAATTTCCCTGAGTTTATTGCCAAATATATTCAGTTATTTCAATCATTCTCTTGACTAGATAAATATACTATAAATTATTTTTTAAAAGAGTTTCCTCTGTAAATTAAATTGAAATAGAGGGAAATCATTCTTCAACTAATTATATTGCCGGTTCCTCTTTACTTCCATAAAAACAGAAACGCCACTTTCTATGAGAGCTAAAATAGTATAATTGAAAATCTTGTTTCATTTATTTATTCATCTCCTATATAGAATCAAATTGTAGTATCTACTGCTTGCTTTTTAGCTCTCATCACACATATCACCTTAGGTCAAGATGGCTGTAGATGTCAGCTGAACCATCTCTCTTGCTACAGGTCCCCTTCACTGCATATATCTTGTTCCATAAATTCTGAAATACAATACTAAACTCATCCTTGAGTGTTTCTGTTCAGGACACTTCACTAGTGATGATAGAATGCATTGGATCTAAACTCCATTGTCTGCCACTGATTTACTGAAACACACTCCCTGTTGCACATATGTGTTCACTGCTTCATCTGGATCCCCTTTATTCTTTCACAGCCACCTGGAATATGTTCCACAGCACTGTCTTCCTCCCTTCCTCCCTTCTTTCTGTTCTTTCTTCCTTCCTCCTTTTTCTTTCTTTCTCTTTTTCTTTCTCTCTCTCTTCCTTTTTTTCTCATTTCCTCTTACCTTCTTCCATCTTTTTTCCTTGTTTCCTGTCCTTCTCTCTTCCCTTTCTCACTTTCTTTTCCTTCCTTCCATCTTTTGTTCCTTTCTTCTCTTTTTTCTTCCCTCTCTCCCTTCCTTTCTCTCTTTCTATATTCCTTTTTCTTTTGTCTTCATCAAGGTCAACCTCATGTTCTAATTCATTTTAAACAGACTTAGCATCAATCATACTGGTTAAAATTAAGGAAAGAAAAACCTTATACTGCCGGTTTTTACCTTTGGGGCTTGGCAAAAATCTGAAAGATCAATAACATATTTAACTAGGCAATAGCTACTGAAATTGAAGACACATGCAGTCTATGAAAAGGCAGTGCCATTTTTAAGAATGTATCTTACAAACATGTACTCACACATGTGTACAATAAGGAACATAGTGGGTATTCGTTGTAGCCATTTTCTTTTCCTAGTCAAGGTTTGGACAGTGATTATCCATCAAAAACAACTGCTTAAATAAACTAATATCACACTTAGATTGTCATCTGAGTAAATGAACATGATGTATGTATGTGTTTATTTAAATAAATAAAAATATTAAATATGATTATTAACAAGGAAAAAAACTTTCAATATTAAAGTAGAAGGATATGTTAGATATATTGATTGCAGAATAAAAGAAGACAGCCAGGTTCTAAAAGTTATATATATATAATATATATAAAATATATGTCACATAATATAATATATATAAAATATGTGTCACATAATGTAATATATAAACTATATATCATGCAGTACAATACATATCAAATATATATAAACTATATGTCATATAATATATGTCATATAACATAATATATAAAATATATGTCATATAATATATATGTCATATAACATAATATATAAAATATATGTCATATAACAATATATAAAATATATATCATATATGTGAGCATACAATTGTGTAATAAAATGGAGAAACTAAGAGTGTATATTTAACTTTACTCATATAACCATATACATATTCTGAAAGAGTCTGTAAGAAGTTAAAAATATCACCACTAAAGAAGGGAATTGTGGCCAGGATAAGAGGAAACCTTTTCATTAAATGCCCTTTTGAAATTATGAAATTGCAAAACTTGCTGTTGAAAGAGAATTTTTTTACTACATATTGCCGCTAAATCATTTTCTTTGTAACCTTATATTCCAGTCACTTACAATTAACCTATTCTTCACTGCTAAACACTGAATGTTATTTCAGTGTGATGATGACCAAGGAGTGATCCAGTCACTCTGTTTCATTTTCAAGAGTTACACATTCTATTGTCTGGAAAGGTTTCCAGCCTCATTTAAGTGATTTGTAGTGTGACTCCAGTTCTGACAGGATGTGGCGTGCAGCGTGACAGCAGACTTTCCATGTTTCGAGGACCATCGGATTCATATCCGAGAATCGACCACATGTCAGTGAATATTTCTTAATGTCGGTACTTTTATTTTTCAGAATTACCGAATACTGACGATGCATTAGTGCCTCTGAAAATTCCCAAAACCCATAATGATTATAAAGTGTTTCCAAAAGAAAATGTAAATGGTAACATAGCTTCCATTATAATTATTGTTCTAAAAGATAATGCATATATTTTTATTAATTTTAGATTTCATAAATAATTAAACATTGCTCCTGATTATAAAGAAAAGAAAACTTATCTGCAGTTTTTCTTTCATTTTTGTAAATACTCTTAAAACAACACAAAGAAAGATTCCATTGAATGAATATGCTGCACATCGGATTACTTGTATTTCATATATATTAAATATATACTTCTTTAAGATAAATCTTGTTTGTTTTTCAATTTCCACTAAAAGATTCATCCTAAAGTTCGAATCCCTCTAACAAACTTCCACAACATGTGTCCCTTTGCTTGGCATTATGTAAACACTGGGAATATTTACTGAATGGAAACCAAACCACAAAGTTCTGCAGCCAACTTCAAAAAGAAATTAACTCACAAAGGCCTCAGTATACATGGTTTTGCACATAATTTCTTTTGAGTAACTCATGCTCCCGTTCACACCTCACTGCAGTAACTTCACGTGTTTCACTGATGCAACAAATGCATGCATGTAGCAAAACAAAACATGATACATTTCTTTCAATGGGGGCAGGTCACTTTTAATATGAGAAATATATTTTGGAATTATTTGCTTTGTTGTTTTATCAAAGTTGAAATGAAAAGACATTAAGCAATATCTATATCTTAATATTGTTTTTTTGAGTTGGGGTTTCACACTGTCACCCAGGCTGGAGTGCAGTGTTGTGACCACAGCTCACTGAAGCCTCAAACTCCTAGGCTCAAATAATCTTCCCACCTCAGCCTCCTGAGTAGCTGAGACTATAGGCACATGCCACTACACCAAGCTAATTTTCTTATTTTTATTTTGCAAAGGCAAGGTCCCGCTTTGATGTCCAGGCTGGGTGCCAATCAATCCTGACTTCAAGTGATCCCACTGCTTTGGTCTCCCAAAGTGCTGGGATTACAGACATGAACCACCATGCCCAGCTATCCTGAGCATAATGAAAGGAATGTGATGCGAATATGCCCCCATGAATAACGCAAACTTGAAAAGTAAGTTTTACTGCTAATCTGATGATTTTATCATAAATTGCTTTTCCTTTTGCTTGCTAATACTTAAAATAATTTTAAAAGTTATAAAGGAATATGTTTAACCCTGTTTTTCTTGTGACTAGTCTTTTTTAACCCATATTAAGAAATTTAGATTATCCTATCTAAACCTAATTCTTGTCTCACTCCCTAATCGTAAATTTGTTAATGTTGCTTCTACCTCTAGCTTAAAGATTGATTTCAGAATTTCTAAAAACAGATGCCTCCAAACAGCATTGTTGCTTTTAAAGACATAAAAGTAATTCATCTTTTTAATACGTAAAATCTTTTTGTATTTTAGAAGATTGATGACACTTGAGAATCTTCTGTATCAGATGCAGGGTACAATCATAAGGGGGGCTATGCTCATGTACCCTGGCCAGATTTCAGGCTGCAATTGAAGTCATGCTCTTAAGAAAAGGGATTATTCAGCCAGGCGCAGTGGTTTACCCCTGTAATCCCAGCACTTTGGGAGGCCAAGGCAGGCGGATCACGAGGTCAGGAGATCGAGACCATCCTGGCTAACGCAGTGAAACCCCGTCTCTACTGAAAATACAAAAAATTAGCTGGGCGTGGTGGCGGGCACCTGTAGTCCCAGCTACTAGGGAGGCTGAGGCAGGAGAATGGCGTGAACCAGGGAGGCGGAGCTTGCAGTGAGCCGAGATCGCGCCACTGCACTCCAGCCTGGGCCACAGAAAAAATCTCCGTCTCAAAAAAAAAAAAAAAAAAAAAAAAAAAAAAAAAAAAAAAAAAAGAAAAGGAAAGAAAAGAAAATGGATTATTCTTCATTGGCATTGAGATTAGCCTCTTCCTTTAACTTCCTGCAAATATGTTAAAGAGTAATAACTTCTGAGGTTTTCATTCCCGTGCAATCATTCTTTTTAAATATTTCAGTTGAAGAGGGTCCTTTAGCCTTGGTGGTAGCAGCCTCAGCAGAAGATTTGGTCATTATCTCTGCACTGTCATTCTAACTGGGACCGATTTTGCCATCATAGCTAGAGTATCATCTCCCTGTAGATCTCCTCTCTCAGACAAACTATTATTTGGCAATTTGCTTCTGCCACTAGAGAGACCCACCCCTACGATGGCTCTTAACTGCCCTGCTTCACGGCCATGGGCTCGATCTGGCGCTCAGCAGCCCAGTTCACCAAAGCTGTACCACCTCTGCTCACATAATCAATTGACAGATACCAGATACTATTGTACCTAAATATCTCTACAGTGGCCTGCTCTCCACTGGAAATAACCAAAACAGGATTTCAAGTAATTTTATGACTCAGAGATTGCTTGCTATTTGGCTAAGAGCTTCAGAAATATAATATGAAAGAATGGTGGTCCATCCCCAGAGTTCCTAGTGCCTGAGATTTCCACCAGATTCAGAAAATTGGTCGGTCTAACTTCAACTAAAATAATTGTCCAAACCCAATAGCTAGTGTGTCATCTTTTGGCTCCCATTAGTACATTGAAAATGAGCCATTCAAGAAATTCTCAAGCTTTTGGGAATACATAGGGGAAAAAAAAAGACATGGAATCTTTAGAAATTGGAGTTGGTTATAATGGTTGCAGACTTCATGTCACTATCTACAGCAGAAGCTCAAGAAAGCTTAAATGACCAGAACTCTTATAGAGAATTGCCAGATTTGTGTGTTGACTATTGAAGCACCCAGGTAGGCAAATTTATAAATAAATAAACATAGCTCTTAGACTATTAAGCTTGATCTCATGTGTTTGGTTTATTTTTAGAGACAGGGTCTGGCTATATCAACCGGCTGGAGTGCAGTGACAACATAGACATGAGCATACTGTAGTATAGCCGTGAACTCCTGGGGTCAAACAGTCCTCCCACCTCAGCCTCCTGAGTAGCTGAGACTACAGGCACATGCCACGGCACCTGGATGATTTCATTCAGTTTAAAATAATTTACAAATTCTGTAGATCTTAGCTAAACCCTCTGGATTTTGGGTTCTTCCTTCTGATCTGTTTTCCTTTTCCCTGAGAACCAACCTGTGTCAGCAGCTAAAGAGTTTTCTCATCCAGTTTTCTTTTCAAAGATATTTGGTGGCCCGGAAACCTATTTTCAATTTGAGAACTTCCAGCTCCTTAGTCCGAACTGGCTTTGATTCGCTGATAAATTCTTTTGAAGAGTTCATGGGATTTCTAAACAATGGATTATACTCTAGTATGTTAGAAAAAAAAATAAAGCCATATCTACATTTGCTTTCCAAAAAGCCCACTCTCTACTTTGGGCAAGTGTTGGGCTGTTATGGGACTAGGCCTAGAGAGTCTTGAAATCCATTCTTCTAGCTTGAGATGGTCTATCAGATTCAAAATCTTTCTGAGCTTTAAAGAGTCTCACATCCATGTTTGAATAATTTTTGGCCACAGGCCTCATTTATTTTAAGAAACTTTTAGCCGCTTTTGAAACTAAGGATAGAAGAAATGTTGTCTTTCTGTCCAACCGGTCCCTGTATATTTCCTCAAAATTCTGATCACAAAATAAATAATTCCTTCAGCTCATCTCTTTTGCTTCATTTCTTATTAAAGGAAACAAAATAAGCGAAATTACACTGTCCATGTTCTACCTGGCAAATAATCTTGGCAAAATTTATAAGATAATTTTGCCAGCTATCTTGGTGTCATCATCTGAATCCCCAGAACAGCTTTTTCTCTGCTCTCCCAGTCTCAGAATAATAATATATTTTTTTCTGACATTTTTCCAGACCTCAGCCAATAGCTAGCCAATTAACAGGGGTAGGTTACTTAGTTACACGTCAACTATCTGCAGATGTATGAGTGAGCCCAGCAAAAACCAGCAGAAAAAAACTGCACTACTGACCCCAGCCACAATGGCAGATTACACACATTTGTGAGCCAAATATTAATAGTTGTTTTAAGCATTCAGTTTTGTGGCAGTTTGTAACAACACAACAATTGAGAACCAATAAATGTATTCTAGAAAAATTATTCTAGAATAATTTTGGAGTGTGCCCCACTCCAACACTTCTAGCTCTGAGGTAAAGAGGGTGGTTTAAGTATGCTCAGTTTCTTCTCTCAAACATACCATTTAGTTAAGTCATATTATCCCCCATGGAGAAAAATGAGTTATAATTGGAGAGAGAAGCCAGGAATATCATTCAAACTGAAATTCTCTTCAAATAGAAACATGAGACTGAGAAAATGGAGATACCTTATCAATAATACTCATAAGATATGAATAGCTCAGTTAAAATTAGGTTGAAGAATATGAATTCACAAAAGAAAGAAATATTAACAATAAATATACATTTTAGTTTAGCAGTTGTATT
Source organism: Homo sapiens (assembly GCF_000001405.40). NCBI lineage: Eukaryota > Metazoa > Chordata > Mammalia > Primates > Hominidae > Homo > Homo sapiens. Next base: position 27,582,566 of record NC_000021.9, on the reverse strand, counting down.
AGAAGTACCACAAGTGTGAGCATCAGTGTATGATCTGCATTTGGTAGCCTCACGATCCCTTTCTTGTTGGCCCTGATCTGCGTTAGGTAAGGAAGGTGCAATCCTTTGATTGCTTAGGACTGAGTAATCAGCCCAGCCCAAGACCAGGGTATCAATGACTTCTGCCAAGTCATGGAGCCTGAGAGGTCAATCAGAGCATTTCCATTTGAAGTGGGAATAGATGCTAAGTGGTTCAAATAATATATGCCCACTAAAACATCCCTAACAAGAAATGAATTAAAATGAAATGTATTCAAAATGGGACAGCAAACATATTAAAAATGATAAAATACAATTATTCTATTATTCTGTCACCCAGGCTGGAGTGCAGTGATATGATGGTAGCTCACTGGAGCCTTAAACTCCTGGGCTCAAGTAATCCCCCTACCTCAGCCTCCCAAGTGGCTGGGACTACAGGTATTAGCCACCATGCCTGGCTAATTTTTTAATTTTTTGTAGAGACAAGGTCTTGCTATGTTGCCCAGAGTGGGCTTTAACCCCTAAGCCCAAGCAATCTTCCCACCTTGGCCTCCCAAAGTGCTAGGATTACAGGTATGAGCTATGGCACTCAGCCTAATTATTTTTTATAGAATCATACAAAAACAGAGTTATTGAAATGTTTAGTCATATCCAGCAAAGCTACAGATGCTATTTATTTGTAATATTTTAAATTATAGAAATTCTTTATGCTCTGATCTTAAAATACATATTTCTAGAGTTTTTCCAACCAAATTTAAAGAAAAAAATATATACACACATATATATCTGTATTTTAAAATAATATATCTATACACACATATTAATTAATATACAAAGAAACAGATATAACCTCACGTATGTTTAAAAACAATTTGCTGTCAAAGTGTAAATAACTTTAATACTAAATACAGTTATATAGTTTATATACATGTTCTAATTTGTATAGTTGGTGTATGTTTTTATATGTATGTATATATAGTATTTAAGTTGCATACATAGATTGACAATCAAAGCCTAATATAAAGAAGAATCCTATAGAATTGACTTCATTTAAAGCTTTAACTTCTCACAGTTGCTATGATGTACTGCTCTGAAAATGTATCATTAAAGATGTGTCATAGACAGTGTTTCATGGTTTGCAGCTCATAATTACATACTTAAAAGCGAGGCATACTCATGGAATGCATTCTAACTCCACTTCTTCTTTTTACGTGCGATAGGAATGTGTAAAACACCTTATAACAATAGTTCTTTGATATAGATGACTCACAATAAACACGACTAAGTAAAATGTCATTTATAAGTCAAGTGGTGGTTTTGATTTGCATTTCTCTGATGGCCAGTGATGATGAGCATTTTTTCATGTGTTTTTTGGCTGAATAAATGTCTTCTTTTGAGAAGTGTCTGTTCATGTCCTTCGCCCACTTTTTGATGGGGTTGTTTGTTTTTTTCTTGTAAATTTGTTTGAGTTCATTGTAGATTCTGGATATTAGCCCTTTGTCAGATGAGTAGGTTGTGAAAATTTTCTCCCATTTTGTAGGTTGCCTGTTCATTCTGATGGTAGTTTCTTTTGCTGTGCAGAAGCTCTTTAGTTTAATTAGATCCCATTTGTCAATTTTGGCTTTTGTTGCCATTGCTTTTGGTGTTTTAGACATGAAGTCCTTGCCCATGCCTATGTCCTGAATGGTAATGCCTAGGTTTTCTTCTAGGGTTTTTATGGTTTTAGCTCTAACGTTTAAGTCTTTAATCCATCTTGAATTGATTTTTGTATAAGGTGTAAGGAAGGGATCCACATGTAAACTAACCTGCACAATGTGCACATGTACCCTAGAACTTAAAGTATAATAAAAAAAAAAGAAAGAAAATCGAACAAGACAAGCACAATAAGGCAAGAAAAAGAAATAAAAGTTGGAAAGGAAAAAAAAAGTCAAGTGGTGTAAACTAGGACGTGAAACTTTCAGATATGACATTTTCTCTATAGACAAAGAATGGTGCATTTAGCCAAAGAATGAATGGGTCATATTTCATCTAATGGATGTGGTAAACTTATAATAATATCAGATAACCACTGTGTGATTCATGTCAGAAATATAGTTTCATTTCATTAAAAGTATTTGTCAGCCACTGTGGCTAATGCCATGCTATGATCATGGCCCTGCACTCCAGCCTGTGCTACAGAGCAAGACCTTGTTTCTAAAACAATAAAACAAAATAAAATAAAATAAATAAAGTAAAATAAAATTTTTGTAGGACCTAAAGATGTTTCTAGAACTCTATATATGTTTCCATTAAAGTAGAGGTAATTTATCCAGTGGATATTTTTGTTTCTTTAATAATTTAAGTACTCCAATAGGTAATTTTGATGAAGTAATTAAAGGCCCAAATTATACACAGAAAAAATCAATATGTGGAATATATAGGACAGAATTCTCCAAGGAATAACAGCGGGTTCATTTTGGTTAATTATAGTTGCATGTATAACACTTATTCCTTTGAAAGAATATGGCTCAAAGAGGATAAAAGGAATGTTTGCCTTACAACAACAATAGAGTGATTGCAATAGAGAAGTTCACTATTCTGAGATAACACCTTTAACCACCGTGTCAAATTTTTGCCAGTTTATTTTAGGTCTCAGCTATATTTTCACAGCCATCACATCTTAGGGGATGACTTTTCTTTATATTCCAAGGTGAAACAGATGTTGTAAACTAAAATCTTGTTCCATTTTCTGTTCCTCCTACTTCCATAGTTACCTCAGTAGCACCCATACCTACAACCTTAAAGAGATGTACCTAGTGCCATTCACCCTTTTCTCTTGTGCAATTTTGCCCTCTGCCTAACTTGACACTACCTGATAAAATAAAAATTTCTGCCAAATTAACTTTAAAGGAGTTTAATTGAGCAAAGAACGGTTTGCCAATCCGACAGCCTTCTGAGCCAGCCTAGGCTCAAAGACTTCAGCGCAGCCACGTGGTGGAAAAAGACTTAGGGACAGAAAAAGGAAAGCGACGTGCAGAAATCGGAAATGAGGTACAGAAACAGCTGAATTGGTTACAGGTTGGTGTTTGCCTTATTTGAACAGGCTTTGAACAGTTGGCTACATTTGACTGGCCAAAACTCAGTGATTGGCACAAGTGTAGGCTACGGTCTGTTTACCACAGCTCCACTTGTTATTGTTCACTACGTACACAAAAACCTTTCGTTCAAACTTAAAATATGTAAGGAGGCAGTTTTAGTCTAAACTTGGTTTAACATGCGTAATCTGTCTCTAAGGAAGAGATTGGTCACCAGAAACTCTGATGAAAAATCAGATTCTCTTAATTTTGGGGTTCTAATTCTGTGATATGACCTCCTGCATGCACGGGTGAACATATAGCTGCAATTTGTGTCACTCTGTGGGGGTTTTGGAAGTGATGAAGAGAAGCCAGCTGTGGCTTCTATTGTTACCAAAAAAACACCTGTGTCTCTGATCCAGGGATCTGATGCCTTTTCTCAGTATACACATGTGAAATTGTGGTATGCCAGTCTTGTAATTATGGTCAAATCTGAAATTGAGACCTTTCACAGTTTTGACTTACCAGTTCATCTGAGGGGCCGTGTTTCCTCCTGAGCGAGGCCGTTTCATACACAGCAACTGTTAATTGTTACCACTTTGGGTCGCCTCATGGAAAGTGCTAGGGAGAGTATATGGTATTGTTCATTAATGACATTGTCTGGTTTTTAGTTTTGCGGTAAACCCTTAAAGCAGCAAAGTTGTAAGCAATGAAGGGCATATATAATAAAATGTTAAAGGCTGAATTTTTATTTCTCAAGAAAGTTGATGATAGCCGAGAGTGGTGGTGCACACCTGTAATCCTGTCACTTTGGAAGGCAGAGGTGGGTGGATCACTTGAGCTCAGGAGTTGAAGACCAGCCTGGGTAACATGGTGAAACCTCATCTCTACAAAAAATGCAAAAATAAGCTGGGCATGGTGGCATGTGCCTGTAGTCCCAGCTACTCAGGATGCTGATGCGAGAGAATCACTTGTGCCCTGGAAGTCGAGATCATACCACTGCACTCCAGACTGGATAACAAAGTGAGACCCTGTCTCAAAAAAAAAAAAAGTTTATGATACAAATTGATTTTTCATAAATGCTGTAACAGTCACGTCTACTCTGTGAGCCACAGTAGTTTCACTGGCTATGTGAAAATCAAAAGATGCAACTCTGAGGAAGAAGCATCAGCAACTACTGCAAAAGTTACTTGTATGTTAATGTTAGTAAGTTTATATTCAAGATGGAAATTTAACACATGTAGTTGCAGGTGTGTTTCTTTTTTTTTTATTATTATACTTTCAGTTTTAGGGTACATGTGCACATTGTGCAGGTTAGTTACATATGTATACATGTGCCATGCTGGTGCGCTGCACCCACTAACTCGTCATCTAGCATTAGGTATATCTCCCAATGCTATCCCTCCCCCCTCCCCCCACCCCACAACAGTCACCAGAGTGTGATATTCCCCTTCCTGTGTCCATGTGATCTCATTGTTCAATTCCCACCTATGAGTGAGAATATGCAGTGTTTGATTTTTTTGTTCTTGCGATAGTTTACTGAGAATGATGATTTCCAATTTCATCCATGTCCCTACAAAGGACAGGAACTCATCATTTTTTATGGCTGCATAGTATTCCATGGTGTGTATGTGCCACATTTTCTTAATGCAGTCTATCATTGTTGGACATTTGGGTTGGTTCCAAGTCTTTGCTATTGTGAATAATGCCGCAATAAACATACGTGTGCATGTGTCTTTATAGCAGCATGATTTATAGTCATTTGGGTATATACCCAGTAATGGGATGGCTGGGTCAAATGGTATTTCTAGTTCTAGATCCCTGAGGAATCGCCACACTGACTTCCACAATGGTTGAACTAGTTTACAGTCCCACCAACAATGTAAAAGTGTTCCTATTTCTCCACATCCTCTCCAGCACCTGTTGTTTCCTGACTTTTTAATGATTGCCATTCTAACTGGTGTGAGATGGTATCTCATTGTGGTTTTGATTTGCATTTCTCTGATGGCCAGTGATGATGAGCATTTTTTCATGTGTCTTTTGGCTGCATAAATGTCTTCTTTTGAGAAGTGTTTGTTCATGTCCTTTGCCCACTTTTTGATGGGGTTGTTTGTTTTTTTCTTGTAAATTTGTTTGAGTTCATTGTAGATTCTGAATATTAGCCCTTTGTCAGATGAGTAGGTTGCGAAAATTTTCTCCCATTTTGTAGGTTGCCTGTTCACTCTGATGGTAGTTTCTTTTGCTGTGCAGAAGCTCTTTAGTTTAATTAGATCCCATTTGTCAATTTTGTCTTTTGTTGCCATTGCTTTTGGTGTTTTGGACATGAAGTCCTTGCCCATGCCTATGTCCTGAATGGTAATGCCTAGGTTTTCTTCTAGGGTTTTTATGGTTTTAGGTCTAACGTTTAAATCTTTAATCCATCTTGAATTGATTTTTGTATAAGGTGTAAGGAAGGGATCCAGTTTCAGCTTTCTACATATGGCTAGCCAGTTTTCCCAGCACCATTTATTAAATAGGGAATCCTTTCCCCATTGCTTGTTTTTCTCAGGTTTGTCAAAGATCAGATAGTTGTAGATACGTGGCATTATCTCTGAGGGCTCTGTTCTGTTCCATTGATCTATATCTCTGTTTTGGTACCAGTACCATGCTGTTTTGGTTACTGTAGCCTTGTAGTATAGTTTGAAGTCAGGTAGTGTGATGCCTCCAGCTTTGTTCTTTTGGCTTAGGATTGACTTGGTGATGCGGGCTCTTTTTTGGTTCCATATGAACTTTAAAGTAGTTTTTTCCAATTCTGTGAAGAAAGTCTTTGGTAGCTTGATGGGAATGCCATTGAATCTATAAATTACCTTGGGCAGTATGGCCATTTTCATGATATTGATTCTTCCTACCCATGAGCATGGAATGTTCTTCCATTTGTTTGTATCCTCTTTTATTTCCTTGAGCAGTGGTTTGTAGTTCTCCTTGAAGAGGTCCTTCACATCCCTTGTAAGTTGGATTCCTAGGTATTTTATTCTCTTTGAAGCAATTGTGAATGGGAGTTCACTCGATTTGGCTCTCTGTTTGTCTGTTGTTGGTGTATAAGAATGCTTGTGATTTTTGTACATTGATTTTGTATCCTGAGACTTTGCTGAAGTTGCTTATCAGCTTAAGGAGATTTTGGGCTGAGACGATGGGGTTTTCTAGATATACAATCATGTCGTCTGCAAACAGGGACAATTTGACTTCCTCTTTTCCTAATTGAATACACTTTATTTCCTTCTCCTGCCTAATTGTCCTGGCCAGAACTTCCAACACTATGTTGAATAGGAGTGGTGAGAGAGGGCATCCCTGTCTTGTGCCAGTTTTCAAAGGGAATGCTTCCAGTTTTTGCCCATTCAGTATGATATTGGCTGTGGGTTTGTCATAGATAGCTCTTATTATTTTGAAATACGTCCCATCAATACCTAATTTATTGAGAGTTTTTAGCATGAAGGGTTGTTGAATTTTGTCAAAGGCTTTTTCTGCATCTATTGAGGTAATCATGTGGTTTTTGTCTTTGGCTCTGTTTATATGCTGGATTACATTTATTGATTTGCGTATATTGAACCAGCCTTGCATCCCAGGGATGAAGCCCACTTGATCATGGTGGATAAGCTTTTTGATGTGCTGCTGGATTCGTTTTGCCAGTATTTTATTGAGGATTTTATTGAGAAGAACTTCTGGTGGGGCTCTTAGTTTTCATCAAATATGTTTATATTCTGTACTATCATAGATTGAAATTGAAAATTGCTCACATTTCTCAGCATTGAATAAAGACATGGAATAGAAATGGACTTCATTTGAATTTGGTTATGGTTTGCATATGGTATGCATACCTATTAAGTTCTGATATTACAACAATTAAAAACTGAAGTTTGACTTATTTCTTTTTGGCATGGTCAACATTTTTACATTTTATCCAAAATCGACTAATATTGTATACATGCTGAGTATAACTGAACAACAAAATATTTGTGAAAAAGCTAATGAGTGAAATAAAAACCCTATCATTTTTCAGCATTTAATAAAAAGAACATAAATAAAGATGATTTATAATGATGAGTTTTGTTTTTCAAAATATTTGTTGAAAAACATTTAAAGGCAGGAAAACTACTAAATATTAAAATATTTAGGCTGAAATATTAAGACATTTCAATATGAAGTGAACACTATACTTGAGAAAATTCTCATATTACTGAGTTTTTCTAGACAGAGTGTTTTCTCAGTTAAAAAATGTTAGTGTCTTACAGGTAAAATGTTATTTTAAATCATTAAATTCAACTGTGACAACAATTCTGGACAATACCGTATAATCTCAAAAGCATAACTGAAAATTGGAAAAAAAAATTCCAGTGACTTGGTATTTGGAGACAGTTATATCTAGATCAGGTATAGTTAAGAATGTGACTATGTACCAAAGAAAATTATTGTGTTTATATTTTTTTTAATTTTGCTTTAATGTGTGTGTATGTTTTTTGGAAATATTTCTGTTTGAAAATTGTTTATAATAGAAAATTATTTTATATGCCCACTAATATAAACATCAATTTCCTTGTCAAAAAGTTTCAAAAATCAACTAGTTTTAATTATTGTTGGAGTGCCAAATTGCTCTCATAAGTATCCAGTATGGATGATAAATTTTATGGTCACCATAGCTCTATCCAGTAACATTGCATCTGTAATACCTTGGGAGTTTGAATTTCACACCAATCTCTGAGGAGTAATATTCTCTACTTCTTGTTATGGAATTCGTTGAATCTAATAAACATATATCCAAAGGAGGAGGGGAATCCACCTTCTACAGAAAATTCTATTGCCAATATTACCTTCCTAAAATTGATAGCATTGTGATAGGAGTTTCCTTTTAGAGTCTCTTGCCTCTAACTCCCAGTGTCTTGCATCTTAATGTTCAACTCCCTAATATGTGGAAAAAAGACCATCAAACACACATAGACACACACATACACTTGCGCACATGTGTGCATGCACTCATGTGAGCACACACATGGAAATTCTCTCTGTCTCTGTGTTGTCTCTTTTTTTCTCTTACTGTCTATCCTTACCTTTATCTCTAACTCTGTCTCTATTTCTGTCTACCTCTACCTCAATCTCGACTTCTATCTCTATCTCTATATATTTTTATCTCTTATCTCTATCTCTATCCCTACCTCTACCTCTTCCTCTGCCCCTACTCTACCTCTACCTATCTCTATTCTACTTCAGTCTCTACGTCTATCTCCATCTCTATCCCTATCCCTATCCCTACCTCTACCTCTATCTGTCTCTACTCTACCTCTACTTGTCTCTACCTCTACCTCAATCTCTGTCGTCTCTATCTCTATCTGTTCCTCTTCCTTTTTCTACCTCTACCTGTACCTCAACCTCTACCTCTATCTCTCTCTCCATCTGCATGTCTGTTTCTATCTCCATCTCTATTGCTAATGCTATTTCTTTCTCTACCTCTACCTCTTTCTCAATCTACCTCTACTTTTCCTCTATCTAACTCTGTCTCTACCTATTTCTCTATTTCTATCTCTGTCTCCATCTCCATCTCTATCCCTACCTCTACCTCTTCCTCTATCTACCCCATCTTCATTTCCATTTATATCTCTATCTCTAGCTCTACCACTCCCTCTCCTTCTACCTCCACCTCTACTCCCATCTCCATCTTCATCTCCATCTCTGTCTCTATTCTATCGCTGTCTCCACCTCTCTCTTTCTTGCCTTTCCAGAATGATCTATACTGTTTTATGATTCCAGGCCTTTGCATATTTTATTCTTTTGTTTTGACCTTCATTTATTTCCTTTTCCACCTAGAAACTCCTTTTCATATTTCAGTTCCCATCTGTAAGGCTTTTCTTTTATTCTATACCCTACATCTTTTGTGAAACCGTTATACTTATTTTAACTTCTGTGACTCTCCTATAGCATGAGCTGCCTGAGTAAGAGAACTGAGGATTTTATTTTTTGACTGGGTGAATTTTACATGCAGTAAATTAAAATATATACTGTGGCTTTGAAAATGTTCAATGCAGTTAGATTCAGAGAACAGCTATTTCATTTAAATAATTAGTGCCAAAGCCCGTTTATATATTTATCTTTAAAATTACTGTAAAAAAGTTTAAATTGTATGTTTCCCTATTGGATGTAAAATTAAGTTGTTAATATAAGTTTGATATCCATTTTTAGATAAAATAATTGAGGAACACTGATTTAAGAGACAGATTTACAATCACCAGTTATTTAATCTTACTTTTCTCTTAAAATATAATTAAAATATAAATTCTTACTAAAATCTTATTTATAAAACATTTCTTTATATTCTGTATCTGTCTTCTTTTATTAAAATGTAAATTTTATATTCTATTCTCTTGTCTTGAGAAGATAATTATTATAGTCAAAATCTCATTCCTTTTGACAATAAGTAATTTCTCCTTTACTTTCTCATTGTGGAATTCATGAGACATAAAATTTAAAATGCTTAGCCTTATGTTAATGATTCAACAGAGTACTCATTGAGGCAAAACCACTTTGGAAGTCATTCCTGAAGAATTATCTCATCTTTGAAATAATGACCCATGACTGGAGAAGTCCCATGACTCTAGGAGTGAGCGTTAGAAAGATAATGTGTTAGAATTACTTGGAGACTAAGAAAGAGGAAAAGAGAAATATTGTCACACTACTAAGGAGCGGCTTGGTTAGTACTCCTGTGTCTATTGTCCCTTGTTTATTTATTTCAATTGTTAGAAAACTATGCATTTATACTCAATCCCTGGAAAGTACCCAAACACACATGCTTTTTAAATTTATATTTTTAATGAGCTGTATGAAAAAAACTGGTACATTTTCCCAGAGGTGGGCATAGCCTAACTGCTGAAAAATACCATGAGATTCAAACCAATGTTCTCTGATCAGAAAAGTTTACCAAAGCAAAGTAACCCCATTCTGCAAAAGTTGAAATTTGCCATTAAAGTCAAGTAAGAACTGTAATGTCCATGCATTTGATCAATAAACTCCTGCTAAATATATCATCATTTCAGTTAGTTTGAAATGAACTCAAATGGTCCTTTTAATTGAGTGAAGGTAACTATTTACAAACAAGTGTGCTTCCATATAAAAGTGACACAACTAATTCTGAAAATTACCTAATTTGAAAATTCTCCGTTATCAAGAAACTGTCATTAAGGCAATAACATAGAGCTCATAATAAACATTATAATGAATATGAGTAGACTTTTGTTGTGAAAAACCTACTTAAAGGCAGTTTGTTACAAAAAGCCTATATCAAAAATTTTTAGGAAAAATTTTAATTAAAGATAAGTGGATTTATATCTATTTCCCTTCTTAACTTCTTGATAACTCTAGGTTCCATGGTAAAATCAATGGAAAAATGTATAACCTTGAGGAGTTACATGACAAGGGCCATTAGATGTTAAAATAATTTTCTCAGACTGGGGTAGGTAGCTCATGGCTAGACTTACATGTTTTGCCAACTAGATAGAAGCCACAACAGCTGTGAATGAAACATTATTCAAACATTTGAGGTTCTGTCACTCATTCTTCAACAATGTCAAGCTTTCCACTTGTGTAAGCTTGTTTTGGTTTGTTGATGTTTATATCCAGGAGACAATTTGACTCCCTGATGAAATATTCTAGATATGCAAAGACTTTTTCATGTAGAGTTAAGGAAGTTAATATACCCAAGTAAAAGAAACTGATGTCATTCAATAGTACCAGAAAGCCCATCATTTAATTGATAAGGGCTCATTGTATTTGTAATGCAACATCCAAAAACACGACTTAGCATCAAGATTTTTGCCATTCGTGCCTATTCCGTGTGTATGTTCTCACTCCTCACTTCATTCTCTTAGACCGCTGACATTTTCTGCTGCTGATTTTGGGGTCTCTCTAATACTTTGGTCTGCCTTAACAATGTATTAGGTTGGTGTGAAAGTAATTAACGATTGTTGCCATTAAAAGTAATGGTAAAAAATACAATTACTTTTGCACCAACCTAATACAACAAACTGATTTAAAAACAAACAGAAATGTATTTTCTCACAGTTCTAGGGGTTAGAAGTCCAAAATCAAAATATAGCCAGGGCCACACTCTTTCCAAAGGAAGGAGAGAATACTTCCTTTCTTCTTGTACCTCTGGGGGCCCCTAACCTTCCTTGGCTCGTGGGAGCATAACTTCAATTTCTGTCTTTATCTTCAGGTGACCTTCACCTCTATGTCTCTGTGTTTTTTCCTCTTCTTATAAAGGCATCAGTCTTTGTAGTTAGAACCCATACTAAGTTCAGAATTATGATTTCATCTGAAGATCTTAATTACTTGCATCTGAAAAGATCATTTTCCCAAATAGAATCACATTCTGAGGTTCTTGTGGACTTCAATTCTTGGGAGTCACTAATTCATGACACATTATTAGTAATTTTCTTCTCAGATATTTAGAATTAATTTAACAGAATCCTAAGGCTTGTGTAGCTCTACACTTTTGTGGAAAGCCAACATCCATCTTTGGCAAGAAACTATAAGAGGGTACCATTTCCAATTTTCTACTTACCAGAAAAAATAAAACAAGTACTAATATTTACTCCATCCCACACCACTGTAGTGATATTAAGCTATGTCTCTGGCCAGTGTTTTGGATTCCACATCCCAAGAATTCTTGTTATATGATGGAATGTGCCAGTTGGCAGGCCTGCAGAATTACAGCTTCTGGTGCAACAGCTGTGTCTTGATGTGTGTCCTCAGTTGAAAGAGAGGCCCCAGAGCAGAAATTCTTCGCTACTTCCAAGATAGACTAAAAGAAGGAATCAACACAGTTGGACATGAATGTCTGTTCCTGCTGACATCACTGAAATAAACATGTTATTTGGCAGGGCAACAGTGTATGTGAGCTGGGGTAGAAGGGGTAATGAGTCAAAGAGCCCCTAACCAACAGAGCCTAAAGGAAAGCTTGTGTGCTAATACTTTAGGAATGGGTGCAGTACCAGGTCATTAAGGTTGAGGGGAAGAAAATCACATACAAGTTGGCATGCTACTGAGCTGGCCCCAGGAAGCTCGACTGACTAATGAGTGATGCAGGGTGCCTGTGCAGAGGCCAATGAAAACACCTTCTCCACAGTGATCCTGTGGGGGAGAGAGTGAGTAAATGTGAAGACATAATTTGTTGGCTCCTCAATTTCTCCTGACTCTCAGTGGCCGAATATACCCTAATGGTCTGAAATCCTCAACATTTCTGGACTGTGTTACCTAGTCCCACCTTGAAAGTAAGTGGGGAGGCCAGATTCTTCCTGGGTTTAGGTAGCTTTGCACTGGGCATTGCAGTTATTACAGCTTTCATGACAGCAGGTAAGGAGAATATGCTGCTGTCTGGCCCATGCCAGGAGGGAGGCTGAACTAGCAAGCAGCGTCATGAGGTGAGGCATGGAAAGTGACAGAGAGCTGGGATACTACATTGAGCAAGTGGCAGAGGCCTGGAAGGAACGAGTAGGTTTGAGAAAATACCCTCAGGAAATACCAGAGTTCACTGGTAATAAATAATGGACAAATTTTAGTCAACTTCTCAATCCTTATAAGAATAAGCAGGGCATATCACAAGAACTATTTGAGCCAGAATTACTCTAGTAGGTCTAGTTACCAGCACAGCTCAAATAATTACTTTGAATTAATATTTACACTGTTTTCCAAATCTTGATACCAGGGTACATTACCTAACAAGAAACCAATTCCTTAGGAGAGACCCATCTAATCAGACAGTGGCTTTCTTCATCAGCTTGGGTTGTTATAACACATTACCCTAGACGAGGTGACTTCGACAGCAAACATTTCTCATAGCTCTGGATGATGGCAGTTTGAGATCAGGGTTCCAGTCTCATCTGAGATCAGTTTTGGTGAGGGTACTCCTCCACTCCATAGGTGGCTATCTTCCCACTGTCTTCTCATGTGGGACAGAGAGAGAATGAGAGAGAGTGAGAGAGAGAGAGAAACAGAGAGAGAGAGAGAAACAGAGAGAGAGAGAGAAACAGAGAGAGAGAAACAGAGAGAGAGAGAGAAACAGAGAGAGAGAGGCAGAGAAGAAGAAGCAAGCTGTTTTCTGTCCTTTTTAAAAAAATAAGGGCACTTATCTCATCATAAGGAATCTCCTCTCATGATCAAATTCCTCCCAAAGGCCCATCTCAAATTACTATTACATTGTACATTAGGATTTCGACATATGAATTTTGGGGAGACACATTCAGTCCATAGTAGTGGCCTCCAGCATCCATCCCTGTGTTTCCTTTGCTCTTCAATATCCTCTGGAAACACACCTCCATACTACACAGACTTTACCTATTGTTTTCTTCTCTCTCCTCATCTTATCCTCCTTTCTGATTCTCGACTGTGGTGGACACAAATTCTCACCCTCCAGGCTCAACAATTCTCAATGACCGTCTGGGTTCTACAACTTGTCTTTGGGAATACAGTTTCAAAGGGCCAGTTTGTGACAGGCTAAATACTTTGAAAAGCTTCCCCAGGAAAATAGTTTCATTGGTTACTTTAACAGGCAGAGAGTGTAAGCCAAATTATTTTGTGTTTTTGTTTGATCTGTGTATTGCCAATGCTGACATATTCCAGCTTAATTGATACTTTCTTTTGAGTGGCAATCTGGTGTTAAATTTATTGCATGAAATGGATGCCAGTAAGTTTTTAAGTGCATAAAACATCTGACCCAATTGTAATAGGAGACATTAAATTAAGTAAATATTATCATTATCCTCTGAAGCCACAGGTGAAAATGGTCAAGTTGATAGCAAGTGAGAGGCAGATATGGGATGGAGAGTAAGGTCTGATAATATTTAAGTATCTGTTTCCTGATGTCTCTGAGTTCAGCTTCCATTTTGTCATTTTCATAATTTTGTTATGTGCAATGTGAGCTCAGCTGCCTCAAGTTAGAAATACTATTGGAAAATACACCTGGTATGTAGGCTTGCCATGTACCTTTCTTTTTTTTCTTTTTTGACAGAGTCTTTCTCTGCTGCCCAGGCTGGAGGTCAGCCGCACCATCTCACTGCAACCTCCGCCTCCCGGGTTCAAGCTATGCTCCTGACTCAGCCTCCTGAGTAGCTGGGATTACAGGCGCCTGCCACCATGCCCAGCTAATTTTTTGTATTTTTAGTAGAGACGAGGTTTCGTCATGTTGGCCAGGCTGGTCTCGAACTCTGGAGCTCAGGCAATCTGCCTGCCTCAGCCTCCCAAAGTGCTAGGATTACAGGTGTGAGCCACCACACCTGGCCCCATGTTCCTTTCTTAGGCAACATTAAATAACAGAGGATGTCAGAGAGATCTTGCCATCCTTAATCCTCAGTTGCACCTATGAAGCCAAGTTGGGTCTAATTCAATTGAACTGGCATGAGAAGCAACTGTTATCTACCAGAGTATTTGTTCAAAATTAAAAGCTATATATGTGGTACTTACCAAGAATGCCAGTGTGGCAGAACTGGAACTTGTTCTATCAAAATGACTAGCTATGTCCACAGTTAGGGAATCTCAAATCCAAGTTTATTTATTTTATATAAGGGAGACGTTACCTTCCTTGCTTCTCATATTCCAATAGTCTTCTTAAATTTCCTGCCTAATCATAATTACTGGTATGAACAATATAGTAGATGATTCGAGTCTGAAATAATTTTTAAACACTTTAGACTTAATTAAGTCCACATGGTCATAATTTTTGGTTAGAGTCTGCATTAAGAGTAACATTTAAGTGAAAGTCAATCAGTTGATGAAGTCAAGTATCTAAACTGATGAAAATGTCTTTCAAGAATATAAAATTCAGTGAGGCATAGATTTCTCAAAACAAGCTTCACCATCTTGTGTGTGTGTTGCATCCAATTCTATTTACTTTACAGGCACAGTGTCACTGCTGTTAATTATTACATAAATTGAAGGTCTTTGTTTCTAGCTTTATGATCATGGCCCCAATGACTTCTTCTCCCAAACAGATTTTTATACAATTTTACTCCCTGCTCTCTCTCAGACCCTTTGGGGACAAAAATTTTTTTCTCCAGCCCGTGGACTTTGAGAGCCCCATTCTCTTTGGGATTCAGTACGTACCTAGATATACTTGTGGAATGTTGAAATATACATGGTCATCTCTAACTTCAGGTTTTTCTGTCCACATCCCCTCCATACTCTGCCCTGTTTTCTTTTAGATTACTAATATCCTAGAACTTTTCCTAATCCTTCCCAGCCATTCACTACCCAATTGAGAAAGAGTGCTCCAGAACTTTCTCTCCCCCACTAGCGCCCTGTCTAGCCTCATCAAAAACATTTTCTTACTGACCAGGTAAACTAGAAAGAATCTGATATTTCATTTTATTTAATTTCTATTTAATTTATTTATAAGTATTACGTGTATTATATTTAAACTGTTTACATATATATATATATATCCTCATCTAGAGATATTTGCATATTAACAGAGTAAATTGCTTTTATCTAAATCAGTAATCCTCAACCTTGGTTGTATATTAGAAACACCTGAGAAATTTTTAAAAACCATCAATACCTAGGTCTTGGCCCTAGGGATTCTGATATAATTGACCTAGGGTATGACTTGTATATCCTGTATTCATAAAATCTTTCCTAGTGATTCTAATGTGTAGTCAGCGCTGAAAAATTTGCTTTAAAGGAATATGTCTCTTTAAATGCACAAACCTAGACACCTCTCCTTTTATTTAAGGGATCTCTGGCTCCTCCAAGTAATTTGAGAAGCTGCGTCTTTTGGCAGCATAGATCAGCTGTTCAGGGACTCTCCCCATTCTTCTCCCCCTTTCTCTTTTCGGCTTTGAGACCGGTGCCAAATTAATCACCACTATAATCAAAACTACGATGTTTCACTTTCCCATAATTCCATCATTGTGCGTGATATAAAGTGTGGAACATACAAAAGTTTGAGCTTCTAAGAGAAAATAGACATACATACTTGTTGAATCAAGAATCTCTGCCTCTGTCATGTCTGACTCCTTGCACCCATGATTTAAATTTACCTCGTAGCAAAGAAGGCATGAGGGAAATTCTGTACTATAAAAGGGTGCCTCCATGAGATTTCCCCTAAATGTTCAGATAATCAAGGTTATCCATATGGGGCAGCAGGGAACTAAACAAAAAGTTTGACTCATTTGTTCAACAAATATCCATTAAGCGACTACTATGAGCTACCATACGAAGTGCTGGGAAGACAGTCAAGATGAAGCCCCTGATCTCAAAATGCTTCCGGTCCAGGAGTAGAGTGTGGCTAGAGGCTGGGAGAAGACAAAATTCACTACGTAGGAATTTAAATATAACCATGGTAACATTGGAAGGTGAAATTCAGGGAGTTGTTAGTTTGAGATGGTTGGTGTGACCCGGAAAAGGTTTTATTGAGGTAATGGTATTTCAATTGAGAGTTAAAGGGTAGGAATGGTGGCAAGGGCAGAATCCCGGCAGAGGAAAAAGGTGTTTAGATTCAGAGTTGGGAATGGCTTTGGTCATTAAAGAAAATAAGTAAAACAAACAAACAAAAATCAATATGCTTGAAACAGAGTAAACAAAAAGAGGGGCTAGTTAAAAATGGGCTGGAGAACCAAGCTGAGGCTGGAATCTACAAAGCCCTGGAGGCCTCCTTAAATTTTTTTCATTTTATCCTAGGAGGAATTAGAAATAACTACAGTTTGTTATATAAAAGATGACTCTCAGAATTTAAAAAAAAGAATTTTAAGGTTTATTTGTTTATGTATTGCTAGTTTGCTCAAACATCACCTTCTTAAAGAGGCCTACTCTGTCTCTTCTCTTAGTACAGCAAGCTGGCTGCATCTCCACCCCTACTCCTCCCAGTGGCCCTTAATACACTGTGGTTTTCTTTATGCCTGCTACCAATCAAGTCATTTACTCATTTATCAAGTTTATTGCCTATTGTTTGTTTCTGCTCACAAGTGCAAGCCCCCCATATGCAGAGCTCTGCAACATCTGATGCTGTATTGCACGCAGCTTCTTAGAGCAGCATCTAATATAAAAGAGAACTGTGCTCAATAAGTATTGACTCAGCACATGAGCTTCCCTAGGCAAAATCACTTATTATATCTTTGTTCTTCATCAAAAATTCACACTAGGCAGTTTAAACTTAATTAAGGTAGTACATAAAATAAATTGCTTTTTTTTTCTCCTTGGGAGCTTTGTAATGAATAGTCTCAGCATTATTTATTTAAGCTCTGTAGCAGACATGGTCACATTCTCAGCAGAGAGGTCATGAACAAAATATTCTCATCCAAGGAGATTTTTTTGTAGATTAGACTCAAGAGGTCCAACATTGGCAAGTCAGCATGTGTGATATTTTTCTAGGCCTGTTCTCACACATATCCATTTCTAATTCACAATCCACAGTACAGACTTCACATTTATAGGAGTCAATTTTTAAGTTCACGTAGTGACCCCTCAGATATGTAGCTATGTAATCTCTAGCAAAAGCCCAAGTACTTTTTTACCTCCTGAGATATCAGTGCTAAGAAAATGGTGGGCTTTTGTTTTTAAGGATGCAGCTCTTAGTCTATAGAGGGTTTGAGCAGCTGACCAGTAGAGGGCACCTGCCACTCTAAAATTGCCTCATGTCCTGTCAGTCTAGAGACACAGGCTTCACTGATTTATAAATAAGTTATTATTGCCTTCAGAATATTTTTATTTCCTTTCTGATCATCCAATATTATTGATTTCTAACACAAGTAATATGTCATAATAAAAATAAAGATTCATAAAGAGAAAAACTAAATCACTAATAGTACGATTACCCGGAGATAGCATAACCACTATTAATGTTTGATATTATTCCATATTATAATACATGCATCTGAATTCCATGTATTTCCCCAAATGGGATCACAAAGTAAATGCTATTTAATAACTTAAAAATAGATGAAATATGCAAGTTGAATCTAGGGCTATATCTTATAATGCCAGAAAGTCCTAAAAAAAAAAGGAAGAAAAGAAAACCCACAATGATGGGGGCATGTCAAAGGGTCCGAGGAACAAACTGAAAAAGCTCCAAGTGTCCATAGCTAGAACAATTTGGGCAACAAAGCAAACAAAGTAGCATTGGATTATGGTCCAAATTATAAAATCAATGTCTGAGTCCATACAGATATCAATACACAATTGAATAGGTAGTAGAGAAGAAACAAATCTGCCTTGTAGAAGAATACCAAATAATCAAAACAACTCACTTCTTCAGTATGAGCTGTTAATAGTGACTTTCTTCCAAAGGGTGCAATATGGAAAGAGTTGAAAAATAGTAAATTTACAGTGGAAAAACCTAACACCACCTTAACTAGGTGACCAAGGTCAATATCAACAAGTCATGTTGACTGTATGTAGCTTTAATATGTTGTTAGGAAACTAGCACTTTACCTCTATGATATTCCTCTATAACAGAGGAAATGAAGACCTGAAAAGGCTGAGGCAATTTTCAAAATCAGAATTGGTTGTATTTACTGATCAATTAAAATGTAAAGAGACAGGCAAGGCAATTGAAGTTGGATAAAGAGTTAAAGATGGGCATCTGAGTGAAAACATGAACTGTGTCCACTTGTGAATGGACATGTAACATCACACACACACACACAAATTGGCTGCAATATCTACAAATGCCAGTTTCCCTGGAAAACATCTACCATTGCTGTTTTTTTCAAGTTGAGACAAGTGAAAAAAAATGTATAGGATTTTGAATTAGAAAAACTGGAGGTCGAAACCTAGCTCTGCTATAGTAATTTTGGGTAAGGAAAAGAATGTGAAAAGTGAAATAGCACACAAGTTTCAGGGTTTTTAAGAGAGCTGATGACATTGCACAGAGAGTTACAAGAAATCATGGCGTTCCTCCCACAACTGGGACCAGACAAATTATTGTAATTATCATTAGCAGTCAAGATTGGCAGAAGGAAGCTATTTTCTGGTTTCTTATTAATATGCGATGATGGAAGATAAATCATTTTCCCAAGCAACCCTTCTGCCATAAGTAAATGTCTATAGATTGATCACAAATTTAATAATATTATTTTTAATTTTCTGGTTATAAAATGTTCCTTCTTTCAAAAATATTAAGGCCTCCAAGTGTAGTTTCAGTAGTCTTTTAAGCCCTGTGGTAAACTCTGAGTAAAGCTTCATGGAAAATATCTGAAGGGGTTATTTCTTGAGTTCAGTGATAAGTTTAGGCAGCTGTAAATTTTCCAGTTCCTGGAGTAGAATTCTATAAGCATAACCTATATTCTATGGCCATTCTATTACATTTCCATAAATGTGCACACTGATGATGTGATACAACTCATGATTTATTTTCAGATTTATTTCTGAAAATTTATTGTAGGAATAATGATTTCCCAATTGATCCACATGAGATACTAATGTCCACAGGAGATACTAATAGAGTGTACTCGCTATTTTTAGTCTGTTACCCTCATTTATGAACATAACAATGTTCGTAACATCAGTTTTGAGACTTAAACTAAACATTTCTTTTACATTGACCAAAATTGTTGTCATTTAAATTGTTATCAAATACATGCAATTAAATAATTAAAATATACAAATAATTTCACACATCCTTTACTTCCAAAAATCTTCTCCATATAGTAGAGTTGATAAGAAGTAAAAGATGTTTGGAACTTCGAGTTGATTCTGTAAGGTACTGAGACTCTTGGGGATGATGAGACAGGTGGATGTATTTTGCATGTAGATTGAATTTGAATCTTCAGGACCAGAGCACATACTTTGATGGGCAGAATAACGGCTTCCCGAAGATGTTCACCTCTCAGTCTCTGGAATCTGTGACTATGCTAGCAACCTTAATATGGAGAAATTATCCGGGATTACCCACATAGTCCCAATATAATCAGAAAGTTTCTTAAATTTGGAGGGAGACAGAAGATTCAGTATCAGAGTGATGCAACAAGTGGAAGACTTGAAAGGCCGTTGTTGGCTTTGGCGATGGAAGACCTCTATGAGCCAAGGAATGTGGGCAGCCTCAAGAAGCTGGAAAAGTCAAGGAAATCATTTCTGTCCTAGAAGATCCAGAAAGAAACACCGTCCTATTGATTCCTCAATTTTTAAAACAATGAGGTCCATTTCAGACTTCTAACTTTCACACTTATAAGAAAAATTTGTATTAAGCCACTAAACTTGCTGCAATGTGTACAGTAGGAAACTAACATATTGGTAGCCTTTATGATATTCCTGTAACTAAATGCTCTGGACCCCAAATCAATATAGATCTTATTAGTGATGTTTTGCACTGCAGCAAATAGTTATTGCAAAATTATTGCAAATGTGTAGTTATTAAATCCCCCCCACACACACTTTAGTTAAACTAATTCAGTCAAACTAAACTAATTTAGTGTGTGAGAAAATAAAAGAAGCAATTCATTCTAACTAAAGAATAAGCACATCTTCTTAACAGTATTGTTCTATGCTATCCTTTTGCCTTCCTGCTTTTGCAAAAGCTACTAAACTTACTTTATCATTTTCTTATTAACCTTATCCTTATTTATTTTTGCTGAATAATTTATATTGTCTTTTAATATTCAGGTCAGGTATAGCCTACTCTAAACAACATTCTTAGACCACATCTGGCCAGTGTAGTCATTTCTTCCAGATGTTTCTGTATGTTTTAACCTAACAGTCCTTCTACTGCTCTGTAATATACTGCTTATGTGTTTGTTTTCTCCATTGCAGAGAAAGTTCTTTGAGTGAAATATCTATACCTTACATACCTTTGTATCCCCTGAATGATTCCTACTGCTGTCTATATGGCTGGTACCAGTGTCTTGGTCCAAAATGAAGAAATGCATGAGTTATTAGCCTCTTCTTGAGGTTTCTTAGAACTTTAGGGCATTAAAAAGTCCTTCTTCACTAGTGTATAAACATTTGTATAAACATGCTTAGTGTATAAAAATATGTATAAACATGTTTAGTGTATAAACATGCTCACTTGTCTCCTATCTGAAACAAAACGAAACCAGCCAACAAACCCTAAGGCTGTTTCTCCACGTCGAATTTCTCTCTACCCTTGGCAGGGCACAGTGGCTCATGCCTGTAATCCCGGCACTTTGGGAGTCTGAGGCGGGCGGATCACTTGAGGTCAGGAATTTGAGACCAGCGCCTGTAATCCCAGCTACTCAGGAGGCTGAGGCACAAGGTTGCAGAGAGCCAAGATTGCGTCACTGCACTCCAGCCTGTGCGACAGAGGTAGACTTCATCTTAAAAAAAAAAAAAAAAAAAAAATTTCTCTCTACTCTAAAAAATGCTGCCTTTAACTGTAAAGCTTATAAGAGTGACCCACATCCATTGCTCCAACTTAGTCCTCATCTTTTCATAAAATTGCCTCCTTCCCAGGTTAATTAATTTGCTGGGGCTGCCATCACAAAACGCCACTGACTGAGTGACTTCAACTAGAGAAATTTCTTTTCTTTCTTTTTTTTTTGTAGATGGAGTCTTGCTCTGTCACCAGGCTGGAGTGCTGTGGCACGATCTCGGCTCACTGGAACCTCTGCCTCCTGGGTTCAAGCGATTCTCCTGCCTCAGCCTCCAGAGTAACTGGGACTACAGGCACGTGCCACCATGCCCAGCTAATTTTTGTATTTTTAGTAGAGACAGGGCTTCACCACGTTGACCAGGATGGTCTCGATCTCCTGCCCTCGTGATCCGCCTGCTTCAGCCTCCCAAAGTGCTGGGATTACAGGCCTGAGACACCACAACTGGCCAAAATTAATTTTCTTACTGAGACCAAGGTGTTAGCAGTGTCTTTTTTTCTTCTGGGGCCTCTCTCCTTGGTTGCAGACGGTCACCTTCTTGCTGTGTCCTCACATGGTCTTCCTTTTTTGCTCACTAACCCAGGGTGTCCCTCTGTGTGTCCAAATTCCTTCTTCATATAAAGACGCCAGTCAGATTAGATCAGGTTCCACTCTAACAACTCATTTTGTTTAGTTTTGTAGCGATTTTGTGGGTAGATGTGATATTTTCATACCTGTATACAATGCATAATGATCAAATCAGAGTAACTACGATATCCATCATCACTTCAAACATCTTTTATTTTTTTTGAGATGGAGTCTCACTCTGTTGCCCAGGCTGGAGTGCAGCGGTGCCATCTCAGTTCACTGCAAGCTCTGCCTCCTGGGTTCAAGTGATTCTCCTGCCTCAGCCTCCCTAGTAACTGGGACTACAGGTGCACACCACCATGCCCGGCTAATTTTTGTACTTTTTTTGTTAGAGACATGTTTCACCATGTTGGCCAGGCTGGTCTTGAACTCCTGACCTAAGGTAATACACCTTCCTCAGCCTCCCAAAGTGCTGGGATTACAGGCATGAGTCGCTGCGCCCAGCTTCACCTAAAACATTTTTCTTTGTTTTGGGAACACTACAAATCTTCTCTTCTAGTTATTTTGAAATATCCAATAAATTGTTCTTAACTATAATTTTCCTAATGTACTATCAAATATTAAAACTTATTCCTTCTATGTGACTGTATTTTTGTCCTGCTTAACCAAAGTTCTATCTCCAAATTGTTTACATTCTGAGGTACTAGCTGTTAGGACTTAAACATACACATTTTAAGGGAAATAGTTTAGTCCACAACACCAGCCATAGGTCAATACAAATGCTCTTCTTAAGTCCTTCAGTGACTTAATGTTGACTATACAGTGAATATCGTTCTTTCCTTTCTGACTGAAATTCTTTGTTTTTTTGCAAAGTTGAGCACCCCCTTTCTTCTTGAAACTCTTCTTCCTTGATAGCCATCCTGCTGCTCTCTGATTTCTTTTGATTCACCTAGCCTTTATCCTCAGCTTCCTGCATGGTCTTCTTTTTCATTGTCCTTTAAATGTAGCTTAAGCTATAGTCCTCTGTCCTTCCTACATCAGTTTTCTAAGTATACTCATCCAAACCTTTTGCTTCATATTCCATGTGTATGTTAATAAACGCCAATTTTCTATCTCATGCCTCTGTGTCCAGCAGTTGACATATATTAAATGCCTATCAGGCCAGGCACAGTCGCTGATGCCTGTAATCCCAGCACTTTGGGAGGCTGAGGTGGGCAGATCATTTGAGGTCAGGGAGTTCAAGACCAGCCTGGCCAACATGGTGAAACTCCATCTCTACTAAAAAGAAAAAAAATTAGCCTGGCCTGGTGGCGTGTGCCTGTAATCACAGCCACTTGGGAAGCTGAGGCAGGAGAATTGCTTGAACCTGGGAGGCAAAGGTTACAACGAGCTGAGATCGTGCCACTGCACTCCAACCTGGGCAACAGAGCAAGACTCCATCATAAAATAAAATAAAATAAAATAAAATAGAATAAAAGCCTATCAGATGTCTACTTTTAAACACAGAATATTCCAAATAACATGTGCTGTATTAATTTCTTGCACTTGTTCTTCCTTTTCCATCCATATTTGCATACAAGAGACATCCCTTTACCCACAAGCCCACACCATAGATGTGTTTCCTAAATTCATGAATTCAATCCCCATCTTCTCCCCATACTTCTGAGTTATCTCTTTCTAGCTCCCTTCATTTTATTGCAGTCTCATAAATACTATTCAACTTATGACACTCATTGCTACATCCTGAAATTCTGCAACACCCCTTTGCCTGGCTGCTTGGTCTCACCAGCTCTCATACCCCATGTCCAATCCATCTTCCACATTATTTTCAGAATGGTATTTCTATAATTACAATCATGTTACATAGAGGCTCAAAGTGCATCCATTTTCTCCAACTCTTTTAAGGTAATGTTATATTTATCACAAATGTTGTCATATGAATTTTTACTGCCTCTCATCATTTTTTACCACTCCACTACTATCTCCCTCTGTTAACTGAACCATCCACAGTCCCCACGTGTTTCATGCCTTTGTGCCTTTACAGCTATAATGCCTTGAAAATGAAATGCTCGGCCTCTTACCATCTTGGACTTCCTTCTGGGCCTTCAAAATTCAGACTATACATTTCTTCATCAAGGAAGCTTTTCCTGCCTGCCAAGTCTGACTTAGATGTCTCTCTCTTCTGTCTTCTACGATGATCTCTATATCTTTCTGTTATAGTACTTATCACACTTAATTTTGGCATTGATCTAGATGGATATATTCTCCTAGGGGAAAAGATGTGTCATATTTTATTTATTTATTTTCTTGATTAATTATTTCTTTTTACTATTTCTGGTACTTAGAATAATAATCAGAAATAATTAAACTCTTCTGAAGTAGAGAGATGATGGATGCTTGATGATAATTATTCAGCAATAGTAAGAAGAATGGAAACAGCAAAAGATTACAGACAGGAAAGCTTTTAAGGAGGTAATACAATAGCTCAGAGAAAAGTCAAATAAGATTAGCAAGGTCTGCCATTCTTACCTCACAAGATCTCTGTGTGAATGTGTGTGTGTGTGTGTGTGTGTGTAAATGTGTGTTAAAGTATCAAATAAGATAACGAATCTGGAGATGCATTTAAATGGTTAAATAACAGCCACATACTCATTTTTATTTTATTGTTGACACTGTTTCAACTTGTACAGATAGAAAAGATGTCACACAGGTAGAATTATTGCAATCTAGGAAAGATCAACACTGAACGTCCACAATAAAAGTCAGTCCAACTTACAATAAAGTGGATTTGCCTTTTGTGTATATCTTTTACATACTTCCATAAACTTACCAATTACTATGTAATAAATCAACCATTTATAAACATAAACACATACACAAGGCTATTTTGGGGCCTCATTTCTGACCCCTCTTTTTGGAATGTCAGATAGAACTGGAAAATTCTATGTGAAGCACAGTTTAGACAGCCTTCTTTGGTCACACTATTATAGAGGATGACACTCAACAGAGTCCTCTCCACAATCTCCTTCCCCTTTCAGCAGACTTCTAATCTTATACTCAGGAATTTATCACCTAGTTATTTAGTTATTTAGATTAGAAACACATGTTTTGGGGCAGGGAATTTTCTCTAGGAGATATATAAATAAATATCTACATATACTTAACATTTATTACGCACTTACTACATCCCAAGTACTATGTTAAACACTTTAAAAATCTGTATCTTATTTAAAGCTCAAAATAACCTTTGTGATGTAGATATTGTTATCCCACCTTAGAAATGAGGACATTGAGACACTGGCCACACAGGTAGTAAACAGGTAGTAAGCACTGGAGTTAGGGTTTGAACTCAGTCCCTGATTATTGATCATAGACTATTGTGCTTGGACATAATACTTTCCCTAAATAACTTCTCTGCATTTCTACAAATGATGATGCTTTCAGATTTGTTCCAACTACATGTATATTTCTGTAGAGCCTTTGGACATGAATATAACTTTACTCAGTAAAACACCAGTTACTAAATGTCAACTTAACTAGTAATTATCCCCTTTTCCTTGGAACTCTGTTCACCATAGCTCAGACGAAAAGTGAAATGGAAACAAAAAAAACTTTTCCTCATATACATTTGAAAGAAAATCAATGTAACCTATCTTTAAATTTGGAGCACACTAGAAAAAAATTATTAAAAAAAAAAAGTGAGGTTGGCCGGGCTCAGTGCCTCATATCTGTAATCTAAATGCTATGGGAAGCTGAGGCAGGAGGATCACATTAGGCCAAGAGTTCGAGACCAGCTGGTTAACATAGTAAGACCCAATTTCTAAAAATTAAAAAAAAATTAACAAATATGGTGACTCCTGCCTATAGTCCCAGCTACTCAGGAAGCTGAAGCAGGAGGATCACTTGAGCCCAGGAGTTTTATGCGGCAGTGAGCCATTATCTTGCCACTGTACTCCAGCCTGGGTGATTTAAATTCTCTTTTTAGCATATTCCCTACAAGGAAAATAGTAGTCAAAAAACAGAAACAAAAATATTTATTGATGCTACAATATGCATAAATCTTAAAATATATTTTGCTAGTTGCCAAAAAAAAAATCAGACCCAAA
Organism: Homo sapiens; assembly: GCF_000001405.40. Lineage (NCBI taxonomy): Eukaryota > Metazoa > Chordata > Mammalia > Primates > Hominidae > Homo > Homo sapiens. Next base: position 27,556,484 of record NC_000021.9, on the reverse strand, counting down.
AACTGTACACGTCATAATTCCATCTGCATAAGACTCTGGAAAAAGCAAAACTATATGGACAAAACAACAGATCTGTTATTGCAGGATTTGGGAAAAATGGGGATGGTTTGATGATGAAAAGTTACCAGAAGAACATTTTGGGGGTGATAGGACTCTTCTGTATGGAATTGTTGCGGTGGGTACATGTCTGTATCCATTTGTCAAAACAAATCAAACTGTACACCACAAAAAATAATTATCACTGCATGTGAATGTTAAAAACATACCAGTCAGTGTATGGGGAAAGATGGAATGTAGATTGCAATAAATGGATCTAAATGTCTTACAAATGAATCACATACCCACACTCAAGGGGATAACGAAGAAGGGAGCTGTTCTTGGAAACTGTGAAAAACATTATTTTGACTGAATATTGTATGGCTAAAGGCAAACAAACTGTACACAAACACTATATTCTAGTTGGTAATGAATTACAAATTCTTAAATTATTTTACTTTTATACTAAGGTTGAAAAGATAAACAAATATATTCTTGATAATAAAAGTCAGACTTCCCAAGAAGTTATAAATAAGAAAAGAAGGAAAGAGAGAATGATGCCCATGGTGTTGAAATGAACTGTATGTGTGTGTTAACAGAGAGATAGGTGTGAATGCAGGTATTAATGAACATACATACATTTCCTGTCTCTATCCACCGAGAACTACTAAAAGCACTGACACTCCAATAGCAGTGAGCACACTTAACATCCAGTTCTTGGTTTCTAAATATTATTTTCCAACAAAAAGAGTCAGAACTTCTAGGAGATATGGAAGATCTCAGAGAAGGGGCAGGGAAAATATAAAGTGAGCCTGGAGAATCTTGTGGCTACTAAAATTGCTTTCTTACTTGAAGTTAAGAAAGTGCCCAAAGCCAACAAATAAAAACAGAAAAGGATGGGAGCATGTGGAAAGGCTATAAGAGCCCAAATGAAAGCACCAACTTCATAGAATCCTGTTGCTGTAACTGAACAATGTGAATAACAACAACAACTAAATATAGTTTGAAGAATGACACCTGTGGTGCTGAAATGAATTTGTGTGTGTGTGTGCGTGCGCGCACATGCTCACGTGTGTGACAGATAGGTGTGAATGCATGCAGTAATACACATACATATATTTCCTGTCTCTATTCATCAAGAGTTAATAAAAGCAGTGAAATTCCACTAGCAATGAGCCCACTTAACCCCCAGTTTTTGGTTTCTAAATATTCTTTTTCAGTAATAGCACAATCACACATGATTCCATGTTGATGTTATAAGAAACAGAATATGTAAATAATAACAGAGAGGGAACATTCCTTCCTTACAAAAGAATCTTAACTAATAAATGTAGAAGAAATGGGGTAAATAGAGCATCACTATTAGAACATCACAGTTGCAGACAAGACCCACCCATGGATACTGAAATTAGTGAGTAGAAGTTTAAGTGGAAACAAGATGCTTGTAAACTCAAAGAATCTCCCCACTATACCCAAATATTTCATAAGTATAAAGGGAAGCATAGTTATTTTAGTTGTAGAATCCACATGGTATCATTTTAACTAATTAATCAAAGTTAACATTACCAGTAATACATATCAATATCATGTATCTACTGATATGAGGTGGAGAGAATGGCACATCGCCTTGATAGTATCCTTCCCGATAATTCATAACCGTAGTATAATCATGAGGAAACACCAGGCAGGTGCACATTAACAGACATTCTATAAAATAACTTACAAGCCTAATCAAAAGTGTCAAGGTCATAAAAGACAAGGAAAGACTGAAGGACTGTCACAGATAGAAAGAACATAGCATACATGTCAAATAAATACATGGGATACTAGATGGGAGCTAGGAAGAGAAAAGGAGCATGACTGGGAAAACTAGTGAACCCCACATCCCACCAAAAAAAGTTAGTAGTTTAGTTACAATAAAGGTACTGGAGTTATTTTCTTTAGCAACTCTTTGATTATGTTAAGTGTTAACATAGAGAGAATCTGGTTGACAGTTACACTAGATTTCTTTGCACTGGTTTTGTAACTCTTCTGTAAATCTAAAGTTATCCCAAAATAAAAAGTTAAAATATTTTAAGCCCAAATTTCTGTAATCTAATTCCTTTTTTAAGAAACTAGGTATTATAAAAATCTATATAATAGTTTGTGAAGCTTAGTAGAATTTTTGATGACTGTACTAAGCATGAACTGGGCTCCTAAAGAAGCTGTTAAAAACATTTTTTAAAATTTTCTTTCCCAATGTCTAGGTTAAAGACAGCAAAAATAACAAAGTACAAAAGAGTAATGGCAATTAGAAAAATATTGCTACTAATATATTAATTATGAAAATAATCAAAACGTGTCTTTTTTAATTTTTTTACTAAAGAAACAGCAATATTTAAGTTACATCACAATGGAGAAATTTGGAGTGGGAGGAAGAGTTCATTTTAAAAGATCTATTTTTTTTTAAGTAACAATAATTTTCATCTGGTTTTGTTCTAAGACTGAAGGCATTTGAGCTCATTGTAATTGTTAGAATGGCAGTTTTCTCATATCTGTATAATATAAAATAGAAAATGTTTTTAAAAACAGTAGCACACTGTTGCAGACATATTTAACAAAGCTCCATGAAAGTGTATTTTATTAGGGTATCACTCTATTAAAAGTGGTGTTTTAAGTTTTACCCAGATCACTATTAAATTACATCATGGAGAAAACATTTAAGACTGAAACTTTCGTTTCAACTACTCAGAATATCTGCCTACAGCAAAATAACTTTTTAAGGAAGGATAATGGTAGAAGAGTATAATGACAGAAGCAGCCAAGTATCAGAATAGAATGGAACATACTAGTGATTCTTAGCTTTTGAATGGGTCAAAATCTACTGAAGACTGTGATGAAGAATTTAGATTTTCTAACCCCCATCTCTTACCCTAAACCAATATATACAAGCCTGATATGGTTTGGCTGTGTTCCCACCCAAATCTCATCTTGAATTGTAGCTCCCATAATTCCCGCATGTTGTGGAAGAGATCCGGTGGGAGGTAAATGAATAATGGGGGTGGGTCTTTCCTGTGCTATTCTTGAGATAGTAAGAAAGTCTCAGGAGATCTGATGGTTTTATAAAGGAGAGTTACCCTGCACACGCTCTCTTGCCTAACACCACGTAAGATGTCCCTTTGCTCTTCCTTCTCCTTTCACCATGATTAGTTCTGCCATTTGGAGCTGTGAGTCAACTAAATCTCTTTCCTTTATAAATTACCCAGTCTCAGGTATGCCCTTATTAGCAGCATGAAAATAGACTAACAGTAAATTGGTACCAGGTAGTGGGATGCTGCTCTAAAGATACCCTAAAATGTAGAAGTGACTTTGGAACTGGGTAACAGGCACAGATTGGAACAGTTTGGGGGGCTCAGAAGCGGACAGGATGATATGGGAAAGTTTGCAACTTTGTAGAGACTTGTTGAATGACTTTGACTAAATGCAGCTCATCTCAGATGGAGATGAGGAACTTGTTGGGAACTGGAATAAAGGTGACTCTTGTTATGTTTTAGCAAAGAGGCTGGTGAAATTTTGCCCCTGCCCTAGAGAGTCATGGAACTTTGAACTTGAGAGAGGTGATTTAGGACATCTGGTGGAAAAAAATTTCTAAGCAGTAAAGCATTCAAGATGTGACTTGGGTGCTGTTAAAAGCATTCAGTTTTATGTATTCTCAAAGATATGGTTTGGAAGTGGAACTTATGTTTAAAACAGAAGCAGAGTATAAAAATTCAGAAAATGTGCAGCCTGATGATGTGATAGAAAAAAAAAAAAACATCTTCTGAGGAGAAGTTCAAGCTGGCTGCAGAAATTTGCCTAATGAGGAGCGAAATGTTAATTGCCAAGACAATGGGGAAAATGTCTCCAGGGCATGTCAGAGACCCTCCAAGCAGCCCCTCCCATCACAGCACTGGAGGGCTGGGAGAAAAAAATTGTTTTGTGGGCCTGGCCCACAGCCCCGCTGCTGTGTGCAGCCGAGGGACTTGGTGTTCTGCATCCCAACTGCTCCAGCTGTGGCTATAAGGAGCCAAGGTACAACTCAGGCCATGGCTTCAGAGGGTGCAAGCCCCAAGCTTTTCAGTTTCCATGTGGTGTTAAGTCTGTGGGTACACAAAAGTCTAGAATTGAGGTTTTGGAATCTCCACCTAGATTTCAGTGGATATATGGAAACACTGGGATGTCTAGGCAGAAGTTTGCTGCAGGGGAGGAGCTCTCATGGAGAACCTCTGCTAGGGCAGTGTGGAAGGGAAATGTGGAGTTGGAGCCACTACACAGAGTCCCTACTGGAGCACTGCCTAGTGGAGCTGTGGGAAGAAGGCCACCATCCTCCAGACCCAAGAATGGTAGATTCACCAACAGCTTGTACTGTGCACCTAGAAAAGCCACAGGCACTCAATGCCAGTCTGTGAAAGCAGACAGGAGGGAAGCTGTGCCCTGCAAAGTCATAGGGGTGGAGCTGCCCAAAGCCATGGAAACTCACCTCTTGCATCAGGGTAAACTGGATATGAGACTTGGAATGAAAGGAGATCATTTTGGAACTTTAGGGTTTAATTACAGCCTTACTAAATTTAAGACTTACGTGGGCCTTGTAACCCCTTTGTTTTGGCCAATTGCTCCTATTTGGAACAGGTACACTTACCCAATGCCTGTACTCCCATTTTATCTGGAAGATAATTAATTGCTTTTGATTTTACAAGCTTATAGGTGGCAGGAACTTGCTTTTTGTCAGATGAAACTTTGGACTGTGGACTTTTGAGTTAATGCTGAAATGAGTTAAGACTTTGGGGGACTGTTGAGAAGACATGATTCATTTTGAAATGTGAGGACATGAGATTTGGGAGGGGCCAGGGGCAGAATGATATCGTTTGGCTCTGTCCCTACCCAAATCTCATCTTGAATTGTAGGTCCCATAATTCCCATGTGTCATGGGAGGTTTCTAGGGGGAGGTAATTGAATCATGGGGGAAGGTCTTTCCTGTGCTGTTCTCATGGTAGTAAGTAAGTCTCAAGAGATCTGATGGTTTTATAAAGAAGCGTTCCCCTGCACACACTCTCTTGCTAGCTGCCATGTAAGACGTCCCTTGCTCTTCCTTCATCTTCTGCCATGATTGGGAAGCCTCTCCAGCCATGTGGAACTGTGAGTCCATTAAACCTCTTTCCTTTATAAATTATCCATTCTCAGTTAAGTCTTTATTAGTAGCATGAGAACAAACTAATACAAAGCCTATTCTATCAAAATTTTGCAGGCATTCAGAAAAGATTCATAACACCCTGAGTATCATCCTTGGAATTAGGCTGAAAAATTGCTAGTATAAATAAATTTAATATGGCTTTAAAATATTAAAGCAGCACTTTGTAAATAGGTAATATAACTATTAGTAAGTTTAGAAAACATGGCAACTTTTTGCACCAAATTTTAGTCTAAAATGTTAAGTTAACTGGTTGGGCTGGAAAGATGAAAGCTTTATCTTCATAATTGTTTTCATTTCCAAACAATGTTTCACCATCCCCAAAATAATAGAATTGCTTTTTTGGATGGACACGCATATATTTTTCCCTCATTGAACCTCCATTAAAGTCCCTGATAATTTTGTTGTACTTCTATAACCTATTCATGAACATTGTGTTTTAGAACTCCAAATTTGAGAACAAGTATAATAGGTTCTGCAAGTTTCTTTACTTAATCTTTGCATCATTTAAAGGAAAACATTTTTCTCACTAACATCTAATATTACTGAAAGACAAAGCATGGCTTTAGTGCAAAGGCCTATTTTTTATTTGTTGATATTTAATTTTATCATAGTAACCATGCCCACTGACACTAGATTATATAAAATGTATTTTTCATATGTTATGTCTGCACTCAATTGCAAGATGAGGCTGAAAGCCAAGGTTTTTAGCAATGTAACTACACTGTTGACATTTGACTGTACAATATACACAGTTAAGGCAAGTTACACATTTGGCAAATATTCTAAGATTCAAATTTAGCAGGCACTTCAGAATAATTTGGCTTATGACCAGGTTTACTTTAGATTAGGGACATGGCAAGAGTTCTTTGTTTTACTTTATACTCTAAGGAAGGCAGTTGATAAATATGTATTTATCATAGAAGCCAAAGGAGATTTTTGCTATGAATATCAAAAACAAATTAGACTAGAAAAACAATTATTTGTCTTTCCCTTTACTATTATTAAACAACACCTTCTACTTAATATCGAGCCCCTAAAGTATGTGACAACACTGCTATTTTAAAATGTTACATATTTGTTAGATCCTGTACCCTGGTGATGAATAATGCAATACTCACCAATGAATAGAAACTACATTTTTAATTAAAATCTATTATATTAAACTGAGAAACAAATTGCAAAATCTACAAAAATAGTCCTCCTACAGTTAATTAAATATTATAAATGTGCTCTTTAAATCTCAAAAAGAATAATCTTTTAATATAGGACTTGATATGCAAAGGTACAGCTTATATTTGTAGTTAAACTGATCATAAATAAGAAGAAATAAAGTTAATGTTTTAAGTCCATCATATTTATACATAATTAAATAGGAATATATAATGTATTACTTTGGGTTTTATTTTTAAATCAATAAAGACCATGCCTTGAGCAGTTTGAAGGTTTTATCTAATTGAAAACCAGACATATTTTTGTCTCTTTTTTTTTCCCACAAGCAAAACACCCTTTTACTTATTCTCCTGATGACTTAATGTAATAAACTTAATAGTGTAGACTGATCCATATCTAATCTTGAATTCTAAAAATCATTAACTAAAATGAACTACATGTCTTCGATTTTGAAATAATATGGCATTTTAGATCCCCTGGTAACCTACTATAGTTGGAATACATATTTTCAGATAAAACATTGGATGACATATTGCACTGTATAGTATATCTTTTAATAGGTACATACAGCCAAGTATGAAGTAATTTGTCCATGGTTGGAGGTTGATCAAAATGATTTTAGAATTTAGGTTTTTAAAAATAGGGCAGTAGCATAACTACCACAGTAGTGGATGATGGAAGTCAAATACCTTTAATACTCATAAGTACCATTATTAATAAATCTGAATCAATCAGGAGATGAATGACATGATTATCCATGTTTCTAGCGTGCGACTTCCATATATAAAGGTTACATGGAGATTGGGGAAATAAAATTATTTGAAGAGAAAAAGACACGTTGTTCAGTCCAATGAACAATTTATCGTTTCAAACAATTGAAAAATATAATAATCTCTACCATTTTTCAAAGTGAACCAGAATTTATAATTAAGTAAAGTATTATTGATTTTTGATTATCAAGGCCTCTCAAAAATTTAGAATTCAGGAGCAGAAGAATATGGTTAATTACCAAATAATATATTTATTCCTTCTTTTATATCAATGCTAAAGATTAATAAATAATAGGCTATTGGATGCCCATCATTGGCAACCTGTCTGTTTTATATTATAGTGCATGCTTCATGGAGTGAGTGGTGGAAGACTTTGTATTGCATTTCATATTGTTTTTTACAATGAAGAAACACCACAGAGAGGCTGTAAAGACTACAACAAGATTGTTCCAAATTAAACAAGTTAGAAAGAAAAACAAATTAGCAGTCAAAGGCTGAGTGAAGTGATAGTTTAAAAACAATGCCAGATGTCCTGATGGGGATTATTTTCTCTACGTGCATTTGAAAGTGGGAACTCTGCAAATACCCTAGAATAAAAATCAACCAGGGCAGAGTTGATATCAGCATATAAACATTTCAGCTCATCAATTTGAACAGCCACTGTAAATGAGTGGAACCAAGTTGTTACACGGTCCTAACCTAAACATAATTTGCTTTGCTCTTGGCATTTGGTTAATATTCATCTCTTTCACTTACGGGTCTTCGCAGCTTTCATGACAACACCACAGGCTTCTCTTCAGACATAGCCAATAACTGAGAGGGTAAGATCTTCTGAATGGGCAGCAAAGTTCAGAGAATATCTATAATAAACTTCAGCGGTGAAAATAATTTCCCTATTCATTTTATATTCGACCAGAGGGGTAAAATTCAGAAACAGGATTTAGTAATTCAATATCTGTTATGAAACTGGATGGACTGCTGATTAAATTAATTATTTTGTTATTATTTCTAATGCTTTTCAGTGAACATATGACACTCAGAAACCAGAAGAACATCTGATTTTATAGCACAAACCCAGTTATGTCATTCAAAAGCATTTGGTTCCAGTATTCAGAATGCCAGTCCATGATCTCCTCCTTCAGCCATGTCCTCTCCTCCTAGCCTTCTTCTCTGCCCCACCCCCACCTCTGCCTTCTTCTTTCCTTTGCGAATAGCAGAGATGGCTTTCAACCTTATAATCTCAACCTCATTCACTTGCTTATTTAATCATCATGGTCCTAAAATCCACATTTGCAATAAAATGAGATATTGAAAAAATTCTTATTTTTCCCTATTACTGAGCCCACTTGAAAGAAAGGAAATCCCTTTAATATAACTCTATGTATCCAATGTGCATCTGAAAGACTCCAAACCTCTAATCCTATATGACTGAAAAGATGGCATATGAAAGAAAATATCAGTCCCCTGACGTTTGCTGACTGCTGAAGCCAAATGTCCCACACATTCACTCATGGCATCAGTAAATTTGACAGTGAGCTTAGATGATTTAATTGTCCGTCTTGACCCAAATAAAGATTTAACCCCTTAATGGAAATATTGAATTTGAGATAAGAAACCAGACAGAATAGATGATTTGTCAAATGTATTTAGAAGGCAAAGAAATAAACTAGGAATCACACAACTATTTGTTGTTTTAACTTTCATTCTGACTATAGAAAATTAAATGCATGTTTTATTATTCATATATAAATTAAGTCTGATATTGTTTATTCAAAATAAACAGATTAACATGTTAGCATGTTTAAAGTCTCTAAAAAATATTTGGAGTTAAAATTTTCCCAGGTTTTGAAATTTCTGAACTGATTTAAATGCTATCAAAACTTAGTTTATTTTTCCTCCTTTCATTAACTCCTATGTGTTGTGTCAAACCTCTTTTATCTGTCCCTGCATAGCAAAAACTCAGAAAAGTCCCTGGCTTTTGAGTCACAGTTACAAATATAAGTTCATTTTTGATAATTACCATTACTCTTCAGGGGTTGAAATTACCAGTTTAACCCAAAACCTCAAGCTTATATTTAATGTAACGCGTCTTCTCTCCCTTTCAGTTGAGGTCATAGCTATGGAACCCATTTCAGAGAACTGGTTAAAACCCCGGGTTTTGCTTCTCTCACATTGTGATTTTGTTTTATTGTCTACTTCTTCTCTTTTGTTGATATTCCAGATCCTCCTTAATTGAGAGTAAAAGAATACTTAGAAACAGGGCAAAATTCTTTATATCTAAGTAGGGTTTTTTGCAGACCTGCCTTCCTTGTCAATATCTCTGAGTGTGACAAGCATCCAAATACTTTCTTTTCCAAGGCCTCTGTCAATGGAGTCTTCAGAATCTCTCCCATAGGTGTGTACACACTGGAATTCCCCGATTCACCGCTGAAGTTTATAAGTGGTAGCCTCTTATAACCCACTTTTATCTTCTGCCTTCTGGAAATATCCCTCCAGATAGAGGTAGCTCAGGAAGCTAGCTTTCCAGTTTGGGACCATATCAAGACAGTTCATTCCAGTTATGTTCCATGGCATTTTCTTGGCCCAGAGGAAACACATGCATTCATGTCAAAGCATACTTGCTTCATAGTTTATGGGATTGTGCACTGAACAAGTTGAAAGAATGCATCATGGAGTTGTACAGCTGGGTGGCTCTGCTGGCCATAACAAACATTGGAAATGCAGGCAACTTCCTTCCATTTCACGAAGCTCCAGAAAATCTCCCATTTTGACCCTAGAGAGAACTAAGAAAAAATAGTTACGGTTTGTGGATAATCTACACTTTCTCTTCTATGGAATTAGGGAGTGTGGTCAGCTGTTTTTTAATGGATTTAATGAAGATTAGCTATAGTTTAGCAAGTTGTGCATGCCACGGTCTAACTGCACATCTCTTACAAATATTGATGTGGTTCTCCAATATTCTTATTGTTTCGAACTTCAGTCAAAACATTGAGAAAAAAGAGTAAATACCTCATTCAGCATCCATTTACTTTAATAAGTAAGCATTATTTTGGTATAGTCATGTTTTACAGCACGTGTTGTGTGTTGTGTAAATTCACTTTATGGTTTCAAGGCTAATGCTGCAAATATTCCTCGATTAATTATGTTTGCTTCAGGTTTCAAGCTAATGCTCTTTATCAGATTTAGAGAGTTTTTTTTTTCTTGATTCCTACATTACATTTGTCTAAATTATAAATTGCTCTTCTTTTTTTAAAGAAGAATTTTTTCTCTACATCTATTGACATGACCATCTGGATTTCATCCATCAGATCCATTAGTATGGAGAATAGCATTTGTTCATGATACATATTTTTAATCAGTTAAGAGTGCTGCCAGCTGCCATTAAATAAAACTAACAATGACTGAAGTATTTGTTTTTTTCTTCAAGTGAGAGTAAGTTGAAAGATGGCAGTAGATGAAGCAGATCGTTTCTTAAACATGAGATAAGGGATCAAGGCTTTTGTCATCTTTTCACTGTACCATGCTTAACTTATTATGATTTCACCCTCATGCTTTTACCTAAGTGTTTGAAGGTAGCTACTAGAGCTTTGGAGAACATGCCATTATTCAAAAAAAAAAGAAGAGACAAGGAAGCGTGGTCCCAGAACCTGTTTCATTTCATTGAGAGAGAACAACCTTTTCATGCAAATGCCCAACCAGATTTGATAACATCTCACTGGCCACAAATATGTTCAAATTGCATGCTTGCAAAGGAAGACGAGAAAGAGAAATAAAAAAAAGGAATTACTTACTAAATAAACAGCTTTCATTGGCAAGTAGAAAATGGGGTGTAATATTAGGTAGGCATGCCTGTAACTTGTTTAGAAAATCATCCTTAAACTTCTGGGTTATGATGGATTTTATGGAAATCTTCTTATCATTTGTTATGTAGAATATTAAAATATTTTTTCAAAAGTCAGATAAACCTGTAACCTTCCTTTATTACAAATAGTCCTATTCTGATTTGGGTATCAAAACTATACTAAACATATAAAACAACTTTGTAAGTGTCCGTATTGTTTATAGTCTGGATGACTTTATACCATTATAAAATTATTATTCTTTGAATAATTAACTGCCAGATGGAAATACCCTGTGTCCCAAGCATAGACATAATGCAGTCAACGTTATATGGCCTTCCCTTTTAAAACAAACAAACAAACAAAAAAACAAACAAAAAAACCTGTTTACTTGGTATCCTAAAACAAAGCCAAACTTCTTTTTTTTTTCTTTTTTCTTTTTTTTATTATTATTATACTTTAAGTTTTAGGGTACATGTGCACAATGTGCAGGTTAGTTACATGTGTATACATGTGCCATGCTGGTGTGCTGCACCCATTAACTCGTCATTTAGCATTAGGTATATCTCCTAATGCTATCCCACCCCCTCCCCCCACCCCACAACAGTCCCCAGAGTGTGATGTTCCCCTTCCTGTGTCCATGTGTTCTCATTGTTCAATTCCCACCTATGAGTGGGAACATGCGGCATTTGGTTTTTTGTCCTTGCGATAGTTTACTGAGAATGATGATTTCCAATTTCATCCATGTCCCTACAAAGGACAGGAACTCATCATTTTTTATGGCTGCATAGTATTCCATGGTGTATATGTGCCACATTTTCTAAATCCAGTCTATCATTGTTGGACATTTGGGTTGGTTCCAAATCTTTGCTATTGTGAATAGTGCCACAATAAACATACGTGTGCATGTGTCTTTATAGCAGCATGATTTATAGTCCTTTGGGTATATACCCAGTAATGGGATGGCTGGGTCAAATGGTATTTCTAGTTCTAGATCCCTGAGGAATCGCCACACTGACTTCCACAATGGTTGAACTAGTTTACAGTCCCACCAACAGTGTAAAAATGTTCCTATTTCTCCACATCCTCTCCAGCACCTGTTGTTTCCTGACTTTTTAATGATTGCCATTCTAACTGGTGTGAGATGGTATCTCATTGTGGTTTTGATTTGCATTTCTCTGATGGCCAGTGATGATGAGCATTTTTTCATGTGTCTTTTGGCTGCATAAATGTCTTCTTTTGAGAAGTGTCTGTTCATATCCTTCACCCACTTTTTGATGGGGTTGTTTGTTTTTTTCTTGTAAATTTGTTTGAGTTCATTGTAGATTCTGAATATTAGCCCTTTTTCAGATGAGTAGGTTGCGAAAATTTTCTCCCATTTTGTAGGTTGCCTGTTCACTCTGATGGTAGTTTCTTTTGCTGTGCAGAAGCTCTTTAGTTTAATTAGATCCCATTTGTCAATTTTGGAAACAAAGCCAAACTTCTTTTCTAGCCATCTTGAAGAATGGAATGTAATGTTATTTCCTATAGTCACCCTACTGTGTAATAGAGCACTGAAATGTATTCTCCTATCTAACTATAACTTTGTACCCACCGAGCAACTTCTCCCAGCCCCCATCCCCTTTACCCTCTCAAGCCTTTAGTAAGTACTATTCTATTCTCTATCATGCGATGTTTGTCTTTCTGTGTGTGGCTTATTTTACTTAACCTAATGTCCTCCAGGTTCTTCCATGTTGTTGCAAATGACAGAAGTTGATTCTGTTTTATGGCTGAATGGTATTCCGAATTATCACCACACAAAAAGATAAATGTGAAAATTGATAGATATGGTAATTATACAGATTTGATAATTATAATACCCATACATGCATTGAAGCATCACATTCTATCCCATAAATATGTACAATTAAAATGTGTCAATTATAAATTTTAAAATGAAGTTTAAAAAATAAATTTGTTGAATCTTCTATGTTATATGCCTCAAAGCATTTGTCCATTAACCCTTGAGTAAGCTGGCTTCCTAGCACTGGCTAGATTAGAACACCTTCTAAAGAACAAAACATCTTATTTGTTTTTTATTCATTTTTATTTTTATTTTTTATTATTTTACTTTAAGTTCTGGGATACATGTGGAGAACATGCAGGTTTGTTACATAGGTATACATGTGCCATGGTGGTTTGCTGCACCTATCAACCCGTCATCTAGGTTTTAAGCCCCACATGAATTAGTTATTTGTCCTAATGCTCTCCCTCCCCTCGCCCCCGGCCCCTAAAAGCCTCCAGAGTGTGTTGTTCCCCTCCCTGAGTTCATGTGTTCTCATTGTTCAACTTCGACTTATGAGTAAGAACATGCAGTGCTTGGTTTTCTGTTCCTGTGTTAGTTTGCTGAGGATGATGGCTTCCAGCTTCATCCATGTCCCTGCAAAGGACACGATCCCATCCTTTTTTAGCTGTATAGTATTCCATGGTGTATGTGCACCACATTTTCTTTATTCAGTTTGTCATTGATGGGCATCTGGATTGGTTTCATGTCTTTGCTATTGCAAATAGTGCTGCAATAAACATACGTATGCATGTGTCTTATAGTAGAATGATTTGTATTTCTTTGAGTATATACTCAGTAATGGGATTGCTGGGTCAAATGGTATTTCTGGTTCTAAGATCCTTGAGGAATCGCCACACTGTCTTCCACAATGGTTGAACTAATTTACATTCTCACCAACAGTGTAAAAGTTTTCTTATTTCTCCACAGCCTTGCCAGCAACTATTATTTCTTGACTTTTTAATAATCGCCATTCTGATTGGTGTGAGATGATATCTCACTGTGGTTTTGATTTGCATTTCTGTAATGATCAGTGATGATGAGCTTTTTTTCATGTTTGTTGGCCGCATAAGTGTTTTCTTTTGAGAAGTGTCTGTTCATATTCTTTGCCCACTTTTTGATGGGGTTGTTTTTTTCCTGTAAATTTGTTTAAGTTCTTTGTAAATTCTGGATATTAGACCTTTGTCAGATGGGTAGATTGCAAAATTTTTCTCCCATTCTGTAGGTTGCCTGTTCACTGTGATGATAGTTTCTTTTGCTGTGCTGTGCTCTTTAATTAGATCCCCTTTGTTGATTTTGGCTTTTGTTGCCATTGCTTTTGGTGTTTTAGTCATGAAGTCTCTGCCCATTCCTATGTCCTGAACGGTATTGCCTAGGTTTTTCTTCCAGGGTTTTTATGGTTTTGGGTTTTACATTTAAGTCTTTAATCCATCTTGAGTTAATTTTTGTATAAGGTGTAAGGAAGGGGTCCAGTTTCTACTTTCTGCACATGGCTAGCCAGTTTTCTCAGCACCACTTATTAAATAGGGAATCATTTCCCCATTACTTGTTTTGTCAGATTTGTCAAAAACCAGATGGTTGTAGATATGTGGTGTTATTTCTGAGGTCTCTGTTGGTTTTCTTTTTTTTTTTTTTAAATGAAAAACAATGTCACATTTCTCTCCTTGACAATACTAGAATAATATTATTAGTTGGTGAAATTGCTATGTTCTAAGAACTGTATATCTTTTTCCTTAGTAGATAATGTCAAAATATGTTCCAAAGTTGAACCAATTATACTTCGTTGGCAATGTATAAGAAAACGGTGGCTCTATATCTTTAACTGTCTAGTAAGTATGTATCTGTACCTCTTTGTGATTATTCAACCATATTTTTATGAAGTAGGATTTTTTATACAATCATCCTTCTGTCTTTTTTCAGTCTTGATTAATTATATCTTTTCAGACTTTGTGTTTTAAATAAAGATCTCTATCTAAAAGTCAAATAAATCTTTACCAACATTTTCTTATTAGTCTTTTTATTATAATACCATCAGGTATACAAATGTTTTTTGGTTACATGTATGAATTGTGTGGTGGTGATGTCTGGACTTTGAGAATATCCATCCCCTGGCTGGGCGCAGTGGCTCACACCTGTAATCCCAGCACTTTGGGAGGCTGAGGCAGGCAGATCACTTGAGGTGAGAAGATTAAGACCAGCCTGGCCAACATGGTGAAACCCTGTCTCTACTACAAATACAAAAAACAACAACAAAAAAAATTAGCCAGGCATGGTGGTAGGTGCATGTAATCCCAGCTACTCAGGAGGCTGAGGCAGGAGAATCGCTTGAACCCAGAGGCGGAGGTTGCAGTAAGTCAAGATCTTGCCACTGCACTCCAGCCTGGGCAATAGAGTGAGACTCCATCTCAAAAAAAAAAAAAAAAAAGGATTATTCGACCCAATAGGTAATTTTTCTTGTGTAATTCTCTTCCTTCCTTTCCCCCTTCTGAGGTTCTAATATCCATTACAACACACTGTATGCCTTTGTGTGCCCATAGTTAGCTTCCACCTATAAATGAGAACATGTAGTATGTAGTATTTTGTTTTCTATTCCTGAGTAAATTAACTTAGGATTATAGTCTCCAGTTCCATCCAAGTTGCTACAAAAAAAAAAATTATTTTGTTCTATTTATGGCTAAGGTAGTAGTCCATGGTGCATATACAAAAAAAAAATCATTTTGTTCTGTTTACGGCTAAGGTAGTAACCTTGGTGCATATACATACATACACCACATTTTCTTTATTCAGTCATTGGTTGATGGGCATTTAAGTCTATTCTACACCTTTGCAACTGTAAATTGTGCCATGATAAACATATGTGTCCAGTGTCTTTTTGATATAATTCGTTATTTTCCTTTGAGTAGATACCCAGTAAAAGGATAGTTGGAAAAAATGATAGGTCTATTTTTAGTTCTTTGAGAAATCTCCACACTGCATTCCATAGAAGTTTTAGTAATTTACATTGCCATCAGCAGTGTATAAGCGTTCCCTTTCACATCAGAAACAACATCTATTGCTTCTTGACTTTTAAATAATGGCTGGGGTAAAGAACAATCCCACTGTGGTATTAATGTGAATTTCTCTGATTATTAGTAATGTTGAGCATTTTTTCATGTTTCTTGGCCATTTGTATATCTTTTTTTTTTTTAGAAATATCTTTTCATGTGTTTGCCTACTTTTTAATGAGATTATTTGATTTTTCTGGCTGATTTGTTTAAGTTCCTTGTAGATTCTAGAGATTAGCCCTTTGTCAGATGTATGGTTTGCAAATATTTTCTCCCATTCTGTAGGTGGTTTACTCTGTTGATTATTTTGTTGTGCAGAAGCTTTTTGTTTAATTAGGTCCCACTTATTTATTTTTGTTTTTGTTGCATTTGCCTTTGGGATCTTAGTCATACATTATTTGCCAAAGCCAATATCCAGAAGAGTTTTTCTTAGGTTTTTGTCTAGAATTTTTGTGATTTCAGGTCTTAGTTTTATGTCTTTAATTCATCCTGAGTTAATTTCTGCATATGGTGCGAGATAGGAATCCAGTTTTATTCATCTGCATGTGATTATCCAGTTTTCACAGCATTTTATTGAATAGGGTGTCCTTTCCCCAGTGTGTTTTTGTCTTCTTTGCTGAAGATAAGTTGGTTGTAGGTATTTGGCTCTATTTCTGGGATCTCTTTTCTATTCCTTTCCTTTGGTCTATATGTCTACTTTTGTACCATTATCATGCTGTTTTGGTTACTACAGTCTTGTAGCATAATTTAAAATTGGTTAATGTGATGCCTCCAGATTTGCTTTTATTGCTTAGGATTGCTTTTGCTATTTGGGCCCTTTTTTATTCCATATAAATTTCACCACTATCTTTTTAATTTTGTGGATAGGTGACATAGGTATTTTGGTAGGAATTGTATGGAATCTTTAGATTGCTTTGGGTAGTATGGTCATTTTTACAATATTTATCCCTATAATCTATGAGCATGGGATGGTTTTCAATTTGTATGTGTCATCTACGATTTATTTTATCAGTGTTTTGTCATTCTCCTTATGGAAATAATTCACCTCTTTGCTTAAGTATATTCCTAGGTATTTCATTTTATTTGTAAATATTGTAAATGGGATTGAGTTCTTGATTTAATTATGTTTGGTTATTATTGCTGTGTAGTAGTGCTACTGACTTATGTACATTGAATTTTTTTAACCTGATACTTTACTGAATTTATTTATCAAATTTGGGAGTCTTTTGGAGAGTCTTTAGGGTTTTCTAGGTATGAGATTATAGCATCCACAAACAGATTGTTTGACGCATCTTCTCCAATTGGTGTGAGCATTATTTCTTTATTTTGCCGGATTGTTCTGGCTAGGACTTCCAGTACGATGTTAAATAGAAGTGGAGAAAATGGGCATCCTTGCCTTGTTCTAGTTTTTAGCAGAAATGTTTTCAACTTTACCCTTCAATACGATGTTGGCTGTGGGTTTGTCATAGATGGCTGTTATTATTTTGAGGTATGTTCCTTCTCTGCATAGTCTGTTCAGGGTTTTTACAATAAAGGAGTGGGATGCTGGATTTTATCAAATGCTTTTCCTGTGTCTATTGAGATAATCATGCTTTTTGTTTTTGATTCTATTTACGTGGTGAATCACTTTTATTGACTCGTGTATATTGAACCATGTCAGAGATGAAACTCACTTATTGATAATGAATTATCTGCTTGATGTACTGTTGGGTTTGGTTGACTAGTATTTTCTTGAGTATTTTTGCCTCTATGTTTATTAGGGATATTGGTCTGTAATTTCTTGATGATGTTGTTGTTGTTGCTGTGATGCCTTTTCCTGGCTTTGGTATCAGTGTGATAGTGACTTCATAGAATGGGTTAATGAGAATTTGCCTCCTTCTCAATCACTTGAAATAGTTTCAGTGTAATTGGTACCAATTCTTCTGTGAATGTCAGGTTCAATTCAGCTGTGAATCTATCTGGTCCTGGACTTTATTTTGTTGGGAGACTTTTTATTATTGAGTAAATCTCACTGCTTGTTATTGGTCTGTTCAAGATTTCTATCTCCTCCTGATCCAAGTTTAGGGGGTTGTATGTTTGCAGGAATTTATCCATTTTTTTCTAGATTTTCTAGTTTGTATGCATAGAGGTGTTCATTGTAGTCTCAGTTGGACGGGGTGGCTCACATCTGTAATCCCTGCACTTTGGGAGACCAATGCAACAGAATCACTTGAGCCCAGGAGTTCGAGACAGGCCTAGACAACATAGGGAGACTTCATCTTTATCAAATATAAAGAAAAAAATCAGCCAGGTGTGGTGGCACATGCCTCTAGCCCAAGCTACTTGGGAGGGTGAGGTGGGAGGATCGCTTGACCCCAGGAAGTCGAGGCTGCAATGAGCTGTGATTGCATCACTGCACTCCAGCCTGAGCAACAGAGTGAGAGACTACTAAAGAAAATAGTCTCAAATAGTCTTTTGTATTTTATGGTATCAGTTGTAATGTCTCCATTTTCATTTCTGTTTGAGATTTGAATCTTCTGTCTTATTTTCATGGTAAATTCAGCTAATGATCTATCATTTTATTTTTTTAACTTTTCAAAGAACCAACTTTTCATTTCATGAATCCTTTATATTGCTTTTGTGGTTTCAGTTTCATTTAATTCTGCTCTGATCTTTGTTATTTATTTTCATTTGCTTGTTTTGAGGCTGGATTGTTATTGTCTCTCTAGTTCCTTGAGGTGTGACATTAGGTTGTCAATTTATGATCTGCCATTTTGATGTAGGCATTTAGCACTATAAACTTTCCTTTTAGCACTGCTTGTGCTGTATCCCAGAAGTTTTGATAACTTTTGTCACTGTTACTCATTTTGAAACAGTTTTTAGATTATGTATTGATTTCATTGTTGACTAGAAAATCATTCAGGAGCAGACTGCTAATTTCCATGTATTTGTATAGTTTTGAGGTTTCCTCTTGGAATTGATTTCTGGTTTTATTCTGCTGTGGGCTGAGAAGACACTTTATATGATTTTGATTTATTTAAATGTATTGAGACTTGTTTTGTGGCCTATCATATGGTCAACCAAGGAGAATATCCCATGTGCTGATGAGAAGAATGCCTATTCTTGTTTTGCGGTAGAAAGTTCTATAAATCTCTGTTACATCCATTTCTTCTAGAGTTTAGTTTAAGTCCAGTGTTTCTTTTTTTGATTTTCTTCCTCAATAATCTGCTAAGTGCTGTCAGTAGAGTGTTGAAATCCCCTACTATTATTGTGTTGCAGTCTAATTCTTTTTTTAGGTCTAGTAGTATTTATTTTATAAATTTGGGAGCTCTGAAATTACATGCACATGTATTTAGGATTGTCATATTTTCTGGTTGAATTGTTCCCTTTGGCATTATATAACAACCTTCTTTGTCTTTTTTTGTTGTTGTTGTTTCTATACAGTCTGTTTTTAGCCGATATAAGGATAGCTACCCCTGATAATTTTTGGTTTCTATTTGCATGAAATACTTTTTTTCTACCCATTTCTCTTGAGTCTGTAAGAATCTTTATGAGTTAGGTGTATCTCTTGAAGATAGCAGACATTGGTTTGTGTTTTTTAATCCATTCTGCTAATCTGTATCTACTAAGGTGGGTCATTTAGACTATTTACATTCAATTTAATGTTGATATGTGAGGTACTGTTTCTGTCATCATATTGATTGTTACTTAGTTGCTTTGTTTTCTTCATTGTATTACGACTTTATAAGCCCTGTGAGTTTTATACTTTTATGCTTTTTATTGTTTCTGTATTTGAGCATTTCAACCTTTTGTTTAGATATTTACAACTCCTTGTAGCATTTTTTATAAGATTGGTCTCTTGGGGATACACTCCCTCAGGACTTGCTTGTCTGGGAAAGACTTTATTTCTCCCTTAAAATGAAACTTAGTTTTGCCGGATACAAATTCTTGTCTGACAGGTATTTTGTCCTATCTAAGGACAGGAGCTCAATCCATTCTGGCTTGTACAGTTTCTACTGAGAAGTCTACTGTTAGTCTGATAGCTTTTCCTTTATGAGTCATCTGATGCTTTTTCTCACTGCTCTTAAATTTATTTATTTCACATCAACTGCAGATAGTTCGATGACTATATGCCTTGATGATGTCTTCGTTTTGCAATAAATCTCCCAGGAGTTTTTTGAAGTTCTTACATTTGGATGTCTAAATCTCTACAAAGACCAGGGAAGTTTTCCTCATTTATTCCTTCAATTAGGTTTTCTGAAACTTTTTGCTCTTTCTTCTCCTTAAGGAAAACCTACAATTCTTATGTTTGGATGTTTTACATAATCATATACATTTTTAGAAACTTTATTAATTTATTTTCATTCTTTTTCTTCATTTTTGTCTGATTGGGTTAATTCAAAACCTTTGTCTTCAAGCTCTGAAATTCTTTCTTCTGCTTGGTCTAATCTATTGTTAAAAATTTCCACTGAATGTTGTAATTTTCTAAATGCACCTTTCATTTCCAAAAGTTCTGTTTGGTTTTTCTTTAAAATCGGTATCTCTTTATAAAATTTTTCATCCATATCCTGAATTGCTTTTTTTATTTCATTATGCTGGTTTTCAACTTTCTATTGGACCTCACTGAGCAATTTAATAGGCAAAATTTTGAATTCTTTCTCTGGTATTTCAACGATTTCATTATGGTTTGAATCCACTGCTGGACCATTAGTGTGATATTTTGGGCATGTTATGGAAGTCTGTTTTTTTATATTGCCTGTATTACTTTTTTCTGGTTCCTTCTCATTTAGGTACACTATTTCTTCTTCTTATTTTTTAATTTATTTTTGATTTGACTGGGTTATTTTAAACTTTTTTCCCTTAAGGATGTGACTTTAATGTGTATAGTTTATGGTCACCTAGCTCTGGCTCTGGATGCTTTCAGTGGCAAAGGCTCTGTATGAGTTTCTTGCCTGTAGAGAATATCTGTATGATGACTTTTTCTCAGATGTTGGTTGTAGCAGTGTGCTGGATATATGGGTAAGTTCACTGTCTCCCATGAGGCCAGAATGGCACAGATCCCATGAAGCATACCTTGTTCTCCAGTGGCATGCACACTTTTATTTCTTTCTCAGTATTTTTTTTCACTGGGTTAAATAGTTCAGCCTTCAGGCCAGTAGTAAGTGTCCATGGATAAAAACTGGCTGCGGCTAACGCCAGTGGGTATATGTAACACCTCAATGATGGGCAGAAGTCCCAGCTTTGACAGAGGTGGCTGGGGAAGCTTTCAGTGTAATGCACTGAGGTTTTTTCAGGGGGAAGGGAGGGAGATGCCTAGCTCTCCTTCAGATCACCAGGAAAGCAATCTACCTCCCTGTTATGCTCCCGTCCTGGTGTTCTGGCTATTCAGATCAGACAGGTACCTCTTTTCATCTGTCGGAATGAACTTTAGATACATAAAGATGTCCTTACCTCAGATAAATACTAACCAACATTTGCTTTTAATCCAAACAATTCCTTGCTATTTTATTTTGAATTGTTATTCTTACAATTTACTTGCTACAGAGGAAAACTCTAACATTCTCGCCTACCTGATCAATTTTACTGCATCATTTGCTAATAAAAAATTCTTCTTATTTGAAGTTTTTATGTAAGCAAGAATCAATTTAACGGCTATTTACTCTGTTTCAATGATCAGTCTATGATTCAGTGACACAGTTTTCATTGTTGTAACTTTAAAATATGCTTTCATATTTAATTTTGCCATTCAAATAACATTTATTATACAAAACCATAGCATAACAACTATTAAGTTTCACTCTTACTTAAAAAAATTATCAACTTATTCACTTTTTAATTATTTCATATGAGCTTCATATTTTAAAAGTCTGAATTTAATTTTGAATTATATTAAGTCTATTTTGGACAGTGTTTTTTTATATTAAATCTTCCAATTCAAGAACACAGCAGTGCTCTCAATATTCTTGACTTACCGATTGCCTGCCTGGCTTCTTCCCTTCCTTCTTTCCTCCCTTTCTTCCTTCCTTTCTCATTTCTTTCCTTTAATTCTCAGGCTAAAATTATTGGTTTATTTTGCTTTTAATAATCGTGATGGCTTTTTTCTTGCTGGATGATTCTCTGTTTGTACATAAGAGTGGATTTTTTTTCTACTGTCTGCTATCCTCCAACTTCTTTTATTGAGATTCCAGCTCATCTCCAGATGTTTTGTTGGCAAATGTTTAAAATGGGCAAACTAAATAGGCCGTCATAATGCATTCCTTTATTACTACAAATATACTTTGGATGACTCCCTCAAGGGAAAAGTATTGTCACAAAAAATTCTAATAATTCTTAAAATCTAGTAAGTTATTACCATTTACCAGGCCCTACACTAATTGCTCTACATAGATTAACTCATTTGTTCTTTATACTCATAAAGTTTACTGATACTGGCCCATTTTGCAGAGAAAAATGAGGTACAAAAAAGTTGATTATCTTTCTATAGTTCATATAGCTGTTAAGTGGTCTGGATAAGATACAAGTTTAGTTACACTTGGGAAGTATGCGTGTTCCTGATCAGTCTACTACACGTCCATTCTGTGCTTTAAAACATTCAAAGAACACACAGATTATGTAGCCCTAAAAGATAGAAACTCATAAATTCAGGCATAATAGAGAACATGCCTGAAGTAATATAGTGTTTTACTGAAGAAGAGATAATTGATAACAAAAGGATAAATAATGTAAATATTAAACATTCTTGATTTGGAAAAACTCAGAATGGTAACAAAAATACATCAGGTAGATAATGGGGAAGTATTGCAGTGAGAAGGTAGATGTTCACTTCAATCCATGTCAGCTGTGAGATAGTTAGAAGGCTCTTGATGAGGTCATAAGTTAACTATTTATGAAAAGGACAGAGATATATGCATAATTTCTGTGATAGGAATAGCTAAAATTATAAAAACAACTCAGTTATTCACACAAAAAATAGAAATGTAAAATCAGTAAGTTAGTGTAATTTATACTAAAGTAGTGGCTTTCACATCTTTTAGATGTGAAAAGGATCCACTGTAAGAAATTTATTTTACATCCTGACCCAGTAGACATGTAAATACCACATGCTCCACAACATTCACATAAACACACACACACACACACACACACACCCCTCACAAAGTAATAATAATACTGTTAACATGTGCCTTGTATTCTGATTTTTTCAATTCTATTTAATTTTATTTTACTTTTTAAAATGCTATCACAGTCTACTCTGTTGAAGTAATGACTCCCTATGACTCCCTACAGGAATGTGAGAGAAAATAGATAAAACAGAGGCAATGGTAGTATTGAAGTTAATTATGTTGAGGAAAAATGAAAACCTATGCATTTATTTAAAATATAATGAGGCCAAAAGCAGTGGTTCATGCCTGTAATCTCAACACTTCGGGAGGCTGAGGCAGGCAGATCGCTTGAACCCAGGAGCTTGAGACCAGCCTGGGCAACATGGCGAAATCCCTTCTTTACAAATAAACAGAAATAAAAATTAGCCATGCATGGTGGTGTATGCCTGTAGCCCCAGCTACTCAGGAGGCTGAGGTGGGAGGATCACTTGAGCCCGGGAGGCAGAGGTTGCAGTGAGCCAAGATCACACCACTGCACTCCAGCCTGGGTAGCAGAAAGATATTCTGTGTCAAAATTAATTAATTAATTAAATATGATGAGAAATTTGCAATTAGACCTGGACTACAAGCTGGAGGAAGAAAGTCAATAATAAATATGAAGTAGACACATGAATTGTAATTGTATCAGAATAATCTGGCATAAGATTAATAGTAGTCAACATTTTTATACCTTAAAACATTTAAAGAACAAAACACACTGCCTTTCCATCAGTTTAAAAGATCTATTAAGCCAATAATTTTTAAGAGTGAGATGCATGAGAATCTTGGAAATAGGGAGCTGGATGAATCTGGGTGAATTTGGAGAAAAATATTCTTTTATGGAATCTTACAGGCTCTTTAAAGGATGTGCGTCCACTCTGAGATCCTCTGCAGAAAATGCACCTGAGTGGAAGTTTAAGTTAAATAAGGTCAAGAAAGTGAGCACAGCAGACAAAGTTTTGTTAATCAAGGAGGGATTTCAGTAATTATTCTTTAGAATTTTAAAATATTTTCAGTGAAAACATTTTCCAGTATTATTATTACATGAATGACTCTGCTCTTTTCTCATTTCTTTTTCTTTAGTAAAAATTATACTGCAAATAATCTCCAAATTTTTACACTACGACAGCTTGGCCGGCTTTGTAGTGACTGTTAACTTCCTCAATGAACATGTTTGCGTCATGCCCAAGGAATGCAGACACCATATGGAATTGAACTATATTTTAGTCCCAGATCTGTCTCTTCAGTTAATGATTAAACGATAACCTGCTGAAAACAACACCGCTTCATGAAAGTGGCCTGTGAAAGGGGCTTCATCCTCTAGTTATTTACAAATTAAAAAGGAGAGCCAGATCTTATCGGATGTTATGAAAATTTTCTGTGATTGCTCTTTGCATTTATAAAGGATGCTGATATATTTTTTGAATTATTTCGAAATTACCTTTCTATAGGTAAACCACATCAATTTAATTAGAAAAACTACAGAAAAAGTCCGACTTTCGTCAAGTTGACTGTAGAAAAGAGAAATAGTGCTACTGCACTCCAGCCTGGGCAGCAAGAGTGAACCTCCGTCTCAAAAAAAAAAAAAAAAAAAAGAGAGAGAAATAAATATATATTCAGTAGGTCTAAACTTTTACAATATGAAAGGCAGAGGAAAGTTTGGACTCTATAGTCTCCTTTTATCATTAAACATATTGTATTATAAGTTGTTCAAAGAATCATAAGTAAATTTCTTAGGAAATGTATCACTCCCTACTTCCTAAATTTCCAATGACTTCGTTAAAGCAAATTGGAGATAATAAAGAATTGCACTCAATTTTGTTTCTTGTAGAAAGAGGTGCCAAAAGGCAGATGATTCCCTTGGAACTGGCTATTTTCACATGGAATGTAACAACTGTGAACAAATATGTTCACATATCAACCTTAACTTTTCCAAGTTCAAAAAAGTTACTGAACTTCCTGATGATTTGATCCAGAAAAATCTTTCTGTACAGTTCAGCTACAGCCTGAAAGTGTCCACAGCAAAGAAATTTGGAAGAAATGAGCATGGTTGCTATTTTAACTGCCATTTAACATTGGCAGTATTTAACATTAAAGACACTAAATATGATTAAGAATTATCAGTCCAGAATACAGAGTATAAATGTCTGTAAAATGTTTTTAGATATTTTCAACAGATTATATACTTATTTACATATTCAGCATTATACAGATCATTTAGTTTTACTGTAAATGTGGTTATAGATCGGGTGCAATAATGAGAAACACAAACTACGTTTATAAGCAAAATGAAGTGTATTCATTTTAATAATTACCCTTATCCTGTAAGCTTCTGGCATTTTGGGCATTAGATAAAGTATAAGGAATTACTTACTTTGGCTGTAAAAGGAAGAGAACTCTCATCCTTTCCTCTCAAACCTCTTTGGTACAGAAAATTAACTGCTCAAAACAAAGAAAACCAACTATGGTTTCAAATATTTGTTGAACAAAATTATATTCAATATATCGTTACTTGGCTTCCCTTGTAAGGGAAGGAGGAAAGAAGTCTATTAGCTCTGGTTCTTTGCTACTTTTGCAAAATGCTCTCAGTTAACATAATAAAAATAAAATGTCTCCTACTTGCCTCTCAAATTAAGTGCATACCCCCCACACTCCACTCCATGTTGGCATTTTAGATCCTAAACCGTAATAATAATCTCAAAAACAAGCAGTGTAGACAAGTGTCATGCACTCATCGTCACAGATAATCTTCCCAGCAACATTCTAAGTACTATTATTGTTCCCATTTTGCAAGAATCTGAGGCCCCAATAGGTTAAATTAGTTAACCATAAAACTAGTGAGAGACAGAACAAGCTTAGAACCCAGATACTCACAGATCTTACTTTACCAGGCTGAGCTTCTGTGCCCCTATTCATGCTATTCTGTCTCTCACTGCCCAAATTTTAGCAACCTCTCTCATGATTCCCATTCCTTGTGTTCACAAACATCCAATTTCTCACTCCTTTTGGCTCTCATTAAGATTGTTTGCCATATTATTTGAGTAGACATCAGGATCAAGCTTGCTTTACTCATGTCCAGAATGATTTGGGCTACAGGTTACATCATAGAGAAATAAACAGGGCATAAACACTTTTTGTTGACTAATCAAGAAACAAAGTTAGAATTGGTTAGCTACACAACACCAAATGTCCTGGCTTTCTGGAGCATTCTACTCTCCCTTCCATAGAGTGTTACTGATGCCTCTGCTTATGGTTCCAAGAAGGCTACAGAGTTTCCAACATCACATCCTCAAAAAACATCATCAAAAGTAGGAAGGAAATGGACGCTTGCATATTTCTTGATTTTTATCATGGAATCCCAGTTCTCAGATCTCCCAAGCAGTTCTGTTGGTCAGGATTAATTAATTTAATTGCTTATTTAACACACATTTCTTTAGTCATTGCTATGTACCAGGTAGTGCTATAAGCACTAGTAATCCAGTAGTGAACAAAACAGAAAATCTCCCTGCTTTTATATTTATATTCTACTTAGGAAGGACAAACACTAATCAGCAAAACAATAATATAAACATATGGCAGGCTGTGATAAGTGATAAGATTTAAAAGCAAGTTAATGGCAGAGTAAAACAAGAGACATTTTGTTTCAGATAAGATGGTCAAAGAAGCTTTCTTTGGGTCGGGCGTGGTGGCTCATGCCTGTAATCCCAGCACTTTGGGAGGCTGAGGCAGATGGATCACTTGAGGTCAGGAGTTCAAGGCCAGCCTGGCCAACATGGCAAAACCCCATCTCTACTTAAAATACAATAATTAGCCAGGCACAGTGGCACAGGCCTGTAATACCAGCTACTCGGGAGGCTGAAGTAGGAGAATCGCTTGAACCCAAGAGGTAGATAGAGGTTGCAGTGAGCCAGGATCATGTCACTGCACTCCAGCCAAAAAAAAAAAAAAAAAAAAAAAAGGAAGCCTTTTTTGGTACAATCATATTTGAATTTAGATATGAATGAAGAAGTAAAGGAATGAGATGTACAGATACTTAAAGAATGTTCTTCTTTTGAAAGTCCTGGGGCCCAGCAAGGATGCACACAGAAGGAAGAAAATTTTCTGGAGGAAGAAGTTAGAAAATGGTATCAGAGAGGCATCAGGAAATTAGCTTGTGTAGAGCTCTCAGCCTGTAGTAAATAATCCAACTTTTGATCTGAGTGAAATGTGAAATTGATGTTGAGTTTTGGAAATGGCATTGATATGATCTGACCAACATTTTCAAAGATTCACTCCTGCTCCTCTGTGGCGTATGGACTTTGGGAAGGGAATGGGAGCTTGGAGAGATATTCATGGAAGCAGAAAAATCAAATAGGGGCTCTTTTGGATTAACACCATTGAGGTGCTATGGTGGCAGAATGGAAGTGGGTGCCCACTATTAGATTCTGGAACTATTGTGAAAGCAGAGGAAGCAGGATGTACTGATGGACTTAATGTGAGGTGTTAGAGAAAAAGATAAACTAAGAATAATTCCGTGTATTTGAATCTAAGCATATTAACAGAATGGAGATACTGTCTGAGTCACAGCCCCTGGCTTACTAATAAAACAGGCTGGGAAAGTATCTGGTGTTTAAAATTTGTGTAATGAGAGATATGATCTTCTAGCAAGGGAGGTAGAAACTGAGTATTTTTCTTATGTTTCTACTATACCCACACTCATAATCTATTTTTTTTAAGGAGACATCTTGTGCCTCTTTAGTCACATCTTTATGGTAACTCTACCAAGTGTAATGTTGAACATCCATATTAGAACTTTTCACCGTTCAGTTAATTAAACACACATAAATAAGGTTACTTTAAGCCTTCATCTTAAAATCAAATACACTGAATAATGGCTTATTATATTGTTACTTTCTATCCTTAAAATTTTATAGATGTATTTAAGGAATCAAGTATTCAGGCCTTTGCGTCAAATGTGTAAAATAAATGCAGAGTAGGATCTTCTCAGATTATGAATCAACATGAAAAGATAATACTGTGACACACCTTGGTCCATGATGAATGATATGATAGATGATCATTCGTTCATCATTGACTAAAATATTTCATAAGGATTCATGTGGAATGAAGTGTGTAGGTATATTTTTATAGATGAGGCACTGAAGGGTTTTAGAATTGTGGGTTGCCAAAAAGAGGAAAAAGTACTCTTGGTTAGTTAACACAAACAAACAAATGGGTAAAAGGAAGTGAGATAGAAGCATTTGGGGACTTAAGTGAGTAGATCAGTTTATTGGAGCCAGTAGCTCTACCTGGGGATGGTAAGATTATTGGAGCCAGTATCCAAGCTCTACTAGGGGATGCTAAGATTAAGAGACCATTGAAGATCAGATCAAGGAGGTTAGAAAACCCTGGGGATCCCAAAGCACAGGGCTTAGTCTAAGGTTAAGGAAAGCTCCTGAGGTTTTGGAAAGAATAAGTGATTTAAAAAGGAAGTGTTTTAAGATGAATTTGGTAGTGGCATATAAAATGAAAGGGGGTTTGGAGGAAAAAGAAGATAAAATTTTCCTGATAACGTTCAGGCATCAAATAACAAAGGCTTAAAAGTTCACTGAAAACATCAGGAAATTAAATGCATTGACAGTGGTGGGAGAGAATTTAAAGGAAAAGTTAAGAAGATTTGGGTACGGAGAATAAATGGACAGGAGGGTTCAAAGAAGAGCCCATGATTCTGAAGTACAGTGTTTGGGAAAATGATGCTATTGACAGGAAGTACTGGAGGTTTTCTTTCCAAAGAAAGTAGATAAAATCCCTGAGAAACAGAAGGACAAATATTGTTGATGTCAGTGCCACAGAACAAAGCCAACTATCATGCGGCATCTGTCATAACCATTTAAAATTTAACAGGTGACAGGTTTCCCCTATCTACTCAGAACCCTACTTAGCCTTTACACTACTTTTTTCTTAAATCTGAACACTTAATAAAAAGAATTTTAGATGCTTTTGATAGCCTCTCTTCAAGGACAACAAAAAGCTAACAAAATAATGTGGAAAGAACAATTATTAAGACAATAGAAAATAACTAAAATAAAAACAAACCTCTATATAGTATTGAATAGAAACTTAGTGTATTAGTTTACTAGTGCTCCCATCATATATTATCACAAACTGAGTGGCTTAAAACAGAAGCTTATTCAATTACAGTTTAGGAGACTAAAGTTCAAATTCAAGGTGTCAGCAAGGTTATGATCCCCATGAAAGCCGTAGGGAAGAACCTGTTCTTGACTCTTGTTGGCTTCTAGTTGCTCCTTGCAATCCTTGGTGCTCTTGGCCTCTGGCTGCATAATGCTAATTTCTGCTGTATCCTCACATGTTGTCTCGGTCTGTATCTGTGTGTCATTTCACCTCATAGAAACACTAGTCATTGGATTTACAGTCCATCCTAATCCAATGTGACTTCATCTTAACTACATCTGTAAAGATCATATTTCCAAATAAATTTGCATGTAGAGGTTCTGAGTAAACATGAGTTAAACCCACTATGTTTAAGACAAAACATAAGACCAGAGTAATATGAAAAGCAAACTATAAGAGAGTAAGAAGGAAGTCAAACATAAAAAAAAATGACGGCTTGTATTAGTTTGTTCTCGTGCTGCTAATAAAGACATACCCCAAACTGAGTAATTTATAAAGAAAAGGTTTAATTGACTCACTGTTCCACATGGCTGGGGAGGCCTCACAATCATGGCAGAAAGCAAAGGGGAAGCAAGCCAGGTCTTACACGGCAGCTGGCAAGAGAGAGCATGTGCAGAGGAACTCCCCTTTATCAACTGGCAGATCTCATGAGACTTACTCACTATCACCAGAACAGCCCGGCAAAAACCATCCACCATGATTCAATTACCTCATTACCTCCCACCAGGGTCCCTCCCATGACACATGGGAATTAGGGGAGCTACAATTCAAGATGAGATGGGGACACAGCCAAACCATATTATTGCTTAAACAAAAATCAAGCTGAGGGCACTGGAAATAAAGACATGGAAATATCTCAGAATTTAGAACAGAGAGATAAAGTAGTAAGACATAAAAAAGAAAAACAAAAACAGAAATTATCATTTCAATAAGTAGGAGTTCTAGAAACACTAATCTAACTAAAAAGTTTTAGAAATATCAGTTAGCCATTCTAGATTGTTAAACCATAGTTTTTCAAATGTCAACTAATAAGATACGTATAAAGATTAACTTCTGGGAGTTCTAGAAATCTACTTCTGTTAGTTAACAGAAGATCTAACAAGAGATCATAGAAAAAAAAAGAACAGAAAAAAAGAAAATATTTTTAAATAATGTAAGAAAATTTCCTACCCCACCAGAAAACCTTCCAGTACAAATATTCTAGATATTTAATCTCAGAATCAATGAACAGTTAAGCTGAAAACAAAAATCCTAAACATTTCCTGGAGAGAAAGCAAAACAAGTCAGTTACAAAGAAACGAGAAACCGATTACTAGAAAATTTCTTATCATCCAACCGGATGCTAGAATTCCACTGAGCAATTTCTTCAGATTTGTAAGAGTAAATTATTTTCAGTCAAGAATTCCATAAACCATCAATCAACTGTGGGATAGAACAAGAATAGTTCAGATTATGAAATTTGTCACCTATTTATTTTCTTTGGAAGGTACTTGAGAGTATTCTCACGTTAAAGTTTAATTTGAAAAAATACAAAATATTTCCTTGAGGAGGTGACATTTAAACCAAAATCTTAATCACAATATGTCAGTCTTGTGAAAATTTAGGGAATAATATTCTAGGGGGAGGAGATCAAGTTACTTACGTAAAGACATTACTATCATGGTAATGTGTTCAGGATTGGTGTGGACAGGGAGTGGGAGTTTCAGAAGGGTGGAAGTATTTGGAGTGAAAATAAGAAAAAATATCAATTAAATTTGATACTGAAAAGCAGAGAGAATGCGTATGAAATTAATTTTGTCACTGACCTGATTTAAATGATATCTGAATTTGCTGATGATAAAGTCAAAAATATTCTGCCTGTTAATTCAATCCCATTTATTCTCTAATTGGCTTAAACTAAGCAGAGTCATTGGTATAAAAACTATTTGAAGAAATTTTTCCAAATGATTTCGATTTGTCCTCTTTTATATCAGCACGAACTTTTAAATTACAATTTATACATCTATATGCTTAAGATAGCAAAGTGATTAGGAATATAGTTCCATCCAGTTTAAATAAAAGACATTAACTAATTAGATATTTCAAATGTATCACTACTACATTTAAAAAAAATGCATTTAGCGGGATGTTAGTTTTGCATTAGAGGGAAAAAGACCAAGAACTCCTCTCTTACTGTAATGTCATAAACATGCCCCATAGAACAAGTACTGAGACAACAAGCACATTTTCTTCCCTATGGTTCAAATTTAACAGTGCCTTTGCCGTTTAAAGGGCGATGTTGAAATTGATTCTTTGTCCCTCGTTACAATTCACAAGTTGCTCATGACAATCACCCGACTGTATAATTAACTTCATACCTGGGCTTTTGTAATATGTTATATATTTTTGATACTTCCTGGATTTCTAATTGATTGATTGATCGATTTTTTTTATTAAGAGAAAGAACATACGCTGTTTTGACGATATTTTTAATATCATTCCTTCTTAATATCCACCTTAATGTCAGTTCTTAGCATCTTCTATTATTCTATCTTACCCTTTTTATTGGACTCACTGGCTTCCTTAACAAATTGACTAGTTCTTTAATTTTTGTATCACAACTGTTTTATTAGCCTTTTTCTTCTTAAAGTTTTTGTTTCTTTTTTACTTGCATTTTGTGCTATTATGTAATGCTGAAGATCATTATCTTTTAATTCTGGCAATCCTCTTGTAGAGAGGAATGGAAGATTTAAGTACATTTATCAAAGACAATGTAAATGTTATCAAACTTGACAATGAAATTTCTACTTGACAGAAGTTGGGATGAAAGTGTGTGAAGAAGTGAAAGCAAAATTAGGGGAGCTGCTATTCTCCTCTTAAAAATCTATTCCTCTAGATTCTGTCTATAGTTGATGGAAAATATTTAAATATAATATCAACTTTCAAAGATGGTTTTAAATATCCAAAATAATAATGTAAATATTTATATGTGAATAGAATAAGATGAGAAGCCAAACCTGATAAATCATACACAAGTAATATCAACATATTATTTAGCCACTATAAACCAAAGCATTTAAATACGAATGGTTTTGAAGAACAAGGATAAGCTTTAAGAAAAGCAACTAAGAAAACTAATAATTTGCCTTTGAGCCATTCTGTATGATTTGATTTTTGAAACTCTGTGCATGTATTGAATTCATATACACACATATTTATACTTGTGCATATCCTTTCAAAAATTATAAAGGTAGCTTTTTAAAGATGAGGGGTTAAT
Organism: Homo sapiens; assembly: GCF_000001405.40. Classification (NCBI taxonomy): domain Eukaryota; kingdom Metazoa; phylum Chordata; class Mammalia; order Primates; family Hominidae; genus Homo; species Homo sapiens. Next base: position 27,524,046 of record NC_000021.9, on the reverse strand, counting down.
TTCGGAGTTTCCCAGAAATTGACAGAATGGGAGGATGCAGTAATTTATCTATTAAATAAATATATATTTAATAAATATTTAGTACACATGTATTACATATAGAGGACAATATGCTAGTACCAGAAATATGCATTTAAATGAGTTTCTGCTCTTAAGGAATTCACAGGTGTACATGGGCATATATGCGTATATATGCCCCACAGGTGATAAATACTGTAATAGAATTACAAGTGAAGTAGAAAGGGAACTTGCCACAGGCAGTGGCAAATTCCCAACAAGTGTATTTTGAAGTCATGTGTAGCCACACTGCGGTGTTATTATATCATTAGTTTATTTTATTCATAGCTCTTGTAAGTATCAAGTATTTTCTTTAATTTATTCCTTATTTATTAGAAATGAAAGATCTATGATGGAAACTTCCTCAATCTTGACTCCTCAGCATAGAGAATGGTTTCTCTAATACATAGTAGGCCCTCAAAGAATTCTTGAGTGAGTAAATTAGATCAATTGAAAAATGATAATATGTATATTATCATATATATTATGATATATGATATCATATATATGATATCATATATGGAGATATATACAGAGATATATCTGGAGAGATAATTATATATATAATATATGGAGAGATATATGGAGAGATATATGGAGAGATAATTATATATATAATATATTATCTTGTATATTATATGTAGTATATTATCTTGTACATATAGAACGTATATATAGTGTGTGTATATATAGATATCTATAAGTCTATATATATATACACATAGAGAGAGAGAGAGAGAGAGACAGAGATAGAGATTTTAATAGGATAAGTCAGCAGACTAGAAATTCAGGTAAGAGTTAATAATGCAGTTTTGAGTCCAAATTCCACAAGAAAGAGCAAGCCTGCTGGAAATGCAGTCCTTAGGCAAAATTACTTCTTCAGAGACCTGTCTTTGCTCTAAAGGCTTTCAGCTGATTGGATGATGCCCATCCACATCTTGGAAGATATTATTATTATTATTATTATTTGAGATGGAGTCTCACTCTGTCACCCAGGCTGGAGTGCAGTGGTGCAGTCTTGGCTCACTGCAATCCCCACCTCCTAGGTTCAAGTGATTCTCCTGCCTCAGCCTCCCAAGTAGCTGGGACTACAGGCACGCACCACCACACCCAGCTAATTTTTGTATTTTTAGTAGAGACAGGGTTTCACCATGTTGGACAATCTCTTGACCTCTTGATCCACCCGCCTTGCCCTCCCAAAGTGCTGGCTTTACAGGCATGAGCCACTGCACCAGGCCTGGAGAATAATATTACTTACTCAAAGTCTACTAATTTAAATATTAATCACATCATATATATATATATATATATATATATATATATATATATATATATATATATATATAATTTTACTTTAAGTTCTAGGGTACATGTGCACAATGTGCAGGTTTGTTACATAGGTATACATATGCCATGTTGGCTTGCTGCACCCATCAACTCATCATTTACATTAGGTATTTTTCCTAATGCTATCCCTCCTGCAGCCCCCCACTCCCCGAAAGGCCCCAGTGTGTGATGCTCCCTGCCCTGTGTTCATGTGTTCTCATTGTTCAATTCCCACCTATGAGTGCAAACATGCAGTGTTTGGCCTTCTGTCCCTGCAATAGTTTGCTGAAAATGATGGTTTCCAGCTTCATTCATGTCCCTGCAAAGGACATGAACTCATCCTTTTTTATGGCTGCATAGTATTCCATGGTGTATATGTGCTATATTTTCTTAATCCAGTCTATCATTGATGGACATTTGGGTTGGTTCCAAGTCTTTGCTATTGTGAATGGTGCCACAAAAAACATACGTGTGCATGTGTCTTTATAGTGGCATGATTTATAAACCCTTGGGTATACACTGAGTAGTGGGATCACTTGGTCAAATGGTATTTCTAGCAAAAATCACAAGCATTCCTATACACCAATAACAGATAAACAGAGAGCCAAATCATGAGTTAGCTCCCATTCACAATTGCTACAAAGAGAATAAAATATCTAGGAATCCAACTTACAAGGAATGCGAAGCACCTTTTCAAGGAAAACTACAAACCACTGTTCAACAAAATAAAAGAGGACACAAACAAATGGAAGAACATTCCATGCTCATGGATAGGAAGAATCAATATCATGAAAATGGCCATACTGCCCAAGGTAATTTATAGATTCAATGCCATCCCCATCAAGCTACCAATGACTTTCTTCACAGAATTGGAAAAAACTGCTATAAAGTTCATATGGAACCAAGAAAGAGCCTGCATAGCCAAGACAAGCCTAAGCAAAAAGAACGAAGTTGGAGGCATCATGCTGCCTGACTTCAAACTATACTACAAGGCTACAATAACCAAAACAGCATGGTACTGGTACCAAAACAGATATGTAGACCAATGGAACAGAACAGAGGCCTCAGAAATAACACTACACATCTACAACCATCTGATCTTTGACAAACCTGACAAAAAAAAGCAATGGGGAAAGGATTCCCTATTTAATAAATGGTGCTGGGAAAACTTTCTAGCCATTTGTAGAAAGCTAGACCTGGATCCCTTCCTTACACTGTATACAAAAATTAACTCAAGATGGATTAAAAACTTAAATGTAAGACCTAGAACCATAAAAACCCAAGAAGAAAACCTAGGCAATACCATTCAGGACATAGGTATGGACAAAGACTTCATGACTAAAACACCAAAAGCAATGGCAACAAAAGCCAAAATAGACAAATGGGGTCTAATTAAACTAAAGAGCTTCTGCACGCAAAAGAAACTACCTTCAGAGTGAACAGGCAACCTACAGAATGGGAGAAAATTTTTACAATCTACCCATCTGACAAAAGGCTAATATCCAGAATCTACAAAGAACTTAAACAAATTTACAAGAAAAAAACAAACAACTCCATCAAAAAGTGGGCAAAGGATATGAACAGACACTTCTCAAAAGGCGACATTTATGCAGCCAAGAGACACGTGAAAAAATGCTCATCATCACTGGCCATCAGAGAAATGCAAATGAAAACCGCAATGAGATACCATCTCATGCCAGTTAGAATGGCGATCATTAAAAAGTCAGGAAACAACAGATGCTGGAGACGATTTGGAGAAATAGGAATGCTTTTACACTGTTATTGGGAGTGTAAATTAGTTCATTGTGGAAGACAGTGTGGCAATTCCTCAAGGATCTAGAACTAATCACATCTTTAAAAGTGCCTTCACAACAACATCTACAATGGTACTTGATCAAAAAACTGGGCAAAATAGTCTAGCTAAGTTGACACACAAAATTAATCATCACAATACATAATAGCTCTCTGAGAGGAAATGCTCTCAATTTTTAAAATTAAAATAAATACTTACATAGTACTTACTAGGAGCCAAACACTATTTGAAACCTTTTAAATAATAGTTCACTTAATCCTTAACCATCTCTATAAAGTAAGGACTACTATTCCTCATATTTTAAAGATGGGGACATTAACTTGTCCAAGCTGAAACAGCCAATAAAAACAGAGCTGGGATTTAAACACAGCTTTGCTTCAAGCACAGTATTATATTGCCTCATGGTTAATCAAGTTTGAACTGTCTCTGAGTAGCAGAAATGAAAATTAGAAGAGTTCTCTATCCTTCTCATTAACGAATATATGTTTTCTGTGTAGATAATGTTTGAGTTTGTATTTTAGACTGAGCCTTCGGGGAAATATGTATCCCAGAATCACTTCCAGGTGGTCAAGAAGTTGAAGCATACAAGATGGTTAATCTAACTCACTGTCTTCCTTCTTTAATATTTTAAAGCAATATCAAAATTTAATTTACAAGGAAATCCTTAAAATGGAGTGGAAAAAATAAAACCAAAATGACAGTTATGGAGGAATTGCGCCAGGTATGGGCAACGTCGGTCTCTGTCTGATTAGCTTTGGTTGCCCAAATGTTACATATTCTTGCTAAAACAAATTACAATTTGAATTATTTATAGGTTTAAATCTATGTGTTCTCATGCTTATTGTGAACATACAGAATTAATTGCATCTATTCTTTCTTGTATAGATGACTACATTGCCAGGGCTGTAATCTGTCCTCCTAGAAAGGAGGAAAACACATCAGGTTCTGTATTTGGCTGCATATAAATTTTACTGACTGTGATAACTCATTGCTTCTCTTCCTTCACGTCTGTACTATTATGAGCCTTGTGTGTTCTCAGTGTCTTGGACTCAATACTCTAAACCCAGATATTTTTTTCTACCTTATCTTCTGGAGAAGCATGTTAACTCATAACTAGGAAAATCTAAACCTATGTTTCATTCCCTTTGGTTAACCCAACATATTTATTTGCCTTACTTCTCTAGTACAATTACTTGGCCCCTAAGTTTATAACATTAGAGATGTTGGCAGGGTATATACACAGTGACATCACCCTCAAAGACTGCATGAGCCATATGTTATCTTTTACCAAATGAAAACACTGTATCATCCCAGATACAGATTGACTGTGTTGTATTTCCCAAGTTTGCTTTCTGTATTTCCTGACTGTCAAGTTTATTTGGTAGTTAGACACTGACAGTAGAGCTTCTTGTACTTTAATGTGGCATTGTATAGACATCAAAGATTTATAGTGTGTTGATAGGGACATAACTGACTCATTTGTTTTTGTTCCATGATAAAGACAGTATAAGTAAAGCAAGTCTTTCCAAGTGCTTTTAAGCTGGTAACGCGTGGCATGAAGTTGTACCCCTCATTTTCGTATGTCTGTATTTTTTGGTAGAAAATGGAAATTAGATACCTAAGTTTAATAAAGTCATTGAAAATACACTTTTATTTACTTCAAACATGATAAAGTTTCTGAGATTTTTTAATGAGTCCTAGGAGTTACACAGTAAACAAATAATCAAAATCCAAACTTTCTATTACTGAAAATAATAGTGGGCTGAGCACTTAGAATTTAATAAAACATGAAGGTATAGACTGGCCCTAAGGTTCCCTTCTAGCTCTATGGCCTAATTAATGATTTTATACTTATTGTCTATTTCTCTCTGTTACCACTGAGTCACAGTTTCTTAAAGAGCCACAAGTTGTTTACTCTAACTTTAAATTATTTCTGCATAATTTATTTTTGTGTGTACTTTAGTGAAATATATCTAAAATAGGTAGAGTATTTTTGCCTTTAAAAAATTCTGATTTCTTCTGAAGACCCAAATACTGTTTAATCATTTTTATCTATATGACTGGCACTAGAAAGTGTTAAAAGTAAACTATAGTGGGATGAGGCGTAGAACACATCTCTTTTAATGGACTTATCCATGTCCATCTTTTGCCTGGGCTGCTTTCTGATGATAGTAGTTTCCTATCATCTATTCTTGCAATCTTCCTGCATGTTGCCTTCATGCAACCTGAGTGATCTTTTTAAGGGGAAACTCTGATTATGTGACAACTTTAGCAAAGCTCTTTCATAGCTCTCCATGGCCTTCAGCATAAAATTCCTAAGCTAAGTAATTTGGGATTCCACCTCAAATACTAATTGGTTGTGAGGTCTTCAATTGTAAATACATTGGCGTGGACACAGGGATTTTATCTGTGCTTATTAATTTAAATTGAAATGCTAGAGTAATCAGTTGTCTACTCAGGAATTTAGATCTAAAGACCATCAATTAGTATTATATCAGAAACCCGAGACGCATGAAGCCTCAGCCATCATATCCACATTAATACTTTACTGATGGACAGGTAGAAAATTTAAATAGTTCTTATTGATGGTTTTAGAAGAGTTTTCAAGCAATGTGTTTTAGTTAAAATATATAAAGGATGCCCCTGAATCTTGTACCAACAGTGTAACAAACTCTGGTGAGACATGTTGCTGCAGCATTCCTGCAGCAACTTCCTGAAAATTCTTGTGCTCAAGCCATCGACTATGCAGGAGGGTTTCCAGATGCTTGATGCAGAGAATAATGATACTAGAATAGTGCCTGTAGTGTGTTGGCCCCTTTAATCCATGGCTAGGCTATAGGGTACCAAGTCTTGAGGTTGCGCAGAGTAGGGAGTGCCCTGGGCCCAGCTTATGAAACTATTTTTTCCTCCTAGGCCTCTGGGCCTGTGATGAAAGGCTGCTGCCAAGATCTCTGACATTCCCTGGAGGCATTTTCCCCATTGTCTAGTCAATTAACATTTGGGTCCTCATTACTTTTGCAAATCTCTGCAGCTGGCTTGAAATTCCCCTCAGAAAATGACGCTTTTTCTTTTTTTCTATTGCATTGTCAGGCTGCAAATATTCTGAACTTTTAGGCTCTGCTTCCCTTTAAATACAAGTTCAAGTCTCAAATCATCTCTCTCAAGTTCAAAGTTCCATAGATCTCTTGAACAGAGGCAAAATGCTGCCAGTTTCTTTGCTAAAGCATAGCAAGAGTGACCTTTGCTCCAGTTCCCAGTGAGTTCCTCATCTCCATCTGAGACCACCTCAGCCTGAACTTCATCGTCCATATCACTGTCAGCACTTTGGTCAAAACCATTCAACGAGTCTCTAGGAAGTTCCAAAGTTTCCCACATCTTCCTGTCTTCTTCTGATCCCTTCAAACTGTTCCAACCTCTTCCTGTTACCCAATTGCAAAGTTGCTACCATGTTTTCAGATATCTTTATAGCAGTACCCCACTCCTGGTACCAATTTACTGTATTAGTCTGTTCTCACACTGCTATAAAGATACTACCTGAGACTGGGTATCTTACAAAGGAGGTTTAATTCACTCACAGTTCTGCAGGCTTAACAGGAAGCATGGCTAGGAGGCCTCAGGAAACTTACCATCATGGTGGAAGGTGAGGGGGAAGTAGGCACTTTCTTCACAAGGCAGCAGGAGGGAGTGTGTGAAACAAGTGAAGAGGAAAGTGCCCCTTATAAATGCCAGCACTTTGGGAGGCCGAGGCGGGCGGATCACAAGGTCAGGAGATTGAGACCATCCTGGCTAACATGGTAAAACCCCATCTCTACTAAAAATACAAAAAATTAGCTGGACGCAGTGGTGGGCGCCTGTAGTCCCAGCTACTCAGCAGGCTGAGGCAGGAGAATGGCGTGAACCTGGGAGGCAGAGCTTGCAGTGAGCCGAGATCACACCACTGTACTCCAGCCTTGGCGATAGAGCGAGACTCCATCTCAAAAAAAAAAAAAAAAAAAAAAAAAAAATGAAACCCATCAGATCATGTGAGAATTCTGTCACTACCATAAGAACAGCATGAGGGAAACTGCCCCCATGAGCCAATCACCTCCCACCAGGTCTCTCCCTCAACACCTGGGAATTACAATTCAAGATGAGCCTTGGGTGTGAACACAAAGCCTAACCATATCAATTGCTGTGAGAATTAAATGAAAGAATATAATCGAAAACATTTAGAAAAGCGTTTTGTGCTTGGGAAGAGTGCAACAAGTATAGATAATCCATGGACCTGAACAATAAGACTCACTTAACAAAAGGAATTCTGTTAATGACCACAGATAATGACCTAAATTCAAGTGTTTAAATATCTAAACCATAAGCAAATTTATTTAACTTAAAATGATTTTGACATCTAATATCAGCCAACTTTGTGCATTTTCTCTTCAGGTTTGAAAGATAGATATCAATGCAGACAAGAACCCACTGAAAAAATCAGTTTTCTCACCTTCAGAGTTGATTAGACTTCTACTTGAGATGAAAAAAAAACTCATATTAAAAAGGACCTCATCTAGACATATAGAATGTCTTAGCTATTGGCTCTATATAGTGTATAATTTTTACATGTTAACTATTCAATTGCTTCTGCAGTTGAGTCTTGCTCAGCCAAATGAACTCTGGATTTATATTTAGTCTATATGCATTGGTGACAAAGTATATTCTTTGTAATGGTGAGAATATTGTAAAAATTCTACTCTAGATATGCAATTGGTTGAACTTTCAGGGTGTATGTAGCAAGTGCATATCAGCCAAGTGAAGCACTGTGCACACTTGGTGGGCACAGGTAGACAATATTACACAAGGGGATTATTAGGCTGGAATGGCTTGCCATAGGGAGCTGTCTTATGGAAACTAAATTCTGAAATAGTGAATCACACCAATAATAGCAAAGTGTCTTACACTATACTTTGGCATCATTAATGTTTTTAATGCCATCTGGAAAGGAAAGAAGCAAAAATTTTCCTGGTAGGTGGCTTATAAAACTCTTCAGATATTTAGTGATCACATGTAATGTTTAAAATATTTAAGACACTTTTAAAAGAGTCATTTGAAGCACTCAAAATGATTACCTCTCCTAATTCACCAAGTGCTTGCAAGATTTGGTTTTTAACAAGCAAGACTGGTTTTGATTTATGAAGTGCCAAAAAGGCACCTGAAAGAAAAAATCTACTTGAAATTTTGCTTTATTTTAAGAAGGCCTGAAAGACAGTTTTGTACAAAAGTAAAATAAAAATAAAAAACATAAATTCTCTTGGGTTAATATTTTACATGCCAAGTTGAGCCTGGAGCTCATTTTTACAGCTGCTTTATGAGTCTTTAAAATAGTGATTTATAATGGAAAGAGTGACACAATCTTAATTATAACATGATGTACCAGGTATTATAATGAGCAAAGGTATTTTTCTCAAACATGTATAGCTTTTAACCTTTTCTGAAAGGCTAGTAGTTGTTTCATTATGATCATAATTCTCAATTATGCCTAGATACTAACCTACAAAGTTTCTTTTCTTAAGAACTATGAGCATTGTTTCGCTGTTTTTTTGTTTTGTTTTGTTTTTGTTTTGCTTCTCAATGGTGAAAATGTAGCAGCAAAATATTCCTGGAAAAATGAGACTTTTACTTGAATGACAAAATGATAGTAAAACATTATTAAATAATACAACATGCAAAATTCAGCAACACTCCACTTTCACATAATTATTTTATAATTATAGAGTTTATCTATCAATATTAGGCTCTGGCGTAACATTAGGGTACCTTCTCTCAAAGCAGCATCTGCCGTCTTACAGAGGTGCTACTGTGCGGGGCATTAATGCTTAGAGGAGTTACAATTTCTAAGGCCCTGACAACTACTGGAAAGAAAGCGGAAGGAAATCTGGAAAGGACCTTGGCTTTTAAAGTAGAAGAGGATCTTCTTTGATCAATCTTTCCAGGATCAGGAACACAGAAAGATGTGAGAGCATATGTCTTTTTGTATAATCAATGCCTGCTGAGAACGCTCTTGAGTGTGTATGTGTGTGTGTGTGTGTTTGCACATGTGTATGTGACTTAAACTGGATTCTACAGTGCCCTTACGCTATCATAGTAAATAAAAGAATGATCATTAATGTGAATGTCAATGTCAGTGAAGAAAGACTTTATTATGAAATTAGCATTACAAACTTTCATAGACTATAATTAATGTCCTAGTAATGCACTTTCTAAAATGTGGCCTTTTTTCTATTTTAAAAGGAAGCTATGTTCCCCATTTCTGTAGTCCCTAAAATAGAATGTTAGGCAACACTTTATTATGAAGATGATATTCATTTCATTGAGCAGAATAAATCATTAAAAAGCAACATTACATGTAATTAATATGATAATTTTTTATGTGCCTTTTGGAAACATAAATAAAAATATGGTAACAAAATACATATTTAATTAAATACAAATATTTAACAAAATAGAGAAATGCTTATATGTATAAAGGGACAGTGGTTAAAAACTTATTCAGGAAAATATTAAAAACATCAAAAATATTATCTTAATCAGTTTGGAGGACAACATTCATTGATGATTTTAACATTCACTCAATGCCCTAGGTCATTTTGTGGGTTATATCCTAGTTCCCTACTCATGTTATGTAAATGTAGCTGAAAGCAATAATAATGGGTTGCATAACTGAAATTTTAAAATATTTGTATAATGCATCTTATTGTTAAAGTCACTAGCAAAACAATGGTCACATTATGGGTAGTTTGGATAAAACTGGTTTGCAGTCGGAATGCCCCCTAATTTAGTCATGCCTAGAGAAAATGTGGGCAAATTGAATTGTTTGTCTGAACAATCTGTAATTCACAGAGTAGATTTTTAACTACTGATTACGATCAGGAAATTACAAAGAGATTAGTTCATATCTTAGGAGAAAAATTCACCAATTTATTATAAACAAAGATTGGATAGTCAGGGTTTGATTTTTTCACGGCCTCCTCGCTAACTGGTCTTCTGTTTTTCCTCTCAAATACTATTACATTGTCGTAAACTTTTACCTTTTTTAAGATATTCACCTTAAATGTCTAATCTGTGCCAATATTGGTGACAGGCAATAGTGATATAAAAAAATGAATTTAAAAATTAGACAAAAACTTTGTCCTCAATAGATTGGATAACTATGTGAGATAATAGATATGTTAATTATCTTTAATTAACACATCTTTGTGCTAATAACTTCACTATGTATGTGCATCAAAGCAAATATAAACAAAACATAAAAAGACAGCTCAGAATACACTGACATTTCTCTCAAAATAAGCTGCAATAATAGTATAAAAGTGTTAATAAGTAAAGTAAAAACCACTTTGATTATCAATAAACTCCTACTGTTGAGTATTTAATATAATAATTTATACCATGTCAATTTTATGCCCTTATCTTGTGACACAAGACAATGATTTATTTTTATCTCTCACAGTCTAATGGGTTGAGTAGCCTCTGATGGGCATTCTCACGGATTCTTGTGTGTAGCTGCTATCAGATGACAGCTGGAATTGGGTTGGATGTCCCAGCATAGCACAATCAGTTGCCTGGCAGTTGATGTGGGCTTTGGCTGGGAGTTTAGCTGGAAATAATGTCCAAATTGTCTACATGTGGTTTCTTCACATCACTTGAACTTTCCACAGCCTGATAACTGGTTTTCAAAAACTAGTATTCCAACAAACAGAACCCACTAGAAACTGACAATCTTTTAAAGACTAAACCTGAAACTTGGCACAGCCTCCATTCTCCCATAATCCATTATGGAATTTCCCAGATTCAAAAAGAAGGAACATAGACCACTTGCTTTCAGTGGGAGGGGTGTAAAAGGATCTGTGGCCATTTTAAATTTGTAACAGCCTGAATCACTCATTTTTTGGTCACCAGTTCAAAGACTCTCAGATTCACCTTCTATTTGAGCTACTGCTATGCTAAGTTCCAGTCATGCTCTATCCAATTTACATGGACACAACCTGGCAGCATCTCATTTTCAACTTCTCACAGGGACTTTCCAGGAACTGCCATATGGAAGACCCATGGGAAGGAGAGTGGGAAGAAAGTCAATACATTAACGCATTCTCCTTTCTTCCCCCCAGACAGATTGTTCTGAAATTCACACCATAAGCTTCTCAGAGTGTCATGTGAGATTGAGCAATTCATTGCTCCAAGTGGTAGAGTAGTTATTATATTGTGCTTATATATCAAGCTAAAGATTAAAAGTCAAGGAGATGTAGCTAAATAAGAGATCATGATTCTATAAACTGAATGGTGTCCTCTCTACATTTATAAATTGAAGTCCTATCTTCCATTTGACTATCTTTGGAGTAAGGAAGCAATTAATATTAAAGATGTCCTAAGGGTGGGGCCTGACCTAATGGGATTATTGTCTTTATGATAAAAGACACTTTCTCTCTGCCATAAGAAGACACAGTGAGAAGACAGCCATCTGCAAACCAGAAAGAGAGCCTTCAGTAGAAACTGATTTGACTGGTACCTTGATCTTGGAGTTCCCAGCCTCCAGAGCTGTGGGATAAAAAAAATACATTTCTGTTGTTTAAGTCGCCCAGTATATGGTAGTTTATTATGGAAGCCCAAGCTGAGTAAGAATAATTTTGGTACCAGCAGTGGGATTCTATTGTAAAAAGTACCTAAAAATGTGAAAGTAGTGTTGGAAATGGATAATGGGTAGAGATTGGAAGAGTGTTGAAGTGCATACTAGAAATATGGGTGAGATCACAGATGAAATAAAGTATCAAGTTATTAGAAACTAGAGGAAGAACAATTTTTGTTATAAAGTGGCAAAGAACTTAGCTGAATTGAGTTGTGGTGTTTTGTGGAAAGAAAACCTGTGGTGAGATTTCTAAGCAAAGTATTGAATGAGTGGCTTTTGTCCTCCCTGCTGCTAATACCAAGTGTGAAAAGACAGAGATAAATCGAAGAAGAAATTGTTAGCATAAATAAACCAGAACTCTGAGATTTGGAAAATTCTCAGTCTAACCATATTGCAAATTAAAAAAAAAAAAAAAGAATAAGAAGAGAGAAAGTTTTCTTTGAAGAGGACACTAATGGTGTGGCTAAACAACCATTTGAAAAAGAGATCATGAATAGATTTAATCAATTATTTCAACAGCAGAATCTAAGAAGAGAGATGGGATTATATTAGCAGAGACATTGCCAATTTGAACTAAGGGAGAAAGCAGAATGGAATGAAGCAAGCAAGCATGTTGAGCCTGTTGGGTTCTACAGGAAGAATCTGTAACAGGCCCATAAGTCTATTTGATTTTGAAAGTGTGTATTCTTCAAAAAAAAAGGGAAGAATCAGTGCCTAAGGCAATTCAGAAAGCCTCAGGGCTGCCACTCCCACCTCAGGCACATGGCTCAAGGCTGTATCCTCCTCAGTTTTAGAGGGTGGAGACTTAGCAGAGGATCTTGGAGGCAGGGCTGCCCTGCAGAGGTGTGAGGCAGATGTTCCCAGCCCAGTGGGCCTGTAAGGCAGAAAATCAAGACAAATAAGATGAGTCTTGTGCCTTAACATCTAATGAAATTTGCCTTGATAGGTCTTGGACTTGATTGGGACCTGTCTCCCTTCCTTCTTTTATATTTCTCCCTTTTGGAATGGGGATGTCTTTCCCATGCATGTCTCATCATTGTGTACATAACTTTTCTGATTTCATAGGTTCACAACTGGAGCAGATGTTTTGCCCAGGAATAAAGTGTATTTCAAGTCTCACTTATATCTGATGTAGATTATATTTAGAAGAGATGTTGGAATTTAGAATCGATTCTGGAAAAACTTAAGATTTTGGTAGCTGTTGGAGTGGAATGCACTAATTTTGCATCTGACTAAAGTCATAAATTTTGGAGGGCCAGGGATGAAATGGTAGGCACTGAATTATGTCCCCTTCAAAATTCATAAGTTGGAACCCTGTCCTCAGTGTGACTGTATTTGGTGTATGGAAGTAATTAAGGTTAAAAGAGGTCACAAGGGCAGGGCACTGATCTGATTGGATTAGAGTCCTTTTGAAAAAAGACACCAGATATGTTGCTCTCCTTCTCTCTATACCTGGTGAAGGCACTGCAAGAAGGCAGCTATCTGCAAGTCAGGAGGAGAACCCTCACCAGAAAGTGTTTGATCTTGGACTTCCCAGCCTCCAGAAATGTCAAATAAAAATAAATTTCTATTGTTTAAGCCAGACAATCTATGGTATTTTATTATGGCAGACTAAGAAACAGTGTGGCAAGCAGTCTTCTTTTAATAAGTGATTTCAATAATTGTTTTCTTAAATCCAAATTGTATCCCTTATTGTAAAAAGATAACCTTGTTGCCTCCCCCAGGTTGGTGGGATGCACTGGTAAATCTTTGTGTTTTACTATTTCTCTGTTACCCAGGCTGGAGCGCAGGGGCACAATCATAGCTCCGTGTAGCCGCGAACTCTTGGGATCAAGGGATCCTCCTGCCTCAGCCTCCTGAGTATCTAGGACTACAAGTATGTGCCACACCACCCAGCTAAATTTTTTTAAAGTTTTTTGTAGAGACAGAGTCTTGTCATCATGCCCAGTCTGTTCTCAAACTCCTGGATTCAAGGGATTGTCCTGTTTCTGCCTCCCAAAGAGCTGGGATTATAGGTGTGAACCACCATGCCCAACTAACTGATATATTTCCTAAACATTGGCAACATAAGCTGATATATTTTTGAAATGGAGGCTTCCAAACTGACATAGGCACAGGAAAGTAAGTCACTATGATATTCCATTTTCATTCCCCACTATGACCCATGTTTCCACTGGTCAGCTTCACTAACATCAAGATTCCCAGGCTCTCAGAGAAAATTCTAATATTTAATATTTAATTAATATTTAAGCAAAACTAACAGAGTAAAACAATCAGTCCATTGCAACTGTTGAGGTTTTGTAAGGTGAAAATTTCTCTTTAAGCACTAAAAAAATGTCTACTAAAGTAGGTTATTTCTCAGTATTTTACGGCACATTACTGTTCTTAAAATTTTTATACAGTTGTAAAAAATTATAACTCCCTCAAATCTTAACTAGTGTTCACCCTAGTAGCACTTGACTGTGGAGCCTAATTATTTCCCGGTAGCATGTTTGACATCTATTAATGGTCATTATTAGGTGGCTCAATTTTACACAGCCAGAAAAAATGCAGAAAATCCCACAAATCTGATTTCTCACTTCCATATGCATAAGCCGAGGCTTGGAGAAGTAAAAAATGACCAAGGCCATGGTAATAAGTAGTGACAGAAGCAATCTGGATATGTTAGGTTTCAGATCAATGCTGTTTGCAATGTACCATTTATTCCCTTTCTATGTCTATTGACTAGGAATATGTTTGGAGTGTGTGTGTGTGTGTGTGTGTGTGTGTGTGTGTGTGTATACATGTGTATACTAAATGACTATGTAGTTGTAGCATTATCTTTGTGTGGAATTCCCCTTGTGGCTTTCAGCTTGCTTCATTTTCCTCTTGGATTGCAGTATGTGAAGACAGGATAAGCACAGATTTATGTAGTACCATTTTATTACAATATAATGAGACCTTTGTTTTTAGCTTTTTATTCTCTGTTTCTAAGAGAAAAAAATATGAGAACAGGTACTAACAACACTTACATAAAACAGGGTCTCATCTTCTCTGCAGTTGGTATCTAGCTTGCAAAAAGTTAAAGTTTTTACATTTATTTATTAGTTATAAAGGCAAAGTGATTTTCTTTGTTCATTCAAACCCTTGGAAGAAGAAAGTTTACAATAAATGCAATGAATTTGAAAATTATTTTTGTAATTATGTTCTCATTTATCTATTGCATAATTTCTAAAATATAATTTAGAATATTGTGAATTTTTCAAAAGAATCCAATATATTGTATTCTAATTTAAATAAATATTTTGTGGTGATTTGGTGGTGTTGTGAGGCAGATGAATGGAGTCCTGCTGAGCTGCGTAGAGTTAACTCAGGTCTGCTGGAAATGTCTCATGTGTGTCATTTCTCCATTGTCTTCAGAGATATTCATCAGGAAACACCCAACACACCAGTGTAACTTCACCTATCTCTGACATGCTGATCTGAACGCCAAGCCATTTCTCCTTTGATTGCTTGTATGTAAAATTAAAAGACATTTAGCATATCACTTTATACCCAATTCTAAAAGAGAAGATCTGCAATAAAAAAATGCCATTACTAACAGTTGTTTTACCAATCAATTATTTTGTTCATTATCAATCATAAAAGTTCAAGTCTTTCTCATTCCAGATTTCAGAGTAAGGCTGCTAAAAATACTACTACTACCACCACCAACAGCAAAAACAGTACATCACAAACAAATGAATGTGCCAACTTTATATCAATACTGGAGTTGATTAAAAATACTTAAAAATATAGCCACAATTTTTTTAAAATAAAGCTTTCAACAACAGAATTATTAAACATAATTTTCTTTGTTTAAATGCTACTTGTCTTTATTTAGTACTTTTCAAGTAAAAAATTCCTAAAATAATAATCTTTAAAATGCTTTAATTTCTGTTTAGTGATTCATAACTGCCTTTTTCAAACAATAAAAAAGCCCTCAGTGTTTTTTTTTAGAAAACAATTTTGAGAAAGAGATTGCAGATTATTTTCCATCATACAATTACTAATTTGGACATGATTAAGACCTCATGTTTCAAGACCTCACACAATAACCCAAGATTAGTGTAGTGTTTAATGGACATTTAGATAATCTGAAATATATTTGGTTATGCTTCTTCCTGTGGCTCAAAGCTCTTGGGTGATCTTTGTTTCTGAGATCAGAAAACAGCCAGGGTCAAACACACACCTAAAAGGCCCTTGGTAGGCCTAGGAAGATAGAGAAGAATCAGTGCTGTCAAGAAATTGTAGGCCAGGCACGGTGGCTCACACTTTGGGAAGCTAAAGCGGGCGGATCATTTGAGGCTAGTTTGAGATCAGCCTGGCCAACATTGTGAAACCCTGTCTCTACTAAAAATATAAAAATTAGCTGGGCCTGGTGGTGTATGCCTGTAGTCACAGCTAGTTGGTAGGCTAAGACACAAGAATCTCTTGAATCCGGGAGGCAGAGGCCTTCATGCCACCACATACCAGCCTGGGTGACAGTGAGACTCTGTAGCAAAAAATAAAAAATAAAAAATAAAAAAATAAATTGCAGAAGTCCTTGGTGAAACAAAACACATATCCAAGAACATAGTCAAAAAATGAAATATCAAAATAATACAACAGTATTGATTAAAGCTGTGTCTACCTGATCCCAAGTTAGGATTTTCAGATCCCAGTTGAGAAGCTTTCCAAACTTTCCTTGAATAGACACCAGAAGACACTTCATCATATAATCCTTCCTCAGTAAGATAATGGTGATTTCTATTTGTCATTGAAAAACTTCTTTCAAGATGAAAATCAGGAATTTCCTTTCTATAGATTTTGGAAGGTCATTTACTCATTGGCCCATTCGACAACAAAACCATTATGAAGCATTTTAAAATGTATTTTTAATATTGGCTTTTCATATCAGCATACTTTGTCTGAAAAAATGACTCACACGTGATTGAACCGCTTGGTGACTATAATTAATGATAATGCATTGTGTTCTTAGAAAATGCTAAGAGAGTGTTCTCACCATATTAATAATAACTACGTCAGGTAATGCATTTGTTAACTAGCTACATTTAATCATTCTACAATGTGTATGTACTTCAAAACATTATGTTATGCATGATAAACACACATAATTTTATATGTCAATTAAAAATAAATTTAAAAAATAGGACAGGTGTATTTTTTATCATCAACAAATTCTTTAATTAAAAAGAAGTATTGCATTTTTTCAAGATCCATTTCTATTTATTGATTTTATTTACAGGATACATAAAATCAATATTAAAATATACAACCCTAAACAGTTACACTAAAATATATCTACTCCTTATGTTTTGTATATGTAAGCATTAAATGAATTATTTTGACATTAGTGGGTTTGGACCACTTTAGTTAAAATATTTTAGTGGTGCTCCCAATTTCGGCAGCCATTGCTTATATTTCTTGCAAAATCCTAAAATTCAAAGTGGTGACATCCAGCTGCTATTTTGTTTCTGGGCTAAGTCCAGTTTTCAGTTCCTAATCTCATCTTCTTTCCCACTTTCTTTCCTTCTAGCAAAATACACTTACTTAAATCTTCACACCTACTTTTGCTTCCAGCCAGCTTCCAACTGTTGACTACCTATTTCACATTAATGCATGGAATTAAGCCACTTAGTTCCCAGTGGCACAATTTCTGAGATTTAGGTATACTATGTCAAATGGAAATAAATTTTTAAAAAGCTTCAGAAGTAAGTCTAGTCATTGTTCCTTTGGTAGTTGTTATTAGACCTGTTACTTGTGTGTATAGCTTATATTTTCACATTTCAAAATATATGGAGTCTGATATGGTTTGGCTGTGTCCCCACCCAAGTCTCACTTTGAACTGTAATAATCACCGTGTGTCAAAGGTGGTGCCAGAAGATAACTGAATCATGGGGGTGGTTCCCCCATACTGTTCTCATGGTAGTGAATACGTCTCTTGAGATCTGATGGTTTTATAAATGGGAGTTCCCCTGCACAAGCTCTCTCTTGCCTGTGGCCATGTAGGACGTGTTAGTCGATTAAACCTCTTTCCTTTATAAATTGCCCAGTCTTGGGTATGTCTTTATTAGCAGCGTAAGAACAGGCTAATACAGAGTCCATACAAATTGTATGTTAGAACAAGAACTGATAGGTTAATTACTCCACAGATAGTACAATGACAGCTCAAATCATCCGTTTACAATAACTATCTAAAATTAGTTTGGGAAATCAGGATATCACTTTCTGGTTTTAAAACAGCACAATCAAGATGGATAGAAAATCATACCCTCTGAACTCATGCCTTCTTATTTGGGAAAGGATTAAATTTACAACGTTTCTCTCTTGGTGTCAAGTCTATTTGTTTATTTTGGGAGAAAAATATGTTACTGCCTGAGTTTCACCCCAGAATCCCTTTGGAAAATAATTGGATCAAGATGATACATTCTTGGTTTAAAAAAAAAACACAGAATCCATAGCTAGCATTTTTGGGGTTTGGTTTACATCCAAGTTTCAATAACTGGCACTTAAGGTAAGTCCTGCACTCATTTGTTCAGAGGCTTGATCTTTTCTGATGGCTAAGGGCAAAGTGTTATGCATAGCTGGCTAAGATTCTGGGTGTAGGTGGTTCTGACTAGAGTTGGCACTAACTGACAGGAATGAAAGGATTTCAGAATTCAAGGGGGCTTTATTCATGAAGAACACATAAAAAGAATACAATTTTCTATACTTTCAAAGTGATCCCCCTTAAGCAGCTCCTTGGTATAGACTTTAGCAGGTGTTGGCAAATGACAAAGTTATGTTTAATAAATGAGAGTACCTATAGCCCATGTGTCATATCACTATAGTCCGTTCTGCAGCATCATTGCAAGGCATGGTAAAGTATGCTCTTAGCGTTTTAATGCTTAACTTCAATAAATATTTTTTACACTTTTTCCTTAACTTACGCCTTTTTTAACTTGAAATAGATTCCCATAGGGATTCTGTTTTTTTAAAAAATATTATTTTCAAGATGGGCATCTCACTATGTTGCCTAGGCTGGCTTCAAAGTCCTGAGTTCAAGGGACCCTCCTGTCTCAGCCTTCCAAGTAGCTGGGAATACAGGTGCATGCCATCATGCCCAGCTGGGATACTGTTTGTTAGTTAGCAACAAAAGTATTAATAGTTCTAATGAGTGAAAAATAAATTAGCTGACCTCTGTGCCAACTAGATTAGCAAGAAGGCAAACAGATTTCTCTGAATAGTATGGCCAGCCATATGCTCCCTAATTTTTTTTTATACTTACCTCCTTATACTGTTTTCCTTTGGAGCAACTACTCAATGCTTGGCAATGGCAAATGCTTTGAATGCTTTAATTTGTTTTGTCTTCTAACAACTCAATGAGGTATTTGCTACAAATTTATAACTGATGAAACTTGAACTTAGAGCTGTTAGGTAATTTCTGCAAGGTTGTAGTACTTCTAAGAGTGGGGTTCTGATACCAAAACCTGTAATTTATGCTATAACACCTCTGCTGAGTTTTCTCTAAAGTCTTCTTACCTAATGAGATGACACAGGTATTCTTTATTTAAACATCAGTTGTTGTTTGTTTTTGTGTTTTTGTAGCTATCCTATTCAGTTTAACTGGTCTGTATTTCAAGTGAGCTATATATTGCTGCCTCAATGCCTGTTTCTGCATTTAGAAGTATTTCTACATTAAGATGCTAATATGCTTTCAAAATCATTTTGAAAATGTAATTACACATTTTAGTACCTCAAGGAAGTAATATACGTTCAATTTGCCCAACTGAGATAAAACATGTACTTTTATTACTCAAAATAATAAATACACAGTTGCAACAGTAATCGACACATCATAACCTAAAGTAACAACAAAGAAGATACATCAATATAAAGCGTAAGAATTTCAGAAACTCCAATTTCATTAGATCAAAATTTTCTTAAAGTTAAACTTTATTTAGATTTATTAAGAATGCCCTAAAACGTCAGTTTAGAAGCATGCAAATTGTTTGCAAAATTTGCTTTCATACTTCAAAGTTATTTTAATTAGTAAAATTTGTTGTATTTCCTGAATATTGTCACACACACAAAATAAAGCATTTCTTAATACTTTCATTACTTTGATTTAAATCTCTCATGTGAAAAACAACACAATCTTGTCATATTCCTATTCCTAGTTGTGTGTGTGTGTGTGTGTGTGTGTGTGTGTGTGTGTGTGTGTATTATGGAGTCTTACTCTGTCACCCAGGCTGGAGTGCAGTGGCGCGATCGATCTCAGCTCACAGCAACCTCCGCCTTTCGGGTTCACGCCAATCTCCTGCCTCAGCCTCCTGAGTAGCTGGGACTACAGGTGCGCATCACCACGCCTGGCTAATTTTTTGTATTTTTTTTAGTAGAGACGGGGTTTCACTGTGTAGGCCAGGATGGTCTCCATCTCTTGCCTTGGCCTCCCAAAGTGTTGGGATTACAGGCATGAGCTACCGCGCCTGGTCTAGTCCTAGTTCTTAATAAAATTCTATAAAAACAACAATGTATGTAATACTGTGGATTTCCATCAAAATAATGAGAAATATAGTGAGATTTACCATCTTTTATGCAGGCTTTTCATGTTAAATATTTGTCTTGCTTGGTTGATTTAAACTCTTCTGGTTTTAACGCATCTTATTACATCTTGACACAGGAGTGTAAAACCAGACGCGTTGAGTGTTTTCAGGTAAACAAAACAGTAATTAGCCAGTTACTCTTACTGATTCTGTTGAAGCCGAGAATCCTGTACCCACCTCTTGGGTGAAGATTATCTTCAATTTATTATACAAAAACCGTGATGAGAAAAATATTGCTAAACTAAGTTACAATGTACAGTACGTAGGATTATAAGTACATACAACTTCACCCTGAATTTAGTGGAAGTTTTCTCATCTTTTTCTGATGTGTAAGTCCTGTTTAAAATAGAAAAGTTTATTTTACAGTACAGGAATTACTAAATGTTGTCAAGCAGTTTGATAAAATAGATGTTGTTTGACCATATATATATAAAACAACCTCGTGTTAAAATCAAATGCTATCTAAAGAATACAATTTAATAAAGATATAAAATGGCTTAACTGTTGAAAAGTGATGAGAGTATCACATTCTTATTCTTTAAGATGGGAAAGCATATGCACGGTGAAGATGACTGCTTTGACATGGTAGTACACATAGTATACTATCAATCATTCTCAAGTCTCTAAGTATCATCCATGTTTTCTGTTACTTTAACATGTGCTATGGTTGTATTACTCATCATCATATAACTTTTTCATATAAGACAGCACGACTTTTTAAAATTAAACATTGATTGAGTTCTGAATATTGAACTGCTCTTGTATCCATGAAATAAAGGCCACTTGGTCACAGTGTACCATTTTTTAAATATAGTGCTTAAATCAATTTGCTTATATTTTGGTAAGGATATTTGCATTATACTTATGAGCGATATTGGTCGGTAGGTTTTGTTTTGTATTGTGTTTTTCTCTCTTTGTCTGGTTTCAGTATCAGAGTAAAACTAGTTTCATAAAATAAATTTGGAAATATTTCTTCCTATTCTATTTTCAGAAACATATTGTGTAGCATTGGTATTAATTCTTCCTTAAATTATCAGTGGAATTCTCCACTGAAACCACATGGGTCTGGAGATGTCTTTATTGTTTTTTATATTACGAATTCTATTTTCTTAAAATGTATTAAGGCTGTACAAATTATCTACTTTATATTGGGTAATTTTTGACAGTTTGTGGCTTTTAGAATATTGGTCCATTTTATCTTAGTTGCCAAACTTTTGTGTATAAAGTTATTATCAGTATTTCCTTATTATTCTTTCAATGTCTGCAGGGTCTAAAGTGATATTCTTTTTTTTTTTTTTTTTTTTTTTTTTTTTTTTTTTTTTTTTTTTTTTTTAGGCAGAGTCTTGCTCTGTCGCCCAGATTGGAGTGCGGTGGTGCGATTTCGGCTCACTGCAAGCTCCGCCTCCCGGGTTCATGCCATTCTCCTGCCTCAGCCTCCTGAGTAGCTGGGACTACAGGTGTCCGCCACGACGCCCGGCTAATTTTTTTTTTTTTTTTGTATTTTTAGTAGAGACGGGGTTTCACCGTGTTAACCAGGATGATCTCGATCTCCTGACCTCGTGATCCGCCCACATCGGCCTCCCAAAGTGCTTGGATTACAGGCGTGAGCCACCGCGTCCCAACAAAGTGATATTCTTTACTTCACTTCTGATATTGGTAGTATGTGTTTTCTGACTTTTTTCATCATCAGTCTTGCTAAAGGCTCATCATTTTCATTGATTGTTTAAAAAAACAGCTTTTTTCCATTGACTTTTTTGTCTTTTTTTCCCCCCAATTCCATTGATTTATTTTATTTATTTTGGTAGTAAGATAAAGTAGAAACCCATAGCTATCCTTGGAAAACTTTTTTAGTTAGGGAGCAGCATAAAGTATATAAGGGAATGATAACTTGGCCCTTTTTACTTAGTAATTCTATGGCTAGTAACTTTCAATGGATCTAGGAAAAGAAAAGACATCCAAATTATCCCAAGTATAGGAAGCTGTACTACCTGAACCTTATGTTTGGAATAATTGATTTGATTACAAAAAAAAAAAGTAGGATTGCTATTACACAAGAGTGACATGAAGAAATATTTTAGTAGTGGCCGGGCGCAGTGGCTCACACCTGTAACCTCAGCACTTTGGGAGGCCGAGGCGGGCGGATCACAAGGTCAGGAGTTTGAGACCAGCCTGGCCAACATGGTGAAACCCCATCTCTACTAAACATACAAAAATTAGCCAGGCATGGTGGCACATGTCTGCAATCCCAGCTACTCGGGAGGCTGAGGCAAGAGAATCGCTTGAGTCCAGGAGGCAGAGGTTGCAGAGAGCAGAGATCATGCCATTCCACTCTAGCCTGGGCGACAAGAGCAAGACTCTGTCTCAGAACAAAAAAAAAAAAAAGAAAGAAAGAAATATTTTAGCATTGATTAACACTACATGAAAATCTTAGTGTACAGGAATGTTAAGGAGGGATTGTGACAGAAACAAAAGATGAAATACTTCTCAGATTTGAATGTAGATTATAATAGAATCTAAGAGTTTCCTCTTCCATTTTCCACCATGAGTTGAAGCAGCCTGATGGCCTTACCAGATGCAGCTGCCCATCTTGAACCTTCCAGCCACCAGAATCACAAGCTAAATAAATTTTCTTTTTAAATTACGCAGGCTCGAGTATTCTGTTATAGAAACACAAAACAAAGACAGTAGGAAAACTCCATCCCCCGGGATGGTAGATAAAGCCTGCTTCACACACTTGTGGCCACTGGCAGGCACACAGGGTCAGTGCCCCAAAGAACCTTGTGCTTGGAGTTTAATTTTTTGATTTCACCACCTGAGAAGAGACATTCTGAATAACTTTATGTTTGAATTTGTGTTGTGTAAGTAAAGACCTATGAGATCATGAAACATGCACTGAGGGATTAGAGTCTCAGCTCTTATGTGGTTCCATTTTTTGCCACTGCTTAGAATGCATTCTTGGCTGCCTTTGTTCTCCATCCTCTGGAACCCATGATCCCTCCCCCTCCCCACCCTGCCACCACTGCCAGCCTCCATCCAGGACAGTCACTAGGTCAGGTTATGTTGAAAGGGAAGTATCTTTTGCCCTTTGTCCTCTATGAGGAACTTGGGAGTAGGCCTGGGAAGAGTCAGAGTGAGGTCCATCACTACCCCAGCTATGTCATGCCCCATGGTGCATTTGGTGGGCAACTTAACAGGAGATTCTTCCACACCCCCACTCCACGTTCCAAGCACATCTTATGTGGAGGTTTTGATCCTTTGGAACTTTTCACCTGTAAGAAATGAAGATTGACTTCCCCTAATATGGTAGGGACACTGCATTTTATTTTGCACTGAGCCTAAGGAATTATATACCCGACCCTGGTGGTGGATGTGCTGAAAGTAAAATCTAAGAACTGTTCCATGAACTCTATGAATGAAGTATATGCAAAAGAAAAACAAGTTTGGGACTCTGTTCCTCAATGAGAACCACACATGAATCCTTAAACAATTTCACTACAAAAGCATCTGTTTTAAATATCACAAATATCTGCTATTCCTCTTTCTTCTTTTTTCTGTTCACATTCACTGAAAAGAGGAGTATCACAAGGATACTAACTGTAGTGCTGTTAGGTATAATAAACCAAGCAACAGTTATGTGGAGTTTTCTACAAATGTCATTGTGTTTCATGGAAGTGGATACAAATAAGACCTCACCCTGAGCAACTGTCAAAAGCAAAGTAGAAAACAGACGCAGTCACATTTTATTTATTATTCACATTATTATTTATTCAGCAATGATGTATTTAGCACCTAGAATAGATCAGGTCCTAGTGTTTGAGAATAGAATAGTAAATATGAATGAAATATCTTCCTTTCGACCAGGGAGTTGACATTCTAGTGGAGAGAAAACAGAAAATCTATCTATGTAATGGTTCTAACTGAGAAATACTCAAAAACATATTTTTCCTTCTTAGTATTCCTTCATGTGTAATCTACAAATTGCATTTTAATAATTGACAGTCATCACTAAAATGATAGATTTCCAAACTATAAACTGGAACTACTGATTTAGAATTTCTGAGAGTAGGCCTGGAAACATGCATTTTACAATCTCCCAAGGTAACTCTAAATCATGATATTATTTGGGATCTTCTGGCCTAAGCAATGCAGAAAAAATAAAGTAAGCACTAAATAATGGTGCAGAAAAACAGGCACAGCTAAGATGATTTACACAAAGTGTTAATATAAACTGTTTTCCATTCTCTGTAAAGTGTAGTTAATGACCTTCTTTCTACATGTTTGTTATGAAGTGATCAGGATTATTTTAGATCAGAGAAGAATTTGTCTTAATTTGCAACATTTTTAATGTCTGAAAGATTTCTGAAAGCAATTAAAACCTCACAAAACAAAAAAATTTCCACAGGAAAAGCATTCTGAAACTTAATATTTCCAGCAATAATAAGAAATATGTTCAGAAGTACACTATTGATTGTCAGCAAAATAGAATTTTGTAACACATTGTGTTAATCAACATAAATAGAAAAATTTATTAAATTATTAATCTAACTAAATTAAAAAAATAACCAATAAAATTCAGCTTTATACTACATTGGATACATTTATTCTATAGTGGGGAAGGGAAGTAGAATTTGGATTGAAATGATATAATTTAATCTACAAAATATAATTTAATTAGTAATGAGCCATGAGCTTCAGGGATTCAGTGAAAATAAAACTATCAAATCAACTAAAATTGATTTAATCTCTTTTCTTAAAAGATGAGGATAATACATCAGAAATCTCATTTATAATATAAATATTTCTCTCGGTTTTAAGTGAATTACAACTGCAAAGCAGGAAACACATTGTCGCACCACTGTTGAGACTTTAACAGAGAACCATTTATATTGGTGTTATAGGAAGATTAATTAAACT
Source organism: Homo sapiens (assembly GCF_000001405.40). Classification (NCBI taxonomy): domain Eukaryota; kingdom Metazoa; phylum Chordata; class Mammalia; order Primates; family Hominidae; genus Homo; species Homo sapiens. The sequence goes on along the minus strand of NC_000021.9, from coordinate 27,498,674 downwards.
AAATGAAGGAAAATTGGACTACTACCCAGCACACAAGCTGAGAGCAATCAGGAAGAAAAGTGAACTGTGGTGCACTTCAGGATCCCTTTTTCCAAATGAATGTAACCATTCTTAATCATGGAGAAACATGCCATATGCACAAACTGCAAGTATTCTATCCATGAAAATGAGCAACTCTCCTTCTTCCCAAGACCTGAGGATTATCTGGGCAGGTCTAACAAAAACCAAGCAACAGGTTGTGTGAGGAATTGGCTAAGCTTTCTTTTAATTTCTTTTGATTTACTTTGCATGGGAATGTGCCTTTGCTGGGAGAATTCTAAGGGTGTCAAATGCAGACATATGTGTATGTTTTGGAATCTAGTGCTGTGGAAAATTACCAACAGATAGTAATGGCAAGATCAGATAGGGTGGGGCAGTAACAGAGACTCGTTTGGGAGGGGTGAAAGCCAATGTAATGAACCATTCAAAAATTATTTGCATGACTCGAAGGACAGCATTTCCTTTTCCCACGTTTTATCACCTAATGTCACATGAGTGGCTTTGACTTCCTCTCTACATCATCTCAAATCCCCTTGATGTCAAATTTAAGACCAACTCCCTATTTTTTGATAAGATTAGGTTCTATATCACTCTTAGTCCACCTTCTTTTTTCTCACTATCAAATACCATTCTTCCTTTCATCATGCATTCTACTATAAAAAGTCTACTTCTACTTCTATCAATCAAGGCTAGCTAAATTGTTTTTCCTTAGTAAACTTTGCAAAAGAATTCTCTCAAATGTCAGGTGAATGTGTATTCATGCACAGGGCAGTGGTTCAGTATTTACTAATTATTAGCAAGCATAATAAATGTATAAATATAGTAGATATATTTAAACTTTATTTTGAACAACTTTTAAACTTAGAAAAAATTGTGTAAGTAGTGAAACTGATTATCGTGTTTTGAATATATACACATATACACACTACATTCAATTTATATACACACTCTGATATTATGCTCCCATTACCATTGAAACAATGACAATGATGATGGCTATATTGCTGGAAATTCTTGCATCTTTTAGATTTTGAACTGATTATTTAATAAGTTAACTTTAAAGTAAGTTTCATTTTCTACCTTTTTGGTAACAGCTTTCCCTAGAAAACTGTCACATACTATATATTATTAATAGAATAAATTTGATATGAAGAAATTTTCAGCCACCTGTGATCAGTATGAGGCTGGTAAATAGCATTAAGTTTTAATTATGCAAAGAAAATTGATATAACAAAGGCATAGTTTTATGTGTTTTCTTTCTTCTCCCTTTATAAAATCCATATGTATTATGACTAAGTATATGTATGCGTTAATAGCTATAGTTAAATATTTACTGATTGTTCCTGCTAAAATTAAGGCCAGTGTTAAAAATATTTAAATTAAAATCAAAATACATGGCATATCATTATATGTTTTAGGATTGTATTGGCAAAATCACTCAGGGTCCAAAAAGTACCAAGAGCTATGATGTTCAAGATTAATATGACATGCATATATATTTATCAAAGCAAATTCCATAATTATCCCTTCCTTCCTTCCTTTCTTTCTCTCTTTTTCTTTCTTCCTTTCTTTCTCTCTTTCTCTTTCTTTCTTTCTTTCTTTCTTTCTTTCTTTCTTTCTTTCTTTCTTTCTTTTTCTTTCTTTCTTTCTTTCCCTCTTTCTTTCTTTTCTTTCCTTTCCCTCTTTCTTTCTTTTCTTTCCTTCTTTCTTCTTTCTTTCTTTTTTTTTTTTTTTTTGACAGTGTCTCATTCTGTTGCCCAGGTTGGAGTGCAGTGGTGCTATCTCAGCTCACTGCAGACTCCGCCTTCCACATTCAAGCAATTCTCCTACCTCAGCCTCCCGAGCAGCTGGGACTACAGGCATATGCCACCAGCTAATTTTTGTAGTTTTTAGTAGAGATGGGGTTTCGCCATGCTGGCCAGGCTGGTCTCAAGCTCCTGGCCTAAAGTGATCTGCCTGCCTCAGACTCCTGAATTGCTGGTATTACAGGTGTGAGCCCCCATGCCTGGCCAATTATCAATTTTAATATGTTCTTCTTAAGCTTTTATAGTGAATGAAGAATTCTTAGAAGCCAATACTAATAAGACAACCTGTGTCAAAAATTCTGCATGACCACCTTTAAAGACAAAGAAAGAATGTTGGTTATTTCAGACAGAAACAGTATTTTTTATGTTAAAAAATATATTCTATGCCTGTTAATACTTTACATTCATGTGTCTTAATCTTTGCTTTGAAACTAATGCTACTATTTCATTAGGTGGCTTCCATTAACAGAGTAGTTATTAAATCCCAAACAGAAGACACAATTTTTCAGTCAAAATTTAGTTGTTTTTTTAAATGAGGCATATCTGAAAATACCTGTCAACTCTATAGGAAATCTAAGTGCAGATGCCTCTCTGGGCACAACAGCCTGGCCAATAGCCTATCTACACAGCAAAAACTTTGTGACAGCTACATGTAGTTTGCATTTAATTCTCTATAGAACCTGATGTAAAACCTTAACTGTAACATATTAGCAGACAGTAGCTGCCCAGAGATCCAGGGCCTTAGAGTTGAGTCACCAGTGAATAGACAGCCAGGATACAAACCTGAGGGTACCCAACTGAGCATCTGAATGCCATGTGGTGACCTAATTTTTTCAAGACTACTGTCCCTGCTTTTCATCCAATCTGAGGAAAGAGCTGGCATCTAAGAATTTCAGGTTCCAAGACTGTTATTTTACCATTTTGATCTGTAGCAAGAAAAATAATTTCTTAGACATTCTAGAATCTTCGCTGTTCATTGAAGTATCTCTTAACAGCACTATTACCTACCACTTGTCTGGTTATACACTGTACAACTCTAGGAGGTGCCATTTAAAGAGTAACCTGTATAGTGATGTCCCTAGAATTGTGTAGCACACAACTTGTATGGTTGCACATCATGACTCTCACTACTGTCTTAGAAGCATGATTATTTTTGAAATAACAGAGCTACCCCTTGAAATATTTTATGTGCAAGGATATTAGAATGCTCTTTCTGTTCTCTTTATTTTTTTAACTGACAACAATTAATTACTTTATAATTACTAAGTATTTCTTGCTGGTTATAATGACTTTGAGTAATACAAAGTATCACAAGTAAAAGATTAGTTTTTTATTCTTATACTTCAAGTTCATGCTGCTGAGATAATGATTATAAATGATTCAAGCTATTTGATATGCATCAGCTGAAATCCTGTAATTTGTTATTACACATGCTTATTGTATATTTCAACCAAAATTAGGTCATACTAAACCTTCCAATTTGACGTTTGCTCTTTTTTTTTTCTCCAAAATAAAGTATGTTCTGGGCATATTCCCAAGTCATTATAGTATATTGATCTGCTTTACTTCTTTATTATGTAAAATTGCTGCCATCTGTTAATATCACAAGTGGAGAGGAGGTGGGAGAAAAAAGAACTTGGAAACAGGTAGTGGGAATGCAAATCTGTCCAAACACATGGGACAGCCAGTCAGCAATGTTTAGTTCAAATGACTCTCTTTTTTGAATTGAGAAGCGGTCTTGCCGTGTTGACCAGGCTGGAATGGAAAGGCCATTCACGGGTGTGATCATGGCACACTACAGCCTTGAACTTCGGGGCTCAAGTGATCCTCCTGCCTCAGCATCCAGAGTAGCTGAGGCTACCTGCACCCACCTGCAAATGCTCAGAATTCTGATTCTTGATGTGCACCATAGGAAAATTTCCATAAATATTTACCAGCACACAGCTTGAAAATAAGACCCAATGTATAAGATAATAAGCTACTATAGTTAAAATGCGTGAACCATATGCATGTATGTATGTTACATTACTAATAAGTAGAAGGATAGATCAATGTTGATTGAAAAAAGCAAACTGCCCAATCAAATTTATAAAATTATAAACATATAAATAGCGAGAAATGCAGTGCTATTGATTGTTCATAGGTGTGTGTGTGTGCACAAACACACATACACACAGTGTTCAAACATGATAAATAGCTTAGTGATTTCAAAACTTGAGTTGGTAAATAAACTTTATATTGACACATAAAAAAAGGAATCAAAAAGATTTAAGTAGATGTATAGTAAATTCAGCATCAAAATGCATATTTACATAGTTCATCCTGCAATTTATATTGATGAAATAATCAGAGTCTTAGTAATGGAAGCTTGAGATTTGTCTTGCTTAGTTATTAGGAAAAAAAGAGAGTAGCTTGCTTTTAGAGAAGGAGTAAAATACAGCTTTTCTTTTATCACCAAATATAGCCTATTTACAGAAAGATAAATAAAACATATGGCAATGTAAAAACAATATATAGCATCAAGAAATAAAGATTCCGTCTCTCACCCAGACACATGTTGTTTCTTTTCTGTAGATAAAGGAAGTAATTCAACACAGGGTATTTTTGCCAAAAAATAACATTAGAAAAGAAAGGGAAAACATGTCTTTTATACAAACAGTGAATGAAATATAACTGAAGCACTCTTCAAAAGCCATTTTAAAATTATTTATTTACTTACTTCTTATTCTTCTCTGCTTTTTAAATAGGGACCATTTAAGCATGTGTAATATCATGGAACATATGCAATAGTGGTTTAGATGATTGCACATACTTTTCCCTATAAAATTCAACCTGTTCTCTCTTGTTCCCTCCCTGGTTGGAAAGAGCCAAAAAAACATTGTATATTCATCCAACAGAGAGATTTTATATGTCTATTCTGTCCTAATCAGGGTGGTCAAAAATGCAAATTCCTTCTTATTTTTAGCAAAACCTGAGTGTCACTCATTGGAAGGATTAAAGCAGAATGATTTCCCATGTAATATTTATGAGCATTTAATTTGAATGTATTTTTTAAAGTCTGTTATAAAGATTACTACCAGTGTATCTTGCCAGACATAGGCTTGTAGCAGGAATTTAGGAGTGTCCTCCTGTGGGAGAGAGTGCCTTTAAAGCATTTCAACAGTATAAACTGGAAGAGCTGTTAAATGAATGTCCATTTATCCTGTTGAAATTCATATGAACCCAGTTAAAGTCATTTGGCTATATTTTTTTTTCAGTGATGCTAGTGTTGCTCTCATCTGGCAATCAGTCAGCTACTAAATATGTCATTAGAGTACATAAAATAGAAAGCTTGTGATAAACATCGGAAAATAAAATAGGGCACATATCTGGTCAAGAAGTCGAGCATGAAGGCTGTCTTCCAAAATACTTGTAATCTACTTCAGCCATGGCATATATCAGACTGGAAAGCAAGTTAAACAGTAAGTGTAATTTTTCATTGGCAATTCTAACACAGCTGTGACATATTTAAAGGCATAGTTAGCAGAATGGGAACCAGGTGATACTATATAGCTGATTAAGGAAAATATATGTGAAAACAGTAACTGATTAGAGAACATGTATTAAAATGTGGAATCTGATAGTCTTCTTCCAATGAAAATAAACATCAGCGCACTCTCTGCTCTTTTTAAATCACAGTTCATTGCTCAATTCAGCTTGCCAATTTAAATGCATAGGTAAGCAAACTTCCCTTATTTTTTATGTGTACAAACTTTTAAATCGAAGTTTTGGTCTGGGTACATTGTGTGAATGGAAAAATAAGTTTTCCTACTAATGACAATGAAGTTCACTCACACACACACACACACACACACACACACACGGTGGTTCTTTGCAGTGTGTTTTTTTGAGGGGGTTATCTATTTTAATGAAACTCAATATTTATATATTTACAAAAAAAAGAAAAAAATAGATATTATAGCTTAATAAAAAAGTACAACTGAGCACTGAAGGTTGAGCTATCCACCAACAGAATGCCCACCCTAATGTTTCATGTGGAGAAAGGACAGTGGTAAGGAGATGGCAGTCTCAGCCCAGAGATGCCCCTGTCTTCCTCCCCAGGGTTCAATGTGGTTTCATCCTGATATACAACCCCTCATGTCCTTCTTCCTAGTTCAGAAGATGGTTGAGCTCAGGAGCTAGAGAGAGGTGGTGTTGGTGAGGAGCAGAGGGAGGTACAAGGCACAATGGAAAAAGTAGAAGAGAGATCCTGGAGAAGGGCAAATGAGGGTGGGTAACTAAGGAGTTAAACAGGAGCTAGAAGCTTCTATTCATAATCCCAGAATCTGGGAATCTGGAAAGGGTAAGGAAAAAGGTGGAAAGGCAGAAGGGGAGACAGGCCCGGGAGCTGAGGAGAGGAGGAGCCTCCTTTATCTCTTTCTCTCTTTTGTACAGTTCCACTCCTTTATGTTAATCCCAGTCTGAGACAGGTCCAGAGACGTTCTGGTGACAAACTAGTGGTTATGTCCCTGTGGGAAAAATAATCTAGGAAGTGAACTGCTGAGCCAGCAGAGAAAGCTAGGGTCCTCTTTAGTAAGACACAGCTCCTGGCTCAAGGGAGCAACAAAAACCACATTAGTTTTGTCATTGATGGAGTATAAGTGACAACGAGAAAGATGAGGATGCCAAAGCCCACCATCAGAGTGCCAAACTCACTGTTCTCTTTAAATTAATCCTACTCTGTTCCCCGTTCATGTACCAAACCATAGGCTGTGTATTCCTTCACTGAAAATTACCAGCTTATTAAATGTTGCTTAATTCCAATTTAATTGAGAGAAAGGAAGAGAAAGTACGTGTGCTTGCAATAAGGGCTGGTTTTTTGTCTGTAAATGGATTTGGGGGCACCACTGCCTGGAGGAGGACAACACATTCTAAAGATGTAGGAACTCCAACCAATGGCAACACTGTGGGACAGCAGAACTGTACTTAATCACTTGCTGAATCAACAAAGTTGACACAAATGCCCTTTTTCTCAACTGTTTGCCCTTAAAGGCTCTGATAAAATCTGCATTTGTGGAATGTTTGGACCTACTGAATCAGTAACACTGGCAGTAGGACCCAGAAATATACATTTTAATAAGCTCTGTCTGTAATTCTATACTTGTTCAAGTTTGATAACTACTCTTTTGAGAAATCCATGCTTTTAAAAGCATTCAGAAAGTGATTTGGGGCATCTTTTTGATATCGTAATGTATTTACCAGTGTATTCAAATTATTCTAGATATGGATTCCTTCCAGATCCGTGTTACATCTCAATTGCCTTGGAACAGGTTTCCAGGAAACTTATAATTTGTTTTATTTTCGAGCATTTTACAAGTCCTCATACCTTCCATTCTCTGATAGCCATTTCCTTGGTAGTCCCAAGTCACGCCATTTCTAATCTTTCATTCAGGTAAATGGTTAAACAAGTACAGGAAAGCACAACTAGTACAGTGAGCTTATTATTTGACTACTTTCTTTTTAGATATTCACTTAATGACATTTCCTCAAAGAATCTTTCCTAATGATCCTGGCTAAAATAAACTACTACATACTTAACATTCCCTAACACGCAGTATTCTTTTTTGTTTATATTAACGCTCTTTTCAAAATTTACAATTATAATTATTTATGTTTATTGTCTGGTTCCCCGACTTGTGCATAAATTCCATCAGTATAAAGAACATATCTAGTTTGCTGACACTTTTAGCTCTAGTACAAAACACCAGGCATTTTATATAGATACAATGTGATTTAATAAATATTGGTTGATTTAGTGGACTTTCTTTTATCAAATAAAAATGTATATAATCAAAACTTATGGGGTAAAGCCTGCATAAGAGCAAACTGTATACCTTTAAATGTATTCAACACTGATTTGAATTTTAAAATGCATTCTTTTTCAAACCATGAAGGGTTAGGATTTCAGTGTAGGAATTTGGGGAGGGGCGCAAACATTCAGTTCATAACAATGTTATCCCTTTGCCTCCCCTCAAAAAGTTAAAGTGAATTGCTTACTTTTTGGTAGCATAATTATGCTAAGCAGTTTCAGAAAATCTGCCGTGGTTGTCCTGAAAGAGTGTGCATGTCCTGAGTGTTCAATGTATTTGTTTTCTGGGGATTATTTGATTGTATAAGTAGACCTTAAAAGACTATCATGAAGACAATGGGCACAATCATTTTTGCTTTTTGCTGAGAGGTTTTAATGTCTGTTCCAAATGAATTAAAATTATGTAATTGTAATCTATTCTTTAAGATAATATTTAAGGAAGTATGTATTCTATCTATAAGTAAACTATCGATAGTTATATTTAAATATACATCATCAAAACAGAGACTGTATGATATAACCCAGATTTTTAAAAATGTGAATGATATCCTTGGGAATAAGATGTTAACTACCAAAATTCAGATAGAGGGTTTTTTGTTTGGGGTAGACTGTTTTAATATTTTATTTATTTTATATCTAAATACAGAAATAAAACATATAGGTATACTTAGAGGGTTTGAATGAGGTTATATTAATATTCCATAAATTTCTCCTGTTGAATTAGCAAATATTCTTCAGAACTACAGAACTACCAGATTAGGTTCAGGTATAGCTTGGCAGTAGCTTTTCCTGTACTTCAAGCTACATGATACAGCCCAAGTTATGGGTAGCGGGTGCTCAATTTTACCCCCATATCATCTACTTCCAAGACTTTCTATAAGGATGTTTGTTTAATTCCCTAGGATGTTTGTTTAAACTTTTCCCTCACACCATCAATTGACTTCTTAGTAAACTGTTTGACAGTGGAAAAAATAATAATAATTGTAAAAATAATACAGTTATTTTAAAATATAGCTTTTCCAAATGCAGAGTTACATGGGAAAAAGGAGCATTTCTCCACAATCAGTGGAGAATCACAGTCAATGGAGAAAAGTCTTCCCCAAATATTCTATGATCCAAAGGCAGGGGGCAGAGATGTTAGAAATGGCCAAAATAAGATAGAAAGGTCCCTCTGGGAAGAAGTAGGGAGATATCATGATTGAGAAGTAGTAATACATTTGCAGTGTTTAGAAATAAACAATTTTCCTTAGCATAGTCTTATAGTCAATGAGGACTATAATTTTTGGGGTTCACCTTGAGAAGCTGAAAACTCAGGGACTGAGATCTTATAGTTACCTCATGATTCTAATTAAAAAAAATCATTAAGTTCTAGAAAGATGTGATACACAAGCTGAATCCCCTGACCAGTGTGCCAGGTTTCCTTTCAGTTGGCAATGTACCACGTGGAATCATCTTTTCTTATGGAATCATCTTTTCGTACCTGAACAAAATCTAATTATTCCCCAGTATTGGTCCTTGAATCTTTTTTGCTTTCAGATCAGTCAGTAGCAAAGACAGTTATTTTCTACAGTGTTTTCTAGGTATGTCGGGGGAGGTGCGGAAAGATGGGGAGGATCATACAGAGAGGAGACTCTACTTCATTGAAATGCCATAGCCCTCTCCAAGAAGGATAACCGTCTAATATTCTAGTTGGTAAAATGCTGACACTCTGGCTGAAGTATAAGCATTGTCAGGCATTAATGGACACACTATTTATTACTTAATCAAAATGTGGAAATTGATCAAAATTTAGTCTAAGACATATTGTTTACCTCAGCTGGAGAAATTTTTGCCATCAACACATTGCTCTTTGCGAGATAAATTTATCCCACACAATAAATATTTAGCATCTTCAAACTGTAAGGGACTTTAGGCAATCCAAAGATAGAAGAAGCCAGAGCTTGTATTTAGAGAAAAAGAAAGTGCAGTGAAAAAAGGAGATAAGGCATTTGGTGCATAAATGCAGTCCATGTGAGATATTCACTCTCTATCAAGTAAGGTAGAATTTCAGAGGACCAAGAGGTGCTTTCCAAGTTAGGGGAAGAGGAGATTTATAATAGGAGACTTAATAGAAATTACAATGTTTAGCATTTTACACACGGTATCACATATTTGGTGATAAAAGGAAGACCATTTTGTATACAAAGAAACAAGGAAATTCATGGTGTTTAACTAGAAACATTCAATTCTGGGCCCACCCCGGAATAACAGATTTATAATACCCAGGACTGGGACATAAGGACACATGTTTCCAAAAATTCCTTATGTAAATCAAAGACAAATACAAGGTTAATAATCAATTATGACAAAAAAAAAAAAAAAAAAGACCTGATGGTGTTTATTTGGAGATTGATGCTAGAAAAAGTGAACCAATCTGTCTGAATGTAGTCTGTGTGTTGCTTTTAGTGCCGTAGCCTGCATCAAAACATTCTGCTCAACTATATATACTGGGCTATGGACAAAGTTTTAGTCACTGAGAAGTCTGTCTCCTGATCAACACTGAAGGTGTTTGGATGTTGGGAGGCAAAGTGACCGGGAGAAAATGAAACTGGTAAGGTATGATGGCTTGCAAAGTATAAGAGGAAGGAAAGGAGTGTTTGAATGTGGACCTGATAGGATCTACCTAATGATTAGGTTTAGAGAGGAAGAAAATAAAAGGTAAAAGTGAAACATTCTTTTTAGGATAAAATATATTTTCCAATATAGGAGTAAGCAATCGGGTGTGTAGAAAAATTATAAATTCAATTTTGACACGTTAGAAAAATCTAATGGAATTTTTGATTGCCTAGCATTTATCTATGAAGAAATAAAAATCACACAATTTATTATGTCAATAATTTATTTCATGTACATATTTATGATATAACTTATATACTATGTCAATTACTCTAATCCATCTATGTTATTGAAATGAACACTATATAATGGAGAGTTGGCTTGCAAATAATAAAAAATAAAAATTGGCAAAGAGTTGCAATTTTGACTCAGAAAGTTGACTTAAAACTTTTCACTGTGGACATTCCGAATTACATAAACCAGAAAGTCCCCACAAGTCTGTGGGTTTTCTAGTTTTCCAGATGGTTTCTCAGACTTTGGAAAAAACCAAGATTGAAGAAAATGTGCCAAAGACAACTATAGATCTTGCAATAAAACATGAATGGATTTAGTGATTTAAACACAGAAATGTAAGGAACGATGAATAAGATTTGAGCATTAATATTTGGCAAGATAGTCGTTAATGAAAAATAGTTACATGCCTTATCTTGTCTGTTGCAAACTATATCTACAAATCTGAACAATTGATTGAAGACAATATTCAAAATTATATATTTAATGTGCAGAATGTCAAGTCATTTTAGTTTTTCTTTTGAAGAAGCAGTCATTGTGAAAAATATTGTTAATAATTATTTAAGGCAAAATTACAGATAATGAATTTAAGAATTATCACTTTTATGTTGGTCTACTCTGGACTTTCTAGTAAGCTTTTCATTTAATAATTTAGCACAAAAATCTCCTAGCATAGCAGTAGCACCTGTTATATGATGGCTTCCCTCCATTCTATGATATTTGGCTAAAATCCAGAGACTGCAGTGTACATAGCCAAATGTAAAATAAAGCTTCTGTGAAGTTAATATTGCTACAGTCTCATCAACATGAGTCAGGAGAATAAAGAGTAAATAATAAATAATAAATAAATAAATGCCTTGTAGTCTACAAAACATAATTGACCACTGACAATTTGAAACCTCAAATAGCAAATTATGGGCTAAACATCTATAAACTGCTTTCATCTCTTGGGGGAAAAATTTTCTGTAAAACAATAAAGAACAATAAAAGTGATCCGGTTCATAAATAATGAAAAGGGATGTATTTATTATTGTTAAGGCCCTTGAATGTTTTAGAAAAAATCAATTTAGATTTGTCAAACTTATAATACGTCAAAAAATTGTGTTATTGTATTTTCCAAATACTATTGACTAGTAAAACATATATTTTTATTTTATTTTATTGTTATTGTTATTTATTTATTTATTTTATTAGAGACAGGGTCTTGCTCTATTGCCGAGACTGGAGTGCAATGGCATGATCATAGCTCACTGCAGCCTCTGGTTTCTAGACTCGAGCGATCCTTCTGTCTCAACTTCCCAAGTAGCTGGGGATACAGGCACGTGCCGTCATGCACAGCTAAAACATGTTACTCTTCAAATTTCACATTTTTTTTAAATCTAAGACCATATTTAAGTAAAAATAATTTGTGAAGCAATATGATATATATATCTCCACATTATAAATTATATATATATGTATGTATAGAGATATCCAGAGCAGTGCAAGTCAAAGCAGATATTGTGTGCTTCTAATGATTAGTTTTATATATATATACATATATATATGTATGTATATCTGTGGCACATTTCTTCCCTTTGTTTACATTTGTAAAAAAAATTCAAATATTGAAAACTTAAGAGACATAAATCCAAATAAAGACATTAAAACAAATTATCTTCACTTCTAAGTGGAACACTTCCCTGTTATGTTGATCCTTGTATGTGGTTATTCTTACTATTCTCATTACCAGCTCTATCTCACTGATTATTCAATTTACTACTTTAAATGTTTTTGGAATCTCTTACTATTTTTTAGAAATAGGCTAAATAATACCACAAATAAATTAACAGTTTATTTCTCTTTTTTTCCAAAGTAGTTTCCTTAAGATCAGAATGTGTATCACAGCATTACAATGTTTTCATTCCTAAGGGAATAAAATATAGGACACCTGATTTGAATGCATTAGTGTTCCATCATTGCTGTTTTCCAACCCAAAGACCTGCATTCCCAAAATACGCATCTTTAAGTTTTGTTTATATTGTTGCTTTTAGGGCACAGTATATGGAGCATATTGATTTTTAGTTTTGAAAATCAAATAATAGCATACACTTTCCGTGCATACCATTTAGAAGATCCCCTATATTCATTCTGTAAGCATGCTAAACTCAGGAATTTTGGCGATAGTTTGTATAGCATTTATTAGAATGTGTTTTGCAACTAGCCGGGGTTCATAAAATAAAATATTTCTATTGATATTTATGTTTATTTTATATTCTAATAAATACGGTATCCTATTAGAGTATTATGCTAATGCTGTTGAGATTATAGTGCTATTTGGGTAATTCTACTCAACCAGTAGTAGCCAATCCTTTATGACCAAACTACTGAGAGTCACATGATTATTGTCAGTACCTGGGCAAAAGCTTCTGAGTGGACAGAAATAGTGTCAGCCTAATGACACTCCTCTCTCAGCTTTCCCTCCCCATATAAAGAATCATAAACATCAAGCCTATTTTTCCCTGTGCCACCAACAGGGAAAAACCACACTTGCCATTTTCTGCAGATCAAGTGGCAGAAACATTCCAATCTATACATCATAACCACTCCAGTCCTTCTTTCTGTGTTGAATTTAAATTATTTCTGGAAAGAGTGTCTGGTCTACTTCTAAAGACTACTGGAGCTAATGTAACATCCTGATTGTGTTTGCCAGTGCCCTCTATTTGTCTATTTCTACCTTATGATCATTTCGCTATCTTTTTTCAAATTTATTCAGTTATAAATGAAAAATAAAAAGTGTATTCATTTAAGATGTACAATATGATGTTTTAAAAACATATGCATTGTGAAATGATTACCGTAATCAACTAATTAATATATCTATCACCTCAGGTAGTTACCATTTTGTGTGTGTATGCGGTGAGAACATGTAAGATGTACCTTTAGCAAATTATATAATGAGGTGTTAATAACTATAGTCACCATACTGTACATGAAAGATCCAGTATTTATTCATTCTGCATAACTAAACCTTTGTACCCTTTGAGCAACATCTCCCCATTTCCCTTACCCCCAGCCCCTGGTAACCATCATTCTACTCTCCACTTCTATGAGTTTGACATTTTTGGATTCCGCATATAAGTGAGGTCATGCAGGACTTGTCTTTCTGTGCCTGGCTTATTTCACTTAGCATGATGGGCCTCATCTTTTTAACACTTCCCTCACCAATCTCTTTTCTCCACTTTTCCTTCCAGCCCCCAACACTGATTCTGTAAAAAAAAAACACACCCTCATATAATCTTAAACTCCACATTGAATTTTTCTCCAAGTAAGTAATTTTTCTTCTTTGAGAAAAGATTAAAAATAAAATTCATCACTCTCTTTTAGGGACCAATCACATTTGTACATAATCCAAATTATAGAATTTGTTAAAATCATTCTAAACCTGCCAATCTAGATTGCAAGTATCTGATACCAGTGCCTGTGTCTTGTTCATACCGGACTCTCAGTTTGAAGTATAGCAGCTAGTAAATTTAAAATGAGCCATCATTTTATAGCTTTAACAATTCTGTATACATTTCTGTGAATTTTCCCTCTGTATACCATTATCCTCAAAAATTGTACCCTTTCCAAAAATAGCTAATATCTTCTTGGGAAATGATCTTTTCAGGTGCAATTCACAAAATGTAAAATGCATAAAATTAAGAAATTATAAAAGCAACTCACTCCATAAAAATTGCCAAAAGCAGGAAATATAATCAAAAAATGTAAAAGTCTCTTCACTTTTGATCCACAGTTTTTTAAAATGGAAATTGATTTCTAGAACCACTCTTGGTCAGGTCTTCAATGTTGACTAGGCGCCTTTTAGGGAAATCTTTCTTCACCTGTAGTTTGTGTTGCAACTATATGTTTTTTTGTTTTGTATTTATTTTATGATCTTTTAAAAACCAAAAGTATGTGATTTTAAAATTAAATTAAACTATCTAGGAGTAAATCTAAATTTTACTTTCAGGATGCTTCTCCAAGACAAACTAACAGGGAAGTATTTATATGTAACTTTGATCTGTACCCACTCTCCCCAACCACCACCCACACATGCCACCCAACAAACACATACAGGGATCTCATATAACTTCTAGGAGAAAAATTTGTGGGAAATTACTATATTATTATTATATTTATTTTTATTACTATGTTATAATTTTAAAGTGACTACATTAAATCAGAATGGCAATTGTCACTTTCCTTCCTCCTGCATTGATTGAGCAGTGAAGGTTTTCTTTATTGATTGGGAAGTAATTTTGTATTTCATCTCTACTTAAAAGCATGCTATGTTTTATCTTCCTTTTTATTTGGAGTGTGGCTTTTGTATTCAGCATTGTTTTCCTCTAATGGCTTTTAATTTCCATTGCTTTTATTCCAAAGAGCAATGGAAAATATACACCTTAATATTATTATTAATTCTTATTGATACAAATTGTGTTCGTCTATCTCTTTTTAATGGAGTTATTGTTCATGGGTACTCTAAATACTTCTTTCAATTTTATAATCCAATTGGTTTCTTTTTCTTTAGTCTACTTCATTGCCATCATGTAGGTATTTATTTGTATTATACTCAGGTTGGCTCTGGTGTGTCTTGCTTCCCATGCTGCCTTCTTCTTTGGATTTCTCCTATTTCTAAGTATTTTCCAGAAAGAGTTCATGAGAAATACATTTTATTTCTTGTAATTAACTTTTAAAATTCTCCTTAGCATCTATCTATCATTTATTTCCATCTCCTCCATTAACTTTTCCAGCTTTCTTTCTTTTCTTTTTTTTTTTTTTTTTGAGACGGAGTCTCGCTCTGTCGCCCAGGCTGGAGTGCAGTGGCGCCATCTCGGCTCACTGCAAGCTCCGCCTCCCGGGTTCACGCCATTCTCCCGCCTCAGCCTCCCGAGTAGCTGGGACTACAAGTGCCCGCCACCACACCTGGCTAATTTTGCTTTTCTATTTTTAGCAGAGACGGGGTTTCACCGTGTTAGCCAGGATGGTCTTGATCTCCCGACCTCGTGATCCTCCTGCCTCGGCCTCCCAAAGTGCTGGGATTACAGGCGTGAGCCACCACGCCTAGTCAAGAACTTTACTCTTGCAATGTCTGTTCTCTCTCTTCCATAATTAGGCTTTTCATTATCTTGGATCACTTCTAACAGCATACAGATACTCATTACTATGGATTTATATATATGTGTGTGTGTTTATTCACTTGTGTGTATATGTATGAGTACATATATTTAATCATTTGTATATTTTTTTCTGTCATTTTAATTATTTTTACTATAGGGATAAATAAATGGATTTAATTTTTTATCTGAAGCAGTAGTCATCTTCTACAATTAAAGTATATGCCAAGTCTTAGGCTTACATCTTTTTAGCTTATATAGTTACACAATATCTCATTTAACCTCCCTTATGTTGGATGACTAAAAAAACAATTTGAGTTAATTTAAGGTCCCATGACCGCTTGCCTCTGGTTTGCAACTAAACTGTGGGCACATAGTGTTCAGGTGTGAGTGAGATGGACATCTAAGGTGTCATTTGTCCTTATACTGGCACCCGATGGGACATCTACCATCCCACTAGCTCTCATTTCTTCATTCCAAACAAGTCTTTGCTCTGTTATCCTTTGTATTCCTCTCTCATTCTAGTTTCTATGGGTCTAATTCTATTTCAGCCACTTCTAGTGCCATTTAAGTGGGCAAAAATTCACCCATGCCTCAGGCCTTCTCTGCCTACACCTGCTACCTGAAACCTCTTTATTCTCTCAGCATTCCTACCCCATGACTTAACTCAGAAATGAAGGTGCGAGTCCCACTAATTTTTGTCATGTACACTAGAACAGCCACTTATGCCAAGTAAGCCCCTCACGCCACTAATTTTTGTCATGTACACTAGAACAGCCATTCATGCCAAGTAAGCTCATGTTTGGAGGAAAACCCCTTTCTAGGCACCTACTGCTAGAATATCACTTGAGTCAAATCTCATATGGGTCATATGGTTTAGCTTCTTGAAGTGGTATAGGATTGAAAAGTTATATAAAATATCAAAAAATACACTTGTAAAATTGTGAAATATTTTGTCACATGAGTAATTAGGTTCATTCTAGATTGGAATTTAACTTTCCTTATGTGTTTTTATTTTATATAATAAGAATAACATTCTTATACTTGGAAATTAACAGTGTTTTGATGTAATTAAAGCACACATAGTACAAGCTGTGACGTTTAGTGTTGTGTTTGCAACATAAATTGACTTATAGTTAACAGAATCATTACTCTGAAGAACTGAAAAAATATTCTACTATTTTCCCAAATCTTCTTTTAAACTTATTTTAATAAGTATAATCTTATTTTTTTCTTTTAAACTTATTTTAGTTGAAACTTTGGTCAAGAAAATCAATAGTGAAGAGGAGATAGCAGTCAGTAGATAAAAATACCTTTAGGAGAAATATCTAATGTAAATGATGAGTTGATGGGTGCAGCAAAAAAGTAAATATGCTTAACATATTTATTCACCCCCCCACACTCCATATAAATACAACTATAGAAAAGAAATAGTATTGGATGTGGTACAGTTCAGTCTTTCATGGACACATATTGTCCCACATTAGTACTGCCTAAGACTGAATAATAATATTATGATCTTTTTGTTGTTGTTATTTTTGAAACCATGAGGAAGAATTGGCCTTTGTATGAGGAACAAGATTTCACCTGCAGGGAAGAGATAACCCATTGTTAGCCAGCCTGGTTCTGAAAGAGGAACAGAAGGATTTTGTCTTTTTCTGGGGCTGAGAAAGCACTTGGGCCTAGATTTCCATGTGTGGTAATACCTGCTAATTCCACCTGACAGAGAGTGAAACTACCGACCACATGAAGGACTCTTGTGGTTAGGTAAGGCGTCAATGTTCTTCTGTTTTGTTCATGACCTCTACAGTAGCAACCTTTTCTAAAGTAAATAGTAGTAAAGAGTAGTCACTCTTGCTATTACATGTACTCTATGGCTGAGCTTTAGCAGTGTTTATCTCAATAACCTGTGCTCAGTTTTGCTGGGAGGTATTAGGGAAAGAATGTCCTCTCTCAAACCTTTGGCAAAGTTATGAATGGCAGTGGTAAAAGAGAGAGCTCTGTCTCACAACACAATTGCCTAACAAAGGTAATCTGCACCAAATACAGCCACAGGATTTCACCACAAAGGAGTCACTGCTGAAGAATTTGGGAGTATACTTGAGCTAATGGCAAGGCAAAATGATCAGAAACATTGGGGACTTGGCACTTATCATGAAAGAAATTGATGATAACATTTTTGACCCAGGCTGGTGAGAGCAGGAAAGGATGCAAACTATCTGTATACCTAAATATTTATGAACATGTATGTGGACGTGTGTGTGTGTGTGTGTGTGTGTGTGTGGTGTTTATGTGCATGGCTGAATATGAAAGACCTTATACTATATATTTCTACTATCTCCTATCACCTATATGGTTATGGTTATATATAAATTATCAAGATATCTAAATAATTGCTATAATCTGTGTCCCCCAAAATTCACTCGTTAGAAACTTAATCCCCAATGCAACAGTGTTGGAAGGTGTGGCCTTTTAGGAGCTGTTTAGCTCAGAAGGCTTCCACCCTCATTCTTCTTAGGGATTACTTAAGTCGTTGTGAACTAAATTTTGATAGAAATATGGGTAGTAAAAGCCATTCTGATGAGGTCTCAGATGGAAATGAGGAATGAGGTGTTGAAAACTGAAGGAAAGGCCATCCTTGTTATAAAATGGCAAAGAACTTGGCTGAATTATGTCTATGTCCTAAAATTTTGTGGAAGGCAAAATTTAAGAGAAATGAATTAGGATATTGGGCAGAAGAAATCTCTAAGCAGCAAAATAGTCACAATTCTGCATTGCTTCTCTTAACTGCCTATAGTAAAATGGAAAAAGAATAACAACTTAAAGATAGAATTTATAATCAAAAGAGTAGCAGGAAGTAAAGATTTAAAAAATTCACAGCCTGGTTGGGTAAAGTATTTAAAAGGCATGTTGAGGACAGAAAACCAAGGATGTGGCCGAGATACATTGTAATAAGGAGATTAGTATGGCTAGGAGGAAGCCAGGTGCTATTCATCAAGACAATGAGAGAATGATCTGAAAGGCATTTCAGAGATCCTGTGCAGGAGAACTCACTTGTCCAGGCTGCCTCAGATCTCTGCTCTCTGCATTCTGGTGCAGCTCTCCTCAGCCACCCCAGCTATGGCTCCAGTGAATGCAGGTGCAACTCAGGCTGCCACTCCGGAGGGCACAGTGATGAGCCTTAGCAGCATGCACGTACTGCTAATTCTGCAGGTTTGCAGACTACAAAATCAGTGGAGGTACGGCTTCCTTCTCCTAAATTTCAGAGGTCATTGCAGACAGCCTCGAGGTCTGGGCAGAGACCTGTGCAGAGGTTGAGCTGCCACAGAGAACCCCACTAGGTCAATGCTTAGTGGAGCCATGGGGTAGGGCTGCCTCCAAGACCCCAGAACTGTAGAGCCACCTGCATGCGATACCAGCTAGAAGTCACTGCCATGTGGCTTCAATGCATAAGTGCTGAAGCATGGGTTGTGCCTAGCAAAACCACGGAAACAGAGCTGCTGGGAGCATAGAAGACCCAACGCTCACCTTAGCGTGTGCAAGCAGCAGGACATGGAGTCAACATAGATTACTCCAAGGCCTTAAGTTTCAAGATTGTTTGCCCTGTTGGGTATTGGACTTAATTGGGACTTGTTACTTCTTCTTGCTTATCTCTCCCTTTCAGAATGGAAATATCAGTCCTGTGTTTGTACCACCATTGAATTTTAGAATCACGTAACTTGTTTGATGTCACAGGCTCACAGCTAAAGGGAAATTTGCCTCAGGATGAACCATGCATTGAGCCTCACCCATAACTTATTTAGATAAGACTCCAGACTTCAGATTTTTAAGTTGGCATCAGAATGGCTTTTTGGGCTATTGAGATGGAATAGCTGTGTTTTGTATTTGAAAAAAACATCAATTTGGGGAGCCAGGGTTGGAATGCTATGGTCAAAATTAGTCCCCCGAAATTCATGTGTTGGAAACAATCCCTAATGCAACAGTGTTGGGAGATAGGATCTTTTGGGAAGTGCTTAGTTCAAGAGGGCTCTTTGCTCATAAGTCAGTTAATTCCATTATAAAAGGGTTTAATGAAAGGAGTTTGCCCCTTTTCGCTTTTTGCCCTCCTGTCTTCTGCCATGTGAGGATATAACATTCCCCCATTTTCAAAAGACACAGCATTCAAGGTGCCATCTTGGAAGCAGAGACCAGATCATCATCAGATAAATGAACCTGCTGGCACCTGTGTCTTGGACTTCCCAGCCTCCAGAACACTGCGAAGATATACATTTCTCTTAAATTTCCCAGTTTGTGAAATTCTGTCTGGGAAGCACAAAATGAACTAAGACAATAGCTATAGTAACTATATAGATGCCTTACATGCTTTGCCCTTGAACAACATGAGGATTAGGAATACCAAACCCCATATGGTCAAAAATTCATGTATAAGTTTTGACTCCCCAAAAACCTAACTACTAATAGTCTACTGTTGACTAGAAGCCTATTGGTAACATAAACAGTTGATTAACATATATTTTGTATGCTGCGTGTATTTTATATTGTATTCTTACATTAAAGTAAGCTAAGAGAAAAATGTTGTTGAAAAAATCACGAGGAGAAAATATATTTACTATTCATTAAGTGGAAGTGGATTATCATAAAGGTCTTCATCCTCATCAACTTCATATTGAGTAGGCTGAGGAGGAGGCAGAAAATGGAGTAGTTGATCTTGCTGTATCAAGGGTGGCAGAGGTGAAAAAAAAATCCATGTATAAGTGGAGCTGTGCAGTTCAAACCTACCTTGTTCAAGGGTTTTGTCTTAAAATATGTCCAAGACATTGTTCTCTGTCAATGTTCTAAAAATAGATATTATTTTACTGACTGCAGTATTGTATGATTGAAGACTATTGAAACAATTTATTCCCTCATTAACTTGAAAATTGAAACAATTTATTCTCTCATTAACTTAAAAATTGAGACAATTTGTTCTTTCATTAACTTGTTACCCTTGAGTACTCCTTTGTCCTCAGTCTTAATAACAATGGAAAATGTCCCCTGTTTTAATCTTTAGTGACCTCATTGTAATATAATTCATAAACATAATGCAAAGTACTAAGATGCTTAGCCATACTGATTTTTTATTTCTTCCTGTGATTTACTAGTTCAGTTTCTTTAACCACCTTAGTGGATTACTTGCACTTTCCTAAATAATTCATAAAAGGGAGTTATTTATATTAAAGATATTGACTATTTGTACACAATGCAAAATTTTTCCTATTCTTGTCTTTTGCTTTCTTACTTGATTTGATATGGTTTGATAAGCAAACATTTTTAAACATTTAAATCTGTTGAACTACAATCCTTTCTCAGTTCAGTCTTTGGTATCATATTAAATAAGCCATGTAAGTTTGCATATGGTTTCAGTTTTATGTTTAGATCTTTAATCCAATTGGAATTTATTTTGTGTAAAAGTTGTGAAATAGGGATATATCTTTCCTGTCATGTCCTCCCAAGTGTATACTTAATTTTCACCATTCCACTTATTGAAAAATTCATGCTTTCCTCATTTTCGAAATGTCATTTTGGTATTTTATTAATTCTGATACACACAGCTGTATTTTTCAGAATTCTTAACTGGATTATTGTGAGCTATTTGTCATTCGTATCTTAGTATCACATTCTGTTATTATGATTGAATCTGGTAAAATAATTGCCCCCTTAGCCCCACAATTTTAATAAATATTCAAAACCCCACTCTATAGAAACCTCTAACTAGGGAGATACATTATATGTGCCTACTATGTGTCAAGGACTGTGTACAACTGAAACAGATTTGACTCATGAATTTTACACTCATGATAGGCTGTAGTACTTTATTTTACTCTTAAAAATAACAATAGCAGCTTCTCTTTTATACTTTTATAAAATCTTCTACTGATTTCAAAGCTTTTTTTTAATTAAGAAGAGAACCAATTTTAAAAATGCACTGTTTTTCTTAGATAATATCTAAAAGCCCAGAAGAAAAAGAAATTCTTCTTTTGTAGGCAACATGATTAGCCACTAGAGGAAGTAAGTGTTTTGCATTGCTGGGCAGCAGCATAGGAATTGACTTATGAAAGAAAATCACTGTTAACGTTTATTCTGCCTAGTAGAATGCCTGGCAGTTCTAGAAGAGAGGCTTTGAATTTACAATTTTGTAACTTAGTGATTGTATATAATGACAGGATTTAAATAACTATATTTGACTGAAAGTAGTTATTAGAAGTTCCTGATAGTACATGAAAGGAAAAAAATACTGTCATCTCAACTAGATCATATATCTTTAATTAACTAATTCATAAAAAATAATTCCAAATGTATTTTACTATAAACAATATATTACAATTAAAATGGAATTCTCTGGAGAGCTGATAACCAGAAAACTTGTTTTTGCCATAAAATGTCAAAAATAAGTTAAGAACTAAAGTGTTATTTTTTTAATTGTAAACATTCCTTTGTAGAAAAACTGGTCTTGGAGGCATTCAAATATGCATGAGGACACATTGAGAGAAAATGAAGAAATATGTGCTTTTTTGTGCTTATTTGTTTTAGAAAATAGCAATTACAATCTCATTTAAAATGTAGTGATTATGACAGAACAGTGTTTATTCATTTAATAAGTAGTTATTTAGCACCTCCCGTTTGCCAGCTATTGCGTGGGATATCTAACACATAGTCCAACAATACACAGATTATTTGTGCATTTGGCACACATTTATTATAACTGTATTTTCACTGTCAGTAGGTCATGCTCTCCACATACTGAGCAGGCACTTCTTTTTGCCTGGCATTCTTACACATCAACTATTTTATCTGGTAACATACTTATCCTTTGGGTAGCAGTTGCCCTATCTTTTCTCCTGAGAAGACTTTCTAACTGAAAAACCATAATTAGATATCCTCTTCTAGGCCAGCACCATCATTCCTGAACCATGGCATGTAGTATTAGAAGTGCCTTTGTAATCTTCCATGTTCTTCACTAGATTGTAAATTCTACGAGAGAGTCATACATCCATTCGAAAATATTTACTGAGCACATAAAAAGTACCAAGCACTAGCCTGCTTGCTGTGAGTATAAAGTTTACAAAATTAGAAGAATAAAATAGAATGGAAGTTGAAAGTTATCTCTTTTGCCTAGTAGGGTACAAACTGTACTGCATTGTCTCTCACATCATGTAAGTGAGCCAAATCGATCATCATCCTCTAGAAGTGTTAACAACAAGCACATTGTTGCATTATACTCTAAGCTTCTGGGTCAAAATATCTGGGGGGTGTAGCTCAGGAATCTGCATTTTTTGCAAAGTGCTCCAAGTGGTCAGTATGGATGCTGAGATTGAGATCCACTTGTCCTTGATAATGGAGAGATTGTGTTTGACGTATTCACCGGCTGCATACACAGCATGAAGTAGAGTGCCTGGCACAAAGTGAGTTGTTGTTAATTAGGAGCTGAGTGAATGAATGAGTCACTGACAACCTCAAGTAGTCTACATGACCCACACACCACAGAGAAGTAGAGCATGTTCTACAGAAGCACATAGATGTACACGACCGATTCTTTAGGGAGACCAGAAAACATTCAGAGGCCAATCGTGTATACAATGAAGGACAAAAATGTGGGGAGGCAGAAAGAGCAGGGGGAGCGTATTCCCAACAAAAGGGAGAGCAAGAGCTAAGGCACAGATCAAGGGCATGGGGTGTTCAGGAAATACGGAGTATGTGTGTGTTGCCAGATACCAGGTAGTCATGGGGAAGGTTAAGGTATGGAGGGAGCCTTGTAGGCATTCTGGCTTCTCCTGTAGGTGATAGTGAGCCACTGAAATCAACAAATCTGTTTGCAAATAAATCAACCTTGGTAATATTGTGGAGGATAGATAATCTATTAGGAGATAATGAGACAAAAGATAAGGATAAATGGTCATTAGTTATATGAGGGGAGTGTCACAGATGAAAGAAGGATAGCACTGTGAGTTATTTATCCAATAGAATCTACCCAACGTGACGACTCTTCTAGGGGATATGGCAAGAGTAACTGACGTCAGTATGTTCATGAGAAGATATTAGTCATTGCTTCAACTTGAATCTGAAAATCTTAAGAAACTGCTATGACCCAAAAAATAATACAGAATTCAGTGGTTAGAACTTTTGAATGAATCTGCAAGTATTTTTATGGCTCTCATGTAGTTCTTAATTATGCTACTTGTAACTTACTGAGTTTAATTATACTGTTTTATGAACAAAAGGACAAGAAGTAAACTAATTTTTATTTTCCCCAAGTATCACTTTTTCTCTATTATTACATTGTGTGAACATTGTTCATTGACTAAAATCAGTATTTTTCTTGATACCAACCTTTTCGATTGAAGTGGCTAGATAAAAGTTCAGCATCTTTGACATTAGCTAGTAATTTTTAAAGCAGAAATAAATGTAGAACTTCAGGAAAGTTTCTAATTAAAACTTATTTTAAAAATTGCCCTTGTCAGCTACATGTCTGTTCTGATAAAGCATGGGTTCTATGGGATAAGAAATCAAAAGACTTTGGATGACATTTTATCTCCGGTTTTTCTGGATGAAATAAACAGCATAATTAATGTTCATTGGTCCAAAAGTGACATTGCACAGAAAGATGCACCCTTCTCTGTTTTATTTGGGAGACAGAATTTAGGTGTTCTTCAGTAGGAAAGAAACTACAATCACATTTAATCAACAGTAAAAATGAAGGCCAAAATATTGTAACTACCACTTTTCTTGTTGATTTTGAAAAGGTGCTGATTTCTCTTTGCACAAAGTGCTGAGTGCAAACAAGAGGACAAACCACATCAAGACTGAATCAAAGAGACCAGTTAAACGAGGACTGTCACAGATATTTCATCAAGAAAAATGGCATGTCTTGTTTACGATTACTTTGTCTGATTCACTTCTCCATTAGAAAAAGCACTTTTAAAATATCCTTTTACAATCCTCCTCAAGAGAAGAACATTGCTGGCTATGCAGACTAGACTAATATTGGGAGAGAAACCCTAAGTTCTATGCACAATTGTGAAGGGCTGTGTGTGTGTGTGTGTGTGTCTGTGTGATATACATGCATAGGTAAAATGTTAATCAAATATCTCTCAAAATGAGTGAAATTAGAGACATTTTGTTCTCAGTGCTTTGGAATGACTTCACTTAAATGGATAATATCCCCAAACAGAACAGGGACTGAGAAGATAACAGAACCTATTACCAATTGTTCTTTCATCCTCTCTACCAGGGCTGCAGAATTTCATACTGACGTGTTGAATTTAAGTCTGTTCTGCCTATCATTCCTCAGATAACTGGTGCTTGGAACTGAAACACTCAAAGCAAATGGAGTTCAAATTGTTCATAATATACAAAAGATATTCAAACCCCTTGTATACTATGTCCTTCTTTTACTTTAACATGCAGACTGAAATAGACAATTTTAACGGTTACATCAAGATAACCCACTGAAGTAATTCAAAATTTTTAATTCAATTTTCTTCATCTGATGGAGCAGAAATAACATACCAGAAAATGTATTTAGGTAAAAGTCCTCTTTCCTGTCAAAATATATATCAAATAAAATAAAAATAGGCTCCCTTCTAGGTACTATTTATGCACTTTTTCCTCTTCCACTTCTTGCTGCTTTCTCAGTGATTCTTTCTACGACTATTAAATATCATTACTTTAGAATTTAGTTAAAATGAACTGATTCTGTGATAAATGAAGCAATACTAGAAATCATAATTTACAGAAAACTATTAAAAGATTTAAGAGAATTTTTTCACCATTAATTAAAAACAATTTAGCTTGTGGAGTAAGATTGGTACTCACAAGGTTAAGGAGCATGTTTCTGGAGGCGAAAGGCCTGTTTGAATCTTGACACCCACTAGTTGTGTGACTCCAGGTAAGTTATTAAAGATCTTTATGTTTTAGATTATTTTTCTGTTAAATAGGGATGAAAATAGCATTTACAGCATAGGATTGTTATTGGCATTAAATTAGTTAATATCTATAAAGCACTTTTCGTCTTGTGCACTGTATCAGGTCTGCTAAGCTTCATTCACCTGCGGACCTTTGCACCACAGGCCACTCAGCCACCTTTGAGGCCATGGAGCTTGCAAGTTTACCTCTCAACTTCACATGCGCACAACGCACAGTGAGTTACATCATGCCTATGCTCCATGTGATCCTCTCTTATCTTCTACCCAAGAGCTTCTCTGGTGCAGCTAAGGCTTGATACACCAGGGACCAGCTTAGAACCTGGACAAGAGCAGCCCAGAAGTGCTGGGAAGTGAACACCCTGTAGAGTGCAACTTTCACAAAGGAGACCCTTGACCAGCACATAAGTGCTTTCCCCTTCTTTCCCAATGGAGAGCCCAGGAATGCCAGCATCTTAGAAAATCTTCCTAAAAGATTTAGACCCTGCTGTTTTCTTACAGATCAGAGTGGCAGCCAGATCAGAGACAACCATTTTTATTACCTTGCTCTCCTTTCCTCCCTTACATCGATTCATCTTCAACCCCCTTCCTTGGGATTGCTTTCCCCAATGAAGGGTTAGAACATATGAATTGCTGGAGTATCTAATTTCTATGGGTCCCATACTGAGAAATTATATGAATTAGGTTCTGTTGCTCAAACACCGCCTTATAAAAAGCCTCACAGTCCACATTACCAGACAGAGCACCTCATTCCGATCACTATCCTCTTAACATTCCCATTACCTGATACGTTACATAATTCTTTACTGTTATTGACTGCTCCCCCACCCCTGTGCTAAGATTTAAACAGTGGAGTCTCAGACTATTTTCTTCACTATGTATTCCATGCAGCTACAATATATTTGGCAGTCCATAAAATGTGCTAAGTTTTACTTAAAGATCACTTCTATAAGACCTATTGGGACCACACCATTTGAAATTCCAACCCTCTCTCCAGCCCTTGCACCCAATCTCCTTTGCTATTTCTATTTTTCCACAGTATTTATCATTTTCTAAGTTGCTATATAATTTAACTTTCTTGTTTGTAGTTTATTGTGGCCACCCCTCACTAGCACACAAACTTTGTGAAGTCAAGGTGGCTTTGGTTTTTCTGCGTGTGTGTTTGTTTTTTAGCTTTGTATACTCGTGCATTCACATATCCCAAGTGCCTAAAGCAGTGCCTGTCATACAGAGGGTCCTTTATGGAATGAGTGAGGCATGTGTTCAACTCGAGAGGTAGGAAAGTTGTTATTGGTTAAAGCCTCCATTCAGCCAGAGACTCTGTGAATTGGTTTCATGTGAGTTGATTTGTCAGGATTAGACTCACACGTACAGAAGGGTCAAATTAAGGAGAATAAAAGGAGAATTTAAAGAATTTAAGGAGAGTAAAACTGACTTTGTGGATGCTAGAAAAATACATCAAAATATCTTATTATTACCACCACTCCCCCCAAAAATACCCTTCAGGAATTTTCTTTGATTGTATTTTTTCTACTTCCCACAACTCACCTATGTGTATTTCTGGTGTTTCAGCACCCTTTATATGGAACTGAGACTTCACCGTTACTTTTCTCATTTTTTTTTTTTTTTTTTTTTTTTTTGAGACGGAGTCTCGCTCTGTCGCCCAGGCTGGAGTGCAGTGGCGTGATCTCGGCTCACTGCAAGCTCCGCCTCCCGGGTTTACGCCATTCTCCTGCCTCAGCCTCCCAAGTAGCTGGGACTACAGGCGCCTGCCACGACGCCCGGCTAATTTTTTTTTTGTATTTTTTTTAGTAGAGACGGGGTTTCACCATGTTAGCCAGGATGGTCTCGATCTGCTGACCTCGTGATCTGCCCGCCTCGGCCTCCCAAAGTGCTGGGATTACAGGTATGAGCCACCGCGCCCGGCGTACTTTTCTCATTCTTGAAGAAACTCTAAAATAGTCCAAGCTACTTTCTTCTTTTATCTTAACCTGCATGTTGGAATAGATATTCTTAATGACAGCATAAACAGTGTCAACTCACAAGATCTAGAAGTCTTCCTTCAAATATTTTGATCATATCAGGCACAGTATAATACAAAAAGCTTCAACAAATGAAACAAAAATTCCTAGTTATTACTTTGTCAATAGTCTACTTCACTTTTTCACTACTAGCTTCCTTCAGTTTCCTTTCTACTTCCAGCCATATTCTAAGCTTCAAACATTAAAAACTTACTTTTTCGCCATCTACATCAAGATCTCACCCGGCTCTGCTTCTAATTTTTGGACTTTTCAGGTTGCATTAACCCAGGCAGGGTAGATGGAAAGCCCAAGCTGCCTTAGGGGTGGAATAGTAACCCTGCCATGGACAGGAGCCCTTCAGCACCAAACCTTCTTACCTCAACCATGTATAAATACCTCTGCTAAGGCCAACTTCCCCTATGAATTATTTTCTCATTAATCTGTGGTCCTTGACACCCCTGAGTATATGACTTCATATTTTGGATTCTTGTATAGTTGGTTTCCCATATTATCATAATGCTTATGATAGCAGCTCCCAGTTTTGAAACTACTCTCACTACTACAAGAAGCAACCATATAACATCAGCATTCAGTTTGCATTGGTATACATTTCCTATCACCTTAATTCAAAGCTTTGGATTTCAAGAGCAGGGCCCAGGATTTCCTCTTACTTTTTTAAGCCTATACCCCAATACAGATTGAGTACTCTGTTCACATTGTGGATGTATGTATTCAATGTTGACAGCTGTTCTTTCTACGCACGGTTCAAAAACATTAAACATTTCTCATATGATTTCAAATAATGGCAAATCTGTTATTCTTGTGTCAGGATTATGGATGTAGTGATAACAGAAAAGGGGAGTGTTACTCATAAAATTTTGGAAGAGGAATGTGATAAAACTTTGGGTCAAGGATAATGTATTAGTCCATTTTCATGCTACTGATAAAGACAGGCCCGAGACTGGGAAAAAAAAATAGATTTAATGGACTCAGTTCCATGTAGCTGGGGAGGCCTCACAATCATGATGGAAGCTGAAAGGCACTTCTTACATGGCGCCTGCAAGAGAGAATGAGAGAGAAGCAAAAACAGAAACCCCTTATATAACCATCAGATTGCATGAGATTTACTTACTACCAAGACAATAGTATGGAGAAAACCCCCTCCATGATTCAGTTGTCTCCCACTAGGTCCCTCTCGCAACACGTGGGAATTATGGGAGCCTCAATTTAAGATGAGATTTGGGTGGGGACACAAACCGTATCAGATAATTACCTCCTATATTAACAGCAAAACCAGAAAAAGCTGACATAGGGGGTGTAGTTGCCTGAGTTAGCTAAGGTGAGAGAATTTACCTCCAGAGAGGAAAGATAAACCCCACCTAGAGAGCTAAGGAGGTCATAATGAAGTTTGA
Source organism: Homo sapiens (assembly GCF_000001405.40). Classification (NCBI taxonomy): domain Eukaryota; kingdom Metazoa; phylum Chordata; class Mammalia; order Primates; family Hominidae; genus Homo; species Homo sapiens. Next base: position 27,469,566 of record NC_000021.9, on the reverse strand, counting down.
AGGGAGGCAGCTTTAGAAATGTCTGATTGGTTCTGCTCTAGAAAATAAGAAATGACTTTGGCAATAGTTGTGATATTTTAGTGCCAAGAGCACTCCAACAGGTGCTAAGTGAAATTTTACACCACTGGAGTAGAGGATAAGGAAGTCAGAGAAATATGCAAAATTTTAGAGAATACATATTTTTATTTGGTTTTGTTTTAGGAGGCTCAGATATTTTGCTACATGCATTTGTGCCATTTCTGTCCTTTTAAATTTTACATCTTTTAGTTCAACCTGAAAATCAAAAGTTATATTTTACACATTTACTTAAAAGAATTATGAATATGCATCTACCTTTCTTAGAATTTATTCATTGAAATCAAGCACCGGATAGCATAGCAGTCAGAGTGGACCAAATTAAAACTAAGACCTGGTTACAGGAAAAACCCGGAATTGCATAGAAGAATGTCCCCCCAAATCAAGAAGGAGGTGAGGGACCAAAGAATAAGTCAGACAAGCCCAGCTTGGCTGGTAGATGAGTGTGGTACTCTGATTTTTATATTATACACAGTAATTCAGGAAATGCAACGTCAAGATATGCAATTATAGGAATCCTACCATAAATATCTAAATCATTTAAAAGCATAATGTCTTAGTTCATTTAGACTGCTATAAAAAAAATACCACAAACTGGATAGCTTACGAGTAACAGAAATGTATTTCTCACTGTTCTGAAGGCTAGGAGGTCTCAGATTAAGGCATTGGCAGATTCAGTGTCTGGTGAGGATCTGCTTTCTGTTTCATAGACAATACCTTCTTGCTATTCCTCACATAGTGGGAGGGGAAGAGTATCTCTCTGGGACTTTTTTTTTTTTTTTGAGATGAAGTCTCACTCTGTCCCCCAGGCCGGAGTGCGGTGGCGCGATCTTGGCTCACTGTAAGCTCCGCCTCCCAGGTTCCACGCCATTCTCCTGCCTCAGCCTCCCGAGTAGCTGGGACTACAGGCACCCGGCACCACGCCTGGCTAATTTTTTGTATTTTTGTAGAGACAGGGTTTCACTGTGTTAGCCAGGATGGTCTCGATCTCCTGACCTCGTGATCAGCCCGCCTCGGCCTCCCAAAGTGCTGGGATTACTGACAGGCATGAGCCACCGTGCCTGGCCAATACATGCTCTTTTCTAAACAGTGGAGGAAGAGAAAAGACCGGATATTTCCTGCAGCACTTAACAAAACCACAATTTCTCTCTTTTCTTCCCAGCCCTGAAAAGACAAGTTAGTCCTTACTTCGAAGGCCAGCTGAAGATTACTGAATGAGCAGTAAATAGCCATCCATTGTAGCCAGATCTCCAGTCAGTTGGCCTAATTCTAACATGGGAATTTTCTGTGTGCAGGTCCCAAGAATCCCCCAACTAGTTCCTTGTATTAGTTTATGTTTATTATGTGTTTTAAGCTATGATTATGTGGTTGGTGAAACTCACAAAACTTGAAAAAAATCCTGGGTGAAACTTCACTGGATCTTCAAGTAAAGTAGTACCAACCAGGACAGTAATTTTGCTTTTCTTTTCTATTGTTAGTTTTCTTTTTATTATACTTCGTGGAACTGTGTTAAAGCAACTGAGGTAAATGGTGTTTTGAATATTTTGATATGTCAATAAGATATAAAAAGTAAGACGTTTCAAAATCATTTACAAAATAGATTTACACTCAGAGGGCTTTTTTGTTATTTCTTCAAAGTTTCTTTTCTAAAGTATTTGTTTATCTCAGTCTATCTTTATAATAGAGAAAAACAGTAAGATCTATTTTCTCTAAAAATATAAATTTCAAAAATGTAATATGAGTGCCTATTGTAGGATCCATCAAACCTCCAGCTTAACAGACATTTCTTGAGCTCATGTGATTTTTGAGAAACTTGGCTAAATATTGTGAGGGGCTACTAGGAAAAACAGAACCCTCTATCTATGTTTAATAACATAAGTGCAAGAATAACTAGGATACACGATTGTGTAAGATAAGGGCCCTAAAATAGTTCAAACAAAGTTCATTGGAATTTCATGTCTCAGGAGGTTGTGCTGAATGGGAGGATCAGAGAGACTTTATGGATGAAGTGGTGTTGAGATGAGACTTGGAAGAGTTGCAAAAAATGAAGATGAGGTGGGAGCAAAATGCTAGCCTACGTGAACAAATACAAATGCAGTGCAAAATGAACATTGTCTTTAAAGAGTAGCAAGGAGGACATGTGGTCTAGTGATTGAGGTATACATTTAAAAAAATAGGAGAGATTGACCCTGGAAAGGTAAGTTGAACTGTCTGAGGAAGGCCAGATTGAGGGTAACTAGCCGGCAATAGTGAATCCTTGCGTGTTCTTGACAAGTGGGTGATAAATCATCCAACTGACATTTAAGAAAAATTATTCTAGTAGCATGGAATGTCCTGGACGTAAATTGAGGAGAAAGGAGCAGAGACACTGATTTTCAGGTTTTCCTAGATTACATGTTAGATATAAAAGTTGAGCTCACAACAGTTATGACGAAATAAAGGAAGGAATTAATTCAAGAGACTGAGGAAGTAAAATCAAGGTCACTTGTCAATTTGATTGAATATACAGCATGAGAAAAACTTTCTGACTGGAGAAGCGTATTACTTTACAATTCATTTCTTCAATAAATGTTTATCAACTGCATAAGTTAATTTCTAACTCTATTTGAAATCTAGACCTAGGTAAGGTAGAAATACTTAGTGATATATTTGAAAATGGTTTTTTAACTACTAGTGTTTTGGGTGTTTGTGGGTAAATTATGTATTTACATATGTATTATATATGCATATGCTCATATATGTATATATGTGTGTGTATAAACACAGTATATATATATACACACACAGTGTGTATATACACTGTATATATATATATACACACATACATAATTTTAATCACCCCTCTTACATTGTTGTCAAAAACGAACTCCATTTTAAACACATTAGAAGAATTATTGTAAATTGCCATCATATTATGAGTAGATCAAGTCTTGAAACTGATTACAGTTGTCATATTAATAACACTAATAATACAAAGCATTAGCTGAGTATTCTTTACGTGCTAAAAACTGTGCTAGAAACTTTACACAGATTATTTCATTGAAACCTCACAGCAAGTCCAGAAGGGGACGCTATTACAATCTTTCCTTTATAGATGAGGAACAGAGAAGTTTAAGAAAGTTGCTACACTCACAAGAGTTAAGAGAGAGAGAGAACAAGATATTAGGCAGTCAAATTGAAAGTCTGTGTAGCTGACAACTGGGCTCTTCTCAGTATTGGTCTTTAAGAGAAAGAGAGGTAGGTAATCCAGAGTTGACTCACAAGAGCACTGCTAGAATGCTGATGAGAGCTGACATAGATCAGATGCAGAACAATTTTAAAGGACTGGGAAGATTCGTCTGGTTAAAAAGAAGTCTTGGATAGTGAGGCAGGACACAGTGCATGTTTCCCGATATTTTTTCTAATTTGTTTCTGTCCTATCTCTAGAAAATAGAAAACACTACCCGAAATTGCTCCAAAATTTATCTCTCTTGGGTTGGCCCCAGTTGTCTAACGGCTAGAACTATTTAGAGATAGAGTGGGCCATATCCAGAGGCAATGAGTCCCCATGCCTGAATGCTACATTGGAACAGTGCTTAGTAGGAGCAGTGCACAGACAGTGCAGGCCTCATCGTAGGATTTTAAGTAGATGACATTTATATTTTGTTTACATCCTATTTTCCATCATTGTAAGATTATCAGTTAAGAGTATGATACCCTGGCTGGGCGCGGTGGCTCACGCCTGTAATCCCAGCACTTTGGGAGGCCGAGGCGGGCAGATCACGAGGTCAGGAGATCGAGATCATCCTGGCTAACTTGGTGAAACCCCGTCTCTACTAAATATACAAAAAAAAAAAAAGATTAGCCGGGCGTGGTGGCAGGCGCCTGTAGTCCCAGCTACTCAGGAGGCTGAGGCAGGAGAATGGCATGAACCCGGGAGGCGGAGCTTGCAGTGAGCCGAGATCGCGCCACTGCACTCCAGCCTGGGCGACAGAGAGAGACTCCGTCTCAAAAAAAAAAAAAAAAAAGTATGATACCCCAAAATAAATAGACAACTTGTTACTGTCAGCATAAACAACCCTTTACCTTACAGGGATATTTTGGGAGAAATTTGAAATAATCTGTGCAAAATGCTAGGCACATTGCCTCACGTATAGTAAGTTCTCTATATATATTGGCTGTTACTTTGCATTTTATTACCTACTTTTATGTATTTAAAACACTATTTCCTTAAAGACTGCTATTTCATATCCAATTTAATGTTATTCACATGAATGCAAGTTAATATACAGTGTCAAATAGAATGTTTCTAAAATGTAAATTAATGGTTTACATCTTTTAAAATTATAACTAAAGGATATAAATTAAAGAAATAGCCTAATTTTATAAAGACCATGCCAGTGCTTAATATTAACCAGATAAAACCATGAAATGAATTTCTGTTTCTGCTCCTTTGATTTAATATTACTACTTATTAAATTTTATATTATTTTCTCTACTATACAAGCCAAGGCACACATATTGAGAAGGATTATACTGTCTAGTCAATAATGATATTTTGTGGTAATAGAGTGGTTTCAAGAAGAATGTTTGCATTATTTCCATCCATAAACAGATAAATCTGTGGGCTGCAATGGGAGTGACTGGTATTTCCAGGTCTGTTTGATCATGCCATTAAGTAGGTGATTCATCTGCTGTATATCATTAAAATTGGGATGATTTTCTCACTACTGTGAGATGACAGCATTTCTATTCATTTCCCATTTTAACCAGTCAAGAAAAAACACAATAGCCAGAAATCACGTTAACATGTATTTCAGATACAAAAATAAATTGGAAAGTGTAATAGAGCTCTACTGCTTAGAGTTTAGTTTATGTATAATAACACAAGAGTAATTGATAAAAATTATAGCACTTACTATATATCAAGAAATGTGTTACATGCTTTGCATAGATTATTTCATGTATCCCTTGGAAATAGCCTGTTAAGTAAATGCTTTGATAACTGAGAGTAATTTTGTAAATGTATCTCTAGTTATTGGGGAAGTGGAAAAATTCTCTAACTTGATTATTTCACAATTATGGAAAGTTAGGATTTAAATGAAATATGATGATAATCTACTTAAAACCCTAATGTGAAGCTTGAGCCTCCTAGGGTCCAACATTGTTCAGAATTTAATGTTTGTTCAATATTGTTTACTATTCAAACACAGGGAACTCATTGTCTCTGGTGGCACATGGTACAATGTCAGATTGGTATTGATTATTTTTTGAATTAATCATCTGGGGTGGGGAGTGATATTTAGAGGAGAGGAAAAAAATACGTATGTTTGTGTGTGTGTGTGTTTATGTGTATATATAAAAGTATATTCATACATATGTAAATGTAATATAATAGAAATATACCTATAGAAGTATAATTATATATGTGTATATTATACATATGTATATTTTAAGAATAGTTACATGAAAAGTCACTAGATCTGTTTAGCTCCAGAAAACAATGATTTAGAATTAACAAATAGGTGTAGCTCTGAGATCGATTCTTAATGAAAAAAAAAAGGTAATAGGTCCTAAATTCTAATTATTTAATCTATGAAAGAGAAAAGAAGGGAAGAAGAGAAGAGAAAAAGAAGGAAGGAAATGCTTCGTAAGATGCTGAGTTTCTGCAATGGCCCAGTTCATTCAAATGTTGACCATTGTTTAAAAAGGGATTTGTGATGGGTTTAGATAAGACCAAAAAATTCATAGCATCCCTTAGAAATTCAATATTATAATATGTTTTTGCTTTAATACTACTTGAAGGCTGGAGAATTATTTTGTAGTAAAATAAAATATTTCCTCCCTCTTTTTAATGTCTAGATAATTTAAACTAAAGGAAATTTTCTAGCAGTAAGTGGTAATAGTTACAAAAATCTTATTTAGTTGGCTTAGATGGGAGAAATGCTAGAACTAACTGAATTTTTAAGATATGTGATATCCAGTTAAATCCATGTGTGTGTGTGTGTGTGTGTATGCATGTGATAAAATATACACAGACATATACACACACGTGTATTTAAGCATCACCACTACCACCATCAAAAACAAACTGGGTACTCAGCTTTTGGTCCAGTTATGTGTTGATTTGTTTTTATTGTGTCCCGGACGACTGAATTGTCAGCTGAGTTGAGTTGGGCATTGCTATATTAATATTTTCAAAGATGATTGATGATCAAAGCACAACATTTGAGAGACGAGAGTTCTAAGCATAGATGTTATCTGAGGTCAGATCAGAGAGATCTATGTCTAATCAACCAGGAACAAGACCGAAGCAGCCACTCCAAAGAGAGGTCTGGACAAAGAATTCATGTTGTAAACCAAACGCCAGGTGATTGCTCTGTTTTAGGTAAAAACATTTAAATGGTCAAAAAGTTCTGACTGTCTTGAAAAATTATGTAAAAGCCATATTATGAAAGTCTAAATATTTCATGAAGTTCTATTAACCTTAGGATGAAATACAGCTAGGCATTTAGCCTCAGGCATACATAACTTTTTATGGAAAATGCAGAACGCCAGTAATATCTTTGCAAGCTTATGCACATTCCTATTTATATGCATGTTTTAGACTCTTCATAGAAAGAAAGTAATTTACCCGAACACTAAGGTCACTCATAGGACACAATATCTTCTTACTTGAAAAGTTCCATATACAGATGAAAAATATGAGCTCAATAAAAGGGTAGGGGTTTTCCATTGTCTTGATTTTCAAATGTGTCAGTAGTAAAGACTTAAACCTCCAGAAATATTTTCCCTGAAAAAATAAAATCAATATTGGATCTTTGTTTTTGATGGCAAACTTTCTATTTTTCATATTTTGGTATTTTAAATTGTGATATATTTTTATTCATAGTGATCATGCTAATAACAGCAGAGGGAATTTGCTTAAAGTCAAAATTTGTACTTGCATCTTGAGAAGCCAAGACAATAATAAGTTAGTTATGCAATATTTCCTAGATTGGACAGCCTTTTAAAATAAAAACATCACCTAAAGGTCTGAATTTTGTTTTGTAATTTTGTTTTAGTTTCGTTTTTTGGTTGGTTGATTGATAAAACGACAAAAATACTTTTTATGTAATGGAAATTCTATAATCTGATCAGCAAGATATTACAGAGAGAATGTAAAGAAAAAATACACGAGGAATAATTATTTTAATGATAATCATTCAATTTAGAAAAAAAGATCTGTGTTTGCTTGTTAAAAAAAAGTGTGTGTGTGTGTGTGTGTGTCTCAGTAGAAAGAGCTGGAATTCCATTTCCAGGTGGAAGAAGTGTGTTAATGCATCAAACAGCTGAGAATTGCCAAGGCATTTCTGATATCGTGACAGCCCTATACTCACCCTCCCTGATAATGAGTTATAAATTACAACCTGCCTCTCTACACCCAAATGATCTTCTCCATCAATTGTTTGGACTAGTGCTGTCCAATAAGACATTCTGAGATGAAAATATCTGCTATCCAATTTTGTAGGTGTCATCTTCATGGGACTATTAAGTACTGGAAATATGTTTAGTATGGCTGAGGAAATGGCTTTTTAATTAATTGAAATTTTAATGTACATACCCTTATGTAGCTTATGTAGCTAGTGGCTACCATCTTGTTCAGCCCCTTATAAATGCAAACGTGGACATCGAAACTTGAAGAATTTTCCTTTTGCAGAAATCTTCCCTTGGTATAACCAGGTCTCCTTGGCCATTGCAAACTTTATTCTCAGCAACCCAAGCAACACTCTATATCCCCACACATCAAAAAGATCATGCCTTAGAGGCAAGCGAGTCTAACATCAAATAGGGGGATTGAAGTGTCATTGGGACTCAGTGGTAGAATTTTTTTCTGGTAGTATTATTTCAGCTACAGTGTGGGTCAATTGGCAGTCATGGTCGGTCTGCAAGCCTTAAATCATCTCCAATATGTGGCTCACTATTAAAATAAAAAAAAAAATTAAAAAAAAATTTTCAAGTGTTCCAATTTCCAACTATAATTTTGCAAACACATTTTTGCAATTATCTGCTTATCATTTGAATTTTCCAATTGGTTCTACTTATAATATATTGTTGGGGTTCTTGTAATGTGCAAGTGTATGTGCTAGTCACATGCAAAGGTAAACAATACAAAGCCTGACCTCAAAGAATTTGCAATCTCTGGCACACAGTGGTCAGAAAGAGCAAAAGTGTGAAAAGGCTAATGGCTGAGAGAAGTAATAGCTCCTTATGAGTTCAAAGGAATAGTTTAAAAAGAATATCTGAGAAAACAGAGTAACAAATTAAAGATTCTTGATTGCCTGGAGCCAAGAGTAAATAGCAGTGAAATATTGGAAGTAATACATATTATATTTTGTACCTGATTTTATTATAAATACTAAAACATTCTCCACATATGAATTAAAAGTGAAATCTCTGAATGACTCAAAAACTTGTGTGTAAATATATCCAAGTGCTAAAGATGCTCTATCCTCCAAATCACAGAGATTTCTTGGCATTAACAGGTACAGGCTTCATGGCCAAATTCTATTATTAGCACTAACTGGGTTCACTCATATAGATGACCTCAGAAAACCATTTATGAAAGAGACTGTATGGCTAACCATGACAGTAATATGCTAAAAAATGAGGTGCAGTCCAAGTTTATCAGAAGTAAATAGCAAGTCTTTCTGGGTGCAACAGCTAGATAGGGTTCACAGTTAGAATACAGGACCTCAGCAACAATATTAGCCCTATAATATCCATTATTTATTGAATAGCAATCTGATACCATACTGTGCTAGACTCTGTATTTGTAGTTTCAGTTAATCCTCATAGCAACTCTATAGGCCCTACCTCAATTATAATCATGTCCATTTGAGAGTTAATTAACCTTCCCTGATTAGTATGAGCAAGTGCTTCCATATAAATAAAGATCTTTAGACTCTAAAGCTCATACTCTTAATGAAAGTATCTTGCTTTCTTATACAAGTGAAGTCTGAGATGCACCATATGAAATTATCGAACTGGTTTGACCCCAAAACAATGGCAATTTCATATAGCTTAAACTGATAAAAGCAGTCTGTCTGAGCACTAAATACTATCTTGGAAGGTTATCTGCACGTACGATAATTTATTATGGGTGTCTCCAAGTTATCTAGAGAGTCTCACTTCCAAATGGAATTTTCTTGAATGATAAAAATCTTAAGCTAGCTCAGACAGGTTCTCACTGGGGGATGAGAGATACTCTTAATTCAGCCAGGAAAGTATGGCATAACGGAAGGGCGTAGTCTCCTGGCTGAAACTGTTTCTCCTATTATCCTATTATCAAGGAGTCACTCTGGCAGATTTATTTTTATTTACTTATTTTCTTGTAATGTGAAGATATGCCATCTTACTTTTCTATCACGTTTTCTTTTCTCAGTTTTAAATTTTGGTGTCTAGTTATGGCAAAACGATTTGCTGAAACAATGTATTTTACTCACTAGTGAAGAAACAAGAGATATTCAGGGGAGAGATGGTGAGATAGTCTTTTTTTGACTTCTTAGGTTATAGGTTTTGATAAGGCTACTAATGAAGTTAAACAAGGTTTAATCTCTTATTTCCTAAGGGGATAAGGAAACTAGAAAGAACGGTATGTTGGTCACTCAATCTAGACAAAGCTATGGTGTGATGGAAAAATATTATATTAAGACTCAGAAGACCTGAGTCCTATCTCTCTAGGACCCACAGAAAGTCACTCTTTTTTCCTTAGCCTGAGTCTCCTAAAACCTAAAATAGGGTCGATGGCCTTAATACCTACATTTCAGTGAAAATGTGAGTCTCAATGAAAAGGTATGACAAGGAGATTTGTAAATTCTAAAAACAATATGATTCTAGCTAGATCTTAACTGACGTCCATTACATATTTAATACGGGAGTAATACGTGTCAAATTTTTTTCAAAATAATTGTGTCGCATTTCATTAAAGATTCAGCTACATTAAATATTCTATAAACTCAAAGTGATATACTCAGGAAAGATGTATCAAAGCCTTAGAGTCTTTTAGATAATTTCTAAAATAGATATTGGTTTTATCTAAAAAAAAAAAAAAATCCCCAAAACCTTAAAAGTAGGTAATTGTTGGACCTCCAAATTATCATCTTCTATACCTGGTTGTGACTCAGATTTAAACTGTAACAATCTGTGACTAGGACTTAAAGGAATATATTTGTTCACACTTTTGTTGGAACTTTCTTTTCATGACAAGTTTCATTAGAAACTATTTATTACTTTTTTTTTTTTTTTTTGGTGTGGCTTAAATAAATATCCTTTGAACTCTCTGCCAAATGAATTTCCCTTTCTTTCATATCACCTGGATTTGCTGAGTAACATACTGGCTAAGGATGAGTATTGTCTGAATTCAGACTTTCAGTCCTAGTCCTAAATTAAATCTGTCTCTTCTCCTTAAGAAAAAGACATTTCAAAATGTCTCTGAATTTTTCTGTAATTATCTAGACCATCTGGAGATACAAATCTTGATAGGAAATTTATTGTCTTTTTCCAATTTGTCTTGTAAAAAGGAGTCTTTAAGGCTAGAAACACATATATGAGTCATTAGATTATTATTTAGAATGCAAATTCTTTACAAGAACTACTAAATTGCAACCATTTAATTGTATGATTAGTACAGTAAACATTTGAAAAGTCGCACCTTACAGAAAGTTATCCTGATAGTACAAGCAGATATGTACTCAATGTAGTATGTATGTTTTAATTTAGGGCTTTAAATAGTATGTATTTAAACAGATTGCTCAGAATCCACATTTCATATTAAAAATATAAATTAGGTATTCAAAGAGCGTAATAGATTTTTTTTTAATTTAAGTAAGTGGACTTTGATTAAATTGTTTGCTTTACTATAAACATATTAAGAAATAATTAAGCAAGAAAAATATATAATATATGAGGATTGGGATTAGGCAAATGAATACATTTAATATAACAATGTGTTAAATTATGTTTAGATTATTTGCCAACTAATGCACCTCAGCTTCTTCTGTAATAATTACAATATTGTTATACTGAGTGCAAAAGAATGTAATATTGAACAACTGTCAATTCCCATCTTCTAGTCAATCCCTTAGATTTTCTTTATAAAATGAATATGGCACTAGAATACCTGTAGCTCTTTCAATGGGTCTGTGGGAACATAACTTATTTTCTGAGTAATACTAAGGCATTATTTGTCTTTTTATTTTCATCCTCTTTCAAGTGTATGCTGGACTTCTCAGAGGTGACAACATGTGATGATATCATCACTAGGGCTGATATTGGAATGTGTTGCTGGTGTATTTTTTGTGTTTTACATTCTTCAGGAGTATAAAGAGGTCTTCAGAACAAAAGGCATAACAATTTGCTACTCTAGAAGAAAGTTTAACCCACCAATAGGAAGTACTATACCAGGAGGTTAGTAGAATGACTATGCTGCTTGACATTTACTTCCTACTTCTGAAGGTATAGGATTCTGATCTTCTAAAATTACATAATGTATTTGCAACAATATTATTTTGTCATTTTTTTCTCCTGTGGCACCTATAACTTGAGAGTTTTCAGATACATTTAATCAAAACAGTAGATGTGCTTGATAAAAATTTGTCTACCAAAAGAGAAATAAAAGTTACTTTTCTTATATTTAACATGTGTTAATATAGACTTTTCTTATATTTAGTACAAATTAAAAATTGTTTAATTTTGGCAGCTCATCTTTTGCTCCCAAATAGATGAAAGGCAAATCTCTCATCTCACCGACTCCAAAGCAACAGAGTTGCATCACTCACCCTGGCCTTATTTTTTTTTTTTTAAGCATAGACATTTTACACAGAAATTAAAGTGTTAAATCATTTTTAAACAACTCTGAAGTGGCAGTTTCTTTTCCACTATTTTAATTATGTTCCTTCAAAAGAAGAGAACATTATGTCCAATGGATAGGTTTCCTTATAGTAAAAAATTGGAGGAATCATTTTTTTTCATGGTGACACTATCCAGATCTGAATGACTTCATCAAAGAAGTGGGTCCCTTGCCATTAGCCAAACTAGAGTGTTCCAAGTATCCTATTCTAAGTTTCCAACAGAAAAATCACTTCTGAAGAATATCTGAGCATTCTTGGGTACACTTTCAGGCCTTCAGAGTTAATTTATTAACTAACGAACAGGAATCTTTCCTCCAAATGGGTTGTGAAATTATTATCAAATGAAATAAAACTAAGCTCAATTTTACTATTAGAGGTCAGAAACTAATTTCTTTTTATGTTATGCCTATCAATCTGGTTTAGTTAAAGCTTTCATAAGTTCTCATACTCAAAAGTACCCTGAAGATATTGGATTAAGGAACATATGTTAAAGAATATTGCTCTTAGAATCACATTATTGATTCAGCTGAATGGATGGTGATAAGAATTGTTGCTGCCCTTCCCAGATCCCCTTTGCTGGTCCCACCATTGTGAGTGCTGAGAATGGTATCCAATGCATTTTGATTTCAGAAAACTGCCTTTGAATAATGGTTGTTTCCTAGGGTTACACCCACCTCTACTGGAGGCCACCAGTAACTAATACCGTGTTCCAAAAACCCTGCCCCGCTGAAAACTCTCCTGTGATTTACAACTTACAATCATCCCACAGAATATCAGGCATGACTTATGAACGAGGCCATCTCACTAAGTGGGTCAGCTCACCAAGAAGCCCTGCATAAAGTTACATCAATAATTATAATAATCACTTCATTAACAGATGATTTATTGAACTCCCATTGTGTGCCACACAGTGTTAGGTGCTGGGAAAAATGGTACAAAAACAGAAAAGATCCCTGCCCGCTTGAAAGTTAAATTCAAATGGATGAAATAGGCAATAACCACAGAAGCAAATAAATAAATATTAATTGAGAAGTAATATGAAGGAAACTAACAAGAGCCTGAGTTAATGATGCTTTATATGAGAAGGTGGGGTGGCTGTACTAATAAGATATCCTGGCCGGGCGCGGTGGCTCATGCTTGTAATCCCAGCACTTTGGGAGGCCGAGGTGGGTGGATCATGAGGTCAGGAGATCGAGACCATCCTGGCTAACACGGTGAAACCCCGTCTCTACTAAAAATACAAAAAAATTAGCCGGGCGTGGTGGTGGGCGCCTGTAGTCCCAGCTACTCGGGAGGCTGAGGCAGGAGAATGGCGTGAACCCGGGAAGCGGAGTTTGCAGTGAGCCAAGATCACGCCACTGCACTCCAGCCTGGGCAACAGAGCGAGACTCCGTCTCAAAAAAAAAAAAAAAATTCTTCAAAAGAGAGACAGAGAACATAACTGTTCAAGCATAAAGCTCCATTCAGAGCAGAAGAAAAATTCAGAGTGCCTGCAGTAGTAAGAGCAGAAATTTGTCTTATTTCAGATTTGGTAGAACTTGTGGGCTCAGGTTGGTGAGACATGGGTACTTAAGGTCCACTCTGTGAAAAAATACATACGCAGTGATTATATCTCAGTGATCAGGGTCTGAAGAAAGAAAGACAGAGAGAAGGAAGAAAGGTGGGGGAGAGGGAAGGAAGAAGGAAGAAAGGGAGGAAGGAAGGAGGGAAGGAAAGGAAGGGAAGACAGGAGAGGAAGGAAAGAAAAAAGGAAAGGAAAGGAAAAAGGGAAGAAAAGGAAAAAGGAGATAAGAAAATGGGAGGGAAGGAAGAAAGGAGGGAAGGAGGAAGAAAAAAGAAAGAAGGGAGAGAAAGAAGGAAGGAAAGAGGAGAGGGAAGGATGGAGAGAGGAAGCAAGCAAGGGAGGGAGGGAGGGAAAAAATGTAATCCCAGCATACACTACAGACAAGATTTTATTGAACAGGAATAAATGAAACCTGCAAAAGAGGATCTCCACCAGCCAAATACATAGACATGTAGACTGTTTTCTTCCCCACACTCTATGGCTTTATGATAAGATGATCTAACACAGTGTAAGAAATTTATTTAGTCTTTATATTTGTATGTCTATATCTATGTATATAGATATATGTGTAATATGTGGGTATATGTGTATACATGCATACATGTATTTATCTAGAAATTTTTGTTTACTTGTTTTTTATTTTAATCAAATGGGGGAATCAATCTTTCTCAGATGTTTAACCATGGCCATAAATTTCCAAGTTAAGAAACATTTAGTCCTGCTCAAGTTAACTTTCTGAAGTTAACATCATATAGAAACTACCCTAGTTCTACCAAATGGCTAAATTTAAAATTTTGGTGCCACAGGGGACAGAAACCAAATAAACAGCATTTACTTCATAGAGAATTTCAACCTGAGGCTTAATTCTATCTTGGAATGTTAGTTTTATTCACCTGCCCTTGTAGCCACTGGCATTCATTTGTCACATCATGTGTAAGAAGGATAATAACATGAGCTGGGATTGGAGAGAGTTAACTGGGTCCCACAGGACATGGTCTAAACTTTAGTCCCATATACCTAATAAGAGACTGATGTCTACAATGGGAGCACAGACTATATTAAGTAAATTTACTTTTATAAGAGATAGAAATGATAAGTATGCTAAGGAATTTCCATGTAACTTCCAGACAAAATAATACATTCAAATTTAGTATTTAGCAAATTTTAATTCTACTTAAATGATGTTTCAAAGGTACTTCCACACAGTAAATTTGTTTGTAGCCCTCATATTTATTCATGATGATAATCAACAAATATGTTTAATTTTGATTGAGAAATGCATACAATTTTTATATATACTTTCTTTTATTCACTGGTTTTTAATACTTTGAAAATATTAATGTGTCTTGCATTTGCATTATCTTCAATAGTTTGAGTTGATGATTTCTGTTTGTTGACAGATTAATGCTTTTTCATTCTAAAGTAGAAATTAAAGCAGCTGAGTTATGTGCACTTTTTATTACATTGCACTGTTTCCAATTGGGGTCTACGAGAATAGCAAGATGATTCAATATTAATTGTATTTATTTCACTAATTTAAATATTACTCACTACGTATCCTGCTATTCTTCCTCCATCTTCTATTGTAAAGGAACCCCAAAGGCAAAGATGACTGTTGAACAGCTCATGTATTTTGTCAAGCAAAGTGTATAGGAAACAATTGTTAACTTAGCCTTCTATTCCATTTCAACTGTTGAGATACTGTGATGATTAATTGTAGGTGTCAACTTGACTGTGTTGAGGGATCCCAAATGACTGGTAAATAATTATTTCTGGTTGTGTCTGTGAGGGTGTTTCTAGAGGGGATTTGCATTTGAGTTTGTGGACTTAATGGGGAAGATTCACCCTCAATGTAGGTGGCACCATCCAATTGGTAAGGGGCATGGATGTTAAAAAACAAAAAATGCAGGGGAAGGAGAAATTATTTCTCTCCAGAGCCTGAACACTCTTCTGCCTTTAGAAATCAGAACTTCAAGTTCTCTGACTTTTGGACCCCAGGCCTGGCACCAGTGGTCCCCGGGGCTCTTGGGCCATTGCTTTCAAACTAAGAGTTCTCAAGCCTTCCATCTTGGACTAAGCCATACTAACGGCTTCCCTGGTACTACAGCTTGCAGACTGCCTATTATGGAATTTCTTAGCTTCCATAATTATATGAGTAAATTCTCAGTCTCTGTAATTGTGTGATTCAATTTCTCCCTAATAAATCTCCTTTCATATATCTATTTATATATATCCTATGTTCGATCTCTCTGGAGAATTGTGACTAATACAGACAAAGAAAAAACACAAAAATATCACATAGTACCTTAATGTGCTAGGAATTCTATATTTATAATAGGTCAACAAGTGGTGGAAGAAAGGAAAATTAAATTAAGTAAATAAGTGTACATATCATCTTAGCCCCTAGTCATCAAATAGTAAGTCCTAAGAAACTTAGAGTGACTGCTTATTTATACCAAATTGTTTCTTTTCTCTCTTCCTATGTTAATATTTTGTTCCTATGTCCCAGAATTATTGATGTATTTCACTCTTCATTAACCATAACTTTTTAAAGAATGATACTTCAAATCTTGGAATTAACACAATTGTCAGACTTGGAAATTACTCATTGTAACCTGTATAAATCTATAAATACTTTCATGTATTTGTAACATATCTTGGATTCTAATAGCTGTTATTATATTTTCTACCTTCTGACAGACATCAAAATAATATAATAAGTTATTTTGCCTCTTTGACTACATATTTTTATTTATTAATTAATATGCCACACATCTCTGGAGATCTTTTGAGTAGAAAATAAAGAGTGCATGAGACTTTTGGGTGTACCTCTTTGGGAGAAGTTGAGTGAGTCTTTATGTAAGAAGATGAGAGAAAAGGAAGTACATTGCAGACTGTAAGAGAGGACTGTAATGAAGAAAGGGTACTCAACAAGCACTCTGGTTACTTACTGTTCTGTGTGTTTTCCAGTCACCTTGGTTGGGTTCACATAATTATTCCTAGCTAATGAAATGTAAGCAAGAGTAGTATGATCCACACTGGAGGTGAAGTAATAAAAAGTTTATACACAATTCTCCATTTTCTCTCTTAGCTTACTGAGCTTACATCAAGGCCACATGTTGAAGATGGTATAGTTACAAGATGATGAGCTATGAGGCAGCACACAACCATGAAACCTTGTGATTGAGGTGGTAGAGCCTCCATCAAGCAGACTGGAGCTGCTAATGTGTGCCCTGTGTGAGCAGAGGCAGCTGCTAATGCGCATGGGGTATGTGGCATGAGCAAAATACTAACTTCTGCCTGATATACGGGGAACTGTTTGTTACTGTAGCATACAGGAATTCATACTGACAAATACAGATGTTGCCTCAGTTTTCTGAGATTAATTCAACTTCATGGGAGATATAGGTATAGATATAAAGATATGATTTCTAAATTATATATATTAAAGTATATGTATATATATTAAATGTATAGCTACATATACTTAATAAATATATATATAAAATAAACAGCTACATATACTTAAGAAATATATATATTAAATAAACAAAAGTAGTATTAGGGTTTAATAAAAGATATTCATTAATATTGGTATCCACTTACAAATGGCTTGATCACGTTAAATCAGTCAGCTAAATTTAAGATACTATGTCTTCTATCATTCAATGACCCAGAATTTATAAATATTTGTTTATCTCAATACTATTGGTTTGAGACTTATTATTTAATTATGGGTCTCAAAAGATAAATCATTAGGTTTTCATAGTAGCTGACCATATTTCAGTAGAGAATGTTTACCTCATGGGACATGTTCATTTTAAAATGTTCAATTTTAGTTTCAAGTGCTGTAACTCACTGAAATGGCCCTGGTTCCAAAGGGGTATTTAATTAATTCTTTATTGAGTCTGTGCAAAAATAATGGCTAATATAAAAATATTAGACCCGTCACTTGTCATCTGCCCATGTTGTTTGCATTCCTTAGAAACTTGGCTCTTGTTCAGTTTCTTGGTGACATTGACATTCTTTTAGTTAACATCCTATCTGTTGTCTGTTACATGTCCAACTAATATCTCAGCAAGAATTTATGGAAATTTGTTATAGAACAAAAGATGTGGTATAAAAAGAAATTAAAGTTGATAGTGTTTAGAGGGCATATAAAAGAGCTGTAAGTACAAATTGTGACAAATCACTAATTTGCCCAAGCTTGTTACTTTAAAACAATGTGCCAGGCAATAGGTAACTTAGAGACAGAAAGAGACAGAACCTACTGGGTCGGGATGATTCAATCAAAGAAACAGATCTAGTAGGAGAAGCAGTACCTACAGGGGTTAAGGAGGGATTTTTTTTTTTTTTTCAAGGAATTGGCCTGCATGTTGTGTGATTATAAGATACAGTCAGGCAAGTCCGAAAGTCCAAAATGTGTAGGGCAGGCCATCAGGAAAGGCAGGCTACAAGTTTTGGGCACAGTCTGAAGCTGCTGTCGTCATGCAGAATCTCTTATTCTCCAGAGATACTTCAGCTCTGCTCTGAAGACCTTTCAACTATTAAATCAGGCCTACTCAGATGATCTAGGGAAACTCCCTCAGTTATAGTCAGCTAATTATGTATTTTAATCATCTCTATAAAATACCTTCCCAGAAACACCTAGATTAGTCTTTGATTGAATAACAGAGGACCATAGCCTGGCAACACTGGTAAGTATAAAAAGAACAATTTGTCCTGCTTAGGAGCACCTGTTTCGTACAGAAGAGGAACCACTCAACCAGAAAGTAAAACGTAGTTACTTTGTGCTTTTGTAGCAAATGAGCAGACAAAACGAAGAGTTATTATACTGTTGAGGGGTAATTCAGCTTGAATATAGGAGCTGAGGTTGCTGCTACTAAGGAGGGTAAGAAGGTCTACTTTCTGAACATGAGGCATTAAGTAGGGCATTCATTTCATGGTGCTTGTATTCTCAGCACTAGTTGTAAGAATACAATTGCAGCAACCACAGCTTTGCGAATATAAAGCAACTAAGACCTTAGATCCTTTGAGGATGAAGACTGATATTATCTGACTAAGCAAACAACCTATGCATCCCACAGTGCTGTTCAAAGGTGAGGGAGATATAGAAGGAAAAGTGGAGAGAAGAGGCAATGAAAACAATGATCAGTACCAGTGGCTGTACAGGAGACTGGAACTTACTTCACTAATTCTTCAGTGTGAAGGCTTTAGAACAGATTACAACTGGTCCGCATCCTTGAAGTTTCTCTCATGAATTTGACTTAATGGAGCTCGTTAGGGGGATATCTGAGCAAAGATGCACCCCATAGGACACCTCTTATATTTACTGTGAAGTCCTCTCAGCTCACCTCTACTCCAGCTGTACAATCAGCTTCACAGAGCTGAACCTGACAGCATCTTGCTTCAGCTCTGCCAAGAATCTCTTAGCATTTTTCTCAGGCTTTTCTGAAAGGGATCTGCCTGGTACAGGTGAGGCTTAAAAAAAACCTCGTAATGTAGAAAAGCTAACATCTCTTGGGGATACCCTTGACCACGGGAGGATTAAAGCCAGTGAAGGAAAGCCCATGTTTTCCCTCCCTCATGCAACTTTAAGGTGGCCAACGATTGAGCCCCAGCTGTTTAAAGTTATGACCAACTTTGACCTCTTTTCCTGTTTCACATGGTTTACTCCTATTCTTTCAGTTCTTAACAGAAAACAACCAGAAATTGAGGTTAAACCATCTGACCATATACTAAATACTGTGTATGCTTCATGTGGTAGAAAAACTTTAATAAACTAAGGTACCATTTCTGTAGTAATAAAGAATGAAACATCAACATTAAAGACATATTTTTGATGAAAAATATATTGTTAAAATAATTTTGAAGTTACTCCTAAGAGCCTACCATTTGAACAATAATAATTCACAAGTGACAGTTAACCACTGTTTACATATCCCAAATATTTTATTTGTAAGCAAAGAGGCAATTGCCTAGTTCCTAGACTCAGAACCTGAAGAGGTTACACGTTTTAGAAAAAATTGACAATGTTACATTATGGAGTTTAGTCAAATTTATCTCCATTTGCATGCACACAAATCACAATTCGACAGAAATAGTTTGTCCAATTACTAGAATAATTTTTAATTTACCTAAATTTAGAATATATTTAAGATCATAGCACAATTTCATAATAAATATGTTACGTTTGAAATATATTATTTAATAAAAAAGCATATTTTCATCTGTTTCAGAGAATAGCATTTTACTGTCCATGAGATTAAAAAAATCTCACATTTGATACAGCATTTTTCAAACCCAAGTTACATTAATATTTCTCAAAATATTATTTCTTTACCAAAATGAAAATTAGTTTAACATATTTGCTTTACCCTATTGTAGAACTTCCTTGAAACCTATGTTATTTATTGCTAACATTTTCAAGGATAATGGTTCTTGACAGACCTTTTAGAATAGTTTATTTACCCTCAAATGTTGTCTTGAAATTTACTTTACTCATGGTATTGTGAATAAAGTTATCCCTAAGGGTATCTTTTCTGCTTTGATAAACAAAATACTCCGTTTGTGAGATTAAATTCATGCATATCAATTGCTTTTCTTTTATCTATCTGCCTCATTCCCGCCAGAGAATTAAGTAAGGCAATCTAGAAAAAGAGGCAAATAGGCTATAAGATCACGGAGGGTAAAAAAAGGTGGTAAATAGACGGTATTTTATAGACTCTCTAATTTGGGAATTGTACTCTATTCTTGATATTCATCCAATTGGCTAAGATTTGCCTTTTATGAGTCTAATCCCTGACATCTCGACCGTGGGGAAGCACATAATTGTAGGATCTTCCTATTTCAGTAGGGGAAGGAAACTACTCAGCCAGATGAACGTCAATTGGGCCGGAATTGCTGCTGAATAGAGGCTCACCTTAAGTGGGAAGGAAAATGTGCTGGTTGCTAAGCTACTGATAGGCTTTGCCCTTCCTCTGTTTAATGGGCAGTCACTGGGTCAAGGCACAAATGATGACGTTAAAGCTGGCGTTTCTTTGCTAATTGAATGGTTACATAGGAAATGTCTAAGGGTTTCCTCTAAATTAGTTGTTCCTCCTTGCTATTCTCTGACCTTCACTCCCAGGATGAAGGGTGACTGGAGGCTAGGAGATGGAATGAATGGAAGATTTACTAAATAGTAAAATTAGCTAACATTAAGATGCTATAGCTGTATAAAAAATGAATTTGTCAGCATTTAAAATAGTTTATAATAAAAAACAGGAGGACATGTTTCAAACATATTGGTTTATATTGTTCATCCTTTCCACGTCATTATTCCTAATGGCAAAAGGTTGTGAGCTCTTATCCTTGGGTCTTTGCTCAAATTTGAAATGCCATATCCTTTTAAGATTAGGATAACAAGGTGAACCTCAGAAATTAATAGGCACAACCCCAAGGCACAAGATATGCAGCCTCCTCATTGCTTGTCTCTTGCCCACTCACACACATAGAGTAGCATGTTATGGCACTTACACTAATAAAGCCACTGCTATCAAAGTTCTGGACTTGATTTCCAGCAGTATTAGCTCTGTTTTACCCTCAAGCTTCTGGGTTAGTGGGTTATTGCTCACCAAAGAAGTTCTGGTTGGAAGAAGAGGTAAGATATCTCCAGAGCCGCTGAGAAGAATGAGTAAGGTAAGAAGTCTTTGTGATTTCTGAGCCCTGACTGCATTCAGGCATTGTTCTAGGGGCTGGGTATACAGTGGGGAATGAAGTAGACATGTGTCTACTCCCATAATGTTTCCAAGTTACTCAGAGTCTGAAGCTGGACTCAGGCTAAGGCACCCAGGCTGATGTTATCATTGAGATTTATGGGATGGGATTTAGGAGAAACTGGGGCTGTCAGATGTATTGTGAGCTGAGAAGAGTTGGATTTTCCAACTGTGAGGGGGAGAACGGTGCTTTAAAGTTATTATTTCACTGAAAGAGCTATCACTTGAAAGTTACTAATATTGTGTTTCTACTGTTGGTGACATTTATCTTGCAGCAACTCTCTGCTTTGAAAAAAATTACTCAAATGGTCATTATAAGACCATTACTTTAAGACAAATATCTTTCTAAATTCTTGAGAATGGTTGGCAAGATATTTGTTGATGGCTGGACTCAATTCAGATGGAGCTGTGTTATCTCCATATTTCTTTGCATGCATATCTTAAATGTTTCCATGTATGCATTTGCAGTATTGTCTAAGCTTTAAGGAGTCATCTGGGATATAGATGGACTTTACTTTGTGGTTTACAGGTATTGAAACTTATGAAGATAACTGGAGTCGTTTCAATATAGACCAGATAAAGGGAAGGAAAATAAAGCATTGAGTTAAAATACACACACACACACACACACACACACACACACACAGCATTGATAACAGTGACAGATTTTGTTTTTGTGCTTAGATTTTGGCAGTTGACCTTGATAATAACTGATAAATGTGTGATAAACAGTCAAGCATTATTAAGTGCTCTGAATAAATATAAAGCCAGGGAGGGAGTGATGGTGATGGAAGTTGGGTAGATGGTCATAAAAGATCACGTTGAGGTGGTTACATTTGAGTAGAAATCTGAATGAATGAAAGCATCTTGCCATTTGAATGTCTCAGTGAAAATTACCTCAGGGAAAAGTCTGTTTAAGAAGGAGACAGGACTCCAGCTAGAGTATAGTCAGCAGAGGGGCTGGTAAATGGAAATGTGATCAGAGGGTAGCCAGGGGTTAGAGCACAGCGAGCCTTGTAAATCAACATACATATTTGGAATTTTCTTTCTAATATTAAGGAAGGCCAATGAAAGATTACATTCCTGGAAGTGAAATGATCTGATTTGTATTTTAGAAGAATTTTGTTACATACAGTGTGAATAAATTCTAGAGGGACAAGAATTGAAGCAGAAAGTTGAGTTAGAAAGCTATTTCAGCAGCCAAGATGAGAGATGGTCTTAGTTTGGACTAAAATAATAACAGTGGAGATGATAGAAGTAGTTGGATAATGGAGCTGTTTTGAATATAGAGATCCCAGGATTTCTACTGGATTGCATGTAAGGAGTACAAAAAAGGGAGTCAAGCTTAACTTCAGATGTTTTGATCTGAACAACTGGGAGCTTAATGGTGCCATTTTCTGTGACATGATACTGTGATAATTTTAGGTGTCAATTTGACTGGACCATGGCATGCCCAGACAGTTGGTCAAACATTATTCTGAATGTGTCTGTGAGAGTTTTTCTAGAAAGATTAACATTTGAATCAGCAGAAACATTTGAGTGGGTAAAGCAGACTATTCTCCCTATGGTGGATGGGCCTCATCCAGTCAATTGAAGACCTGAATAGAACAAAAATGCTGAGTAAGAGATGTCTGTTTGCCCGCCTACTTGATCTGGGACATTGATATTTTTCTGCCTCCAGACTAAAACTAAAGAATTGAGTCTTCTCATGTCTTGAGCCTTCCAGCTCTCTGACGGGCACTTACACCATCGTCTCTCTTGGTTCTCAGGTCTTTAGATTCAGACTAGAACCACACCATCAACTCTCCTGGTTTTCAAGCCTTTGGACTCAGACTGGAACTAGGCCGTTAGTTCTGCTGGATGTCGAGCTTGCTCACTGCAGTTTTTAAGACTTCTCGATCTCCAGAATCACATGAGCCAATTCCTTATAATAGTACTCTACCATCCATCTATCCCTCTATCTATCTGTCTGTCTATCTATCTATCTATCTATCATCTATCTATCTATCTATCTATCTATCTATCTATCTATCTATCACAGCCAAGTATAAAGGGGTGCCCGGAGAACCTCTGTACAGTCTGTGCACTGGGAGAACAAGGTGGAGCCACCGGAAGTTCATGCCGTCTGCAGTGGGGAGGAGCCTGGCCCCTCCTCTTCCTGTATGGGAAACTGGGATTCAATCTATGAGATGAGGGCCTGTTAACAGGAACCCCTCTCTTGCTTTCCCGTGTTGTTTTCCTTTCTCCTTTTCGCCCAAGAAATTCCATCCCCCTTACCCTTCAAAGTGTCTGCAAGCCTAATCTTTCCTGGTTGTGTGACAAGAACCCAGATTTTCCTACAAGATATCTATGTATCTATCTATGTGTCTACCTATGTATCCATCTACCTACCTACCTACCTACCTACCTACCTACCTACCTACCCATCCCTATTGTTTCTGTTTCCTGGAGAACCCTGACTAATACAAAACTCTTGGGAAAAGAAGAGAATTTTATTTGCTCATTTGTTTTTGTTTTCATTTCTTCTATCTTGTGGTGTGCAAAGAATTAAGAATTATATTTTAGAATGGCCAAGATTGTTTTGATTATTAAGTATCAAAGTGGAATTATATCAGAGGCATTGGCTTTTACAGTCATGGGAAAAACAAACTGGGAAAATACATGTCGAATTTATCAATGTAAAGGCTTTGAAAGAAATAGTACTTGGCAATTACTTCTGGAGGACGATTAACTGTCAAAATATACTGACTTGGAAAAGTAAAAGGAGGACTGAGAATTGGCCATTGAATTTGGAAACTTTGATATCATTCATGACCATGAAAAGAATAGTTTAAAGACAGTGGTGGATGCCAAAACCTGACTGAAATAAGGTCAAAAAGTATAGATGGGAAGAAGAGAGTATACATATAAATTACTTAGTTATCATTGAGAGTTATGATATAAAGAAGAAGATATAAATGGGATGGTAGGTAGCGATAAATATGAGATCATGGTAGATATGTGGGTTTGTTTGATTTTTAAAATTGAATCTATGCTTTAAAAGAAGATAGAAGCTATGGAAGCATGTTTGCTAATAGGATCATCCAGTAAAGAAGGGAAAACTGTTGATTGAGGAAACATAGGACATAATTGCAAGTGAAAATAATAATTGTAAGCAAGATGCAAGGAATCACATCAATTTTTAGAGGAGGTGTCTCAACAAAGGAGTAAAGTGAGTGAGTCCACTGAAACAGTGTAGCAAAAGCAGAGATACACTGAGAAAATGTGAGGCTAGAGTTATCTTTGGCTAAACCTCTTGTTTCTATTTTACTTGTTTTAGTTTGAAATACAGAAATTGTTGGATTTTAAATTTGCCAGCCTGCAAATAACTGGCCTCCCAGTCAGTTTGTATTTCAGGTTGCATGCAGGGAATGCCTTCCTTATCAGAATCATGGTTTTTGTTACGTCTGCCTGTAGGCTAATTGAGCCCGTATTTATCTTTCTCATAGAACGATGTGGAAAATGGCCAAAAACATCCAAAATGCATTGACATTTTCAATACTTAATTAGTATTGCTCTTAATTCTATTGTTTCAGTAAACACTTGTCAACAATCATTTTATTAAAAATTTTATTATCCAATTGTTGTTTATTGATTTTATGAAATAGTTTTTCTGTGTCATAACAGGGATCAAGAGCCTGCAAAATCTGCATCCTCCCTGCCTGTCATTCAAACCACTGCTGTAGTGGCCACAATCGGTAGTAATACAACATCCAAGATAGCTCTTGACGCCCTGCCTTTGATCCATGAGGAAGCATGCTATAAAAATTGGGCTTCCCAGGCCAGGCGCAGTGGCTCACCCCAGTAATCCCAGCACTTTGGGAGGCCGAGGCGAGCGGATCACGAGGTCAGGAGATCGAGACCATCCTGGCTAACACGGTGAAACCCTGTCTCTACTAAAAGTACAAAAAAAAAAAAAAATTAGCTGGGTGTGGTGGTGGGCACCTGTAGTCCCAGCTACTCAGGAGGTTGAGGCAGGAGAATGGTGTGAACCCGGGAGGCGGAGCTTGTAGTGAGCCGAGATTGCGCCACGGCACTCCAGGCTGGGCAACAGATTGAGACTCTGTCTCCAAAAAAAAAAAAAAAAAAAAAAAATTGGGCTTCCCTTCCAAGTGCATACTTTCCAGAGGTCACTTCAGATGTGGCCATGGAGAGGGAAGAATACAAAGGAAACTCCCACTGCTGTAACAAAGTATCAAAAACTGGGTGGCTCAAAATTACGGAAAGGTATTGTCCCACAGTCCTGGAGTCTAGAAGTCTAAAATCAAGGTGTCAGCAGGGCCATGCTCTCTCTGAAACCTGTAGGAAAATCCTCTCTTGCCCCTTTCTAGCCGCTGATGGTTTACTGGGCTGGCAATCTTTGGTTTTCCTTTGACTGTGGATACATCACTCTGATCCTCCATCTCCACGTCGCATTCTCCCTGTGTTCCTTGTCTGTGTTTCTTTCCTCTTCTGAGGGCACCAGTTGTATTGGATTATGGGCCTACTCTACTCTAGTGTGACCTTGTCTTAACTTATTAAATCTTCAATCACTACACTTCCAAATAAGGTCACATTCTGATGTACTGGGATGTAGAACTTCAAAATGTCTTTTCTTGGGGGTCACAATTCCGCTCATAACAGAACAAAATCTTAATGAGACCAGTGGCTTACTCTGCTGCCCGGTGGAGTTGTCTCAGTTCCTGCCCAGCTGCATTTGATAGTTATTATGGCTTCAGTGAGCCTTCTATATCTGGACTCTACCCTTTTCTAAACAAGAGGTTAAGTTCAGCTATCTTGGGATTACTCCCCCTTTGGGTATTGGCTTTGTATTAGAAGAAAGGGCTTAGAAATAGTTTGTATTTTAGGTTTCTGGGTACTGGCTATGATTCCACTCAATATCATTGTAAAATGCTGGGCACTCTTATTAAGCAGTTGCATAGAACTTATGAGTGGTTGCTCGTGGAGGTTGGGGTGCATATTTTATAATTGGAAGACTGATATAATGAATTTGTGGGGTATCCAGAGAAGTGGACAATGGCAGCAATAGTTATACCCCAATAGCCCTTCTCCTGGTTACCTTAATGCTAATAAATTATTCTTAGGATAGCCCTTGGCCACACAAAATAAAGGCTGAAATTTTCTGAGTTCCAAACTTGTGATGGTAAATATTGAGTGTCAACTTGATTGGATTGAAGGATGCAAAACGTTGTTCCTGGGTGTGTCTGTGAGGGTGTTGGCAAAGGAGATTAACATTTGAGTCAGTGGACAAGGGAGAGGCAGACCCACCCTCAATCTGGGTGGGCACCATCTAATCGGCCTTCAGCATAAAAGCAGGAATGGAAAGAGCAGACTGGGTGAGTCTTCTGGCCATCTCACAGCTGGATGCTTCCTGCCTTTGAACATTGGACTCCAAGTTCTAAAGCCTTTGGATGCTTGGTCCTACACCAGAGATTTTCCAGGAGCACTCAGGCCTTCTGCCACAGAACGAAGACTGCACTGTCGGTTTTCCTACTTTTGAAGTTTTGGGACTCAGACTGGCTTGCTCCTCATCTTGCAGACTGTCTATTGTAGGACTTCACGTGGTGATCCTGTGAGTCAGTACTCCTTAATAAATTCCCCTTCATTTATACATCTGATCTATTAGTCCTGTCTCTCTTAAGAACCCTAATACACCTTGCAACTAAGTTATGGGCATTTGGATGTCAGAAGAATTGACGTGTGCAACTTTAATACCGTATTATTTAAAGGTTCTCTACCCCCACCCCAACCTTTGTCCATGCTGTTGCTTGAAATCAAGACTTGCTTTTAAGCTATCTTGGGCTATGTATCAAGATCATTATCCTAAGACTAAACAAACAAGCAGAAAAGAATGCATCCGGGATGAATATATAGGTCCACAACAAACAGTGGAGACAAAACAAGTATAACACAGAACTGCTATATTTGGGGGTTTCAGCAGGAACTCTATGTAAGTCACAGAAGTCAAATAAGAATAAGGTTCTTGAATGGGCTTTTCAGACATTCCAATCTCTTGTCTATAATACAATAGTCACTAGTACTAATTATTTGAAATAAATAAGCATCCCTAGAGTCCTCAGACTTTTTGAGGATGAGAGAAATAAATATATTTCTTGAGATTAGCAGAGTGGAAGTTCTGAAATGTTTTACATTAAGTATTAGAAGCTGCTATTTTGTTGTGTAATATGATTAGATAAAGAAAAGCCCAATAGTTACATATTTTATATTTATTTTACACCTAAGATTCTAAGCTTGGATCACGATTGCTTTATAGGCTGTAATAAAAGCTGGTCAACTTTAGAATCCTAGTTGATTAAGAATCCAAAAACCCTTCTAAATGTTAATCATGCTTATGGAGACCAGTTGGCAATCAAAATCCAAATATAAAATTTGAAGAAAAATGACCATAAAATTTGACAAGTCTAGGATATACTTAAGGAAGCTTCTCCAACCAACTAAACACAACATGGGATGTGGAAGGGTTACATAGCAGAATGGAATGAGAGGAGAGGTACACCTGCAAAAAGTCACTTTATAAAAATTTGCTAAGAGAATAGATCTTAAGTGTCCTTACCACACACGCATACAAACACATACATAAACACACAAATAGTAACTAAGTGAAGTGATGGAAGTGGTGATTAACTTGATTGTAGCAATCATTTTACAATTTTTCATATATCAAATCATCACATTATATACTGTGAGTATATTAAAAAATTATGAATTACATCTCAATAAAGTTAGAAAACAATAAAAATAAAGTTAAAAATAAAATGAAAGGGTTGAAGGTAGGGTAATACATAGCTATGCTCTATAAAAATGACATTTAGACTAAAACCTCTGTCAGATTTAGATTAGGTAAAGGAAAGATGGTTTTGTAAGATTTTGTGGGCTTTGTAAATTCATCTGTTGACTTCCACTCATAAGAGGCTATTGCTATCAGAAGAAGCAGTCTAAGATAGGCAATAATTATCATTACTCTCATTTCATACAAATGTTCTCTATAAATAAACTCAAGTACAATATGTCACTTTAAAGTGGTATATATGACACAGACATGGGGTTTTTAAGTCTTACGTGTAAAAATGCATTTATTTTAAATAAATTATAGATTCCTTTGTTGAGTTCCTCCCTTAAACATTAAAATGTCTTTCTTAGGGTTGTGTAGAATAAAAGATATAGGAGAAAGATTGGGAGCTGAAGGAGCTGCGTGTTACATTTGCATTTCAGAAGATAGTGAAATGGGAGCATTCCCCCTTTAAGGACAGGGGTGTGGCTGGCATGTTTAGTCACCTACTGCTTAAATCCTTGGTGGGAGGGGGATCATGGAGACAGGCAGAGGCTGGGGGTGAGTGCTTTGGGGTCTAGCCCCAAGGTAATGTCTACGAGTGGGTGCCTACAACCCCAAAGCTCTTTCAGCTTTGCCACCCACAGACAGCTTGAGTATTAATCAACTCAATGGACCCTCTGCCCTTACAAAAGGGCAGAGGGCCACTGTGAAAGCTTTCTGTATCCTGAGCTTTTGTGCATTATCCCAGAAAAAATCAGGTCACACTCGGGCTTGAAGGATAAATGTGAGATTTTGAGTGATGGAGGTGGCTTTCAGTAGGATGGAGGGGGAGCTGGAAGGTGGGGATCAAGTGAGAAGGTGGTCTTCACCTGGAGGTGGCTTTTGATGGGATAGATGGGGAGATGGAAGGTGGGGGATGGAGTGAAAAGGTGGTCTTCCCCTGGAAGAGGGTCACCCAGCAGCTGGATTCCTCTCCAACCACCCCCAGTCGAACTCCTCTTGGCATTCAAATGTTCCTCCTCTTCTCTCTTTCTCTGCCACATCATTCTGCTGTCCGTCCATCTGCTGATCTGCTGGCTTGCCTGGGTTTCAGGGATTATATGGGTGCAGGGTAGGGGGTATGGCAGGCCAAAAGGCAACTTTTGGGGCATGAAAACAGAAATGCCTGTCCTCATTTAGGGACTTGGGTCTTCAGGCTGGAGGGTAGGGCCTTTTCCAGGGAACAGCTCTCTTCTACACAGTATTTCCCTGTCTCCTGTGCATATCAATAGGGCAAATGTTCAGATTTCAGTTAGAATTAAATCTTTGCCTATATGTATTTCATTCCCAATTCATTTATTGAATTTATTTTAACTCATAATAAAAATTTTAAAGTCTATATTTATAGTCTAATTTTAATTAAAAACATCTACTTCTGTTTTATCATCAAGCTGCTAATTGGCCAGTTTATGATTGGGCAATGACAAACTTTAAGTTTTAGTATATTTAGGGAACTATGGTAAGAACGTTAGCAAATAACACTAAATATTATGTGATTTAATAATATTATTTAATCCTCGAAATCACTGTATGAAATAGGTTATATCATTTGTTTATTGTACAAATGACAAAATTAAGGAGCAGAAAGCTGGAATTTATCTCACCTAAACCAGACAACACAGTTGTTCCTTTGCTTTTGAAGGTTAACAAAAGCATAAAACCTTCCTAACTAAGCAAAAAACATGTAACTAGGAAACAGTTTAACTACTTTTAATATGTTTAAATATCACATTTAAAATTTTTGAAGAAAATAAATAACAGGCAATTCTGTTGGTCATTATTAGACTTATAAGTAGTTTCAAATGCTTCCAATACATTCAGCTTTAAAGCCTAAAAGGAAATTCTCTTGGACAGATTCCGGCTAAAGAGAAGGTAATGAAGTCATTAAACAAATTAACCAAACAAGTAAATAAACAACAAAAAACAGCACAATTTTAAAACATCTTCATATAGAATACATAGAACATTTTCATGTATTCATTGAACCAGTCTTTCATTCAACCAAACTATATTGAGTTCCCAGTAGAACTTAGTTCAGTTGTAGACCTTGGAATTACATTGACCAATAATGTAAGGAAAATGGTGACCCTCAAGGGAATATTGATACAATGTAGTAAATCAGTTCTAACTCTAAACATCTAAACATCTCTGACAATTATGCTTTCCCTTTTCTTCTCTGGATACTTGAAGCACATGCACAGAAAAAATAGCAAATGAGCGTGTTAACTGAGTCTTTAAAGAATACCCCATGTAAAAGTATTCTAGAAATCACATCGCAGTACATGACATAAGCCCCCAAATGTAGCAATGCTTCTTTTCTCCACATTCACAACCATAAGGCTACTATTGGCAATTCTGAAAAAAATGCAGTATGAAGCTTGAAAATGTAGGAAAAAAAGAGGTAGCTTTTTCTTGGGAGGGGAGTACAAACTTGTCTGAATAGACTCCACCCACATGTCCTGAAGTCTGAACAACCATATCAGCATCTGTATCCTGAAGAAAGACGAACTGAGAAAGAGGAGAGGAGAAGGCTACAGGCTGAGGGTGTTCTATGCACCATGCCTTGGGAGCCAAGTGCAAAGTCTCATATCTAGACTGGAAGGGTGTCCAGTTGGTAAAAGTTACAGGCAGAAGTGATATATGAATTGAGTTTTGAGATAAAAATGGGCTAGATAAACCATCCATGGATTGATGAGAAGGGAATAGCAGTCAGAAGGGGGCTAATTATCCATGGTCAGATCACAAAATACAAGGAATGTGTAACTAGAGATAAAGCAGGAGAGATAAGCTAAAAATGCACAATAAACAACTTTATATTAGAGAGTTTCAAGCATTTGCTGGTTGTACTGTCATTGAAGGAATTTAAGAACAAGAGTAACATGAGTCAAAGTATTTTAATTTTATTACCTTTTACACCTATATATGTCGTTTTCTAAAAACACTTATGTATATAAAGTTATTTCTAAAATATATTTCAATTTATAATAATTTTTAAAATTTCTTCAAATATGATATTAGTCTCAAGAAAGTCAGTGTCATATTTCACCTTGATTTTTCAGCTATTCAGCATGATTATGAAGTACATTTACATTAGAAATTCCAAATGAGTTTTGGCTTTCAAAATTCAAATCCACCCTTGAAAATGTTCATTTTTTTTCTTCTTTCTTCCTTTCTCCTTTCATCCATCCATCTTTCAACCAACACGTCTAAGTATCTACTTTGTATTAAATTGGGAAGTCTTTGTAAAGGAGGAGTCTCAGACCTCATTGAATTTATGCAGCTATGGAGGATAGAGGAAATGAGGATTTAAACACTCAAGGATTAAATGTGATGAGGACTATGAAGGCAATAAATGAGGGTGTTAAGATAGCACAGTCTAGGGAAAGAAGAATCCTGTGGAAAGCTGGGTCAGATAAGCCTCTATAAGAGATGACATTTAAATTAAGACGTGGATGACATAAAGGACGTAATAATGCAGACAGCCAGGTGAAGAGCATCTTAGATAGACAGAACAGCAATTGTAAAGGTCCTGAGGCAGAAATTGTGTGTTAGAGCATCACAGAAAAGCACTGATCAGAGGAGCAAGGTAAGAAGTTAGTTCAAAGAGGTAGGAAAATGCCAGTTAATGCTAGGCCTTGACACCATGCTAAGGAGTTTGGGATTTATTCAAAGGATGACTGTAAGCCTCTCCAAGTTTTGAACATTAGAATGATAGAATCTGAATTGCTTTTGTAAAACATTGTTTCACGTATTATGTAGACAATGGAGTTGTAAAGGGCTAAGAGTTACTCCATGTAAGGTTTTTGAAGAATTGTTGCAGTAATCAGGTTAAAGAGGTTGGTTGCTGGGACTACAGAGATAGCTGAGAAATGGTGGTAATTGTGGAAATTTAAGGTATCTTGAAGGTAATTCAAAAAGGACATGCTGATGGATTGGATGTGTAGAGTCAGGAAAGGTTGACTATAATTTTATGGCTTCATACCTCAGTGAATAATAGAGCTTTTCACTGAGATAGGAAAGAGTGAGTAGAGCAGGTTTGCAAAGGAAAATGAAGTGTCCTTTATTAAAAACATCTCTCTCTCCATTTCTTATCTCTCCTTTTCTCTTTCTTTGCATCATTGTTTTCTCGTAGAACAGCCTCTATTTCTCTGCCAACTTTGATTATATTTCTGTTCCTATATTCATTGTCTCTCTTCTTTTTCTTCTTTAAAAGCACTTCCCTGTTCTGAAAGGAATAGCATCAACATCAACAAAAAGGACATCCACACCAAAACCCCATCTGTAGGTCACCATCATCAAAGACCAAAGGTAGATAAAACCACAAAGATGGGGAGAAACCAGAACAGAAAAGCTGAAAATTCTAAAAACCAGAGGACCACTTCTCCTTCAAAGGATCTCAGCTCCTCACCAGCAATGGAACAAAGCTGGACAGAGAATGACTTTGACGAACCGACAGAAGTAGGTTTCAGAAGATCGGTAATAACAAACTTCTCCAAGCTAAAGGAGGATGTTCAAACCCATCTCAAGGAAGTTAAAACCTTGAAAAAAGATTAGACGAATGTCTAACTAGAATAAACAGTGCAGAGAATAATTTAAATGACCTGATGAAGCTGAAAACCATGGCACAAGAACTACCTGATGCATACACAAGCTTCAGGTAGTGTATGTAATTCGATCAAGTGGAAGAAAGGATATCAGTGATTGAAGATCAAATGAATGAAATGAAGCAGGAAGAGAAGTTTAGAGAAAAAAGAGTAAAAAGAAACGAACAAAGCCTCCAAGAAATGTGGGACTTTGTGAAAAGACCAAACCTATGATTGATTGGTGTACCTGAAAGTGATGGGGAAAATGGAACCAAGTTGGAAAACACTCTTCAGGGTATTATCCCAGGAGAACTTCCCTAACCTAGCAAGGCAGGCTAACATTCAAATTGAGGAAATATAGAGAACGCCACAGAGATACTCCTCAAGAAGAGCAACCCCAAGACATATAGTTGTCAGATTCACCAAGGTTGAAATGAAGGAAAAAATGTTAAGGGCAGCCAGAGAGAAAGGTCGGGTTACTCACAAAGGGAAGCCCATCAGACTAACAGTGGATCTTTCAGCACAAACTCTACAAGCCAGAAGAGAGTGGGAGCCAATATTCAACATTCTTAAAGAAAAGAATTTTCAACCCAGAATTTCATATTCAGCCAAAATAAGCTTCATAAGTGAAGGAGGAATAAAATCCTTTACAGACAAGCAAATGCTGAGAGATTTTGTCACCACCAGGCCTGCCTTACAAGAGATCCTGAAGGAAGCACTAAACATGGAAAGGAAAAACTGGTACCAGCCACTGCAAAAACATGCCAAATTGTAAAGACCATTGATGCTAGGAAGAAACTGCATCAACTAATAAGCAAAATAACCAGCTAACATCATAATGACAGGATCAAATTCACACATAACAATATTAACCTTAAATGTAAATGGGCTAAATGCCCTAATTAAAAGACACAGACTGGCAAAGTAGATAAAGAGTCAAGACCCATCAGTGTGTTGTTGTTTACAGGAGACCCATCTCATGTGCAGAGACACACATAGGCTCAAAATAAACGGATGGAGGAAGACCTACCAAGCAAATGGAAAACACAAAAAAGCAGGGGTTGCAATCCCAGTCTCTGATAAAACAGACTTTAAACCAACAAAGATCAAAAGAGGCAAAGAAGACCATTACATAATGGTAAAGGGATAAATTCAACAAGAAGAGCTAACTATCCTAAATATATATGCACCCAATACAGGAGCACCCAGATTCATAAAGCAAGTCCTTAGAGACCTACAAAGAGACTTAGACTCCCATACAATAATAATGGGAGACTTTAACACCCCACTGTCAACATTAGACAGGTCAATGAGACAGGAAGTTAACAAGGATATCCAGGACTTGAACTCAGCTCTGCACCAAGCAGATCTAATAGACATCTATAGAAGTCTCCACCCCTAATAGACATCTACAGAAGCCTCCACCCCAAATCAACAGAATATACATTCTTCTCAGCACCACATCACACTTATTCCAAAATTGACCACATAGTTGAAAGTAAAGCACTCCAGCAAATGTAAAAGAACAGAAATCATAATAAACTGTCTCTCAGACCACAATGCAATCAAATTAGAACTCAGGATTAAGAAACTCACTCAAAATTGCACAACTATATGGAAAACAACAACCTGCTCCTGAGTGACTACTGGTTACATAACAAAATGAAGGCAGAAATAAAGATGTTCTTTGAAACCAATGAGAACAAAGACACAACATACCAGAATCTCTGGGACACATTTAAAGCAGTGTGTAGAGGGAAATTTATAGCACTAAATGCCAACAAAAGAAAGCAGGAAAGATCTAAAACCGACACCCTAACATCAAAATTAAAAGAACTAGAGAAGCAAGAGTAAACACATTCAGAGGCTAGCAGAAGGCAGGAAATAACTAAGATCAGAGCAGAACTGAAGGAGATAGAGACACAAAAAAACCCTTCAAAAAATCAGTGAATCCAGGAGCTAGTTTTCTGAAGAGATCAACAAAGTAGGTAGACCGCTAGCAAGACTAATAAGAAGAGAGAAGAATCAAGTAGATGCAATAAAAAATGATAAAGGGGATATCACCACCGATCCCACAGAAATACGAACTATCATCAGAGAATACTATAAACACTTCTATGCAAATAAGCTAGAAAATCTAGAATAAATGGATAAATTCCTGGACACATACACTCTCCCAAGACTAAACCAGGAAGAAGTTGAATCCCTGAATGGACCAATAACAGGCTCTGAAATTGAGGCAATAATTAAAAGCTTACCAACCAAAAAAGAGTCCAGGACCAGACAGATTCACAGCCGAATTCTACCAGAGGTACAAAGAGGAGCTGATACCATTCCTTCTGAAACTATTCCAATCAATAGAAAAAGAGGGAATCCTCCCTAACTCATCTTATGAGGCCAGCATCATCCTGACACCAAAGCCTGAAAGAGACACAATTAAAAAAAGAGAATTTTGGACAAATATCCCTGATGAACATTGATGCAAAAATCCTCAGTCAAACACTAGCAAACCAAATCCAGCAGCACATCAAAAAGCTTAGCCACCACGATCAAGTGGGCTTAATCCCTAGGATGCAAGGCTAGTTCAACATATGCAAATCAATAAATGTAATCCACCATATAAACAGAACCAAAGACAAAAACCATATGATTATCTCCATAGATGCAGAAAAGGCCTTCACCAAAATTCAACAGCCTTCATGCTAAAAACTCTCAACAAACTAGGTATTGATGGAATGTATCTCTAAATAATAAGAGCTATTTATGACAAACCCACAGCCAATGTCTTACTGAATGGGCAAAACTTGGAAGCATTCCCTGTGAAAACTGGCATAAGACAGGGATGCCCTCTCTCACCACTCCTATTCAACATAGTGTTGGAAGTTCTGGCCAGGGCAATCAGGCAAGAGAAAGAAATAAAGGGTATTCAATTAGGAAATGAGGAAGTCAGATTGTCCTCTTTGCAGATGACATGATTATATATTTAGAAAACCCCACCGTCTCAGCCCAAAATCTCCTTAAGCTGATGAGCAACTTCAGCAAAGTCTCAGGATACAAAATTAAAGTGCAAAAATCACAAGCATTCCTATACACCAATAACAGACAAACAGAGGGCCAAATCATGAGTGAACTCCCATTCACAATTGCTACAAAGAGAATAAAATACCTAGGAATCCAACTTACAAGGGATGTGAAGGACCTCTTCAAGGAGAACTGCAAACCACTGCTCAACGAAATAAAAGAGGACACAAACAAATGGAAGAACATTCCATGCTCATGGATAGGAAGAATCAATATCGTGAAAATGGCCATACTGCCCAAGGTAATTTATAGATTCAATGCCATCCCCATCAAGCTACCAACGACTTTCTTCACAGAATTGGAAAAAACTACTTTAAAGTTCATGGGGAACCAAAAGAGAGTACGCATTGCCAAGACAATCCTAAGCCGAAAGAACAAAGCTGGAGGCATCATGCTACCTGACTTCAAACTATACTACAAGTCTGCAGTATCCAAAACAACATGGTACTGGTACCAAAACAGAGATATAGGCCAATGGAACAGAATAGAGCCCACAGAAATAATACCACACATCTACAACCATCTGATCTTTGACAAACCTGAGAAAAACAAGAAATGGGGAGAGGATTCCCTATTTAATAAATGGTGCTGGGAAAACTGGCTAGCCATGTGTAGAAAGCTGAAACTGGATCCCTTCCTTACACCTTATACAAAAATTAATTCAAGATGGATTAAAGACTTACATGTTAGACCTAAAACCATAAAAACCCTAGAAGGAAACCTAGGCAATATCATTCAGGACATAGGAGTGGGCAAGGACTTCATGACTAAAACACCAAAAGCAATGGCAACAAAAGCCAAAATTGACAAATGGGATCTAATTAAACTAAAGAGCTTCTGCACAGCAAAAGAAACTACCATCAGAGTGAACAGGCAACCTACAGAATGGGAGAAGATTTTTGCAGTCTCCCCATCTGACAAAGGCCTAATATCCAGAATCTACAAGGAACTTAAACAAATTTACAGGAAAAAATCAAACAACCCCATCAAAAAGTGAGCAAAGGATATGAACAGACACTTCTCAAAAGAAGACATTTATGCAGCCAACAGACACATGAAAAAATGCTCATCATCACTGGCCATCAGAGAAATGCAAATCAAAACCACAATGAGATACCATCTCACACCAGTTAGAATGGCGATCATTAAAAAGTCAGGAAACAACAGGTGCTGGAGAAACAGGAACACTTTTACAGTGTTGGTGGGAGTGTGAACTAGTTCAGCCATTGTGGAAGACACTGTGGCGATTCCTCAAGCATCTAGAACTAGAAATACCATTTGACCCAGCAATCCCATTACTGGGTATATACCCAAAGGATTATAAATCATGCTGCTATAAAGACACATGCACACGTATGTTTATTGCAGCTCTATTCACAATAGCAAAGACTTGGAACCAATCCACTATTGTGGCACTACTCACAACAGCAAAGACTTGGATCCAACCCAAATGTCCATCAATGATAGACTGGATTAAGAAAATGTGGCACATACACACCATGGAATACCATAGAGACATAAAAAATGATGAGTTCATGTCCTTTGTAGGGACATGGATGAAGCTGGAAACCATCCTTCTCAGCAAACTGTCACAGGAACGGAAGGCCAAACACTGCATGTTCTCATTCATAGGTGGGAATTGAACAATGGGAACACTTGGACACAGGGCAGGGAACATCACACACCTGTCGTGGGGTGGGGGGAGTGGGTAGGGATAGCATTAGGAGAAATACTTAATGTAAATGACGAGTTAATGGGTGCAGCACATCAACATGGCACATGTATACATGTGTAACAAACCTGCATGTTGTGTACATGTACCCTAGAACTTAAAATATAATAATAATAAAAAGAAGTACTTCCCTGTTCCTCAGACCCATTTTCCCTCCTCACTTGTTTCCTTTTATTCTTTACCTTTTCATCAGCTTAAGAACTTTACTCTTTTTTTTTTTTTTTGAGATGGAGTCTTGCTCTCTCGCCCAGGCTGGAGGGCAGTGGCGCTATCTCAGCTCGCTGCAAGCTCTGCCTCCTGGGTTCATGCCATTCTCCTGCCTCAGCCTCCTGAGTAGCTGGGACTATAGGCGCCCACCACCACACCCAGCTAATTTTTTTTTTTTTTTTTGTATTTTTAGTAGAGACGGGGTTTCACCGTGTTAGCCAGGATGGTCTCGATCTCCTGACCTCGTGATCCGCCCGCCTCAGCCTCCCAAAGTGCTGGGATTACAGGCGTGAGCCACCACGCCCAGCCAAGAACTTTACTCTTGCAATGACTCTTCTATCTCTTCCATAATTAGGTTTTTCTTTATCTTGGATCACTTCTAACAGCATACAGATACTCATTACTCTCTCCTCTATTAAAAATAGAAATAATACACAAAGCAAGAGCAACAACAACCAAAACCAAAAACAAACATTCCCTTGGTTCCACATTTCTCTCTGTCTATTACCTAACTCCCATTCTTGTAGCAAAAATCCTCAAAAAGAAATCAATATTTGACTGCCACCACTTCCATTTTATTTAAAGCCCCCAGCCAGGCTTTTACGTCCCTTATGCCACTGAAAATGTGATTGTCGAAATTTTCACAAACTTCTATCTTGTTAACCCCAAAACTCTTAGTCCCAATTCACTCCACTTCAATACAGTAGTTGTTAGCGTTTATCACTTCCTTCTTCTTGAAAACTTTTTGCATTAGATTTTCAGGAAATCTCAGCCTCTCAGCCTTTCTCCTATCTCACCTACTTCTCTCTCTTCATCTCCTTTGTGAGATTATCCTCCTTTTTCTGAGCCCAAAATGATGGAGGACCTCAGCACACAGAACTTAATCATTTTTATTCTCCATCTAAATACTCTCCTGAGTTAATCCTGTACAGTTTTATGGCTTTACAGATACCCAAATTTATGTTTTCAATCTAACAAATCGAAAACTCATAAATTCATCTGTCTAATCTCACTACTTCATAGATGCACTCATATATGTCTATTTTACATTTTAACTTTTAACCTTAGCCACTGATTCAAATCTCTTCAGGAGCCCAGATTCATCCCTATCCATGTGTGGCAACCTTGTGTTATTATACCATATCCCCTACGGTAGTTAAACAAGCTATAAGAAGAATCTGTTGCTTGCAACCAAAAAAGTCATAATTAATACAAATGGGAACTGTATGTTTCCATTCTGTGTGTTTGATTCTTGGAGAATTCTATTTTTCACTTCTCTTCAAGGCCCCCAGATTGGGTCCCTGGTTAACCCCTTCAATAATGGCACACATAATTGTATGTCTAGATTGCCTTCTTTAGAGTGGTTATTTAACAATTTTTCCTACAGCTTGTGCAAACATTGATTTACTTTATAGTGTGAACATTAAAATCATGTGAGTTGGTGTTCTGCACAAGCCAACTTCCTTCAAGCCTTTATTTTATTTTATTTGAGTTGTCTCCATTTTTTTTAGAACTGCATGCTGACCTAATTATAGAAATGTGACTCACAGGGGCAACGACAATCCAGCAGGTCTATACTTTTTCAACTATTTAGTGATTCTAAGAATTTCCTTTCATTTCTAATCACACCAGTGAGATTTTCTTGGCCTTGAGTCTATGAGAACTGGGAAAAATTTTGGCCACTGTAATGTCAGCACAATGCATTTTTTGTAAATCATTAAGCACTTTGAAATTCTTCCACATTAGAGTTAAAGAAGCTCTGTTCAGCATGAACTGTGCAAAGGGAATAAATATGGAGCAAGCTGGTGTGCATACTTTATTAGTCAGGATTCTCCAGAGAAACAGAACCAATAGGATATATATAGATATATAGAGGAGATTTATTATGGGAATTGGCTCACATGATTATGGAGGTCAAGAAGTTCCACGATCTACCATCTGCAAGTTGGAGAACCAGGAAAGCTGGTGAAGTAATTCAGTCAGAGTTCAAAGGCCTGAGAACCAGGGGAACTGATGGCATAATTCCCAGTCCAAGACTGAAGTCACGAATACTAGGAATGCTGTTAGCATAAGGCCTAGTGTCCAAAGGCTTGAGAACAAGGAGGAACTCAGCTGTTCAAGAGCAGGAGAAGATGGATGTCCCAGCTCAAGAAGAGATTTTCAATGATAATCTC
Organism: Homo sapiens; assembly: GCF_000001405.40. Lineage (NCBI taxonomy): Eukaryota > Metazoa > Chordata > Mammalia > Primates > Hominidae > Homo > Homo sapiens. The sequence goes on along the minus strand of NC_000021.9, from coordinate 27,429,652 downwards.
ATCCTCTCAAGGAGAGAGCTGGGACATCCATCTTCTCTGCCTTTTTGTTCTATTCTGGTGGACCCTGGATGGATTAGATGATGCCCTGCCCCCCTCTACCCCACCCTCCACAGCCACATTAGTGAGGGAAGATCTTTTTAACTCAGTCTACCTATTCAAATGCTAATCTCTTCTGGGAATATCCTCACAAACACACCCAGAAATAATATTTTACCAGTGATACGGGCATCCATTAATTCAGTCAAATTGACACATACGATTACCCATCACACACACTAAATATATATATACACACACACATATGTGTATATATATATGTGTGTTAAACAAGCTAATATATATATATATTTGTCGCCACATCCTTAGAGGGAAGAATGATAAAGTCAGATAATATGACTTCTACTTAACTGACTGGTACAAACCTACCTTTGAGTTAATCTGCTCTTGTATATTATTAGTACTTGCTTTATTTCTGGCTAGTTTTCACTGAAAAGGGAACTCTGTTTACCTTTTCTACATATTTGCATCCCTAAAGAGAACAATCTTCAATTTTACTATGTGGCATATCTTTAAAAAGACTTTTAGGACCATAAACTGAATGATAAGGGAAATCTCAACTCATACGTTGACTGTAAATATGCAGCCATTAAATTAGCACTATTGACTGCTGATTTATTTTTGACAAGTAATTTGTTAGATCTACCTAGAAAAATGAATGAATGTGAAAAGTAAGGGGAAATCAGAGGTCACTTGTAAAAAGTTTGAAAATATGGATTTTTCCTTTTTGTTTTTTTCCCTTGTCCCAGATTTCTTGGGGAGGATTAAAGGTCTCCTTCTGGAGTTGGGCCACAGGATGATATTCAACTGAGGGGCTCTGAGAGTGCACCTGACCTCACCTTTGGAAGGGTGGTTTGTATTCAAGCCCAAATCAACTCAACTCACAGTATTGACCCACGCTGGTTCCGTTTTTGACTCTAAAGTCTTCCTTCAGTTTACAATCTATTCACCAAAATTCTCTATCTGAAGCAGGGTAAACATGAATATCTTAGTCCATCTGTATTAACCATATGTAGCTATAATAAATCACCAAAAACAGAGTGATTTATAAATAGTAGAAATTTATTATTCACAGTTCTAGAGGCTGAGAAGTCCAAGATCAAGATGCTGGCAGGTTTGGTGTCTGGTGAGGCTCCGACTCTGCATGAACCAAAATATTTTGAAGAAAATTAAGACACAGAAACATAACACTGACAAATCATAGGCACTCAATGGGTATTTGCTGAATGAAGGAATGGATGGAATAATATAAATTGGTAGAAGATATAAAATATCCCTCATATTTCCTAAGTTATGTAATTGAAGATAAATAGAACCTGGCTTCATTCACGGGATTTGGTAGAAAGTACTCAGTTGTATAAAGTACCATACATATTAGGTGCAGTTTCCTGTAGTAAGTAATTACAAAGCACAAAATAGTGAGTGGGAGAAAATAGGATAAACAAAGATGGCTCTGTGATAAGAAATTTAAATTTAAATATGTTGAATTTAGCTTGAATCAACCACCCATTTACTAAGGCTGGAAAGCTGTGAAGCAAGATATTTAGTCACTAAAATAAAGATACAAAATTTAATTGTGCGGCCTGTCTTAAATGTTTACTTCTAATTCCTTGAGGTTTACTTTGTAACACGACCCAATATTTAGAGACAATCTTTTAAAATGGCACTCACATTATTATATATATGTATACATATATACAAACATCATACATACATGTATACATCATATATACGTTTACTTTTCGCATTTAATTCTAACTTTTTAATCAATAGTTAAAAGAAACTACAAGTTCCATTCAAAATGTGGTATAGATATAGATTCACAAAGAATACTACTCAGCCATAAAATGGAATGAAATCTTGTCTTTTGCATTAACATAGATGAACCTGTATGACATTAAGTGAAATAAGCCAGGCACAGAAAGAAAAGTACCACATGATCTTACGCATTTGTGGAATCTAAAAAAGCTGGTGTCACAGCAGTAGAGAGCAAAACCGTGGTTATCAGAGCCTGAGGAGTTGAGGCTAGGGGGAATATATATTTCTTGTGTATATTTTGTTGTTAATTCTATTTTGACTCTATTGTACTCAGAGAATATAAAGTTCAACTATTGATACTAAAAGGGCTATGGATTTTCTTCCATTATTATTATAGATTTGTGAGATACAACTTGAAAAACCTTTATTTCTGCTTTAGCATTTCTAAACTGTGTTGTTCAACTCATTGTTTTTTGTGCTACATGTAGCACAAATATATATTCTCTGAGTACAATAGAGTCAAAATAGAATTAACAACAAAATATACACAAGAAATGATAGAGATAAATAGTACTGATTTGGAAGACTGATGCTTGCATTGATGGATAGCTCGATGAATGAAGGGGTAAACAGATAGTTACAACCCCTACAATCTTTTTAAATAACACTCTTCCAATAAACTTGCAGTTGAAAAATAAGTATTATCACGGAAAGATTATTTAGAAATGAATACGTTGCCTTTCAAAATGTATGTGATATGACTAAGGTAGTTATTAAAATAAAATTAACCTTCAATATATTTATTAAAAAGCAAACAAAATTAAAAATAATTGAACTTAAGCATTTCACAAAAAAAAAGTTGTGAGACAGAAATTTTTTATAGGGGTTTAGATAGAGATGATGACAGACAATTAAGCTCAGGCTACCATGTTTCAAAAGAAGTCATTTTGTTAGATTCAATAAATGGTTATTACCATAATTTGTTAGAGAAATTTTAAATGGTAACCTAAATGTCCTGTAATGCCACATGCTAGTGCTAAACACACACACACACACACACACTTTTTTCCAGTGACATAAAATAAGGATGGCATGTTTACTTTCTGCTGTTTCATTTTGATATATTTTAATTTCCCTATTATCTGAATGTACTACTTCATGATTAGGGTTTTAGAGTAAGCCTATTTTGTATAAGCTAAGAATAAACTTTGTAGAAGAAAACTGAAATCCTGCTCTGGAAAATCTGACATAATTTTTAAAAAGAAGAGTTTGTCAGAGTACATTACTAATCTTAGATCTCCCCTCATTTACAGTTGCCAAGGCTTTTAAAGACAAGATAAAATTTCCTGATTAAATGAACATTCATCTCTGACTGAAACTGACTGAGGGAACATGAGATGAACTCAGGAACAGTATGTGCTCTATTGTCCACGGTCCCCCCACCAGAGCTATACACACATGTCAATTTATTTATAACAATGTAAATACCACATTCTAGCCAGAGGGTGTGATATGTCCAATTGGGCAAATGTTCAGTCATAGTCTAATAAGAAGATGGGGAGCTGGGTTTCAGAGGACCTCTGAGTATCTTTTTTGTTTCTTTAGGGAATGCATTATATTTACTCAAATAATTTTCTCTTTTACCTATAAGCAAGATTTGAAGAAAATAGATAAAAAATAAAATTTTCTCCTATTACCATGCAGGTTATTGCTCTTATTTTTTGTTTTCATTTTGTTTTGGTTGTTCTGCTTTATTTTTGCTTCTTGGATAGCACTTAATGTTTCCAAGGATCTCTTATTAAGCACATGAGAGTCAAATGGCTTTAGCAGAGAGGATGAACTGGATAACCATCAGCGCCATGCTTCAATTCAAAGCAGTTTCCTAGTGTTTTTCACCATAAATTTGAGAAAGTTCCATTTGAGAATCCTTTCCGTGTAAGCTGGTTGTGGTTTTTCAATGCCAGGGATGACAAAGGTGAAATTAATGCACCCAGCTGCTTCCCACGTGCTGGGCTTACAGAGGACAGTTTCCAACTTCCTTTGCCTGCTAGGCCCTCCCCTGTATCACTCCCTTCCATCTCCCCCTCTGAGAATGACAGCCCTGGCTTGGTCTCAGTGACCTGGGGTAACTGCCATGAAGCAACTTTTGATAAGAAACAGGATGTACAATGGTTCCTCTGAAATAAAATTGGATTAAAAGTGCACCCTCCCATGCCGTATGCCAGGCATAGCACTAGATGCAGACATCTGACTATATCATCAATTTTACAATTACCTGATGAAGTAAATACGACAACAAGAAATGAAACAAATCTTTGAAAGGATGAAGAAAATTCCTGTTATCAAATTACCAGCTGGGTAATTAGTGAGCTGCTGGTAGGGGAAAGAATTTTGAAGTCAGGTTTTTCTGACTCGGCATCTTATCTTTTTTCTTGCTCTTGAGGCCATGTTGCAGAGAAAGAGGGTGAGAGAGAGAAAGAGGATGCTGGAAAGTCTTAGGCTAAATAGTGCCCCCTTTCTGCCACACACACAGAAAAATCCATGACCAAATCCCTAGAACCTGTAAATAGCTGCTTATAGTACATGGCAAAAAAAAAAAGAAAAGAAAAGAAGAAAGGAAGAAAGAAAGAAAGAAAGAAAGAAAGGGAGGGAGGGGGAAGGAAGGAAGGAAGGAGGAAGGAAGGAAGGAGGAAGGAAGAAAGAAGGAAGGAAGGAAGAAAGGAAGGAAGGAAGAGGAAAGAAAGAAACCAACGAACAACAACAATAACAAAAAAATGATTGCAGATAAAATGTTAGGACACAGGCTTTAATATAGGGTAATTTTTAGGTTACAGACTTCAAAGTAGGGATTTTTTTTTTTTTTTTTTTTTAATTATCTGGAGAGACACAATCTGATCACATGAGCCCTTCAAAGCAGGGAATTTTCCCTGCCTGGTGTCAGAGAGATGTGGTGAAAGAGGAAGGCAGAAGGGGAAGTCACACAGCTTCCAAATATGAGAACCATTCAACTTCCACATGCCTCTGCTGGTTCTAGATAGGAGGTGGCCACAAACAAGGACTGGAAAGAGAATTCTAGGAAATACAACCAGTTCCCAGCTGACAGAGTACAAGGAGATGGGAACCTCATGCCTACAACCACAAGAAACTGAATTCTGTCAATAGCTTCATCCTTTCCCACTGTCTCTGGTAAGAAGCCCCACTCTTCTGATACCTCAATTTTAATCCAGAGAAACCGAGGCAGATTGGAGACGAAGCTCAGTTTCAAGTCACCTAGCGGAGTCTTTTATGCATTCTCACTGATCACAGAACTCACACCATTACCTCACTTACATCACCATTTAAACATGTCTTTACTTAAAGAATTCCAGGAACTGGCCTTAGGAGATAACCAAGGTTGCAGAGTGTCCCACCTCAGGAAGGAATGCAGCCTTGTTGCCACTGGCCAGACCACCAGATGGTTCATTACTCAACCATTGCAACCAGATAATGCTAGCCTGTGCTCTACCCTTTATGTGCTTTGTCCAGCCCAACTTGCATGTCAATTTCCATGCTTTGCCTAACAAAAAAGCCCTACAGCTCTTCTAGTGGAATTAGGGAATTCTCTCTCTTTCTCTCTTGCTGTCTCCCTTATGCCCTGGCACAAGCTCCAGTGAAGACTTGTCTGGGAAAACTCTTTTTGCCTCATATCAAAGAACCTGTTGCCAGTAATGAAATCAGTGTCAGACTTTGGACCTATGTATTTAAGGTGGTAAGTCTATAGTGATGTGTTATGTACAGCAGGACTAGAAAACTAATAAAGGCAGACAGTTGAACACAGATATGCACACGCTCACACACACATATTTTTTAACACTTCAAATTAAGGAATATTGATGCTTAATTGCGGTGGCAACTTGACCTTTGAGCTCCCAAAGCAGACAAATTAGGCACACCTAAATTGCAAGCCTAAATCTTAAAATGAACAAGTATCTTAAATATACCACTTAATATTCTGTATGTTCCCCATCTCTCTTCACTCATAAACACAAAGCAAGAGTAGGTACACAGTAAAAGAAGAAATTTGTACAATTTCTCCTCTTTTATTTATTTAAAGAGTTTTTAAGAGGAAACAAAATATATACAAATAAATAACTTGATAGTGACTTTTAAAACCATGGCACATAGCATCATTAAAAGCATCCTTGAAAGCCTTAACCACGGTGTCATGGTGTAAAATTATTTATGTGCATTTTTACCTCTTCTCCCTTGGGTATCATCTTCTCCTAATCTGGGAACATGGCACATGCAAAGAGCATTTTACCAGGAAAATCAAAGCTCTGAAAATGTGCAATGGAAAAGAAAACATCTTGGAATTGCTTTTATTTTAGTGCTGTGATAAAAAATTTTTTCCAGTCACCCTCATTGATGTTCAGATGATTGAATTAAGTTGAGACATTCTGGTCAGGAGGTGAAAACAACCATGGGTGTTATTGGCTCCCATCGGAAAGTTCACTGTCCCAACATTACATGATCCCTGAGTCAAGCCCAAAACATGCGCCACGCCGTCCCTGTAGCTCAGAGCTCACCAGCTGACCACAGCTGGAATTTGTAGGCCAGTAGAAAGCAGGGAAAAGGAGGTAGGCACTGAGCTGTTTTGTAGCCTGGAGGAGGCCTGCAGTTGCCAAGGATAATAGCATGGCAAACACTTTGCTACTGACAGCCTGGATTCAACTTTCTCACCATAATTCTGCCAAGCAAGGCTGGTAAAAGTTCAGAAAGCACTACTAGGAATAATTAAAGCAATGGAGGATTTATTTTGTATGGAGAGATTAAAGGAATTTTACATGTGTTATTTGGCTGTGCAAACATGAAATGGGAATACGAAAATTATCAACAAATATTTGGATGGTTTAAATTATTGGGAGGGAGATGTGAACGTTAAATAATAAGGCATGATATTGTGCCACCATGCACCCAACCTAAGAGAAATACATTTGAAAAAAAACCATTTCAGATGAAAACTTATATAAAAAGGTACAAAGATTAAACACTATATTCCCATATTAAGGAAAAGATTAAAGGATATCATCAGAGTTTTCCAAGTCTTAGTCAGTCCCTCTGAGATAGGTGGCAGGATGTAAACACAGTGCTGTTTTTTAGACAGAAAGACTCCGTGTGTGTGCCTATGAATGCACTTAGCATTGTATCATGGGGTAAGCCAGAATGTATTTTTTTTTAACTTTTATTTTGAGGTAAAGCTGATTCATTGTGTCCATAAGACACTCATAAAACACTCTTGCCATTTCCAGACAAGCTGAAAGCTGGTACAGCATTAGCAAGTTACTGCTGAGAAAGAGATCATGTGTCCCTCAGAAGTGTGTGCTCCATCAATTCCCCCCAAACTAGGTGGCAAAGCAGATTCATTTTTCTCCTAATCATCTTGCTCCAGTGCGAAGTTCCTCATCCTTAGTGGGGAGTAACAGATATGCTGATGTAAAAAACGAACAGGCCAGTCACAGTGGCTCACACCTGTAATCCCAGCACTTTGGGAGGCTGAGATGGGTGAACCAATTGAGGTCAAGGAGTTCAAGACCAGCCTGGCCAACATGGTGAAACCCCATCTCTACCGAAAAAATACGAAAATTAGCCAGGTGTGGTGGTGGGCGCCTGTAGTCCCAGCTATTCAGGAGGCTGAGACAGGAGAATCCCTTGAACCCAGGAGGTGGAGGCTGTAGTGAGCTGAAATTGTGCCACTGCACTCCAGCCTGGGGCATAGAGCAAGATTCTGTCTCAAAAAAAAAAAAAGTGTTTTATTTTCCTTACTTTCCTACAACTTCCTCAGCATATAAAAGAATACACACAGTAACACTGGAAAGCCGAACAGTAGAGGGTCCCCACGACAGAGCAAAATTGCATGAGCTGAGGTCCACAACCAAGTTTTTACCTCTTCCCTCTCCTCCCATGGGTACCATTCCACTGGTTACATCATAAGACACTAGGGAATATGGTTGTTGTTTCCTTGGGTAATCTGTTCTCAAGAACTTGCAAAACGGACCTCAGATTAGCATGCCACCCATCATTTAAAAGCCAAGAAAAACAATAGTTGGCTTCCAAGTAAAGACAGGAAGATAAGAAAGAAATCAATTTTAAAATTTCAGTTAGGAGCAATAAGTTCAGGACTCAGTGATCATACTTAACAGCAATGTACTATGTGCCAAAAGGGTAGATTTTAAGTGCTGTCACCACAAAAATGGTAAGTGTGTGAGGAAATGGAATATGATAATTAGCCTGATTCTGCCATTCCATAGTGTCTAGATATATACCCAAGATATATGTTGGATATATATTGTACATGTTGTACAGCATAAATATATACAATTCAGCCGGGCGTGGTGGCTCAGGCCTGTAACCCCAGCACTTTGGGAGGCCGAGGCGGGCAGATCACGAGGTCAGGAGATCGAGACCATCCTGGCTAACACAGTGAAACCTTCTCTCTACTAAAAATACGAAAAAAAAAAAGAAAATTAGCCTGGCTTGGTGGCAGGCACCTGTAGTCCCAGCTACTTGGGAGGCTGAGGCAGGAGAATGACGTGAACCCAGGAGGCGGAGCTTGCAGTGAGCCGAGATTGCGCCCCTGCATTCCAGCCTGGGCAACAGAGCAAGACTCCGTCTCAAAAAAAAAAAAAAAGAAAAAAAAATATGCATATAACACTTCTATTTGTCAATTAAACATAAAAAATAAAAATAAATTGAGGTAAAGTACATAAATTATTATATTAATAAGAATTCATGCTCTCTTTCCCTTGAGAGCACTACTGAAGATCCTGGTGTCGCCATGGGCCGCCGCCCCGCGGGTTGTTACCGGTATTGTAAGAACAAGCCGTACCCAAAGTCTCGCTTCTGCCAAGGTGTCCTTGATGTCAAGATTCGCATCTTTGACCTGGGGCGGAAGAAGGTAAAAGTGGATGAGTTTCCGCTTTATGGCCACATGGTGTCAGATGAATTTGAGCAGCTGTCCTCTGAAGCCCTGGAGGCTGCCCGAATTTGTGCCAATAAGTACATGGTAAAAAGCTGTGGCAAAGATGGCTTCCATATCCGGGTGTGGCTCCACTCCTTCCACGTCATCCGCATCAACAAGACGTTGTCCTGTGCTGGGGCTGACAGGCTCAAATAGGCATGCGAGGTGCCTTTGGAAAGCCCCAGGGCACTGTGGCCGGGGTTTGTATTGGCCAAGTTATCATGTCGATCCTCACCAAGCTGCAGAACAAGGAGCATGTGATTGACGCCCTACGCAGGGCCAAGTTCAAGTTCCCTGGCCGCCAGAAGATCCACATCTCAAAGAAGTGGGGCTTCACCAAATTCAATGCGAATGAATCTGAAGACATGGTGGCTGAGAAGCAGCTCATCCCAGATGGCTGTGGGGTCGCCTACATCCCTAGTCATGGCCCTCTGGACAAGTGGCAGGCCCCGCACTCATGAGGGCTTCCACTGTGCTTCCCCCTCTTAATACTCACCAATAAATCCTACTTCCTGTCCATCTAAAAAATAAAAATAAATAAATAAATAAATAGAATTCATGAAAATGTTTGTCCCTAGGCAACCTCAGTGCTTTAGATTGCTCTGAGATCCTACAGTTGAACACTAACTTGTTTAAACTTTATCTCATGCTGTATAGTATATGTCCTACTCACATTATAGACTAGGAGGCTCTGGCCTACACATCGAGCATCTAAGAGTGTTAGGTTACATCTAGTGTGGTGTTAACCCACGGGATCCCATGTTCTTCATCAATGTACTGCCATTTTGCTGAAGAGAAAGAATATGCAATCAATAAACTATGGACTACTTCAAGCAATGAAAATATGCATGAGCCATTAAATACAGCACTTTCCTTAAAACTTAAAATGACCAGTGAATTGTGTTTGTCAAGAAAGGAAATTTTGATAAATGGAAAATTGACCTCATAACAATATTTCCAGTTATTTATTTATTTATTTATTTATTTATTTTTGTGTTTGATAAAGTTGCTGTGAACTCAAAACATTTTTGAGGACATTTCTTCCAATACTTCCTTTTGTATCGAAAGAGGGAAAGAGAAAGAGAGAAAGAACATTTGAAAACTTCAGAAAGTGGAAACTGACAGCCACCTCTCTACAGAAAGGTAAAGGAATGAACCCTTTGGAAAGTTCATTCAACATGGCAATGATGGATTAGTATGTGTTCATGTTATTAACATATTAGAGATGGCCTCACACTTCATAACTTAATATCTATATTATTCAGAGTCACCTTTCCTGCTACTTTTTCTCACTAACCAACAAATACACTATGCTTCATTTATTTATTTTAAATATTTTAAAGTATTTAAATGAATGCACTATGCTTTATTTGTTTAGATTGTATTTATTTTACTGTGTGGCTCACTACACAGATCCTCATGACCTGCAATCTCTGGTGCTAAGCTTACACTGTGTTTATTTTTTCTCCCCATCGACTTCTTTGTCTATGCAGTTTTCCTGTTATTATACGTGGGTAGTTTGAAAACTATCCAAGTCTTTTCCAAAGCCAGTTAATTGTCTTGTTTCAACACCAGAAATACATCTTGTGATGTGATCAGAATTTCACTATTATCAAAATATTCTTATCCGTGACAGAGAAAAATGGGACACCTTACAAAATCTCCAGTTCCTCTGTAATATGAACTCTAATACACTGCTGCTCAATGTCTCTTTTACCCCACAAAGTTATTAATCTCCTTATGGGCAGCAAACTAACTTTCCTTTTACACCCAGGTTTTACCTGGCCCACAGTTTGTCAATTGCTTCTTTTTAAAAGATTTGAAAACTACCATATACTTTCTGAAATATACATTTTTGTAGTTTTTTATTTTAAAATTACATTTGAAATATTAAACTGAAAAGGTACTTCTATTAAAATATTTCTCTAACTCCTTTTCTCTTTTGATACTTAACTTTGATTTTGTTGTTCATTTCATCCATAAGTGTTTTGTCTTTCATAGAATATATATGTTATTGTACTTCTTAAATGACCCATTCACTACCGCCTTTGACAATTTTGAATGTTATATATTTATACATGTGAGTCATGAGAATTATTATAGCTTACTATGTAAAATACAAATAATCAAACTAAAGCTTTTCAAATAAAAATATAATTCTGATATTAGAACTCATTTCCGTCATATACTAAAACTTCTGGGAAAAGAAAAAGCTGAGTACATCATTATTGCAGCACACTTACATTTTTTTCAAAGCTCTTTCTTAGAAGACATGCCAAAGATGTTTTGGATTAAAGCTTTATAAGCATTTATGAGGGCTGGGTCATTTTAGGGAAGCTTAAAAAGCAGTGAACTTCAGCATGTTTGCTGAACTTGGACAAGCCACTTAACCAATTTGGATATCCATTGGTAAATCCATTTGGCTATCCTTGGTAAAATAGAGCTGGGACTTCTGGCCCTTTTTGAAATCTATTATTATAAAATAAATGAATAGATGCACTCAGTTATTAAAAGAAGGCCTTTTACTTTGACGAGTACTTAAATATATAGTATTAGTTTCAGTGGGAAATATGCCAATACCATTACTATCCTTCAACATTAACCAAAATAACAAATAATCATTGAATTATAAATATTTATATAGAAAGTGAATGAAGTTTAATGGCTTCTTAAAAGAAGGCATACTGCTACTTCAAGTAAAGTCTAATCTAAAATCCCACCCAAAGCAAACTACAAATATAACCATGATCTATTGAGTAATTCTAGAGAACTAGGAGCTCTATCATTTAACATTAATATAGGTTGAGAAAACAGAAAAGGGTAAATAAGTTTCTTTATCAAATTCCATTTGAAAAGTAATTTTAGTGGCTGTTAATTTTACTATTAAGTGCAAAAATTTCATAATACTTAAAATCAGCTCCACACATTTTGAAATATAATCACAATATCCCAGGTTTAGGAAAACAACCATTCACAATATCTTAGGACCACAGTTAAATACAAATATAAGCCATCTCATTGCCAAGCACTTTATTTTATACTTTATAGCATGTTTTCTTATCATGAAACAGTCAACATCTGTTGCCCAGGGGGCTCTGGGCTCCACAGTCAGTACGTAAGAACATTATGCTAGATTTTTGTAGTAGCCATCAGGTTTTTGCACCTCCCATGCAAATTATGTTTTCATTATTATAGTTCATGTTTAACTATCTATTTCCAGTTACATCAAATGCTTCATCATCCTACTAACAAACCCCAAACTACTGCATATGGTCATGCTATTTATCCCCTTAAAATTATGACATATTTTAAATTACCATAAATCTTGGCAACTAATTTGATGACAAATAAATCTCTAACCTAGTAAAAGTAATTGTTCCCCCATTGATAATCCCTTAGCACATTAAAAAGTAAACAAATTCTGATAAGAACAAATACATAATAATCTTCTATGTATACACTATAGTAAATGAAATATTAATATTTTAGCTTCTGTTCTTTCTGTGGTTAAAAATAATGTTGAAGGAGTAACATCGGCAAGATAATGAAAAGGAAGTTTCCAGCACTCCTCACAGAAACATCAATTTAAACAACCATCCATGCATGAAAATACTTTGCCAAGAGCTAAGGAATCCATATGACAGATTACAACACCTGGGTAAAGTACAGAAATAAAGAAAGATGGATTGAAGATGGGAGTAAGGACAGTTTCACATTACTCACATCTCCTCTCCCCCAAGCCTGTTTCGCACAGCACAGTGCCAACAGTGATATCCTCCACAGAGCGGAAGAAGAGTGAAGTTAACACATGACTTTACTGTGGTCTTCGCCACCATGCCCCTTCAGGGCCAGCTTTCAGACCCACCCCAGTGCCAGGCTAGCTCCTGCAGCCTCAGGATTCAGGCCAGCCCCTGTAGATGTTGGCCCCATACCTGCCTTCATAGACTCGGGCTCTGGGCCCATCCCAATGGACTTAGACTCCAGTCCTGTAACCATGAACACAGTTACTAGGTCCACCCCAGTGGACCCCAGCAACACACTAGACCCCATGTACCCAGGATCCAGGCTTATACCTGTAGACCCAAGCTTCAGGCTTACCCCTGTGCACTGAGGCACTAGGCCCATCTACGCAAACCCAAATTCCATGTCTGCCTACTCCTGCAGACCCAGGCATCAGGCTGCACCTAGTGGACCCAAAGCCAGGGCTACTCATCTGCTTATTGAGGTACCAGGCCAGCTGTTTCAAGGACTCCAGCAGCAAGTGTACACAGATATCCCAGAAACATCCTGCTCAGAATCTCTACATGGGCTGCTTGGTGAAGGACTCTCTTTGCTGAAGCCTGTCTGTAAAGACTAGAAGAGATGAGGCCGGGCGTGGTGGTTCCTGCCTGCAATCCCAGCACTTTGGGAGTCTGAGGTGGGTGGATCACGAGGTCAGGAGATCGAGACCATCCTGGCTAACACGGTGAAACCCTGTCTCTACTAAAAATACAAAAAAAAATTAGGCAGGCATGGTGGCAGGCGCCTGTAGTCCCAGCTACTCAGGAGGCTGAGGCAGGAGAATGGCATGAACCCCGGAGGCGGAGCTTGCAGTGAGCAGAGATTGCACCACTGCACTCCAGCCTGGGTGACAGAGTGAGACTCCGTTTAAAAAAAAAAAAAAAAAAAAAAAAAAACACTGGAAGAGGTGCTTACTTCTTCAAATACATAGATCATAATGCAAGACAAAAAAAAAAGTCAAATAATCAGGGAAATCTGACATAACTAAAAGAGAAAAAAATAAAAGAACTAGTAACTAGCCCTAAAAAATAGAGATGTATGAACTGCCTGACAAATAATTCAAAATAATCCTCTTAAAGAAGCTCAGTGAACTACAGAAGAAAACAACCAAATAAAATCATTAAAAAAAATACATGAACAAAGTTAGAAGTTTAACAAAAAAATAGAAACTATAAAAAAAGAACAAAACAGGAATTCTGGGACTGAAGAACATAATAACTGAACAGAAAAAACCCTTAGAAAGCTTCAAGAGCATCCAAATGTTCCTCAACTTACAATGTTACATTCAGTATACTCGTAAGTTGAAAATATTGTAAGTAAAAGATGCATTTAATGCACCTAGCCTACCAAAAATCACAGTTTAGTCTAGCCCATATTAACTATGTTCAGAACACTTAAATTAGCCCATGCTGGGGAAACTCATCTAACACAAAGCCTATTTTATAATAAAGTGCCGAACATCTCATGTACCGCTTACTGCTAGCCTGGAAAAAGATCAAAGTTCAAAATTTAAAGTATAACAAAATTGTGATGGTGTTACACCATTGTAAAGTCAAAAAATTGTAAGTCAAACTACTGTAATTTGAGAAGCATTTGTACTTGATCAAACAGAAGAAAAAATCAGGGAGCTCAACAGGTCATTTGAGATTTGCCATTCAGCAGCACAGAAAGATAAAAGAATGAAAAATAGTGAAGAAAGACAACAGAAGTTACAGCTGAACATCAAGCAAACAATATATATATATTACGAAGATTCTAGAAGTAACAGAGAAAAAGAAAATGACTGAAAATTTATTTAAAGTAACAATGACAGAAAATTTCACAAATCTGGAGAGGAAAATGAACATCCAGATACATGAAGCCTGAAGAACCTCAGTTAGGTAGAATATAAAGAGATCTTCACCAGATATACTATAATCAAATTATCAAAAGTCGAAAATACAGTGTCGTAAAAGCATACTGTATTTTTGACTCCTCAGAGAAAGAAAAAGTGACTCTTCACATGTAAAGGAACCCCTCATAAGGACTATAAGCAAATTTTCCAGCAGAAACTTTGGAAACCAGGAGAGAGTGAGATTATCTATTCAAAGTACTGAAAGAAAAAGAAAATCTGCCAATCCGTCCACCATACTCTGCAAATATGACCTTTAGGAATGGAGAGATAAAAGATCTTCTCAGCAAAACAAAATCTGAGGGATTTCATTACAACCACAACTACCTGACAATAAATGACAAAAGCAGTTACTCGAATTAAAATAAAAGGATGTTAGCCAACAACTTGAGAATATGTAAAAATACAAAGCCCACTGTGAAGATAAGAATATAGTCCAATTCAAAATATTCTAGTGTGTCAAGGATGGTGTAAAAATCACTTTTAACTGTAGTAGAAAAGTTAAAAGACAAAAGTATTAAAATAACTTTATGCTAATTTGTTAATGGATACATAGTATAAAAAAGATGTAAATTGTGATATTAATAACAAAAAATGTGGTGAGAGAAGGTAAATATAGAGTTTTTAGATGTAGCCAAAGTTATTATTGGCTTAAAGTAAACTGTTATAACTAAAAAAAGTTTTACATAAGCAACAAGGTAACCACAAAGAAAAAATTATGTGTAGTAGGTACGCGAAAGATAAAGAGAGAAGAATCAAAGCATACCACTGCAAACAACAACAAAAAAAATTCAAATTACAAGGAGAGCAAGAGAGGAGGAAAGAAGAAAAGAAACTAAAAAGCAATCAGAAAACAATTTAAAAAGTGGCAATAGTAAGTGAAATAAATAACTGATTTAAATGTAAATGGATTATATTTTCTAACCAGAAGATACCGAGTGACTAAAATGAATGAAAAGACAGTATCTAACTATATGTACCATACAAGAGACTCACTGTATCTTTAAGGGTGTACATAAGCTGAAAGCGAAGGAAAGGAAAAATATTCCATTCACATGCTAACTAAAAGGGAGCACTAATTGCTATGCTTATTTGAAACAAAATAGACTTTTAGTGGAAACTGTCACAAGAGACAAAGAAAGTCATTATATAATGATAAAGGGGTCAGCTCATCTCAAGAGCATATAACAATTGTAAATATATGTGCACCCATTCATGGAGCACTTAAATATACAAAACAAATGTTAAGAGAACTTGAGAGAAATAGGTAGCAGTACAATAAGTTGACACTTAAAAGAAAAGACTGTGTAAGGACCAGTCCATAATGTAAATAAATACATAGTAGAGAGAACTGTCACTGCATGACTGTGAACTGTGGTCATATTTAGAGGTCCCAGGCTTTGGCATAAATTGGACTTGGAACAATATTGCCATATTTTCCAGCAAGTATCACTGGGACAAGTCATTCCAAGTTTTCTAAGTTGAGTTACATGTATGTTGAGCCTTTTATTGTCACATGTAATAGAAAATTCAACTCAAACCACCTTAAGAAAAGAAACAAAAACAAAAAGCAAAATGTAGAATTTATCCAGATAGCTGGTACCGAGGGAGAGTCAACCAAAACTTTCAAGCTTCAATTTTATCTATGTCTTGACTCTACATTGGATACCCTTTCTGTTTTCTCTCTTTTCCTACAGGCTTCCAAGTTCTGGTGATAATGTCCTTGCAAAATGACCCAGAAATATACCTTATATTTACAGCATCCCTTAGCAGAAAGGACAACTCTCTTTTCCCAGTTGTTCTCTAAAAACTCGCAATTGAGTCTCATTGCATTGTATCGGATACCATGTCCTCCAGAACAATCACTGTGACTAATGGCATGCAAAATTTTAATGTCAGTGTCAGGATCACATTATCTCAAATGGACTCTGTGGAATTAACAGCATCCAATCTAGGAGGATGAACACTTTAGCCATAAGAAGGCCAATTAAACAGAATGGGTGGCCGGACACAGTGGCTCACGTTTGTAATCCCAGCACTTCGGGAGGACAAGGCGGGTGGATCACGAGGTAAAGAGTTCAAGACCAGCCTGACCAACATGGTGAAACCTTGTCTCTACTAAAAATACAAAAAGTAGCTGGGAGTGGTGGCGCATGGCCTGTAATCCCAGCTACTCAGGAGGCTGAGGCAGGAGAATTGCTTGAACCCTGGAAGGCGGGGGTTGTAGTGAGCTGAGATTGCGCCACTGCACTCTAGCCTGGGTGGCAGAGCGAGACTCCATCTCAAAAAATTAAAAAAAAAAAAGGCATACATTTGTCCAATATGCTTCCCTTTCAGATGAAATTGGAACAGAGAATAGAATAGCACTAAACTTTCTAGTGAGTAACACAACATCAGGGAATCAAGTCAATAAGGAAACGAATGAGGCAATTAGGTCTTGTTGACAATAGCTTCTGTTATATTTTAAAAGGTGTTGGCTATTTTTAGATCAGGTAGACAAATATATCTTTGATTGTCTGTCTAGCTTTCAGTTTCCAGGAGTATAAATCATCTAGGATATTTTAATTTGAAAAAGTTTAAAGCAGTCAAAGTTTTTTTTTATCAAACATATATTAATCTTCATTTCAAAGTTTAAGAAGTATTACACTTGAGCTCCTGTATACTATTTATAAAGAATGACAAATCTTGCTTAGAACAAGCCTAATTTTTAAGAAGAAATTGGACTTCCAGCAATGCTATCATTATTAAAATTCTATTTTAAGAGATACATACCACTCTCCACTCCATAGTTATTATTCATACTTAATTACATAAATGTATTAGAGATTAAATGTTTCAATTTTCAAACAATTACCATTAGTTTATAATTTAGCATATGTATTGAGTTTAAATGTAAACTCCACCTTTAATATTATACTTATTATCATAACTAAAAATGCATCGTAACTGATACCTTCTGCAGACCTAGGTAGACTTAATGTAAGAGTAGAAGAGTGCCGGGCATGCTGGCTCACACCTGTAATCTCAGCACTTTGGGAGGCTGAGGTGGGCGGATCACGAGGTCAAGAGATCGAGACCATCCTGGCTAACACGGTGAAACCCCCTCTCTACTAAAAATACAAAAAATTAGCCAGGCATGGTGGTAGGTGCCTGTAGTCCCAGCTACTTGGGAGGCTGAGGTAGGAGAATGGCATGAACCCGGGAGGTGGAGCTTGCAGTGAGCCAAGATGGCGCCACTGCACTCCAGACTGGGAGGGAGAATAAGACTCCGTCTCAAAAAAAAAAAAAAAAGCGTAGAAGAGTAGTTAATATTTAACAACATTTCAGGTAAATACACATAAAACTATATAATTATCCCTTATCTTAATCTCTATGATTTTTTTTCTTTAATGAGTTAACTGTCGACCTTGCAACTTTCATATCAACTCAAGAAAAGAGGAGGTCGTTGTTCACTGACTAAAGAACAATGCAAATAATATTTATTTTACTGTATACAGTGATAGATGTGTATAATTATTTATTTCATTAATTGGTTTAAATATTTGATTCTATTGACCCAGAGGGCATTTTAATTACATGGGAAACCAACAGCAGCCATATGAAGTCAATAAATCTTACGTCACATGACAAAGAAAAAAGAGTGAATCAAAAACAATATCACATCCCTGGAGGGAAGCCAGAGATTAGTGCCACCCTCAAGGACTTGAAAGACTCGGGAGAGGTGATTCCACTCCCTGTTCAAATCTTCTATTTGGCCTGTGCAGAAGACAAATGGATCTTGGAGAATGACAGTGGATTATCATAAGTTTAACCAAATGCGACTCCAGTTGCAGCTGCTGTACCAGATGTGGTTTCATTGCTTGAGCAAATTAACACATCTTCTGGTACCTGGTATGTAGCCATTGATTTGGCAAATGCCTTTTTCTCCATTCCTGCCCAGAAGGCCCACCGGAAGTAATTTGCCTTCAGCTGGCAAAGCCAGCAATAAACTGTCACTGTCCTACTTCAGGGGTATATCAACCCTCCAGCTTTGTGCCATAATCTTGTTTGCAGAGATCTTGATTGCTTTTCCCTTCCACAAGATATCACACTGGTCCATTGCATTGATGACGTTATGCTGATTGGATCCAGTGAATGATAAGTAGCAAAACACACTGTACTTATGGGTGAGACATTTGAATGCCAGGGGATGGGAAATAAATCTGACTAAAATTCAGGGACCTTCTACCTCAGTAAAATTTCTAGGGGTCCAGTGGTGTGGGGCCTGTTGAGATATGCCTTCTAAGGTGAAGGATAACTTGCTACCTTTGGCCCCTCCTACAACCAAGAAACAGGCACAATGCCCAGTGGGCCTACTTGGATTTTGGAGGCAACACATTCCTCATTTGGGTGTATTACTCTGGCCCATTTATCGAGTGACCCAAAAGGCTGCCAGCTTTGAGTGGGGTCCAGAACAGGAGAAGGCTCTGCAACAGGTCCAGGCTGCTGTGCAAGTCTACTACTCCACAATGGAGATAAGGAAGAGTATGGGTGGAATACACGAGCCCTTAGGGCATCTCTTAGTATTACCAAGCCGTGTGATTAAGGTCAATGGGAAACTACAACAGCCCAGTCTGGGAAGGACTACAAATGGCCCAGACTCTTTAGAAATGAAGGTTTGGGGTCACTTCACCAGGTAAAAATCCATGACTGCTGAGGTGCTTGCTGAAGGCAAACAGAATATAGAATGAGTAGTAGAAGAAGGTAGTCATCAATACCAGCTATGACCACATGACCAATTGTAGAAAAGAAGACTATAATTGTAATGAGTATTTCCTTCTTATTTTGTTAAGAACATGTTTGTGCATGTATACACTTGTACTAACATATCTTCGTTTTATTTCCTTTCTTTTTTCTTTGTCGTGTGACATAAGATTTATTGACTTCATATGAGAATTTAAGTGTTGTTAACTTTATGTCATAGCATCTAGGTTGGAGATCGATGCGTTTTGGTTGTACAAAGGATAGCTGTATTATGTTAGGCATAATTATGACCGTATTATTGTCTTTATTTGAAGATTATGTTTGATTTCAGGAGGTGTATATGGGTTCAAGTCGACAACGAGTGGACTTGTGATGGTTATTACTGAGTGTCAATTTGATTGGATTGAAGGATGCAAAGTATTGTTCCAGGTGTGTCTGTGACGGTGTTGCCAAAGGAGATTAACATTTGAGTCAGTGGACTGGGAGAGGCAGACAAACCCTCAGTCTGGGTGGGCACCATCTAATCAGCTGCCAGCGTGGCTAGGATAAAGCAGACAGAGGAAGGTGGAAGGACTAGACTGGCTAAGTCTTCCAGCCTTCATCTTTCTCCTGTGCTGGATGTTTCCTCTCCTCAAACACTGGACACCAAGTTCTTCAGCTTTTGGACTCTTGGGCTTACACCAGTGGTTTGCCCAGGGCTCTTGGCCCTTTGACCACAGACTGAAGGCTGCACTACCAGCTTCCCTACTTTTGAGGTTTTGGGACACAGGCTGGCTTCCTTCTCATCAGCTTGCAGATGGCCTATTGTGAGAGTTCACCTTGTGATCGTGTAAGTCAATACTCCTTAGTAAACTCTCCTTCATATATACATCTATCTTATTAGTCCTGTCCCTCTAGAGAACCCTGACTAATATAGAGCTAGATTTAGGACTCATGCTTGGGTTTGTGTGACAATGACAAGGAAGTCGTAAAATACAATTCCAGTGGGTTCTCCCATGAAAATCGCTAGGTTTTATGTGATTAGAAATTGAATGTAATTTAAAAAATAGTTAAATCATAATGAATTTAAATATAGTGTTCAGAAATTCCGAGTGATGAATATGGATAGTTTGAGGAAGAAGAGATTGGGTCATTCAGCTACTTAATTTTGTCCAGTACGATAGGACTTGATAAAAGAAAAACTTCAGACAAATTAAATTTAAGGGAGTTTAAGTGAGCAATGAATGATTCACAAATTAAGCAGCCCCCAAATCGCAGCAGATTCACAGAGACTCCAGCACAGCCACAGTCATGTGGTGGAAGAAGATTTATAGACAAAAATAGAAAAATTATGTACAGAAATTAGAAGTGAGTTACAGAATGCCTGGACTGGTTACAGCTAGGCATTTGCCTTATCTGAACACAGAATAAACACTCAGCAATGTGTGAATAATTGAAGTATGGTGGCTGGGATTAGCCAGGACTTAGCTATTGTTACAGGCACATATTCCTAAGGTAGGTTTTTAATCTTCTCTGACTCTTAAACTAGGTTATGGTTCATCCACAACGACTCAAATATAGAAGTACAGAGTCCTTCTCAGGTGATATTTAGTTTGCTTTAACAGACTGTACAGTTAAACTGTACAGAAACCATATCAATTGAAAATTAGTAAAAGTAACTGAGAATATATACTCTGGATAAAAATAGGGTGATTCTACCATCTTCAAACAATACCTACTAACTTATGGGAATAGACAGAAACTACTTCTGGGAAGCTCAAAGCCACAACTGAAAAGTACAGATGAGAATAACAGAAAGGCAGATTATAGTACAAGAAAGAACTTTCTAACAACTCTTCCAGCTCAACAGTGGAACAAACTGATTGGGAAGTTAATGACCTTCCCAGAACTGGAAGGAATGGATAAAGAAACGTATTTATTAAACAAATATTGTTCTGGTCTCTATAATGGGAATGTTAAATATATTACCTTGCAGAATCCCCAGAACCACATGAAATGCCTAATATTACCCTCATTTAAATGAGGAAAACAGACCCAGAAGGTTTCCCCAGATCTCAGAGCTAAGAATTGCAGTGAACATGTAAAGCCAAGTGTATCTGACTCCTAAGCGTACAGTGCAAAGACTGCAACAAGCAGAAATGGGTTGGGTACCTACTGAAAACATCATAAAAGAGATGAGTTCCCTAGCTGATGACAAGTAGACTAGATGATCCTTACAGTCTTTTTAAAGTTTGAAATAGTATGGCTTGTTAAGGGGCAGAGGTTTAAGTTTAATTTCAGTCTGACATGCAAATTGTTTGCAAGCCTACTCTATTTAACTGCGTCCAGGACTGGTTAATAATATCACTGGTATTACATATAGAGTATACAATATACTGACTATTTCACTGGTATTATATATAAAGTATATATTAACTGTATTATATATTAAATGTACATATGTATACAAGATATACATATATATCATATGCATGTATATATCACATACATATATATCAGATATATATATCACATATATTTGCTATATAATATAGGTGAGATGTATAATATTATGTATAATATATATTATTTATATATACATATTTTATATAATATATAATGTGTTATATATATCACCTGTATTATATAGCAAATATATGTACATAAAATGCACATATATATATACATATATGTGTGTGCGTATGTGTACATAAATGTGTGTGTGTATATATATATGTATATGTATATAATCACTAGAGCTATCCTGCCTGGCATGGACTTTTTGATAGAAGTTAGCATTCTTCCAAGAAAATTTTCAACATAAAAGCCCGCTGAGCTTTACTTGCCTAACACCATCTTTCACAGCTTTGTCAGCTTCATGAGTAGTAATCCCTCAGCTGAAGGAAGCGTCAGAATCAGTAAGCCATTCGTTGTGTGGAAATTGACAGCAAGGCACAATACGCTCCACACTAATTAGGAATACAAAACTCAGCATTCTTATAGTAATTGGCAAGTCTCCAAGTAAGCTGAGGGTTACTGACAAAAGTTGCTTGTTTTGTTTTTCACTCTGTCTCATTTAAAGATGGAAACTTCTCGTAGATATTGCTTTATGGACTTTTGCATATGCATGTGCAAAAGTCTTTTTCTTATAAGCCATTAAAATGACATCATATTTAGCATTATTTTGAAATTTCAGTGAAGCATGTTAGTTGAAATTGAAGCGTGCTTCAGGTAACATGTAGCACAGGTTATGCTTTCTGAAATGGCATTTGGGTATAAGCCTGAATGATGTGATGAACCGTGTATATAGAGAGCTGGAATGGGCAAAGAAGGAGACATGAAGGAACTTAACTAGAAAAGATGACAAATGCTTTAATAGTAGTTTGTATTTGTTGTTCAAAAATTAAAACACAAACTGAATTTATTTTGCTTCTTGGAATATGTTCTCAGTGTAAGCAAATGCAACTGTGGAGAAACAAAGAAAAAGAAGTAAAAATAGATTTAAAACGGCTGTTTTCAGATAGCATTTTATTTGGTTGGAAGACAGAAAAAAAAAATAGTAGAAACAGGAAGAGGATGCTTGGGGAGTATAAAAATGAGCAAAGAAGGGAGAGCAAGGATGATTCCTGTTTAATAGCAAGTGTAATGATGCTTTTAAAATCTTTCCCTGCTACTACTCTAACTTGAACCTTCCCAACTGTATGAAACAAGATAACCTATTTTCTCAATAACCCTGTTATACTTGTTTCAATTTGTTATGTAATCTTTTATTTTTCAACTGCATTTACAATGGTTACAGTCAAAGGACACTTCAGTCTTCTAACAAGCCTTTATGTTCTCTGTCTCAGTAAATATATTAGAAGTGGCTATGCTGGTATATCTATCACTTAGGCATATGCATTCCCAGTCCTCTTTGCTTCCTGCATGCATAATCTCACTTTTCCTTTGCCAGGGAACAGTCCTGCCTTTGGCTGAGTCAGAACATCTGGATCCTGATCTCATGGCCCTTGGAAGATAAGCAGAAAATAAAATTGTTCTGAATTCCCAATGTCTTCCCTAATAAGCATTTTATAAGAGAATTATAGTCTCTTCGGGGAACGGAAAATGATTGAAATGACCACATTCAATCCTAGACTGAAGCTGTAATTCTAAACTATCTGAGAAAGTGGAGCAGGACTGCAAGCAGTTCAGGGGGCCCTGACATTCATGCTGAAACTGAAGGAGTGACAGCAAGAATCAATCAGAAAAAGATTAAAACTTTTGGCACTCAGAAAAAGATGTATCTTGGCAAATTAGCAAATTTTCATCAAATCACTGAAACAAGCCTATTTGGAAAACATGAAATGCTGGATAACAAAATTTTAACTGACCCACTTTACATGCAAAGAAGAAAACATCTGGTTAGCAGAAATTCCTTTCATGTACCCTCAAGTTTAGAAAATATGGCTATATAAAGTTGATATTTTTCTGTTTAGAAGAAAAATAGTAAATTATTATAGTAACTAGATAATTTAAACGTCTAAGCTAATCTACTGGTTCAAATTAAATGCGTGTTCCGTACAACTCTCTTTTGCACTGTCAAGCCAGTGACATTTAGGTGGGGAAGCTATCTGACACAAAAAGAGTAGAGACATGCTTCGTTTTTTTCTCATTAACTCTTCAAATAATTTGTTAAAACATGATAATGAAAAATAATGAACTTTATACATGTGAGTAAACATCTACTTCTCCTTAGGTTGCTACCTCCATTCTCTCATGTTGTTCTTTTCAAGAATTTAAAATGATGAAAAAGCTGCAAAAGCAGTAAAAATAATATTTCTTACTTCCTGCACCCAGATTCCCCAATTTTCAACATTTTACCATATTTTCTATGCCAGTCGATTTCCCTCTCTCACATACACATGCACACACAAACACACATACACACACATCTACTGTGTACCTCTTAAAATATGACCACAAATTATTTGACAATTATCCTTATGAAATGTGAGGTTTTTTATTCCCGGTGGGACTGTGAAGAACAGACAGGTGGAATTGACAATAGACTAGGTCAGTCAAACACCCTAAGTTTATACTGTGACACCCCAGGCTAGGTCATAAAAAGCCTGATGCTTGTGATGACTTTGTAATGTGTTAACTTGGCTAGACTGAACTTGAACTGCATATTCCAGAATTTCCTTTCGTGTGTGTTTCTACTTAGTGTGGAATTAAATAGAAATTTCAGGACAAATGAAGATTGTAGGGTTATTTGGAGTAAGGAAGAAAAGGAGAAGACATGTCGCAGCTCATAGAGACTTTTGCTGATCTGCTAACTCATCTCACTGACTTGAAGCCATGGCTGTCTGCAGCTTCTATCTTCCCCTAGGTCTTCCTTCACTTCTTTGACTTTTAGGCCAGACGTGTGTGTGTGTGTGTGTGTGTGTGTGTCTTTGTCTTTATCTCCACAACAAAAAGGCCCAGCTTCTTCAGAATATACTTGTCACTAGAGTCAGAGGCAGAAACAACTAATGTGAATTTCAGTCTGTCCTCATGAGGTTCTAATTAGTGCTTGTGAGTTCTAGCTTGCGCTTGACTTCACCAACTTACGTGCATGTTCCCTTCCTCACTTTCGGCTCTGTAGACTTCAACTCCAGTATCAGTTGCAAGATGACAGCTTTATAGAGGCTGCGTAACCCACTTCCCCAAAGGTGCAAGACCAAATTCTGGTAATAACATTATATATGTATATATTTGAAAGAATCTATTATATATTTATGTATAAGTATGTATGTGTGTGTGTATGTATATGCATATATATGTACGTGTGTATATATATGTAATATATACACACACACATTTCTCCCTCTCTCTTCCTTTCTCTTACTTGATTTAAACAGAATTGTGTACCAGAGTGGTCCTAGAGAAATAGAATCTTAAGGATAAGTTCTCTCCTTAATTAGTTCTGAATATTCTGGCTATGATTCTCTGTTTTGAGCATATTAAAGGCATAATGACCTTGTTTCCATTGGTAAAGGGGGACTAGTAGTTCACGGCATGCAGTGGCAAACATTTATCCAAAATATCATTTGTAGATACCTGTAGTCGAGTGCCTATAGAAGGCATGGCTCTGGGTAACAAAGTATTTGCTACATTAGAATATTTAGTCAAAATTAGTGGTATTATGGGGTTAGTTGGTGTATGAGTTTCCTAATGGCTGCCATAACAAAGTACCATAACCTGGGTGCAACAGGAATTAAATCTGCCCTACGTGAGCCCTAAGCCCCCTAGCAGATAGAACTAGGATCAGTGCATACAAATTAGAGGACAACAATGTTTGGCCCAAATAACGAAAAACATTTTTAATGCACAGAGCAATCCAAGGATAAAATAAGTTGTCTTCAAAGAACAATGAGTTTTCTTACTGAAGATCTCCACGCTCTGGCTGAACAACTTGAAAAATACGGAAGTACACTATAATGACGCACATCCAAGCATCATATTGTTGATAAGCCTTTATAACTTTTAATATCCCTGTCATTGACTCTGTGGCTAGCAGTTAGTGAGGACAGAAGTTTTATATTTGCATTTATAAATCACATAAAGCATCTACAAAATGAGTGTGTAAAACATATATTGAAATTGATATTTTGAATTTATTATTTCACAGTAAATATGATAAAGTTATACATATTATACAGTAATTATAATGTATCAGGAAATACTGTATAATTATTATTTTATCTTTTGTAAAAATGAAAAAGATTCAAAATAAAATTCAATCATGGTATTTGCTTTTATTATAAACATTATTTATTGTATGTATTAGCTATAACCAATATATTGTTGAGCAACAAACTGCACCAAAACATAATAGCTTAAAACAACTAACATTTTTTTGTTTCTTACTTACCTATGGGTTCACTGAATAGGTCTGCTGAGCTAGTGAGGCTTAGCTGCTCCCAACTGAGATTGCTCAAGCATCTGTGATCAGGCGAAGAGTTAGCTAAACACAGACTGTCTGGGATAGTTGGAACCATTAGGATTTGTCCACATGTCTCATACTACAGCAAGCTAGCCTAAGGTTTTTCTTAGGTCTTGGTAGAATCCCAAGAGACCAGAGACATGCAGGCTTCCCTAAGACCTAGGCTTGAAACTGGCACACCATCGTTTCCAACATATTCTATGGGCCAAAGCAAGTCACATCGCCAGTACAGCAAATAGATTCTACCTCTTGATGAAAGACACAAAGTTAAATTGCCTGGGGCATGGATACCAAGAGAGTAGAAAAATGGGAAAACTTTAGCAATCAATCTGTCACACTGAAAAAGAATGTTTTGACATGTCTTACTAGGTATACGGCAAGAATTGAACTGATATTACTTATTATATATGTAATAATATTTAATAACCAATTAATATTGATTATTAAAATTATTAATACAAGAAGTATAAATCATTAATTTTAGAATGATTTACTTTAGTATTATTTAACTGTTAAATGGTTATGCTTTGCTGTATTTGCAAACTCAGTAGGAGAGTTGTATTAGTTTCCATTTGCTGTATAACAAATTATCTTGAATTTGGCAGTTTAAAAGAACATACATAGATTGTCTAACTATTTCCGTGGATTAGGAACCTGGGAATGGCCTAATTGAGTCTTCTGCTTAGGGTCTCACAAAGCTGAAATTAAGGTGTCGGCTGGGGCTGGTGTCTCATCTAAGGTTTAGAAGGCCATAAAGTCATTGGCAAATTTAACTTCTGTGTGATTACCTAACTCTTGGTGGCCTGCTACTCCAAAACCAGCAGGAGAGACAGTCTCTGACATCCAGATCCACTTTGAAAGGGTTTGTCTCATTAGGCCTGCTAAATATTCTCCCCTTGATTACTTCAGTCCAACTGATTTGGAACCATAATTGTATGTGCAAATCTGCTTCTCTTTTGTTATATAACAATCATGGCAGTGACAGCTATCATATGTGTAGCTTTCCTCTGTAATTAAGGAAGGGGATAGAAAAGGTATATACACAGGGGGCAGAATTTTTGGAGGCCATCTTAGGATTCTGCATACCACAAGAATTAATCTAAGATAGTTTAAAAGTTGTAACCACAATTTCACTTGTAGAATTCTTCTTGCCTATATGGTACAGAACAAAGTCAATAAGTTGTTGCCCAACTTATATAATTATTTTCAATAACCTCACAAAATTTTCTAATATCAACAGTCTTAATGGTTTGATAGCCATTAAAATCAGTGTCTTACAAAGGGGAACAACAGACACCGGGCCCTACCTGATGGTGGAGATTGGGAGGAGGGAGAGGAGCAGAAAAAGTAACTAGTAGGTACTCGGTTTAGTACTGAGGTGACAAAATAATCTATGCAAGAAACACCTGTGACATGAATTTACCAATATAACAAACCTGCACACATACCCCTGAACCTAAAGTAAAAGTTTAAAACATAATAAAAGTAGAAGAAAATAAAACAAAATCAGTGTCTTCATTCAATTAAAAAAAATTACTGAAATGCTAAGTCTAAACCTTAGCTCTAGTTTTGTTATACTTAAGTATTTTGGAGATGTTGCCCAACTTATATAATTTGCAGAAGTAATAAAATAACACAGGACAAATGAACACATCTATGTTTAGGCCACCTCAGCTGAGGATCGGAAAAGTCATCTGCATATCCAATCATTTGAAGGAAGTTTCTACTTAAAAAAATACTTGCTACCCAGGACAGAGGAACAAGAATGAAAGTGTGAGACGTAATGATCAGGAAGAAACGGGGCCATGTTTCCCTTAAATTTCAGTTTAAAGAAGAGTAACAAAAGCAGCAGCTTTTGTTTTTCAGTTACAGGCAAGGTCAAAATGAGGTGCAGGGAAGTTGGTAAGGGTTACCAGGGCCAGCAATATGGAGTAATTTCTGGGCAGACTCTGATCCATACTAAAAACAAACTCTGCTCTACCCTTGCCAGAGAGCCCAAAATATTCTCCCACAGGAGTCTTTATACATTTCAGAAGGCCTGGCAGACTTCTCAAATGTGTTTCTGAATCTCTGTGTGTGTACATGTATGTGTGTGTGTATGTATTTATGTGTATACATGTACGTTTGTATATCTGTGACTGCATGTGTGTATATGTTTGTGGGTTTGCGTATGTTTTATATATTCACGTATGTACATGTTGTGTTTTTAATCTACAAGTAGAATACCTCTATTCCCCCAGTATTCATTCTGATAAAACCACACAAAAGTGGATATCATCCTTATAAGCTTCCTGTCGAAGTATCAACACATACCAAATACAAAGAAAAAAAAACAACTCAGCACAAAGTGTTCAAAAAAAGAAATAACAGCAGAAATTGAAGTTTGAAAGCCACAAGTCTAGGAAAACACATATTTTCTTAAGTTGAAGGTTTTGCTTTGTTTGTATTTCCATTTTAGTGCTTTTCTCTTTTCTTTTCTTTTTTTTTTTTTTTTTTTTTTTTAACTTAAAAGCCCCTGTGGCAGGACAGTTTGCTGCTGAGGAACTTAAGACATTGAGAGGTTAAAACTGGCAGACTGAGAAAAGCTTGTGGCTCACAGACCTATTTCTTTGGTTTACCAAGTGGTTTAAGAAAATTGAATTTTAAAAAACCGGGCATGTGCTCTCAAACTTAGCACAATCCTCATCACTCTAACACCTTATAACTAAGAGCTGTCATTTACTGAGGTTTCCTGGCTGTGGCAGGAAGGCGCCCCAACGTGTGATCCTTACCTTATGGGACGAAAGATGATGAAGAGACAATTTTCAGGTTAACCTCGTTAATAAAAGTTTGTTTTTAAGATTTTTATTACTCATGAAAATAAAATTATAAAGATGACATATTAGATCCAGAGAGTATAAATATTATTTTATGTATCTCCATTTTACCCTTCGTTCTTTCCTTCCGTGGTTGAAATGAGATACTTATAAATTGCGCTCTGTGGCAGACAGTTTGCGTGTAAGACTCTAAGAAGCACTTTCTTTTCCTCAGGGTCTGATCTTCCATCCAAACACTTAATATCTTTCTGATGATGACTTTGATTTTTAATTCTATGAGAGAGACTGTGCAATTTGAATACTTCAGATGGAAAAAAGTTGCATGTAACCATTTTTAACGCGTTCAGTCTGCCACTGGGGACCAGGTGTTTGTCAGCCCTCTTCTGCTGTTCACAAGGACCCAGGGCTTAACTTTCTGTTCTAAGGTACTGCGTGCCAGCAGAGAACTATGGTCTGGCACTATCAGTCCCTTTCACATATGTCTGAGCTGCCTTCCTCAGACAAGATTGTGAGTGCTGGGCTTCTTTTATCTCTCCTGTGGCTGCTTTGGCAAAGCGTTTTTTCCTGCTGTTTTGTCTTCCTTTTCCCTCCCCATCTCCTAGTTTCATCTTTTTGTGATCATCCTCAACCAGAATGACTTAAAATCCACATACACTCAAAATGAAATTCTTGCAGCTGGGGGACAAGGAATTCAGAAGTGAAAGTGCATGTATTTTAATGTCATGTACTGGTAAGCAGAGGTGCGGGAGGTGTTGCTGAGCAAAAACATGCATGACAACACAACCAGCGTCCCCAAAATGGGAAGAAGAGCTGATACGTTGCTCGGCACCTGTAAACGTGCCTGTGAGTCAATGGGCCACTTTGTAGCTGTCATTCTTTATCCGTTTAAATATCTTTCACATCCATTGGCACATGCATGATTTTCCCTACCTCTCAGCTCGCCTATTTCCCAGGGCTCCCCCTCGCAGGCTCTCTTTGGTTCTGAATGTACCAGCAGTTCCCTAAGTGTGAAACCCACCTTTCTTCTTGTCTGGGTTCTGTACAGCTAAGTTTCATACTTGACCATTCTGTATATATGTCTTTGTTTTTTAAGGTAAAACTGGTGGCATTCCTGACTGAATACCCTTCACTCACAGGTAACATTCTTTTTCATTAATATGATTGTGTTCTGTGTGTGTATGTATGAGAGAAAAAAAATCATATTAATAGAATTATAGGTAGTATTTTCAGGTGAAAAAACACACCATTAGAAAAACACTTAAGGAAGAGTGTAGGTGATTCTTGACTTTCTTCAAATGATGTCACGCCCTTCCTTGTTTCCTATTATGCACATGTTTAGGGGCAATGATATTTATATTCTTTTTGGACAAAATAAAAATATATATATTTGGCCTCTAAGCTTCTGAGTACTCTACTTCCATAACTTCATCATTTTGTAGCATTTGCCTGTACAATATGTAATAAGTTTGGGTTTGGACATTAATAAACTTCTACATCAACTTTTAACCAAGCTACTCTTTTTCCCATAGTATGAATACCACGGGTATTTGTGTTGGGAGAAAACCCAGGCCGGGCGTGTGTGTGTTTGTGTAGGCCAACTGCATGTGGGTGGGATAATAAAAACAAAACCTTAGCATAGTGTACCTTAAGAAAAAGGTGGATCAAGAGAGATAATGTGTGGTATAAATTAAAAATGACCTCAGGTGGAAATTTTGTGGAAATTACAAAAAACATAAAAACAATCATCTGTCAGCAGATAGTTTACTATAATGGTGACCTCTCATTCTTCACATCTTAAACTATCTTCCTATTATTCCAGAGCACAACTCACATTTGTGACATTCTTTGTTTATTTACTGTGGAACCATAGTTTTCATAAGGCAAATGGTATTAATCGTGTTTCTGCCAACTTTATAAATTGAGTAAACCTTTGAGGGATTAAGACCATTAAATTGTCAACTAATTTGAGCCCAGTTCCCCAATACCTCAAGTTAATGAAAAAGCTGTTAAAAGGGAATTATATACAGTGCCTTTGTTGGTTTAAATTATTTATCTTTTATCTCTATCTTAACGAGCAGAGAAGTAAATACGAACTTTTGCAGGAGGCAGTGTGGAACAGTGGGAATGAGGAGTGCTATGGGAC
This sequence comes from Homo sapiens, assembly GCF_000001405.40. Taxonomy (NCBI): domain Eukaryota; kingdom Metazoa; phylum Chordata; class Mammalia; order Primates; family Hominidae; genus Homo; species Homo sapiens. The sequence goes on along the minus strand of NC_000021.9, from coordinate 27,398,524 downwards.
TTTGTATATCTGGTCTGGAAGCCTGTTTCTGGTACGTACAGCTAGGTGAGTTGGGCAAATTACTTAAACGGTCCAGATCTCAATTTTATTAACTATGAAATCACGTAATAAGATCTAACTTGAAAGGTTGTTAGTATCAAGGCTAATATAACCCTTTGGTTGTTATAATGAATAATAGATAAGTATTATTCTTACTACTATTTATTTTTTGGAAAAATCTATATTATTAATTTTTCGATTCTATGAGAACCAGTAAAGAACATTTATGAATAGAATTACTTGTGTAAGAGTTCAGCCTGCTGGGAATCATTTGTAATCCTTTATCCTTTAAACACTCTTAGTAGTACCATGCCAACGTTAGCATAAAATCATCATTCTTCCACATGAATTTTTGGGCCATTTTTGGCTCTTATCCTTAACTGAACAGCAGAGAGGCCCTTAACCTGCCTTTTCTAATGTCATTATTCTTCCTTAACAGGCTTTCCAGTTTGTTGTACCTACCTTAGCCAGACCGTAGGAACTTTTTAATCCATTTGATGTCTTAGTAAGATCTGATGATGATCATCCTAAAAATCTGCCCTCTCTTGATAACTGAGACATTGCCTTGGCATTTTACTGAATTCTATCAATTCTACTTCTTTATTTAAAGATGGTGTTATGAGCATTTAATGTAAAGATCTTATCGTAGTCACTGGCTCAGAATAATTGCTCAAAAACTGGCATATATTACTATTATGACATCATCATCATTATCATCATCACTTAATTTCTTGGTTGGTTTTTCTTCTTCCTGACCTATAGTAGTAATGGCCTTCCAAGTATCCATTCTTGATCTTTTAGTCTTTGTCCACTCCCTCCTTTTTATGAAAATCACCCACTCAAGTAAGTTGGACTATCTTATCTAACCTAACTCTCTAGCCTCAAATACTTACTAAGGTTTCAGTTTTCATTTCTATCTGCTTAAAAGATCTTTACACAAATAGGATATTCTTTCACCATCACAAATGGAATATGTGCGCACTCACCTAGTTGCTCTTCCAAAGTGCTTTATCTGCTTGCATGCTTGCTTACCACCCCCAGCTAACTTGGCTATCTTCGGGTAATCCTGCTCCTATCTCTGTCAAAAGACACCAAGACAGTATTTTTCTTGCATTTGTCTTTTCATCTTTAGCGAATCAATACCATTGTCTTCTAATTGCCTCCTAATGGAACCTTAATCTGCCATGAAACCTAAGTCCAATTCTTCACTGATACTCTTATAAGAATGATTTCTAATGTCTTTTTTTAATTTGCTTGTTTGTTTCAGAGCTTACAAACCTCCCTTATGCTGTTCATTTTACATTTAAGTATATCTATGTAGTTTCCAGATTAATAATGTCTGAAACATTTATCTATCCCAACTTTTTCCCCCTACAACTACTCTGTATTAATGTAGTTTCAATCAGTCTGGATCCTACCGTGCCAGCTTAAAATCAGAATGAGTAACTATTGATTCTAGAACACTGGCCCATGCTTTGACTCCTTATGTGGAAATTCTTCCACATATTCTCTTTACCTATCTATGTTTTGTGTTTCCTTCAAGACAGCTAAATATTCATTGTTTTATAAAGCTTTTCCTTGAGAGTATGGTTAATTTTGCCTCTCTCTTTTCTAATTATCACACCTTGTTAAGTACAACATAGGTTCATTGTATGCTATCTCTAATTATAGCATCATCTGGGGTAAATGCTTTTATGGCCTTATAAAATGTACTTTTGGTTACTCCCCAAATATTCTTAATTATCTCTCTCTTCTTTGTAATTCTCTGTGCCAAAATTCAGGCATACCAAAGTTCAGGTTCTTTTAATTATTTTCAAGAACTATCACCTCTGGCCTCTTCATATTCAGTATTTGCTTTTCCTCGAATCCATCCTGAATGCTATTGACAAGTTTATGTTTCCAAAGCTAAAATCACGTCATTTAAAAAACCTGTTTATAACAAAAGCGACATTCATAGTGGTCTCTTACCTGTTTAGTAAATATTCCCTTTGGTTGTGAACCCTGGATCTTTCTTTATTGTCCTCCAAATATCTAAAATAACTATGCCAATTGTCCCAATCTCTAACTCCTGGAATTCCATTATTCAAAATCATGTGTCAGCAGGCTTTTCTAGATTTTTTAAATTTTATCCTTTAACATTCTCTGCTTCTGGGATTTGGTCTTTGATTTTTCCTTAGTTACACTTCTTGTTTAGCCATCCGAACTCTTAAATCAGGATCAATTACAATTGCCTCATAAGAATACTTGATTTCCAATAATATCCCACCTCAGTTCTTCCTAAATTCTACTGAAGTAATGATTATGCCAAATAAGACCTTTTTGATTCTCTTATTTTATTTCCCATCCTGCTTGGCTTCAATGCTTGTTTGATTGTCTGTCTTTTGCATCCTGTTGGGCCATGAAAAACTCAGTCTATGCTTTCGTCATGATCTATTGCCACAGAAGATGGAGATGTACTGTTCAAACTATGAGAATTAAATATATCATCATTATCATCATTGCATATTTTCCACACAAATGAATTATATGAGTTCTCTTAATACTCTAGGTAGCTGCAATTAAATAATTTCATCACTAGAAAACATATTATAGATCAACATACCCATTGTTACTTACAATAAGGCAATCTCTTTAAAAATGTTTGTTGAGCTCCAGATACTGTGCTAAGTATTAAGAGCATAATGATAAACATGACAAATTTCCCGTTGCTGAAGAGCTTTATATAGAGTGAAGGAGACATAGAGCTATTATGCTATATGATAACATCAAAATGCATTCAAAAACAGGAAGGTTGAAGGAAAAGTCACGGAAAAGACAGACAACAGATGAAGGAGAGAGGAGTAGATGAAATATTGCTGTGAGTGTGACCATGAAGGATGGGATCTCTTCATTACGATGACGTTTGCTGTGGATGATAAAAAATATATATTTTTAAAGTTCTCCTAAAAATAAAGTTCTCCTAAATTTTGTATTTTATCTTATAAAAATTTCTCTGCTATGCTCATATGCTGTATCCCCATGCATATTTTGAAGATATAATTCTAACTCCCCTCATTTCAATTAGATTTGCTTCTTTTGAACACATGATAAGCTTTCATTTTCATATTCTACTCGTTAAGTTCCTTCGTCAGCTTCTGAAATTGAAAGCATTCATAATTATAAGCTTACTTTGTGGCTTAGATGGCAAGGATGGGCATTTTTCAAATTAAAAAAATCATCTGCCTGGATAAATATCAAACCTAGAATTCAATCTCTAAATTACAGGCTGTTTGCAAATCGCTGCATGCCTGTGTGTTCCTCTCTCTAACTAACACCTTTCATGGATGGCATATGTTTTCCTCTGAAAATGAAATAGATAGAATGGATGTTTGAACCCACTGAATGGAATGAATCTGTGAAGATGGTATGTTTCATGGGTCAGGACTACCCAGATATTCTAGTGTTCATTTGAGATCTCAGTTACCTTCTTGAATAAGTAAGTAGGTACTAAAGTGAAATTTTGAGATGAGAGTCAAAATTTTGAGATGAGAGTCACGCCAGCTGGCCTGGATATGAATCCCAACTTTGCCTCTTACCAACGGTGTGATTTTGTGCAAAAGAGTTAAACACTCTGCCACTATATAGTATGCCTACCTAATAGACTTTTAAGATTTAATGAGTTAGTAACACCTATATTCTGACTCCTAATAATAATTTAATACCTTCAAAATACTTTTATTGTGTTCACTTTTCAAGTTCCTGTTCACTAGATTTATTACTCAGATTTTTCTTCCATCAGTACATAGGTATCTGGAGCTATAAATAGTTTTCCTGAGTTTTTCTTAGTTCTTTCTTCCTGAGAATTAACTGACACATTTAGAGCAATGAATACATCAATATTCCATAGTTCTGTCAGTAAAATTGGTTTATTTTTACCTTCCACAGACCATCTTATGGCCTATTTTCTTTCACTCTCTAAGTAAAATGTTAACTTTTGCTTAAAGTCTATTAACTTATTTATGATAGTAGTTATTATTTACACTAGAGTCTTTATTTAAATCTCCTTATTTCTCTCTCTTGATGAATTGAATGAATTGCCTGAAGGAGTGTAGGTTGTCTTCTCTGTATGGTTCATGTAGATCATAAGAAACTTTGACTGAATAAATTTAGAAGCAGCAAGGAAGTCACATTTAGTCTTGCATAACAAATAACAAGTCATGGTTCTGCAGTTGGAAACCCTTTGGCATGGACCAGATAACTTGCCAAAGGAAAAAAATTAAGTTTCATATTTTCCTTGAATGGCTCAGAAAAAATATATATCTAAGTACTGAAATTCTGCTGTCATATAAACTTAGACATAAATGAAAAAATGTACATTTCACTTGGAACATTCTAAGTTGTTAATATATAAAAAGATACTTAAAGTTTTTTCCTTATTACTGCAGCTCACTAAAGCATACCTATCTCCTCTCTCCAAGAAAAATATTTTCATCAAAAAAGGTTTAACAAAAATGCTGTAGGATGGCAGCATTTTCACGTAATGTGCCAACTCCATCCCTGTCTTGTAAGCTCAGATGTTTACAGTGCGGTAATCATATTAAACCACAACTCATAAAGTGAAAGAGCTAACGGAAAATCTCACTTGTATTTCTGAAACAAGCCAACTGTTTACACTTACATTTTTAAATTAATAGGTCATAAAGCAGCATCACAGAATTATGTGTATTACACATATTTTCTGTAGAAAAATGCAAATCATCTTCCCTTTTTGAGTTTATTTGGAATTAAAATCAAAGCATACTATGTACTTTTTCCATTAGAAATCTAATACAATCATTTTATACTTGAACTTTATTTTGGTAATAATTGTATACTCACTACTCTTATAAGGGAGAACAAAATGTATTAGCATGTCTATCCCTAATCTAATATTATGGAAGAGTAAGGATTTTTTTTTCTTTTTCTTCTCTTTTCTTTCTTTTTTTTTTTTTTTTTTTTTTTTTTTTTGTTTTTGTTTTTGTTTTTAAATGAGGTTTCGCTCTTGTTGCCCAGGCTGGAGTACAGTGGCGCAATCTCAGCTCACTGCAACCTCTGTCGCCCGGGTTCAAGCTATTTTCCTGCCTCAGCCTCCTGAGTAGCTGGGATTACAGGCATGCACCACCATGCCCGGCTGATTTTGTATTTTTAGTAGAGACTGGGTTTCACCATGTTCGTCAGGCTGGTTTCGAATTCCTGACCTCAGGTGACACACCCACCTCAGTCTCCCAAAGTGCTGGGATTACAGGCGTGAGCCACGGTGCCCAGCCTAGGATATTCTACACACAGAAAAGTAAACCTGAAAGATTATATACCAATATGTGAATTGTACTTGCTCTAGGGTACCAAATCATGGGATTTCACCTTATAGCTTATACATTTCAGTATTCTCAAAATGTTTTTACCTTGAACATATGTTACTTTAGAAATTGGGGTTAATATATAAAAGGATGTTTTAGTAGGACATTTAAAATTTGCTTCCTCATACTGAAATTCACTAAAACATAACTATCTCCTTTCTCCAAGAAAAATATTTTCATCAAAAAGGTTTAACAAAAAATGCTGTAGGATAGCAGCATTTTCATTTAATATGCCAATTCCATCCCATAAAAGGAGAAGCAATGTCATGCCTTTTAAAATATATTTCATTCTCTCATATTGTCATGGGCTGTATGCCATCAGAGATATAACCTTAACATTTGAGAGTACTTAGCGTCCATTTAAACTATGGTAAAAATTAATTTAACAACACATAACTTTCAGTCAAGCTAGATGTGCTCAAAGACAAATCTCTGACAAAGACTGATGAAAATGAGTTCAAATTTAAAGAAGTGAAATATATTTATTGTTGGCTGTTCCTTTGAGGACATAAAGACTATTTAATATGTTTTAAGAAAACTAATTTGTTTTCAACCAAAATGTCCCAGGTTTTGATTCAATTTCTTTCTCCTTAGAATATCTTAAGATACCACACAAACTCTTAAGTTTGTTTGTCCCTCAAATATCAGTTTAGCTATTTCCTCAGTTAGTTGTTTCTACATATAGTGAAACAATGACACTTGATATTAATTTCTTGCTCACACTTTAGCACATAAGCTCTAGCAGCTCTTTTTCCCTTTGATTTATTTGATATGAGCTTTTCTGAAAGAACTCAATAATGGTGATTGGAAGCACCTACAAGGGTGAGAAGAAGCACCACATTTCGTAAGACCTAGGTTGAAACTGACACAGTGGTACTGGCTACAGGGGGGAGGTGTGTTCTTCCCGTGGAGGTGGGGTTGGAGAGTAGACAGCAGATTGTTGTGACTAGTGGTTGAAGCTACTGCAGCTATGTCTACTACTGTGCTAGGTGCTGGAGACAGGAGAAAATGCAGTGTCATGATAAATGCCATACATGAAAGACACATGAGAATTATTGTAGAAACAGACAGTCAAGGACTTCCATCTTTTGGAAGAGTTGGAAAAATCTTTATGAAATCAATAATATTAGAACAAGGTCTGGAGAAAATGTATGAGTTCACGAGAACAGATAGGTGAGGGTATTGTGGTAAGAAGGCACAATACATATAAAATATGGAAATACAGAGTCACAGAAAACAGCATCACATGAAGAAAACATGTGAAGTATATGAATTGAGAGTGTATTTCAAAGGGAAAAGTACCAGGATTGAGACTGGAAATATAAACCTAGAGAGGCCTTGATTATAATGTCAAAATATATGGAATTTATTGTGTGGATTATTATGAGTTACCTTATAATATATAACTACCACAAAATACAGTGGCTGAAAACAAACATCTAACAGCATAGCAAACTCATAAAAAATTTACTGGCTTAACACAACACTATTTTTTAGTTCATGATTTTGTGCATCAGCCATAGGGACTGGGTTCAGGGAGGGACTTCTCCTGGTCTCACCTGGAACTCTCGTTTGTCTGCAGTATTACTGGCTAGGAAGGAGACCCATTTGATTATGGACTATGTGAGATCTCATCCTCCAGGGGACTAGCCCACGCTTGGTTCTATGGGGAAGGCGGAGATCCCAGGACAGCAGGTGGAATTCGGCAAGGCTCTTGAGGCCTAGAGTTGGAATGTGTATATCAACAGCTTTGTTGTTGTATTCCATTGGCCAAAGCAGTCACAAGACCAATCCAGAGACAATAGATTTTATTTCTTGATATAATAGTAAGAGCTTCAAAGTCACATTACACAAGGAAAGAAGCTAAAAGGAGGGAAAAGTTGTATCCATTTTTGCAATGTATCAGAAGGGACCTTTGAATAATTTGATAGGTACAGTGGGTATAAACTGTGTGCTGGATTTAGATAAGATGATTTCAGATCTCATCACCTGGCCTCCAGGTAACAAAATGCTGAAAGAAGAAAAAAAAAATAAGAAATATAGAAACTGGAAACATCAGAACAACTCTGATTGTCATAAAAAGAGGATAATAGAAAATACGTCTTCCTAAGTGACCCTAAAAACCCATTCTTCTTGTTTCTCCTGCTGACCAAGCAGAAAGCACTCCCAGTTAAAAAAAAAAAATCTTCATATCAAGTCTCATATGCCAGTAATATAATAAAATAAAGACTAATTTCAATTAAAAATTATTTTCTTTAAAATAAAAAAATTCAATGTTAACAGGCATTCATTATACATGCATAAACCATAGTTAGTATAAATGGAGAATAGCTGACTAATTTGGGAACAATATAGCTAGCCAGAAGCGGCAGGAGAATGAACCTAGTTTTGAGACACTGATCAGAATGTAAATCCATTTTTTATTGTTGTTTTCTAGAAGTGGAAGAACTAAGAAAAAGGAAGATCACTATCACCAGCTGAGGCAGGGAGGGGCAGAACCCAGCACTGCTGAGATCATTTCCCTTTAGACAGGCCACAGCTGGGTGTCCAGGGGTTGCTCATGAGGGTACAAGTGAGGAGTGGATGGAGCCAACGGAGCACAGAGACCTTGGCCCTGGGCATGGTTAGACTTTTTTTCCCAGGGACTTTTAAAATTTCAGTGGTAGTTATTTGCTTCAATGAGGCTTTAAAAGACTTGTGCTATTTTCAAGTCTTTTAAGTCTCTTTTGTTTGGTTTGATTTTTCTCTTAAGTATGCCCCTTCTATACTTTTATATAAAACTACCATGTACTGGGAAGAGCATGTGTCGAGAGTGGTATCCATCCCTCAGAATAAGCACTGTGTCTGAGAAATTGAATGCTTGTAAGTTGAGCTGAAATATGCTCCTCCCCCATGTGTCTATTGACATGCAATAGATAGGTGGTGGAGTGGATGGAAGTAAGAGATGATGTTGAGTTTGAGGTATGTGGTCTCTCCCAGAGCAAGGAGCCATAGCAGAGACTGAGAGGGCACATAGAGCTAGATGTGGAGACTGACACAGGGTGCCTGTAACAAAGAAGGTGGGAGAAAAGTATCCTGTCCTACATGATAGGTTGACCCAGAACAGGGCTTGTCCTCTCATTGTCCCTGACATCCTATGGAAAGAAACAAAACCAAAGCAAGTAACTTACTTTCATAGGAACTTCAGGGAATATCAGGCCCTAATTCTCTATTAAAAATGACAGAGTATGGCCAGGTGCAGTGGCCTAGGCCTGTAATCCCAGCACTTTGGGAGGCCGAGGCAGACGGATCACCTGAGGTTGGGAGTTCAAGACCACCTGACCAACATGGAGAAACCTCGTCTCTACTAAAGATACAAAATTAGCCGGGGTGGTGGCGCATGCCTGTAATCCCAGCTACTCGGGAGGCTGAGGCAGGAGAATTGCTTGAACACGGGAGGCGGAGGTTGCAGTGAGTCGAGATTGCACCATTGCACTCCAGCCTGGGCCACAAGAGTGAAACTCTGTCTCAAAAAAAAAAAAAAAAAATGACAGAGTATGCGAGGTTATTTCATAACCTACCTGCTACACCTTCCTGCTCTTAGAATGTATGAGAAGGTGGATGGGACTAAAAAATCATGCAGACAAGCAAGTTTATGTTTTGTAGTTGTAGCCACATCCTGGAACAGAGTCAGGCTTCCTTGGCTTAACCTGAACCCCCTCATTCTTCCCAGACCCTGTGTAGCCTGTTTTCAGGTTTTTCTTCTCCCTTTCTTCCTCTCTGAGCCCTCCCCTGCATAAGCTCAAGATGGACGGTGGCTGTGTGTAGCAAAGCATGCACTTTTCTCTTTGGTAATAATGAGCAGACTAATGAAAAAATAAATTTCAACCATCACAGCAAATATGATGAGCAGTCACTCATTTCACACATCTGAGCTACCAGATTTCTATTTGTGTAGTTCACATAATCAGAAAAAAAAATATTGTTAATACAGAAAATGTGAATCAGCAAGAGAATCTGGTGAGGCACATTTTCTCACACACTGAGTAAGCCAGTGAATTCACCTGGTGCTTCCGATCCCACTTTCAGACCTGACCATCCCATTCTCAAGAGCTGTGTCAGGGATTTTAGCTTTTCCTCTTGCAGCTTTATTGTTTTAAGACCTGCTCCTCACCTTTAAGCAAACATTTCCACATCCTGCCTAATGTAGACACGCCTTTAGAGATAATAACTGGAAATTACAGTTATTTTGTGTCATCAGTCTTGGTGTTTGAGATATCAACTTATAAAATTTTAGGATACAATAGCCAAAAAATGTTAAATGTAATTATCATTGGTAGCTATATGCAAATTTTTAAACAGAATATAAATTTTATTTAAAATATAATAAAATAGGAATTATTTAGATTAATTGTTCTTAAATAGGTTTTTAAACAATTGTATTATATAATTGGTGAATTAGACTACACGATTATTAAAATTATAAAGGCATCTTATTAAATGACATTTCAGCCAAAGAAGGCAGAAAATAAATGGTTACTGAAAATGTGTCAGACATAGCGATAGCTTCCAAGCTAAATTCTTCATTAAGAATAAGTTTAACTTACACTATTTTCAAGTTCAAATAAAGTACTTGTTAGCTACTAATGGACAGAAGATTGATTTGAACTCAGAAGTCTGTGGGCCCAAAATACGTACATCTTCCACTGTTACTTTTGAAGATTATTTTTAACACAATGCAGCAAGTAGAACATTTCTGAAAATCAATTTGGTATCAATTTGATCTTAAGGTGTGTCTAATATGCTGAAGGAATATTCCTCTTCTGGAACCCTCTAAACACTGTATTGTACTAATACTTGAAAAAGAAAACCAGGGTTCCCACTTGACTCTATTATTAATTTGCTGTGCTATCTTGGGAATACAACTTATTCACTAAGGACCCCTTCTGTGTATTACTAAAGAAGCAAAATTAATGTACTCAGTTTTACAATTAAATTTTTATTTGTTAATAAATACTATATAACTATAATACTATATAATAATACTATATAACTATATATACTATATACTATATATACTAATAATACTATATAACTATAGTATTATTATGCTCATATTTTGGTTTAAGCATTAGAGTAAGAGAGAAAATGTATTTACATTTCTGTAAAACAGATTTTCTTACACAGAAAACCTATATCTAAACTGAGACTCTTCTTCAGTGACCAAGAAAAATAAAGGTTTGCATATAAGGACATGAGTGTGATAATTATCCTAGCTAATTAGCAACCCTAAGTTGGGTAGATGGTAGATGGCAAGTTCTGATGAAAGGTGATCAAAGCATAGGTCTAACAGATTGGAAACTTATAAATTTAATTGATAAACTTTCCTTTTCAAACATAAAATAATTATTTAATTTTTTTAAATATGACAATCTACTTGATCACTATATGGGAAGCCATCCCATACTCACATTGATATCTTTGTGGATTCATCTCAGATGTATGTAGGGAGGCATCTTCCATTTCTTGATCCTAGCGGTCCCTGTTAATCTTGTTTACCTGTTACCCGAGTTTTGCACAATAAAGGGCATATGTTGATTGCCTTTTCCCACTCAAGTTGATATTTTCCTGGCTCTTCAAATTCTGAGTAATTTTGATTTGTGTCCTAAACAATAGATATTTGAATGGTATCAGATTACTCATTAGAAAATGTCAAGACCAGAAGGAAATGGAACAATATTTTCCCAGCTTTATTGAGCTATAATTGACAATAAAAATTGTTTACATTTAAGATATATATAATGTTTTGATGTCCATACACATTGTGAAATGATGACCACAATCAACTTAATTAACGTATCTATCACTTTACATAGTTACCTACTTTCTGGGGGGGAGCAATATTTTTAAGTTCTAAAAGGAAAGATTATCAACCCAGACTTTATCTATGTAGTGAAACTATCTTTAAAAAATGAAAGTTAAATAATGAAATTAAGAAAATTAATTGCTAGCAGATCTTTACAAAGAGAATCATTAAAGGACTTTTTGTTGTTGCTGTTGAGACGGTGTTTTGCTCTTGTTGCCCAGGTTGGAGTGCAACGGCGCAATCTCGGCCCACTGCAACCTCCACCTCCCAGGTTCAAGCGATTCTTCCCCCTCAGCCTCCTTAGTAGCTGGGATTACAGGCGCATGCCACCACGACCAGCTAATTTTTTGTATTTTTAGTAGAGACAGGGTTTCGCCATGTTGGCCAGGCTGGTCTTGAACTTCTGACCTCAGGTGGTCCACCCACCTCGGCCTCCCAAAGTGCTGGGATCACAGGCAAGAGCCACCGCGCCCAGCCTTCAAAGACCTTTAGACAGAATACCAGAGGGAAATTTGAAACGTTAGTAATGAAAGTAGAGCAACATAAATGGTACTATTGAGTAAATGTTATAGACTATCATTTTCCTCTGGAGTGTTTAAAACATGTTTGAGAGTGGAAAGAAAATTATAACATTGTTGATAGTATTTTAGTTCTACGTAGTTGTAATACGTAAGACAACTCAAAATAAAGGAGGATAGAGACCCAAAGGCTGGTAAGCTTTCTGAATTCCACATGCAGTGGTGAAATACTGATTTTAGTTGGGCATTACAAATATAAGTATAATGTATATTTGTTATAGTAGGAGTTAGACATGAGCAGGGCAAGAGAAGCACCCCTGTGTCCCCACCAGGAATGTCAGGGAACCATTAGATGATGGGCAGGTGGTATTTACACTGGTTCTCTCAAATAATAATTGGCTGCAGCTGGCGCCAGGGAACGGCCGTCTCCCAATAGATAGAAAAAACCTGAAACGTGATTAGCAGCTTCCCAATACAATGTCAGAAGTCAGGTGAGTAGGCTCAAGCATGCACATTAAGAGGCAAAATGGCAGAGTTCAACTGGTATATGACCTTCTAGGGACATGTGACTGGTCAGGGAGGAATGCCTCAAGTGAGCACGTACACAACTCCAGTAAACACACTTCCTATGCTCCCCTCCCAAGGGCTAGCAGGCCACTGCACATGCGGACAGCTTACCCCAAGGGAAGAATCGGGAGAAATAAGGCAAGACCCCAGAAGCATGCCAAAATATAAAACCCCAAGTCAAAATGTCAAACTGTGCATGTGATCTCTCAAGTCTCCTGCTTTACTTCCTTTCATTCCTGCTCTAAAACATTTTTTTTTTTTTTTTTTTTTTGAGACTGAGTCTCGCTCTGTCTCCCAGGCTGGAGTGCAGTGGAATGATCTCGGCTCATTGTAAGCTCTGCCTCCCAGGTTCACGCCATTCTCCTGCCTCAGCCTCCCTAAAGCTTTTTAATAAACTTTGACTCCTGCTCTAAAACTTGGGTAGGGCTCTCTTTCTGCCTTACGTCCCTCAGTCAAATTCTTTCTTCCGAGGAGGCAAGAATTGAGGTTGCTGCACACCTACATAAATTTGCTGTCTGTAATATACTGTAATTCCTCAAACAAATGTTAAAAATAACCACAAAAAGACAAAGTACATTATTAAAAACACAATTAAGGCTGGCACAGTGGCTCACACCTGTAATCCCAGCACTCTGGGAGGCCAAAGTGGGTGTATCACCTGAGGTCAGTTTTTCGAGACCAGTCTGGTCAACATGGCGAAACCCTGTCTCTACTAAAAACATAAAAATTAGACGGGCGTGGTGGCACCCGCCTGTAATTCCAGCTACTCGGGAGGCTGAGACAGGAGAATCGCTGGGGAGGCGGAGGTTGCATTGAGCCGAGATCACACCACTGCACTCCATCCTGGGTGACAGAGTGAGACACCATCTATAAATAAATAAATACACAGCCGGACCGGTGGCTCACGCCTGTAATCCCAGCAATTTGGGAGGCCAAGGCGGGTGGATCACAAGGTCAGGAGATCGAGACCATCCTGGTAACAAGGTGAAACCCCGTCTCTACTAAAAAAATCAAAAAAATTAGCCAGGCGTGGTGGCCGGTGCCTGTAGTCTCAGCTACTAGGGAGGCTGAGGCAGGAGAATGGCGTGAACCCAGGAGGCGGAGCTTGCAGTGAGCCAAGGCCACAGAGCAAGACTCTGCCTCAAAATAAATAAATAAATATACAATAAATAAATGAATACACAATTAATAAATTAAAACTGAATGAAAAGTAAAGTTTAAATGATACAAAAGAGGACACAGTAGGGGAAAAACTGGAATAAATAACAGAGGGAACAATTATAAAATAAATATTAAAATGGCAGTTTTAAATCCAAACATTTTAATAATTATATTAAATATAAACGGTTAAACATATCAAATGAAAGGCAGATTGTCAGATGGAGAAAGGTATATCATGTTCATGCAAATAATAGTCAAAATAAAGCTGGATTAGCGATGTATCTTGGACAAAGTGGACTTCAAGCAAAGAAAATTGGCTTATCTCTGTATTAGAATCTCACATCATCACGCTAAAAATGATCATCATGAAATTACTGATTACTATCCAACCCAAACCATGAAATCAAACTGAGAAATGTGTTTTGACAAGGGAAATAATACATTTTAGACTATGTAAATGCCCTCACAAGCATAATACTATTTTTATTAACATTTCCAAATAGATTTTTAGTAAGAAAACAACAAAAAATACAAAACATATTTTTTATGATTAAACCAAATCAAGATTATGTTTTTATACTTTTCTGAAACTTGTATTTATCAGCCAATAATATATTATGGAAATGCCTATAATTCAACTGCTATCGTGTTAATGTATGCTTTTGAAATGGCTTCATGCTCAGAATGCGCTGAAATTTATTCAATATTCCTGTTATAAATGAGTGAGCAATCATTTTATTTTATTTATTGTTTTGCCGCAATGAACAATGCTAAAATAAATATCTTCCAACATTTATCTTTTCATACAATTACTTTACTCCTATAATATAGATTCTGAGGAATAGAATTTTGAGTATATAAATTTAATTAAAACATTATAGTCTGTGTTTTTAAAAGTTGTTAGATATTTTTAAACTATCTATTATAGCATCTAAGTTTTAAAATTCTTCTATTAAGTGATAAGAGCATAGGGCTCTCTGACATTCTTCCTCAATAGTCCTCAAATAGTCAAACCCATAATTATCATTAATTTACCTTTTAAAAATATTTTACTTTATTTTTAGTTGTCACATAATAATTGTACACATGTTTATGGTACAGAGTGATATTTCTATACATGTATACAGTGTATAATGATCAAATCAGGGTAATTAGCCTATTAATCACCTCAAATATTTAGCATTTCTTTATGCTGAAAACATTCAACATTTCTTTCTCCACAAATCTTAGAAGGGGCAAATATTAAAAAACAAGACTAACTCAAAGGTATAGGCAACAAAAATAAAAATAGACAAATGGAATTCCATCAACCAAAAACATCTGGACAGCAAAGGAAACAGTCAATAGAGCAAAGAGACAATGCAGAGAATAGGAGAAAATATTTGTAAGCCATACATCTGATGAGGGTTCATATCCAAAATGTAAGGAACTCAAATGCCTCAATAGTGAGAATTAAAATAACCCAATTAGAAAAGTGGCAAAAGAACTGAATAGACATTTCTCAAAAGAAGATATACAGATGACCAACAAGCATATGAAAAAAAAGTCAACATCACCAATCCTCGGAGAAATGCATATTAAAACCACAAAGAAATATCACCTTACAGCTGTTAAAATGCTACTATCAAAACCATGAAACATTAGTGTTGGTGAGAAAGTGGAGGAATGGGAACCCTTGTACATTTTTTCTGAGAATGCTGTTATGAACAACAGTATGGAGGTTTCTCAAAAGATTAAAAATAGAACTGCTATATGATCCGGTAATCCCACTAATGGGTGTACAGTGTATCCAAAGGAAATTAAATCAGCATATTGAAGAGATATCTACACTCCCACCTTTATTGCAGCACTATTCACAAAAGCCAAGGTGTGGAATCAAGCTGTGTTCATCAACAGATAAATGCATAAAGAAAATGTGGTACACATATGCAATGGAATATTATTCAACCTTTAAAAAACAGGAAATCTTACTGTGTGTGGCAACATAGATGAACCTGCAAGACATTATGTTAAGTGAAATAAGCCAAGCACAGAAAGACAAATACCACATGACCTCACTTATATGTGGAATTCAAAATAGGTGAACTCAGAAGCAGGGTGAAAACTTATAATTAAGTGTTCAATGAAAATACATGAGAACCCATTACACAGTACTTGGGTTCCTCATCCAGAAGCTTCTTACTCCAATTTAAAGGTCGAGAGGATGCGGGTAATTGCAGAGTCCAAAGTGGGATTTTGGGAAGAGGACTGCTGTGCTGGGACTCTCACTATCCTTTCCCACAAAGGCTTGGGGCGCAGGCATTGCTTCCTCATCCCAATTCTAGTAGAGGGGTTTGAATAGGCACACTCAGAAAGCTCGACATGTATTCCCTCCAGTGGGAAACAGATGGTTGACTCATGCCAGAGGAAGAAGACGTATTCTTGGCAGCAGAGTAGGGAGCTGCAGCTGGAAAGGAACTGCACTTCCAGCTGGTGACAGGCAGGTCAAAATGCATGCATCCCAGTGACTGGATGTGACACCTACAGAAGGAACATTAGCCACGAGGTCATCCAAAATGATCCCTACCCAGAGGGGCAGCATCCTATAGTCCCAAGATTACAACAGTAAGTGGCTCCTGGTGGAGAAAGCTAAAGCAGATCAACATTGGCAAGGCAACAGAGAGTCATCACCTACATCATGGAAGCTATAGTCTAAGGAAACCAACTAGTTGCCTTTAAAGAACTCACAAAATACCTTGCAAGAGAAGCCACAGCTTTAAATACCTGCTAGATACAGGACATATGAAGGCTGCATGCAGTAGTGCCAGGCAAGGAGGAATGCTCTCTGCCTCCTTTTGCATCTTCTCTCGTTTCATACCATCCTTAGGGATTAGAAGTAGCATCTATCAGCAGGGTTAGGATTGAGTGACAAGAATAGTGAAGCCCACTCCAATTAATTTTTCTGACAGCCACAGCCCTCCTAAGGCTGATCCTAGCTGACAGAGGAATAGAAAGGCAAATTATCTCAAATAGAGATTCAAATAATATATCTTCACCCATCCTTCTTTTTGTCTTCATTTACTCTCTGACCTTCTAAGATTGACTTTCTCTGTGCTGTTTCTTTACAGTTACATCTTTTTTTTTTTTTTGAGATGGAGTCTCACTATGTTGCCCAGTCTGGAGTGCAGTGGTGCGATCTCAGCTCACAGCAACCTCTGCCTCCCAGGTCCAAGCAATTTTCCTGCCTCAGCCTCCAGAGTAGCTGGGACTACAGGCACGGGCCACCATGCCCAGCTAATTTTTTTGTATTTTTAGTAGAGACGGGGTTTCAGTGTGTTAGCCAGGATGGTATCGATCTCCTGACCTCATGATCCGCCCACCTCGGCCTCCCAAAGTGCTGGGATTACAGGCAAGAGCCACCACGGCCGGCCTAGTTATATCTTTTTTTTTTCTTTCTTACTGCCATTGCTTTTTTTCCTTAAAGGTGAGTTTGCTGTAGGGGGAGAAATTTGGCCTGGTAGGAGGAACTTGCCAATGTGTGGAGATGTTATGATTACTATAACTAAGGAGGTGATGCTACGGGCATCTAGGGGAAAGGGTCATGAATGCTGGCAAATGTCTTAGAAGACGCTCCCTACTGACTCTCTTACCTTATGATATCTATGACCGGACATTTTAATTTGCTGAAAACATGAGACTGTGTTTGCCACTTAAAGTGACCATGTATTTTATACCATCTAAAAATGACCAGAAATTATAGCATCCTCCCCCCACTTTTATCTAGTGGTAGAGAAAAAAATTTATCCTCTGTACAAGTTTAAAGAGACAATAAGACAAAAATAAACTCTCTGTTAGCTCTAATTAGTCCTACTTGATTAACATAGATTACATACACACATTTACTTTCCTTCACCATGATGTAAGAAGTCAATGATTTAAAAAAAATTAACAAAACTCTCAAATATTAATTAGAGTTAGACAGATAAATATATAAAAGATAGATTTATTTAATATATGTATGTGTATATATATATATATATATACACACACACACACACACATACAAACAGATATTGGTAAGGGGAGTGTCTAAACACTCAAGTCAGTATATATGCAATGCACAGAGACTGTTTGTATATTTCCAATAGGAGGGATCTGTTCCTTGGATTAATATACATGCACCCAGCCCTCTTAATAACTACATTTTTTAGAGTTTTACTTGTCCCACTTCATTAGTTACATGAAGCATATTTTTGTAATTTATCAAAGCCTCCAAACACTTAATAATTCTCTGGCTTTTTTTCCCAGTTTTTCCATTATCACTGATTCTCTTCCTGATAACCCAGCCTGGATCTAATCACCAATCATTTTACCTACATTCTATCCTGGGATCTCTTTCTTTCCATCTAATTCCAGAACCACGCCTGCCCTGTTAAAACCTCAAACGCTGATCTGTCTCACCATTTGTTTTCTATTTATTGATTCCCTTGAGGTTGAACATTGTTGGGGAATATTTCATCAGCTTGCTGATTGGCACCACTTCAGCTTATTATTCAACCTCAGCTGCTCCTCAATATTCCTTGGCAAGTTATTTTTGCAAAAGCTAAATCATATCCTCTATCAAACTCCTAAAAATCTGCTAGCATCAAACCACTCTCTCACATTTCATAGCTGTTCTGCTCTTACTTTTTGGGGGAAATATTGAGTCCTTCAGTTATACATTTACTCTCCCCAAACCCATTTCTTCACCCATCCTTCTTTTTGTCTTTCTTCACTCTATTACCTTCTAAGATTGACTTTATTTGTGTTATTTCTCTATAGTTATATCATTTTTTAGTGTTTTTGTTTGTTTGTTTTCCTAACTGCCATTGCTTTGTTTCCTTAAAGCTCAGTTTGCTGTAGGGGGAGAAATGTGGCCCTGTAGGACACACTTGCCAATCTCTGGGGATGTTATGATTATCACAATCAAAGAGGTGATGCTACCAGCATCCAGGGGAAAGGGCCATGAATGCTGGCAAATGTCTTAGAAGGCACTCCCTAATGACTCTCTTACTTTGTAATTAATTCATTAAAATTATCATCTAAGTTTTGTTGGATTTAATTACAAATACATAATACACCTTAATTAAATATTTTCATAGAAAGGTAAAATAATTTTAAACATTAAAAAAAGAAGACACATATATTCATCAGGCAAAAACATTAACAGAAATACTTATTTTATGGCACTCTAATAACATTTTAAATTACAAAAAGAGTCTTTGAGAAATAGAGATTTTCCTTCTTTTTGCTGTTGTTTCCCACTCTGCTTTCCTAGTCACCCTTCCCAATTTGCAGAATTATTTATTTGGCACTGTTGAACATAATCAGTTGAGAAAAACAAGAGCATGGTTTCTATCTCAAATTTGAGTTTTCCAGGCTCTGCTCTTGCCACATCCCTTCTCGTTTGAGTTAATCACAAGGGTGGGGAACACATACAATTCCCGACTTCAACAATTACTTCTTCTGCCTCACACCCATGGGAGAAGTCTTTATAGATAAAGTAATGATCTGCAGCACGTTAAATGTGCCTCTCTGACCAACCTTGGGAGGAGAAAACGACAGGAAACAGTAACACTTGGGAGCACTTGTGCATTATAATGCTTTAATAAGTTGATATGCATTGGATTCTGTAAAATATATAAAAAAGAAAAAGATTATTATGGTTTAGCTTTTATATTAAAACCTAAGAAGGAAATAAGGAAAAGGGATCTTCTTGAACCAAAAATGTTGTTTATTGTTGTCGTTGCTCTTCAAGAAAATCCCCTCAAGTAGTTAATGCAGCATGGTGTTTTCGAGAAAGATTGGGACATTTTTAAAGTTATTGTTCTGTAAAAGCATAGGTTATTAAATCCATTCAGTTTGGAAACACTTTGAGTGTGTTATTCTCTCTCATAGGCTCCGAGTGTTGTCTTGAAAATGCCTTTTCTAAGCATCTAAAATTGTAAAAGCAGGAAAGCTTTAGCCAGCCTCTAAGCTTGAGCAGATTTCCAAAATCAATCTGTGATCTGTCCTTCTAAAGAACTGAACCTAGATTGCTAAATACCAGCAAAAATTATACTTCTCCTTGTTTAATGCTTTTCTACACTGTTTTTCCCTTCAGAAACTGTTCTTCTGATAGAGGGTATTCACAAAACCATTTTTATTTATTTTGGCATTTTGTATTCATGTTGGTTGATTTTCCACATATATAGTTCAGCAATTTTTGCTTTAGGTTCCCATGAAAGTTTCCTATGATTGAACAATGGGTGAATAAAAACAAAATTGTGGGTTATTTTGCATATAGGTTAGACAAAACAAACCTTTTGCCAATAAATTGTTCTCTCGATTTTCATTTAACTTCTTGACTAAAATAAAAGACATCTGAATGTTTAGGCTTCCTTCATAAACGCAGCTTGTGTTCATGTCATTAAAACAATCTCACCAGGCTTTGGTTAGAAATTTACATTCACAGTAGCAGTTGTTTAAAGACAAGAAGTAGAGGCGTTATATTGAAGGCCATATATTGAATGCCACAAAGGGCATGACAAGATCAAATGACTTGGATTGACAAAATAAGTATGTCAGATGCTAAATCATTTATCCAGATTGTTGATTATTTAGAGGTTGATGATGCTACTATTCAGGGCGCAGCCAAAATTCCTTGCCTTTTTTTTCTTCATTCCATTCTCCACCACCACCCTGTACACTTCCCCGTTGCCATTTCACTCTTGCTGCTTTGGAGTAAAATGGGATATCCTGGAATAAAGTTGCTTGCCGATGACTGTATCATTGATTTTAAACAATTTATGTTCTACTTGTAGATCTGCAATCTCTATAGATAATTTATGTGTAAATTAGTAGATGGATTTTGTGGATTATCTGTCATGCTAGGAAAATTTAAATTGTACTAAAAGCATGAAAAAGTAATCTTATTTGACAAGTAGTTCTATCATCTACATGAGGAATGCAAACCTTAAGTATCCTCTGCATAGAACATTAATTGAATGGTAAATACATTCACAAAACATATAAATCCAATGTTTTGACTGTTTCCCTAAGAGTGCTAAGACAACTTCTTGCCCATAATGCACTCCACACTGTTTAATTGACTGTTTGTTAGAAAACCCCATCGCAAAATGATATTCAATAAAGTCATGTGACCCTCTTCAAATATTTTTAGTCCCTGTATCTAATACCTACACCTAACTTTCTTAGGTCAATGGACCAATTTAGTTTTAAATATATATAAAAATAACTTCCTGGCCAGGCGCAGTGGCTGAGGTCTGTAGTCCCAGCACTTTGGGAGGGCAAGGTGGGCAGATTGCTTGAGCTCAGGAGTTCAAGACCAGCCTGGGCAACATGGTGAAACCTTGTCTCTACAAAAAAATACAAAAATTAGCTGGGTATAGTGGTGCACACCTGTAGTCCCAGCTACTTGGGAAGCTGAGGTGGGAGGACTGCTTGAGCTTAGGAGGCAGAGGTTGCAGTGAGCCGAGATCGCACCACTGCACTCCAGCCTGGGTGACAGAGTGAGACTCTGTCTCGAAATAAATAAATTTCTTCATAGTTTTATCAATTATGACATGCTTTTCGGATCTTGAATCAAGTATCTCCTCCGTGGGGAAGTTACACAGTTTTCTCTGACATTGTCCCCAATCTAAGCTAAGTGTCCCTCATATGGCCTGTCAACTCTACAGGAAGCTTTTGGATGAAAGGGTATGTATCAGTCAAGTTTCAATCAGGGGACCAGAACCAGTAGGAGCTATATGTTAAAGGATTTATTTCCGTGAGTGGGCTTATATGATCGTGGAGGCTGATTAGGCAAGTCCAAAGCCCGTAGGGCAGACCTTCAAGAAAGGAGACTGAAATTCTAGAGCATGAACTAAAGCTTCATTCCACAGGCAGGACTTATTATTATTCAGGGAAACCTCAGTTCTGGTACTAAGCCTTTTAACTGACTGAATCAGGCCCATCCAGATAACCTAGGATAATCTCCTTTACTTAAAGTCAACTGATGATAGACCTTAATCACATCTACAAAATATCTTCATAGCAACACCTAGATTGGTGTTTGATTAAAAATTGCTACTAGAACCCTGCCAAGTTGACATAGAATTGATTGTCATAGGGTCTATGTCTTTTTCCATCTTTTTATAATAAAAAATGTCAAAAATACAAAAGAGTGGGAAGAAACTTAGAAAAAAACACCAACATGCTCCCTACCTAGAACTGAAATCTATTAACACTTTAACAAATTTGCTCTGTGTGTCTATGTGTGCATATTTGCATGTACTTTTGAAAACCTTTGAAAATCTATTGCACACAAATATCCCTATGTCTCTAAAAAATTTAACATCCATAGCCTAAAAATAGTACGTTCTTTTTCGTAACCACAATTACATCTCCTACCAAAAATTAAATAATCCTAGAAAAATCATCAAAAATTAGTTTATATTTGAAATTGTTCCAAAGCAAGGAAAGCAAACGTGAAGAAATGAGGGAAGGGAAAAATAGAGAAAGGAATATATAAAGAGGAAATCCTGACGTTTCCTTCTAAGATTTAAGGTCAGATGGGATACATGTTTTTAAAACATTCCTTATCTTATCATCTCGGGTATCTAAGTTCAGTGTTGGGCAAGCTGGGTGTGGAGTACATCCAACAAAGAAACGGGACAATGCCTCCAAACCCTTCTCACATCTCCGAATTTTATAAGCTGCAAATTGTTAATATATTACATCTAAATCCAAGATGTGCACTGTAATATTTGATTATTTGGATGGTCTACATTTATTTAACTGCAATCCATTTGCTAGGAATCCATTGTTAGTGCCTTATCATACGCCAAGCAGTGCAGATAATGAATGAGATGATTATATTTTACTGGTTTAATTATTTTTATATCAATAAGTGCTACAAATTCATCCTTACATCATCTACTTCCAGAGCAGAATTACTGTAGAAAACAGAGTTGTTTTTTAAGTAATTTGGATTAAGTGGGATTTTTAAAATACCATTCCTGTATTAATGCCAATTTGAAAGGCTGAGAATATTTGGATTATTTTTATCGGTAATATAAATACATTGTATATAACACTGAAAGTAATTTGTATTCGATTTATAATTATATTAATCCTTCATTCAAAAGCAAATCACTAAATGACTAGCGAGTTGCTTAATAGATTTCAAAATTGTTGTAACACATGGTCCTTGTGATGAAGAAGAGTAGGCAAAATATTAGGTAAAGAGAAATGGAAAGATTGGATAAATAAAAACATGTAAAATTTGGTGACTAAAAAGCACATTTTTGTATCCACTGAACTGTTTCAGTGCCTTTCTTCACTTAACCCTAATTCTCATAAACCCTCACAGACTTTCAAACCATGAGTTAGGAATTACTTGGTTAACAATACTCTATCTGGTTTTCCCAGAATTTTGAGAAGAAGTAACACTCAGGCATTCCTTTAAAGATAACAACTTTATACGTGACAAAATTCATTTTCCCCTTCATTCATTTCATTCCACAAAATGTTTACCCACTTACCCATTATACGAATCCAGTTTCAAATAGGATTTGAGGAAGGATTACTTCAAAGAGTGTTCTCTGAGATATTTTAAAATGGTAATTGACGATATGAGTATTTGCCTAGCTAGAGCAGTTCTTTAGCTGTGGAGAACATCCTGTTCTTTGGAAGTTATTTCACTATATAGCAAATGCTTAAGAAAATAGGAAAAAAAAAAACACTCAGAAAATTA